>NC_000010.11:119745617-120370700 GCF_000001405.40 Homo sapiens
TGATGTAATCCCTGGCCGTAATCTTATTTTACTTATGTTATTATCTGCTTGCCATGGTCTCCAGGAAGCTCAGGCTCATTCCTTTTTTTTTTTTTTTTTTTTTTTGAGATGAAGCCTCACTCTGTTAGCCAGGCTGGAGTGCAGTGTCGTGATCTCGGCTCACTGCAACCTCCACCTCCTGGGTTCAAGCGATTCTCCTGCCTTAGCCTCCTGAGTAGCTGGGATTACAGGTATGCGCTACCATGCCCGGCTAGTTTTTGTATTTTTAGTAGAGATGGGGTTTCACCATGTTGGTCAGCCTGGTCTTGAACTCCTGACCTGTGATCCGCCCGCCTTGGCCTCCCAAAGTGCTGGGATTACATGTGTGAGCCACCGTGCCCGACCAGGCTCATTACTGTTTATTCAAGTTTTTCCACAGTTGGCCTTAGTTTACTTTTCTAGCATTATCAATTCATATCTCCAGTGTACCTACTGGTCTTCTGTTATTTACACTGTTTGCTTCATTATTTTTGTATCATCTTAACGTGATACAGTGTCTGGTTCCTGGCAAGTACTTGATATGTGTTTCTCCAATGATGGGACACATACCAGAACAAATCTTGTACTTTTTTGTCTGCTGTATTATTTTTCTTGCTGCTGTCCTTATGCCTGATGCGCCACTTCTTCTACATGACTCTCCGTGACTGCTTTAACTCTGTTTTTTCCTTCCTTTTCTGTATTCCTAAAGCTTATTTGGTACCCAAGGGTTAGAGTCCTACAACTGTGGTCTGTTCATCTAAGGTCAAGGTGGTAGGGTTCTGGGTAGCTGGAGCTCTTTCCTTAGCAGGGGCATCTGTGTTGGCAGATGTTGAGACATGGTCTGCCTGATACAGGGATTCTGGCTCACTATTTGGAAAGAAATCAGGGTATCTTTATTCCACTGGCATTAGGGTTAAGTAGTTAACAACTAACAGAGATGAAATCAGTAAATACGGTAACTGATACTAAGGAACAGCTTTGTAAGCCAAAAGATATAAAAATTAAAAACTGAAAATATTTGCAAACATGTCAAAGAGTTGAAGTCCTTAATGTGAAAGGAACTTGTAAGTCAATGAAAGATATAAAGAAAAATTAGGAGGCATGAACAAGAAAATCATAGAAGATGACATGACATATAAGCAGCCAAATTTTTTTTTTTTTTTTTTGAGACAGAGTCTTGCTCTGTCGCCCAGGCTGCAGTTGAGTGCAGTGATGTAATCTCAGCTCACGGCAACCTCTACTTCCCGGATTCAAGCGATTCTTGTGCCTCAGCCTCCCAAGTAGCTGGGATTATAGGCGTGTGCCAACACGTTCAGCTAATTTTTGTATTTTTAGTAGAGATGGGGTTTCTCCATGTTGGCCAGGCTGGTCTCGAACTCCTGACCTCAAGTGATCCTCCTGCCTCGGCCTTCCGAAGTGCTGGGATTATAGGCATGAGCCACCATGCCCGGCCATAAGCAGCCAATTTTATAATTAAGTGTTTAATCTTATCAGCAATAGAAAGGAAATAAACATCATGTTAGGCAATAGATGCCAGATGCCATCAAATTAGCAAAATTAGATAAATTCTAAATTTTTAACTCAAAATTATTAATTTTTTTTTTTTGAGACAGAATCTTGCTCTGTCCCCCAGGCTGGAGTGCAGTGGTATGATCTCAGTTCACTGCAGCCTCCACTCCTGGTTCAAGCAATTCTCATGCCTCAGCCTCCCAAGAAGCTGGGATTACAGGCACGCACCACCACGCCCAGCTAATTTTTTGTGTATTTTTAGTAGAGATGGGGTTTTACCATGTTGGCCAGGCTGAACTCCTGGCCTCAAGCAATCCACCCAGCTTGGCCTCCCAAAGTGTTGGGGTTACAGGCATGAGCCACTGTGCCTGGCCTTGCTTTAAAAAAAAATTTTTTTTAATTCAAAAAAGAAATTCATATGCTTCTGGCAGAAATCTAACTTGGTATGTAACCTTTGTAGCAAACAATTTGGTATTATTTGAGAAGTTTACATTTTTAAGGTTTTAACCTATTAATTTAATTCCCAGGAATCTATCCAAAAGCTATTAATTAGAGAGGCAAATATTTGCATAATATTCATCATTTATCACAGTGTTTTTTATGATGGGGGAAAAACTTCAAATCACTTAAATGTTTTCTTTGAGGAAGTACTTCCTTAAGTGGAAAATTGTGTCACCATGAAGTTATAATCTTGAAGAATATTTTAAAGAAGAAAATACTCATGAAATTTTAGAAAAACTATGTTAGAAATGTTAGAAAAAATTACTTAAAAAACTATAATGTCATGGGATCCTTAGGGTGTTGCTTTTCCACCTGGACACTTCTGTGGCCAGTGGCGATTTTGCCTGAGTTTTCCTCGGGTCCACTGGGCTTTTTCCACTGTCTTGGCTCGGCAAGCTGTGCTGGGCTTGCACTACCAGCCCGGATCCCATGCCTGCCAATGGCAAGCCAGGTGCGGAGTGGCGAGTGGTGTATGAGCGAGCGTGCACGGTCCAGACACTATGCACAGCCAGGTGTGCCAGCCGTGGCAGGGCAGGCAGCTCCAGGCACCGGTACAGGCACTGGCTTTGTGCAAGGCTGTGGCTGGACCAGGTGTACCACAAGCAGTTTCTGCTGCAGGTACTGGGGAATGCAGTGATGCCCGGAAGCTTGGAGATGCCAGGAACTGCAGAGCCCCACTGTCACAGCCCTGGCTCGGAGAGCCCCTAGGTCTGGTGTTCCCGAAGGGCCGCAGCCCTTTCCTCCTTGTTGCCCACAACCTGGTGAGCAGGGGGCGTGTTTTGGTCCTGTTTGTGTTACAGCTTTTTCAGTCCCACCATTCAGGGGTCCCGTGTCCAGGAAGAATGAGGTATGCAAGGTATGTGGACAACTGGAGGGGGAGCAAGGCAGAGAGCAGCTTCATTGAGCCCCAGAAGAGCTCTCAGGAGACCTGAAGTGGGTAGCTCCTTTTTGCAGGCAGGTCATCCAATGAGGAGACCCGAAGGGGGCAGCTCCCTCCCGCAGCTGGTGGTCTGGACATCTGTGAGTCTGGCTGAGTCCGGGATTTTTAATGGGCTCAGAATGGAGGAAGTGTGTGCTGATTGGTCCATGGGAGGCCACGGACGGCCTGGAGAAAGCACCCTGAGTTCTTACTCCAGCTCACGGACTCCACCCGGAACCTGCAGCTCAGACCCCAGGCTTCAGGTTGTCCCTGGCTTGAAGGTGGGGTTTTACCTGTGATCTGCCCCTTTCTGGACAGGAACCTGTGTCTGTCTCCCTCCACTGCCCAGGCTGTTTGGGCTGAGGGGTGCCTGCAGGCCCACTTGGAGCTGCCCTCACCCCTGCTGGCCTCTCTCCCACGCTTATCGGCACCCGAAGTCCAGAGGGGGCTGAGGCGGCAGGGAGCTGGTGTGACAGCAGTGTCCAAGCCTGTGCACACCCGACTCGGTCGTGACGGTCCCCAGGCTCGGCCACAACTTGCTCTGCACCAGAGCAGGTGCTGGGAGCAGGGAGAGAGGCCAGGGAGTGGGAGCAGGCACTTCCGAGCCTGTGGGGAAAGAGGGTCTTCCCGGGTAGCTGAGAGTACAGGAATGCCCAGGTCTGGAGCCTCTGCTGGCTGCAGCTGTGCCAGGAGCCCCGCCAACTTGGTAGGGGGCAGCGCTCCCGCTTGTTTTCTGCCCTGCTGGCTCCATGGAGGGCGCAGCCCTGGCCGCGCCTCCCCGGATGCATCCAGACAGGCTGCGGCTGCCATCAATAATGCTTATTTATTAGCGCTGCAGTTTGGTATGTATACAAACAAATGCCCTGAAATGTAGCTGAAGAAGTTGTCTCTGGGTGGTGGGATAGGTGATGATTTTTTTTCTTTGATTTTATAGTACATGTTATTTAAAAATCACTGCCTTACTGATTAGTTCCACGTATAATTTCTGAAGGGGACACTGTAACAGAAAGGTTTAGAGCAGGGGCTAAGCGTCAGGCTGACCTGGTTTTTGGTAGCAGCCTTGATCCGATCCATTGTATGACCTGACCATGTTTTACTTTTCTCAGCATTTGTTTCCTCATCTGTAAAGTGAGACTCCTTAAACTTAACTCAGAGTTGTCAAGATTAGAAATGATAATGTATTATAATAGCCTTTAAAAAATAAATTTCTTATTTTGCTTTAATTCTTGCAATAAAAACAGTATCGCACTGTTGCCTGGGCTGGAGTGCCGTGGTGCGATCTTGGCTCGCTGCAACCTTCACCTCCTAGGTTCAAGTGATTCTCCTGCCTCAGCCTCCTGAGTAGCTGGGACTACAGGCGCGTGCCACCATGCCTGGCTAATTTTTGTAGAGATGAGGTTTCACCATGTGGGCCAGCTGGTCTCGAACTCCTGACCTCAGGCGATCTACCCTCCCCAGCCTCCCAAAGTGCTGGGATTACAGGCATGAGCCACCACGTCCAGCCAAAAACAAGTCAACTTTTTTTGCCTTCCATTGAATGTATCATAACAAAGACATTCAAGATGCAATAGTCAAAACTCAAATGAATTTGGAGGCTAAACTATTAAGTGTATAATTACTCTGTGAGTTACAGATTGAGTGTAAGTTTCACTAAAATAAATTGTAAATGATAATAATGAAAATGTAATTTTAATTTTCTGCCAAGACAAATATTGTTTTCATTCTTGATAATCTTCACCTGTCGAACTACCACAAATGTTACGTTTATTACCACGTATATAACCTTTTGCAATCTGGGCCACACAAGAGAATAAACCCTGTCCTTAGGCATCCGTTGCATGTAATGAATTTGCTTCTCTCTTGTGTGTCTAGAATGGAACCAGCTTGTGTCATCTAATTTCTCATATGGAAGAAGTGAGAAAACTGTCACCCAAAACAAATCACTGTTCTGTGGTTTAGATGAGGAACCCTGATTGAGATGCCTGGCACGTAGAAGGCACTCAAACGGAAACAGTTCCTATTGTATTTGTCCTGGAAGTCAGATAAAAGAGCAGTTGCTTTCCGGATTTCTTTGTTTGGTATAAGCATCTTCGGGAAAATGTATTTTCCAGAGTGTGATCCAGTAAGTGGACAGCTCTGTGGCAATTTCTTAGGCCCTGTCTTTGGATCCTGTGCTGTAGGACCACACGCAGCTCCTCCGTTTGTCCTCTTGTAGTGTAATGGCCCTGTTCCTCCACTGTAGGGCGCCAAGGTACTGCTTCCTATCTGGGAAGAGTTTTCTGAATGTTACTGCTTTCCCCTTAACTGTCCGAAGCCTTATTGTATCCCAAGCCTTATTCAGGCCTCACATTTAATACTTTGTCACAAATTGCTTTATGGTAATGTATTCCATTTGGATATTCATACTGCTTTTTTGGGACATTGATTTTTTTTCAATACACTGCTAAAGATACTGTTTTAATATATTTTCTGGTGAATGTTTTCTCATCACTGCTTCCTATTTTATTTTAGCTACTGATCTACTTCTTGCCTGGAATCCCATTTGTTTGGGGTTGGTAGAAGGTGTTATTGGGAAAATTCAACTTCATTCAGGTATGTTTCTATAAACTCCTTAAACTTGTCAAATTTATTGTAGCATTTTTTGGTGTTTTCCTCTTTGAGGATACATGAGATTCTCTTATAGCTTTGATTCCTTTGTTTTAATTTTGGGTCTGCTCAAAGTGGGTGTATAATGAGCGAAGACCTGTTTCTACTCTTATGGAGCTTACAGTTTAGGAGGAAAGACAGGTATCAAAGAGTAATCATGGAAATAAACGTATGATTATTTGGAATTGTGGAAGGTGCCATGAGGGAAAGATATAGCAAATGCATTGATCTCAAAGGAGAGTAGTAGGAATAAAGCTGGAGAGGCAGGCAGGTGGCAGACCATGACTGGTTGGCTTTATGTCAGCTGACTGTTCCTGATGCAGTCAGCTCTGCCAGAGACGAGTATGGGTCTCTTAGCACACAGTGTGGTCCTGTCAGGGATCCCTATCCAGGACAGGCAGATTGATGGGAAGTCCAGGTCACTCACCAGGCCCTCACTTGGAATGACAGGCACCTGTGTCCTCAGTTTAAAGGGAATTTTGTTGGTGGGAAAGTATAACAGGTATTATACAGGTGGGTCCCAAAAGGCTAACTGAAAGGGGCCAAATGAAATTTTATTTTTTCTTTTTTGGTGCCTTACCCTTCAGGGAGCTTTTTAAAATTAGAGATGGGTTCTTGCTACGTTGCCCAGACTGGTCTCAAACTCCTGGCCTCCAGCAGTTCCCCTGCCCTGGGCTCCCAAAGTCCTGGGATTACAGGCATGAGCCACCATGCCTGGCCTAAATGAAATATTTTAAGCACTACATTTAAATAAATATTTTTCCTTTGGTATCAATTTTGATGAGTTATGAATTATAGGAGGCTTTGCCATTATTTCTGTATAATTGTGAGTATATATCTTTATAGTGTGTCCTTTTTATTTAAAAATAATATTAAGCATTTGGGAGCTAGATTGATTTTTGTGTATTAGAAATAAGCACGTATATCTGGAAAATCTAATTTTCCTTTGCTAGATTCTTTGGTTGTTTTTAGAAGTGTGTTTTTATCATGAAATATTTTACAAATTCAAAAAGCTGTTTATCGCAGATGTGCGGTAAGGTTGTTTTAAAATACACGCATGTATCTACCACCTAGGTTAAGAAATGAAATATGGGCCAGGCGCAGTGACTCATGCCTGTAATTCCAGAACTTTGGGAGGCCGAGGCAGGTGGATCATCTGAGGTCGGGAGTTTGAGACTGGCCTGACCAACATGGAGAAACCCTGTCTCTACTAAAAATACCAAAATTATCTGGGCATGGTGGCGCATGCCTGTAATCCCAGCTATTCGGGAGGCTGAGGCAGGAGAATCGCTTGAACCTGGGAGATGGTGGTTGCAGTGAGCCGAGATTGCGCCATTGCACTCCAGCCTGGGCAACAGGAGTAAAACTCCATCTCAAAAAAAAAAAAAAAAAAGAAATGAAATATGACCAATGTGTTTGGAGCCATCTCTGTGCCTTTTCCCAAATGTTTCCAATTTCCTTCCCCTTAAAGGAACCTGCTATTTTGAATTTTGTATTCCCTTGGTTTTCGTTTTTGCTTTTATTATATAGGTATTCCTAAAGATGTTGCTAAGGGTTGTATTTTGGGGATTTTATATAAATGATATTAAGTTGTTTTTGTTCTTTCACTTATTTTTATTTATATTTTTGAGATTTATCCATGCATGAAACTGTAGTTCCTTATTTTCACTGTTTATGAATATATTGTGATTTGTCCTTTTTCCTCTCACTGGGTAATTGAGTTGTTTCTTTTTTTTTCTTTCTTTTTTTTTTGCTATTAGAACTAATACTGCTATGAGCATTGTTGTATATTCTGTATTTGGTAGGTTTTTAAAAAAATTCTTTCAACACAGAGGAGAAAAGCACTTAGTCGTTGAGTAACCATGTAACCAAGTATTTTAATAACAGTCTCCTACCTGTCCACATTTACCTACATATATTTTTAATTCATTTACATGCTGACAGGATAATTTCACAGCTGGGTGTTCTGAGCTAAAATTCGTTTTCTATTATTTAAATGACACGTATGAAACTTTTGAGTTATTTTTCTCATTTTCAGTCACATCTTAGCACAGTGAATAAATCACTGCAATCAGTTAGGAGACCTGAAGACAAGCTGTATTTATTTAGCTTTGAGATATAGGAGAAGCTGCCTAACATCTGTTTCATGTATCTCTTGTTATGTAACAAGCCAGTCCCAAAAGTTAATGGCTTAAAACAACAACAGTGTATACTTTCTCATGATTCTATGGGTTGACAGAGCAGCTCTGCTCTTGTCTGTTGTGTTGGCTGGGGTCATTCACGTAGCAACATTCACCAGGAGTTTGCCTGGGTGGTCTTAGTTCTCCTTCACCTGGCCCCTCTCTCCATGTCTCTCATCTCACAATGCCTGTCTTGAGTCCTCCTCTCTCTCCTGGATAACCTGGACGTCCTTTCAGGGTAGTGGCTGGGTGCTGAGAAGGCAGCTACCAGTGTTCAAGGGCCTGTATGTCTTAAGTTGTTACACAAGGTAAAAGAAACTGGTCTCTTCATTTCCATAGGGTACTGTGAGTCCCGAATGAGATTATTGTACCTGCAAGTGCTTAGTAAATTGTAAATCACTATTTTATCAAGGCTCTTTGGTTGCAAATACAAACCTATCAGCTTAGGCAAAAAAACACACTTTTTAATGAAGAACCCAAGGGACCAAAAACAAGAAAGAAATGGATGTTGTACAGGACCCAGGATTACTTTATTGGGGCAGCTGGTCTCTGACAAACTGCCTCTCCCTCTATGTCTCTTTTATTCTTCTCTCTTTTTGGCTTTCTCTGTTTGTGTGTATGTAGGTTAAAATTTCTGCCTTTAAAATGACACCCTTAGCCTCAAGCCAGCTGACATCTGATATTCCCTGTAATAACTGGAAACTGACAAGCAGTTAAAAAAGATTGAGTAGTGAGTCCACGTTAGACTTCTAGGTAAGAGACTTATTTGCCCATCTTGGGCCAGGGGACTCCTGGCCAGGGTCACGTAGATCAGACCGTGCTCCAGAGTCCCAGTCCCCTAGGTGGGAGGCAGAGCAGGAGGGTTTGGACTTGGCAGACAGCCCAGAAGCTGTCTCCTACAAATAATGTACAAATGTAAGTTTGTTAATGGTTGATGAGTTTACGATACAGTCAAAGTATGGTCATTTAGGAGGCGGTGAAGGTATGGTCATCTGTGGTCAGCCCCCTTTATATGTACTTCTCCTCCTTGCCATTCTTTGGTCCCAAAATAGGTGATTGATAGGCAGTGAGAATACCTGTGATGTAGGATATTTTGAAAGAAGGGAGAGGTGGAGGGTAGAGTGAACTGGAGAAAGAAAGTATAAAAAAGGAAAAAAGGGCAGGGAAATTCTCTTAATTTTTCATTCTCCTAATCCTTGGACATTTTTTTTCCTTCTTCTTGTCACGTCACTTGAACGGTTTGGCTCTTAAGAAAAAGAGTCGGGAGGAAGCAAAGGGAAACACTTTTCTGGGCCCCTGCTGCTTTTCCCTCCCTCCCAACCCTCTCCATGTCACTCTGCCCCCAGCCCCTTGCCTGTGAGCACCCACCTTACTTACTCTCCTCATCTGTCCTCAGGGATGCCTCCTCCTCTCCTCTCCCTGCCCCCGATTAAAGCTCTTGCCCTGGGTCAGATTGGCTAGAAGGGAGGTATGTGCCTGCTGTGTGTGAGAAAGAATTGAGAAAATTACTTCAGGGGCATTTTCCCCAGGAACATCTTATCTTTGGAGGATAGGGGATGAGGGGAATAAAATGTCTATACTGAAACTCTCTCCTGTTTCCCTCCTACTTATTCTCCACATATTAATGCACAAATTTTTCTTCTCACCTAGGGAGATGGGAACATAAATTTATTTGAACAGATGTCATTGACAGTCTTAAAGTGGCGTGGGTGAGCAATGCCGCTGTTCCTGACTGTCACTGAACTCTGAGCTCTGTGGAATGAGCAAGTGCTCGTGACTTAGGAACTGTATTAGTTTGCTGTCATAGCAAAGTGCCACCAGCTGGGTGGCTTAAACAACAGAATCATATTTTCTCACAATTCTGGAACACAGAAGTCTGAAATCAAGGTGTTGGCTGGGTTGGTTCCTCCCGAAGCCTCTGTCCTAGGCTTGTACATGGCCACCATCCCCTTGTGTCTTCACGTGGTCTTCCCTCTGTAACTGTGTGTGTCTGTCTAAATTTCCTCATCTTGTAATGACATCAGTCATTTTGGATTAAGGCCCACTCAAATAAACTCACTTTAACCTAATTACCCCCTTCGAAGACCCTGTCTCTAAATATAATCATATTCTGAGGTCCTGGGAGTTAGGACTTCAGCATATGAATTTTAAGGGGAAACAGTTTAGCCCATAACGGAACATAATGTCCACCAAAATGCTTCATTACAAAAGCATGTCAAAAAGAATTCCTTCTAGTCTGGTGTTTCTGTTTCCTGCTGCTTGTGCTCATTTCAGTGTGATAGGCCAGTCCTCAAGTATCGTTGGCTAGGAACCCACTCCAGATGTGGACTAATTCTGAAAGATCACACAATTGCCTCGAATCAGGTGACCTCATTTAAGCCTCAGTTGCCATCTATAAGACAAAGCTCATGGTTCCTTGACACAGTTATTGCGAAGATTTAATAAAACTCACATAAAGTGAGTTCTTGGTAATAATAAGCATTTCAGCCAGGCGTGGTGGCTCACGCCTGTAATCCTAGCACTTTGGGAGGCTGAGGTGGGCAGATCATGAGGTCAGGAGTTCGAGGCCAGCCTGACCAACATGGTGAAACCCCATATCTACTAGAAATACAAAAATTAGCCAGGTGTGGTGGCACACACCTGTAATCCCAGCTACTCGGGAGGCTGAGGCAGGAGAATTGCTTGAGCCCAGGAGGCAGAGGTTGCAGTAAGCCAGGATCGCACCACTGCACTCCAGCCTGGGTGACAGAGCAAGACTCTGTCTCAAGAAAACAAACAAAACAAAACAAAAATTCAATATATGCTGATTACTATTTTTTTTCCCTCTTAAAGATCCTCATAGATATCAGATATTCTACTCAAGAACCACTTAGATTGTGGCTACACAATTTTGAACAAATTTTAAACATGGACTATTTTTCTAATGTTAGTTTTTGCTGAAACTGTAATAAGAACAAGTCACAGGCCCGACATGGTGACTCACGCCTGTAATCCCAGCACTTTGGGAGGTCGAGGCGGGTGGATTGCTTGAGGTCAGGAGTTCGAGACAAGCCTGGCTAACATGGTGAAACCCCCTCTCAACTAAAAATACAAAAATTAGCTGGGTGTGGTGGCGGGCACCTGTAATCCCACCTACCCGGGAGGTTGAGGCAGGATAATCGCTTGAACCCAGGAGGTAGATGTTGCAGTGAGCCAAGATCGCACCACTGCACTCCAGCCTGGGCTACAGAGCAAGACTCTGTCAAAAAAACAAAACAAAACAAAACAAAAAAATAGAACAAGTCACTAAAAGACTACATTGTGAAAATGTATAAAAAGTAATGTTTTTGGTAACAACACATTAGTAGCGTTAGTGAAAGTTATTTTGTAATCCACACATTTCTTTTAAAAAATATATGATAGAAGAATTTCAAACTATTTCTGTGCGTGTTATCCTTTGTTGATGATTGCCTGCCCTTTTAGCAAGCTCTGCCACAAAAAAAAAAAAAAAAAAAAAGGTTCTATTTGCCCTAATGCCTAGAAAATATCTATTTAGAACCATTAGCCTATTTTTGGGTTGCAAGACCTCTTCCTCAGACATTTGCAGGCAGGTGGATTTCAGCCAGGGTGTAATGTAGTCTGTCTTCCGACAACTCAAACGTGTCTGACTTTGGTTTGACCAGTTGAGATTTCTTTACTTTATTTATTTATTTATTTATTTTTGAGACAGAGTTTTGTTCTGTCGCCCAGGCTGGAGTGCAGTGGCACAATCTTGGCTTACTGCAACCTCAGCCTCCTGGGTTCAAGCGATTCTCCTGCCTCAGCCTCCTGAGTAGCTGGGATTACAGGCATGCGTCACCATGCCTGGCTTATTTTTGTAATTTTAGTGGATTTCCCCATGTTGGCCAGACTGGTCTCGAACTCCTGACCTCAGGTGATCGGCCTGCCTCAGCCTCCCAAAGTGCTGGGATTACAGGCATGAGCCACCATGCCCGACCGAGATTTATTAATATGAGGAACAGAAAGTAGGAGGGATGTGTAATGCATCAAATAGGTGAAAGAAAAGTATAGATCTGTGAAAAATCAACATTAAAAAAATTCATTGTAGTATCCAGGAGGAAATAAAAATGGTAGTCAAGGCCGGGCATGTGGTGGCTCACACCTGTAATCCTAGCACTTTGGGAGGCTGAGGCAGGTAGGTCACTTGAGGTCAGGAATTTGAGACCAGCCTGACCACATGGTGAAACCCCATCTCTACTAAAAATACAAAAATTAGCTGGACACTGTGGCATGCGCCTGTAATCCCAGCCACTCGGGAGGCTGAGGCATGAGAATTGCTTGAACCCGGGAGGTGGATGCTGCAGTGAGCTGAGATCTTGCCACTGCACTCCAGCCTGGGTGACAGAGTGAGACTCCATCTCAAAAAAAAAGAATGGTAGTCAATTTCATATCACAATTGTAATTACATATTAATTTTTTCTTTTTCTTTTTTGTCTGTCTTCTCATGGAAATAACCTCCAAGAAGACAGCAACTGGGGCCATGTCTATTCTGCTTACCTGCTGTGTCTCTGTGTGCTGGCCCACTGCAGGGCAATTCAGAAATATTCAGTGAGTACTTATGGATTTAACAAGTATCTATGGAGTACCTACTGTGTCCCATGGCCTGTACTCAGTGCTGGGGCTGTAGGTTGAACAAGCTGGGGCTGCAGGTCGAAGCTTGTAGAAACCTAGACTCAGAATCTGAGTGATAGATGTTAATTACTAGTCACACAGTTTTACCATTAAAAATGTAATCATCTGAAGACAAGTGTGGGGTGCTGTGGTGTGTATGACAGAAGAGCCTAACTGGGTGGAGCTGGTGCTCCTGGATGGAAAGCATCTCATATGGGTGGAGCTGGTGCTCCTGGATGGAAAGCATCTCACACGGACAGGGCCAGGGGTGGGAGCGGGGAGGCCTTGAGAGGAGAGGTAGTTCTTGGCGGAGTATGCAGCTGTGCAAAAGGCCCGGTTCTTGGCAGAGTACGCAGCTGTGCAAAAGGCCCACATGATTGATGTGTTTCTTCTCTTCATTTTCTGTGTAATGTCTGGGTATAGTCATATCTTCACACAGACATCCAGGAAAAGACTGCTTTAGGCTGGAGATTTAAAATAGATCACAAAAGCTCTTCAAGTTAAAATGTATTTTCAAGATTGAGAAGAGGATAAGCTCAATTAGGGTAAGAAGTATCTGAAGATAAGCAAAAAGATTCATTAGTAAAGGAATATATCCCACGATATATTCAGGACTAGTTTGAAGAGAAAATTGTCAGGAGCCTTGATTAATGTGGCAATAGAGGCTCTTTGTTTAGTAATTAACTGAATTACTACTGATAGTACTGAACAATCCTAGACAAAAATTCACTCAAGTAAATCTCATTCATTAAAATAATACTCGCCATCTGCTGTTCCTCCACTTTTGTAGTGGTGACGATGTCTCAGTCATTAAGATGGTAAAGTGTGTTATGCATATGATTTTAATACTGATTTTAGTCTTCTGTCTATGGAGACTTTGCTATGGCACTAGTGACATGAAATATTTTACATATTTTAGTGGTAAATGGAGTGTCACTAGCATTGTTTTAGTGCATGCCTTAAAAGCCACTGGAAACCCCACTCCTTAAGTACATTGGAGAGAAACAAGAGGGTCTGACAGGGTCCCTGTGGAGCTCTCATCCTCTGCTGGAGGCTGGGTCATGGGACAAGCCTTTTAGTTATTGCTTCTGCTTAGATATGAGTTTGCCTGTGTATATACAGGCACGTACCACCGTGCCCAGCTAATTTTTGTATTTTTTAATAGAGACAGGGTTTTGCCGTGTTGCTCAGGCTGGTCTTGAACTCCTGGGCTCAAGCAGTCTACCTGCCTTGGCCTTTCAAAGTGCTGGGATTACACAGGCATGAGCACTGTGCCCAGCCTCAGATACAGTCATTTTTATGTTCATTTTCTCATGAGGATCTCAGAGTTACTGACTTTTAGAGGTAAGATTTACTTTTTTTTTTTGAGACAGAGTCTTGCTCTTGTAGCCCAGGCTGGAGTGCAGTGGCACAATCTTGGCTCACTGCAACCTCTGCCTCCTTGGTTTAAGCGATTCTTGTGCCTCACCCTAAGGTGGCTAATTTTTTTATTTTTAGTAGAGACAGGGTTTCATCATGTTGGCCAGGCTGGTCTCGAACTTCTGGCCTCAAGTGATCTACCTGCCTCGGCCTCCCAAAGTCCTGGGATTACAGGCATGAGTCACCACGCCTGGCCTAGAAGTAAGATTTTCATTGGTGACCAGATTCCTGGTTAACCCTTAGAAGATTCTTTAACTATAATTTAGCTGACCCATTCTCTTAACAGACTTGAGTCTTGGAAGCAGGCAGCTAAGTGGTGTGAGAGGATTACATTCTCCGGTATCTTCTCATTGGTTTTGTTTTTGCTTCTCTCCTGTTCCTTTTCTTCTCTCCTCAGGTACCTAGATGCTGAGTGCTTCGTCCTTCTCTCTTTGCTCCCCTCAGCTTGTTGCTACATTTTGTGCTTCAGAATTTCCCACCTCCCTTGTTCCTAGTCTTGAGCCCGTCTCCTTGGTGCAGATGGTTCCACCTCCCGGGTAGAAGTGATGCTTGAAGAAGTCACATGAATGCGACCCACAGTTCTGAGCTCCCCAGAGTGTGGTTACACAAGTATGCTTCTTATTCCTGAGCATATCTCTAAGTGGCATGGCAGATATTTATGTTTTCAGGCAGAGAGATACTTGAGAGGCAGGCTAGCGTGCCTCATGCTATTCCACTCTCATTCCTTTTTCTAGTCATAAACCCATTTGTTCTTAAACTCCAGTTTTCTTCAGTGATTTCAGTAGCAGCCATATTAAAGGTTTGTTTTCTAGCCTCAGAAAGAGGGGAGGAAAGCTGGGTGCAGTGGCGCGTGCCTGTAGTCCCAGCTACTTGGGAGGCTGAAGGAAGAAGGACTGCTTGAGGCCAGGAGCTCGAGGCTACAGTGTGCTATGATCATGCCTGTGAATAGACACTGCACTCCAGCCTGGGCAACCTAGTGAGACCCTGTCTCTTAAAGAATAAAAATAAGAAAAGGAGGATTATTAAGGTAAAAATGACTGTGTGGGCCACCTATACAGGTGCTTTCTGTATTTATTTCCTCCTTTGTATTACCTTTTGGACTTTTTATCTTACTGAACATTTAAAAGTAATTCCAGTCAAATTATTGTCAAAGCTAATTGTGTTTAAGAAAGGAGATTCTCGATAAATTTGTTAAGTTCTCACTTAGGCTTGGCCAGTAACAACCATTGACAGCAAAAAATGAAGGTTATTTAATTGACTTGGATAGCAGGTCTGTTACAGCCCGTGGGCTTGATTCCCTTTGTGTACGGACCAATAACCTCCAGCCTTGAAGCATTTTTATGTCACTTTTCAAAGCATTAATTTATCTTTATGATGATTAACTTGTATTGTGAGTAAAAATCCTGATTGTCTTTAGTATGCTGGAGTTTAGTGGCTAGGAAAGTATTGAAGCTTTCAATAAACATATAGGAAAACATTTTAGTACTTTAGGGGGATAAGCTGTAGTTGTCTGAAAAATACATTTTTATATAGAAAATCATTTTGCCCAACAGTACTTAATAATTTAGACTTTTCTAGTTTTCTAAGTCTTTTCTATTTCTTATAGTTACAAGAGTTTATATTTTTTTAGAGTATAATAGATTATTTCAAGGTTATTTCATTTTATGGCAGATTTATTTAGGGATTTAACTACAGTCTTAAGCTTTACAGGCTAAGCAGAATATACTTCTAATTGCACCATTTGGTACTTTTGAAATAGAGCCTATTAAAAATGTCTCTTGCTCTAGATGCTCTCCCTATGAGTCATTGTCAGTTTTCTATAAACCGAGACTTAGGAAACTTTAGTAAGGAACAGAGCAACCAGTCAGGAAACATGGAATAGCTGCTATGTTTGGAAGATGAACAAATTAATAGTTGGCTCTTTAGTCACTGAGAGCATTAGAAGCCTAATGTGATGTACTTTTAGCTATTAGGTACCTGACGTTGAACAAACCAGCACTGGCGTGGTGGTAGCATTACTTGTTTTTCCATTTACTTGATGTGTGTTGTTCCCTGAAATATAATCAGGGATATATGGTGCTCTACTTCCATTAGGGGGGACAAAACATTTCTCTTAATGTAGTTTTTTTTTTTTTTTAAGACATGGCTTTAAATGTAAAACAGAAAAATTCACTAAACATACTGTGAATTCATATTTTTAGTTGAAATTTAAATTCATGCATAAATGTGCATAAAACCTACTTTATAGACTCACGTTCTGTTCACTTAAAAGTGCTAAATAGCCAATTAATAGCTTCTGCAGCAGATACCAATGAAGTAGGTTTTATGCACACTTAGGACTCAATTTACATTCATACCAAAGATTTGTAAATAAAATTGGAGCATAATTGGAGCATAATATGCCTTGGAATAAACTATTAAGATATTTTCCTAATTATTTGTTTCTCTTAGCATGTTAATATCATAGTTCAGTTGTCCCTTGGTATGAAGAGGAGGGATTGGTTCCAGGACCACCCACGTATACCAAAATCCATGCATGCTCAAGTCTCGAAGTTGGCCCCGTAGAACCTCCGTATATGAAAAGTTGGCTCTCTGTTTATGTGGGTTTCTCGTTCCACGAATACTGTATTTTTCAATCTGCATTTGATTGGAAAAAATCTCCATGTAAGTGGACCCTTGCAGTTCAAACTTGTGTTGTTCAAGGGTCAACTGTGTATAATAGTTCTTTGTCTGTTTGGGCTGCTGTAACAGAATGTCATGGACTGGGTGGCTTGTAAACAACAGAAATGTATTTCTGATGGCTCTGGAGGCTGGACAGCCTAAGATCAAAGCCCCAGAAGATTTGATGTCTGGTGAGGGGCTGCCTTTTATTCATGGATGGCCTCTTCTCACTGAGTCCTCACATGGCAGGAGGCGTGAGGGAGCTCTCCTGGGTCTCTTTTATAAGGGCACTAATCCCATTTGTGATGATGTAGCCCTAATAACCTCATCATCTACCAAAGGCCCCACCTCCCAATACCATAATATGGGGGATTAGGATTTCAACATACAGTCACGGTCCTCCCTATCTGTAGGTTCCACATCTGCAGATGGACAATATTCAGGAGAAAAACCCAATAAAAATAATATTAACAACTATAAACAGCATTTATATTGCATTAGGTATTATAAGTAATCTAGAGATGATTTAAAGTATACAGGAGGATGTGTATAGGTATATGGAAATATTAATACTATGCCATTTTACATAAGGGACTTGAACATTTGAGGATTTTGGTATCTATAGGGGGTTCTAGAATCAATCCCCTGCAGTTACTGAGGGGTGACTGTATGAATTTGTGGGCACATAAACATTTAGCTTATAATATTTTGCCCTGTCCCCCTAAATGTATGCTCTTCTCATATGCAAAATACATTCATTATAATCCCAACATTCTTAAACTCTTAACTCATTCCACCATCAACTCTTAAAGTAAAAAATCCGAAGTCTCGTTTAAATATCATCTAACTCAGATGTGGGTGAGACTCAAGATATGATTCATCCTGAGGCAAATTGCTCTTCAGCTGCAAACCTGTGAAACCATACAAGTTATGTACTTAGAAAATACAATGGTGGGACAGACTTGGGCTAGACATTTCCATTTTCAAAAGAGAAATAGGAAAGAAGAAAGAGGCAGTGGAGCCCTAGTAAGTCCAAACTATAAGACAAACTCCTTGAGATCTTAAGGCTCGAGAATAATCTTCACTGAGTCCATGTTCTGCACTTCAGGCCCACTGCGGTAGAGGTTCTACCTTCCAGACCTGCTGAGGTGGGGGCCCTGCCTCCACGGCTCTACCCAGGAAGGGTTGTGCCCCTAGGGCCCTGCTGGTTGTTCCTATCCTCACGGCATCTGGCAGAGACCATCTTGCCTGTTGAATAATGCAGTCCCTGCCTACCCCTTTTGAAACCAAGGAAGCAGCCCTGATGATCTCTTAATCACCTTTGGGCTTGTTCTGCCTTTGTCTTGAAGAATAGTGCACATTCTCTGCCAAAAAGCTCTATGGTCCTGGCCTGTAAAACCCAGGAAGACTGATAGCCATCCTTCATTCCTTCCCAGTTCATTCCCTTTCATCTCACACTGGCTGTTCTCCTGCTGAAGTGGCTTAAGTCCATGGTTCACACCCATATTACTCTCCTTATCAGAGGGACTTGGGCACACCTGTAGTGTTTTCCCCTGAACGGGCCTTTTTAAAAATTTCCATAGTCTGGCTAGAACTTTTCAAATCTTTAAGTTCTACTTCATTTTTGCTTAACAACTCTGTCTTTAAGTCATAGCTCTCTTCTCGCATTTTACTATAATCAGGCAGGAGGAGGCAAACTTCATCTTTGACATTTTGCTTAGAAATTGCCTCAGGTAAATATCCAATTTCACTCTTAAGTCCTCCCTTCCACAAAATACTAGAACATGCACAAATTTCAACCAAGTTCTTTGCCACTTTATAACCAGGATCATCTCCATATTGTCCAATAACACGTTCCTTATTTTCATCTGAGACTTCATCAGAATGCTCTTCACGGTTCATGTTTTCTACTGACATTCTGCTCAGGATTACTTAGGAATTCTCTGAGAAGATTGAGGCTTTTTCTACAGCTCATCTCTCTTCTTTCTGAGTCCTCACCAGAATCACCTTTAAAGGTTCACACAGGGCAGTGTAGGCTTTTTCTAATAGTATGCACCTCCAAACTCTTTCAGCCTCTACCCATTACCTGGTTCCAAAGCTGCTTCCACATCTTTAGATGTTTGTTATAGCAGCACCCCTGCTGCTTGGTACCAAAATCTCGATTAGGGCTTTCCAGAACCAATAGTGTATACGCGCGCATGTGCTTGCATACACAGGCGTGTGCACACACACACACACACAAACACACACAGTTGACCCTTGGACAACACAAGTTTAAACTGTGTGGGTTCATGTATAGTGTATTTTCTTTTGCCTCTGCCACCCCTGAGACCTCAAGACCAACCCGTTCTCATCCTTCCTCTTCCTCAGCTTACTTAACATGAAGATAAGGATGAAGACCTTTATAATGACCCACTTCCACTTAATGAGTAGTAAATACATTTTCTCTTCCTTATGGTTTTCTTTTTTTTTTTTTTTGAGATGGAGTTCCGCTGTTGTTGCCTAGGCCGGAGTGCAGTGGTGCGACCTCGGCTCACTGCAACCTCCGCCTCCCGGGTTCAAGCGATTCTCCTACCTCAGCCTCCCAAGTAGCTGGGATTTCAGGCATGCGCCACCATGCCTGGCTAATTTTTTGTATTTTTAGTAGATATGGAGTTTCACCATGTTGGCTGGTCTTGAACTCCTGACCTCAGCTGATCCGCCTGTCTTGGCCTCGCAAAGTGCTGTGATTACAGGTGTGAGCCACCACGCCTGGCCCCTTGTGGTTTTCTTAATAACATTTTCTTTTCTCTAGCTTACTTTATTTATTCATTTATTTATTTATTTTTTGAGACAGAGTTTCCCTCTTGTCGCCCAGACTGGAGTGCAGTGGCACGATCTCAGCTCACTGCAACCTCTGCCTCCTGGATTCAAGCGATTCTCCTGCCTCAACCTCCCGAGTAGGTGGGATTACAGGTGCCTACCACCACGCCCAGCTAATCTTTTGTGTTTTTCGTAGAGATGGGGTTTCACTATGTTGGTCAGGCTGGTCTCGAACCCCTGACCTCAGGTGATCCACTTGCCTTGGCCTCCCAAAGTGCTGGGATTACAGGTGTGAGCCACCGTGCCCAGCCTAGCTTACTTTATTGTAAGAATACAGTATATAATACAGCATACAAAATATGTGTTAATCAACTATTTATGTTATTAAGCTTCTAATCAGTAGTAGGCTTTTCATAGTTAAGTTTTGGGGGTGTTAAAAGTTGTATGTGGATATTGTTTTTGTTTTTGAGACAGGGTCTTGCTTTGTCACACAGGCTGGAGTGAAGTGGCGTGATCTCAGCTCACTACAGCCTCGACTGCCTAGGTTCAAGCGACTCTCATGCTTCAGCCTCTTGAGTAGCTGGGACTACAGGTGCACGCCATGATACCTGGCTAATTTTTGTATTTTTTTTTTTTTTTTGTAGAGATGGGGTTTTGCTATGTTGCCCAGTCTGGTTTCTAACTCCTGAGCTCGGGTCATCCAACTATCTCGGCCTCCCAAAGTGCTGGGATTACGGGTGTGAGCCACTGTGCCCAGCCAAAAGTTGCATGTGCATGGGGAGTCAGCACCCCTAACTCCTGCATTGTTCAAGGGTAAACTGTGTGTGTGTGTGTGTGTGTGTGTGTGTGTGTGTGTGTGTGTATAGTGTATATATATACTATATAGATATACACTATATACTATATATAAATACTAATTAATCTCTCTGTATACACTATATACTATATATATATATATAGAGAGAGAGAGAGAGAGACGGAGATTTAACATCTATACCGAAATTATTACTTACAGAGATCTGTTATTTAAAGATAATTATTATAAGGGATTGGCTCATGTGATTATGGAGGCTGCCATCTGCAATCTGGAGAACCAGGAAAGCTGGTGGTATAGTTCCAGTCCAAGCCCAAAAACTGAGAATCAGGGGAGTCAGTGATGTAAGTCTCAGTTGGAATCCAAGGGCCTGATAACCAGGAGCACTGATGTCTGCAGGCAGGAGAAGATGATGTCCCAGCTTAGAGAGCAAGGTAGCCCATCCTCTGCCTTTTTGTTCTATTCTGGCCCTCAGTGGATTGGATGATGCCCACCTGTATTGGTGAGGGCAGTCTTTATTCAGTTTACCAATTCAAATGCAAATCTCTTCTGGAAATACCCTCAGAAATAATGTTTTACTAGCAATCTGGGCATCCCTTCCCAGTCAAGTTGACCCACAAAATTAACCATCACAGGGTCATTTACGGATATTTCATACACTTTAAAAACGAGATCAAGAAAACTAGTCAGAGGTTCTGTTTCTGACAACAGCAGTATTTGATGAGATAATGGCCAAGAATTTTCTAAAACCAACTATAAATACAAGCCACAGATTCAAGAAGTACTTTGAATCCAAGGAAAAAACATAAAGAAAACCACACTCAGTTACCTCATAGTAAAACTGATGAAAAGTAAAGACAAAGAGGATATCCTAAAAGCAGCCAAAGAAAAAAATACACATTAAATTCAAAGGCATGTTAAGCATTGATAGAAACAATGGAAGCCAGAAGACAATGGAATGACATCGTCAAAGTGCCTGTCCAGAATTTTATACCTTCAGAAATTAAAAATAAAGACATTTTGAGACAAATAAAAACAGAGAATTTGTCACCAACAGTCTCTGCATTAAAAGAAATACTAGAGAGGGCTGGGCACAGTGGCTCATACCTGTAATCCCAGGATTTTGGGAGGCCAAGGCTGGCAGATCACCTGAGGTCAGGAGTTCAAGACTAGCCTGGTCCAACATGGTAAAACACTGTCTCTACTAAAAATATGAAAATTAGCCAGGCGTGGTGATGGGAGCCTGCAATCCCAGCTACTTGGGAGGCTGAGGCAGGAGAATTCCTTGGACCTGGGAGGCAGAGGTTGCAGTGAGCTGAGATCATGCCACTGCACTCCAGCCTGGGCAACAGAGTGAGACTCTGTCTCCAGAAAAAAAAAAAAAAAAAAAAAAAAAACCTAGAGAGATTTTCAGGCAAAAGGAAAATGATTCCAGATGGGAGCATGGAGGGGTAGGAAGAAATGAAGATCAATGGAAAGGGGAAATAGTAAATTTAAGTGAATTTGTCATCATACATGGGGCTTAACTTTAAATGTAGAATTAAAATACACAACAATAGTAGTAACAATGGGGAGTTAGAGGAGTTGGTATTCTAAGTCCTTTCACTGTCCAGCAGCTGGAAAAGTACAAATTTACATTAGGCTTTTGTAAATTAGGATTCATGTTATCCCCTACAGTGTAACCACTAACAGAATAATAAAATATTGTAAAAAGCTCATAAAGGAGAAAAGCAGAATAATAATGATTTAAAAACTTAATCCAAAAGAAGGCAAGAAAAGGTATGTATGGAACAAATGGGACAAATAGTAAGATGATAGTTTGATTCCTAAATATGTCAGACATTACATAACAAATGAGTAGACTTAATGCTTCAATTAAAAACCAAAGATGTTTATACTAGAAAAACAATAAAATCCATCTACATGCTTACTTTCAAGACAAATGCCTTAGAGATATGAATACAGAAAGTAAAAGCATAGAAACTGTGTGAATATTAGCCTAACGAAAACTGGTGTCACTGTGCTAATATCAAAGTAGACTTTAAGGCAGGAAGTAGAGAGAATCATTTCAAAAATAACAAAATGTTCAAGTCACCAGAAAGAATAGTTTGAAATTTGTATGCATCTAAGTATAACCTTAAAACCAACTATAAATATATATAAAAAGCAACGAGTCATTTGGTTTACATTTTTTAGTTTAGACTGTCAATTTGAAATGACAGAGGAACGTGAGTATTCCTGTTGGCAATGTTACAGAGAAGAAAGGAAAGGCGAGCAGACTTTTCCCCTTTTCAGATTATCTTTTTCCTTCTTTACCAACATGTCTCCATCCTCTGATGTATCCAGTGCAAATATAGACTCTTCTGTGGCGTTTTGAGCATAATCTGCAGAAGTCCTTCAAGAAATGTTTGTATTTAAATATTATGCTACAAAAGACTTTGGAGTATATAGTATGCACCTCTGTCTTTGGGTTAATATTTGTTGGTATGTCAGTATAATTATAAATTCTTGTCAAGTGTGGTGGCACATACCTGTAGTCCCAGCTAGTAGAGGTCTAAGGTGGATCACTTGGGCCCAGGAGTTCTGGGCTGGAGTGAGCTATGCTGATTGGGTGTCTGCACTAAGTTTGACATCAAATACGGCAGCCTCTTGGGAGGGGAGACGACCAGGTTGCCTGAGGAGGAGTGAACTGGCCCAGATCAGAAATGGAGCAGGTCAGAACTCCCACGCTGTGATCAGTAGTGGGGTCGTGCCTGTGAATAGCCACTGCACTCCAGCCTGGCCAATATAATGAGATCCTGTCTCTTAAAAGGGAGAGAAAGAAAAGGAAAAAAATTATGAATTCTCCTGTGCTAGCTCCTCAAGTCATAATTGCACAACCGTGTGAGTGTTCAGGCTGATGGGTGCTCTCTGTTTCACCATTTCCCAGCCTCTCTGTGACTGTTCCAGTGGACCTAGGAAAGGTAATCTTTGCCTCAGGAATGTAGTGTGCAGTATTAGAGCATACTAAAGGAAGTAAACACCTGAGACTCATTAGTAAATGCACCTTCTCTTCCTTTTTACCCTTGTTCCTCACATGAATGTTTATAGAGATAAACTGGAAAGTGTCCAAAAGAGCGGTGAAAATAGAACCTACAAAATAAATTATGGTTGTATGCTGTGAACATAAGTCATTTTAAGTTCTCAAGTAAAATTAAAAGGACTAGTGCCAAGAATGGTAACTGGTTACTTTCCATTTCTCCTGTTCTCCTTATGTGAGAGAACTAAGAAAGCAGGGTTTGGATTAGGTTTAAAGAATTTCCATGGAGTGGGGAATAGTGGTCAAAGAGAACTTCAGTTTTATCTGTAATGTTTAAACTTTCAAAAAATGGGATATATTAATATATTCCCTATATAATGTTAATAAAAATAAAAATGATTGCTGGACATGCATTGGTGGATTAAATGTATATCTTTTCTGTATGTCAATAGGATGGTGAGCCATGTCTAGAAATACGTAGTTGCAGTACCCCTTAGAGGCAAGGTCATGAGTAGGGAGTCGGTTAATTTTAAAAATTTTATTTATATTTATTTACTTTTTGAGACAGTGTCTCACTATGCTGCCCAGGCTGGTCTCAAACTCCTGAGCTCCAGTGATGCTCCTACCTCAGCCTCCTGAGTAGCTGGGACTGCAGGCACACACCACCGGATCTGGCAGTGATGTTTAATTTTTTGTGTTAACTTGACTGGGAAGGGATGCCCAGAAAGCTGGTACAAAATGATTTCTGGTCATGTGTGTGAGGGTGTTTCCAGAAGATACTTGGCGTTTTGAGTTGGTGGACCGAGTAAAGAAGACCCATTCTTATCAGTGTAGGTGAGCATCATCCCGTCTGTTGAGGGCCGGAACAGAAGCAAAAAGGAAGTATGAATTCACTGTGTTTGAGCCAGGGCATCCATCTTCTCCTGCTCTTGGACATCAGAGCTCCTGGTTCTCAAGCTTTCGGACTCAGATTGGGGCTTAAACCATCAGCCTCCCAGTTCTCAGGCCTTCGGACTTGGACTGGGACTTTTACCATTGACTCCCCTGGACTTGGACTGAATTACACCACAGGCTTTTCTGGTTCTCCAGCTTGCAGATGGCAGATTGTGGGACTTTTTGGCTTCTATAGTCACATGAGCAATTCCAATAATAAATCTCCTCTCATTTATATATCCTCTTAGTTCTGTTTCTCTAGAGAACCGTAATGCAGGAGAAAAATTTTTTTTTCTAAAGTGGTATGAAAATCTTTATCCTACAGTTGCTCATCTCCTTTTAAGTGAGTCACTTTCTAAGTCAAGCAATTGAATCTTTTCCAGGACTATTGTTTTAGCTTGCCCTACTGGTCATGCTTTTCAAGATAATCACTTCCTAATCAGTTTTTTTTATCTTGCTGGGGAAGTCAGGTTTCCTTGTCTCTCTTTTCCAGGAAGAGGCACGGTTACAAAATTGACTTTTTCCCCCATTGTAATATGTTTAAAAAGTTGGAAAGAAATCTTTATGCCATCAGACCTTGCTAGATTCTATTTTTTTTATTCCTTGTTATACTGTGTATATCCTGATCTCAAAATGGTAGCTTTAATTGAACCAAGTTTCTTTTCCTGGTGGGTAACAAATAAATACATAGCCTGCTTTGGTGCTTTTAAAAATTGTACTGTGAAATTAGGCCTGATGGATAATAGGATTGCCAAACAATAGTGACGCTGTACTTTTACATTTGTCTTGTTTTAATTCTAAGTATAAAATGTAGAAATCATTTAACCCTGTAGCTCAATATGCACATTCCTGCCGGACATCTCAGGCTTTTTATGTGGCAGTGGTGGTGTATTTTGTTTCACCTAAGGCAAAATAATTACAGGAGTAGAGATTGCTATTATTTTCTGTGAGGTCTTCTTTTGTTTGTTTTATTTTCTAGAGTGAGTGTTTTTGCTTGGAAATAGCTCAGTGTTCAGTTCATAATTTTTCTTTTCATTGTGATAATTTTGATTATTTCCTTGAACACTATTCCAGACACCTACATCTTTTCACTAGTGTTGATACATTTCAAGAATTATAGGCTGTCCTATCCTAACCTCCATTTTTGGCAGAAAGTATACTTTTAGTTTTTTATCCTCTTCTTAAGACTCCTAACAAGTTCTTTTGTTCTTCAGAAGGAGATTTTTTTGAAAATAAATAAATAAATAAAAAACTTGAGATTTAATTTACATACCATAAAATTAACCCTTTTAAAGTGTGCAGTTAAGTGGTTTTTAGTAGATTTGCAAGGTTACGCAACATTTACCACTCTCTAATTCCAGAACATTTTCGGCATCCAAGAATGAAACCTCTCAGATGGCCAGTTATTTCTCATTACCCCTACACCAGCTCCTGGCAACCACTAACCTCAGCTCCTAATCTACCTTCTGTCTCTAGGGATTTTCCTGTTCTCAATATTTCACATAAATGAAATCATACAATATGTGCACCTTTGTGATTGTTTTTTTTCACTTAGCACAATGTTTTTAAGGATTGTCCATGTTGAAACATGTATCAGCACTTCATTCCTTTATAGCTGAATAATATTCCCTTGTATAGATAGACTATGTTTTGTCTGTTCCTTCATCCCTTGATGGATGTTTGGGTTGTTTCCGCAGAAGGAGCTTTTTTTTTTAATTTAAATTTTTAGGTAGTACAAGTGCGTGGTTTAACAACAATGTAAATAGTAGTAAAAGGTATTCAGCGAAGCCTCCCTCACTCCTCTGTCCCTATCTGCCCTATTTCCACTGCTTCATCCAACCTAGCACCATCATTAGTTTATTGTGAATCCTCTGAGAGTTTCTTTATGCATTTACAAACAAATACAATTATTATGCTTATAGTCTTCATTTTCCCAGCCTTCCCAAGTGTATAGACTACATTTCTAGGAGAGGAACAGATTGGATAAAGCATGTACACAGTTTGAATTTTGATGCATCTCCAACACTAAGTATTACTTTTAACAAAGAGATTTCTTTTTGACAGTCTGATACAAAGTGATCTTCCTATTTTATTTCATTATTGCTGAGCTTAATTATATTTTTAATGTTTATCATCCATACTCCATAAAGTATGGAGATATATATATATATATATATATATATATATATATATATTTTTTTTTTTTTTTTTTTTTTTTTTTTTTTGAGATGGAGTCTCACTCTGTTGCTCAGGCTGGAGTGCAGTGGCGCGATCTCGGCTCACTGCAAGCTCCATCTCCCGGGTTCACACGCCATTCTCCTGCCTCAGCCTCCCGAGTAGCTGGGACTACGGGTGCCCGCCACCACGCCGGGCTAATTTTTTGTATTTTTTAGTAGAGACAGGGTTTCACCATGTTAGCCAGGATGGTCTGGATCTCCTGACCTCGTGATCTGCCTACCTCGGCCTCCCAAAGTGCTGGGATTACAGGTGTGAGCCACTGCACCTGACCTATCTTTTTTTACTTTGGGGACATTACCTTTTTCTTTTCTACAGATTTTATTGAGGAACTGTTGCACAAGGGGAAAAGAAACCTCAGTCCAGGATTGTGCTCAATTCCAGATATAGTAAGGACAAGTGGGGATTTACAGCAAAAGAGTGTGGTAGGAATCTGTGGATGGAAAATTACCGAGAGGAAAACCTATTACCTTTTTCTTGTTGATTGATACAGCTCTTTCTATTTCGTAAATACTAACCTTTAGCATGCCATGTGTTGCAAATAATTTCCTGTTTGTCATTTGCTTTTCATTTTGTTCATAGTGTGATTTACCACCCAGATATGTTTCATTTTTAATGGAATCAAGCCTGTTCATTTTATGACTTCTGGATTATGTATCATGCTTCCGAAGGTCCTTCTGCTCTGAGATGATAAAGAATCTGCTATATTTTGTTTTGCTTTTATTTTTAGCAATTAGCTCATCTACAATTAATTGGGGGGCATGGCTTGCAGTGGGAATTTAACTTTTTTTTCGTGTGGAGAACCAATTATTTCAACATTGTTTTAATTTTTTTTTTTGAGATGGAATCTCGCTCTGTAGCCCAGGCTGGAGTGCAGTGGCGCAATCTTGGCTCACCGCAACCTCCACCTCCCGGGTCCCGGTTCAAGCAATTCTCCTGCCTCAGCCTCCTGAGTAGCTGGGATTATAGGCACGCACCACCATGCCCAGCTAATTTTTGTATTTTTAATAGAGATGGGGTTTCACTGTGTTGGCCAGGATGGTCTTGAATTCATGACCTCGTGATCCGCTTGCCTTGGCCTCCCAAAGTGCTGAGATTACAGGTGTGAGCCACTGCGCCCAGCCTAATTTTTAAAAATTATTATCTTTTTTGAAATAGTGTCTTACTCTGTTGCCCAGGATGGAGTGCAGTGGCTTGAATTCAGCTTACTGCAACCTTCGCCTCCTGGGGTCATGCAATTCTCCCATGTCAGCCTCCTGAGTAGCTGGGACTACAGATGTGTGCCACCATGCCCTGCTAATTTTTGTATTTTTTGTAGAGACAGGGTCTTGCTGTGTTGCCCAGGCTAGGCTCAAACTCCTGGACTCAAGCAGTCCACCCACCCTGGCCTCCCAAAGTGCTGGGATTACAGACATAAGCCACCTCTCCCAGCCTGTTTTTCAAATTTTAGTTTCGGGGCGACATCTGCAGGTTTGTTACATGAGTATATTGCATGATGCTGAGGTTTGGTCTTCTGTTGATCCCGTCACTCAAATAGTGAACATACTACCCAATAGACGGTTTTCTAACCCTTGCTTCCTTCCCACTATCCCCCGTTTCGGAATCTCCAGTGTTTATTGTTTCCATTTATTGAGACACCATTCTTTTCCCTTCTTTATCATCATTTATGAGATGCTCATTTTTACATAGGTCGTGTCTGGCTTCTCTATTCTAGTGATTCATTTATCTTTTCCTTTACCTAGTATCAAGTTTTAATTACCATGCTTTTTTAAATCCCCCTCTTGCTCTGTCTCCAATGTTGGGTTTCACTCTGTCCCCCATGCTGGAGTACAGTGATGGAATCGTAGCTCACTGACAACTTCTTGAACTTCTGAGCTCAATCAGTCCTCTTGCCTCAGCCTCCAAAGTAGCTGGAATTACAGGTGCAGGCCACCACGCCTGGTGTTACCATAGTTCTGCCTAGGAAGACAAGTAGTCTCAATTTCTTTTCAAAATCTTTACTGGATATTTTTACGCATTTAGTCTTTCAAGTGAAATTTAAAATATATTTAAATTTCCTGGCCGGGCTCAGTGGCTCATGCCTATAATCCCAGCACTTTGGGAGGCCAAGGTGGGCAGATCACAAGGTCAAGAGATAGAGACCGTCCTGGCTACATGGTGAAACCCCGTCTCTACTAAAAATAAAAAAATTAGCTAGGCATGGTGGCGTGCGCCTGTAGTCTCAGCTACTCGGGAGGCTGAGGAGGGAGAATTGCTTGAACCCGGGAGGCAGAAGTTGCAGTGAGCTGAGATCACGCCACTGTACTCCAGCCTGGCGACAGAGGGAGACTCAGTCTCCAAAAAAAAAAAAAAAAAAAAAACTCCCTAGAAGTCCCATAAGAATTTTGATTGAAATTGCATTAAATTTCTATATTAATTTGAGAGATACCAACAAGTTTGAAATGTTGAACCTGTGCATCCAGGCTCATGGTGCTTTCATGTATTTATTTTCTGTATGCTCTAAATGAAAGTTCTGTGGTGCTTTTCATGTAGATATTAGACCTTTCTTTTATTCATTTGTTTGTTCGTTTTGTTTTTTTTTTTCTTTCTTTCTTGAGACTGGGCCTGGCTATTTTGCCCAGGCTGATCTTGAACCCCTGGGCTCAAGCAATCCCTCTGCCTTGGCCTCCCAAAGTGCTGGAAGTACCACTCCCGACCTAGACATTTCTTAATTGGAATTAGTCCCAGAAACTTTATTGCTCCTGTTGCTAATGTTATGATACCTTTTTTCTATTACATATGCAAGTGGCCTATATTAATGCTTTTTTGTATGTTTTTATTTATATGTGGCCACATCAGTGGACTCCCATCTATTAATATATTATTGGTTTCTCAAGGTCTGAAAAACTGCTAAATATATAATATTCCATTTCCTTACAATATGTATAGTTAGTTTTTAACCTTTTATATTACATCTAGAGTCCACGCTTTTTCCATGAGGCTGAGGTTTAGCAAATGAAAAATATACAGCATATAGTAAAGGCTCGATGTTAGTTTTTTTCCTCACTGTTTCAGTCTAACACATAGATCAAAAAATAAAAAAAACTAAACTAAGTAAAATTTGTAAGGAAATAGATATCTACACGTCATAATCTAAGTTCTCTACCTTAATTTCTCTCTTCTTTGGAAAATGGTATGATGATAGGTGGTTGGAATTTTTCTTCACTCAGATTCTCTTTAGGTTTCCTTAGGGGGAAAAATCAATCAAAGAAAAATTTTATATATTTGATTATACTAGAATCTAAAATTTTTTTTGCCATTTATTTCTGGAAGAAACTGGATTATCAAATATAATTCTTTTTTCTTTTTTTGAGGCAGCATCTCTCATTCTGTTGCCCAGGCTGGAGTGCAGTGGTGTGATCATGGCTCACTGCAGCCTCGACCTCTCTCGGCTCAGGTGATCCTTCTACTGTCAGCCTCCTGAGTAGCTGGAACTACAGGGTTGCTCCACTATGCTTGGCTAATTTTTAAATGGTTTTTTTTGTAGAGACAGGGTTTCCCCATATTGCCCAGGCTGGTCTTGAACTCCTGGGCTGAAGTGATCCACCTGCTTTGGCCTCCCAGAGTGCTGGGATTACAAGCATGGGCCATGGTGCCCAGCCTCAAATAGAATTCTAACTCAGGTTTTTAACCCAAAGCCCATGGGGTTTCTTCTTTACTTTCTAGATTTGGAATTCTTTTAAAGACAAGTACAGAGTCATTGGAAAAAAAAAAAGTTGAACATCATAGAAGACTGAGTCATTCATTGATAACTGTTGGGCCTAAGTGGTGGGTGGATTTGGTTTGATTATATTGCTCTCTCTACTTTTATGTATGTTTGAAGATGTCTAAAAGGGAAGTTTAAAAAAAATCCTATCGGCCAGTTGCAAGCCTGGGGCACATTATTTGAATGTTTCTTAGTTTTTCAACTATAGATTGGAAATGGAATCTGTTAGCAGGGTGTAGTGGTATTAAAAATATAGACATAAATTGCCTGGTGATACTTATAGTAGATGTTCAGTAAACATTAATTCTTAGGAATAGCATCATGAATTATACAAATTGTTAATCCTCATAGCCATTCTCTGAAGTAGGCAGCTTTATCCCAGTTTTCATATGAGAAAACTGAGAATTGGAGCAGCTAAGTATTATGCTTTGAAGTATACAAGAAGCAAATGATGGAGCTAAAATTTGAGTCCAATTTCTGACCTCAAAGTCTAGGACACTTGAAGCCTCCTTGAAAAAGGAAGGCTACTATTGACAAAGCTTTGTTTCTGTTACATTATATTTTCTCAGATTTAATCTTCATCATAACTGCAAGGCATATTGAATATCTGTAACCTTTTAAAAAGAAGCACATAGATTTTTCACATTTTTGTATATGAGTAGTTAACTCTAAAAAAATGTGTATTTATTTTAAAATATATTTGAATGTGTAAGTTGAGTTTAAGTATTGGCAATACCATGTTTTTGTGGGAAAAAAGATGCCTCTTGGTTTTCCAGGTGAGTTTGTATATGAGATAAAACCTGTGTTTGAAAGTTAAAAATTTTATATTTTTGGTACTATACCTTTAGATGGTTTATTGGAAAGATACTATATTTGATAATGTACATTGTATTTTTGTTATTGAATTTATTAAAATCATAATTTGTAATGTCGATATGAAATGAATCCAGAGCAAATCAGGGCAAGAAGATGTAAACTAGGAAGGGCCTTCCTCTGTGTGTGTGTGTGTATGTGTGTTTGTGTGTGTGTGTGTGACCCACAGAGAGAGAGAGAAAGAGAGGTCCTTGAGTCATAAAGATTTCTTGTTTATTTTTTTTTTAGAGACATAGTCTTGCTCTGTCATCCAGGCTGGAGTACAGTGATCCAGTCATAGCTCACTGCAGCCTTGAACTCCTGGGCTCAAATGATCCTCCCACCTCAGCCTCCTGAGTAGCTGAGACTACAGGCATGTACCACCATGCCCAGATAACTTGTGTATCTTTTGCAGAGATGGGGTTTCGCCATGTTGCCCAGGCTGGTTTCAAACTTCTGGGCTTAAGCGATCCACCCACCTCAGCTTCCCAGAGTGCTGGGATTTCAGGCATGAGCCACCGCACCTGGCCTCAGCTAATTTTTAAAAACAATTTTTAAAGGGCTGGTGCCTTGCTGTGTTGCCAGGCTGTTTTTGAACTCCTGGCCTTGAGTGATCCTCCCTTCTCAGCCCCCCAAAGTGCTGGGATTACAGGGATGACCCACCATGCCTGGCCCAACTCTAAATTGTTCACTGTAGGATAGAAATGGCCGGGCGCAGTGGTGCACACCTGTAATCCCAAGCAGTTTGAGAGGCCAAGTCGGGCGCATCACAAGGTCAGGAGTTCGAGACCAGCCTGGCCAATATGGTGAAATCCCGTCCCTACTAAAATAACAACAACAAAAAAACCCACAAAAATTAGCCAGGCGTGGTGGCGGGCGCCTGTAGTCCCAGCCACTTGGGAGGCTGAGACAGGAGAACTGCTTAAACCTGGGAGGCAGAGGTTGCAGTAAGCCGAGATTGCGCCACCGCACTGCAGCCTGGCAACAGCACGAGACTCTGTCTCAAAATAAATAAATAAATAAAATAATATAAGTTAGAAATTATTCCTGTGATGTTAAGAGACCTAGTGTAAAGATTTCTTTTTATTCAACAAAATTTATTGACATTGAACAGTTTATTATCTGTTATGTGCTTTTTAAGAAGATTTACATGTTAGGTTTGTTACCAAGCACCTAAAGGGTAATGTTTCACATAACACCTACAAGATGCTTGGTAATGTCCATTCATGCCTGATGAATTTCCTAGCACATGGTAGGTCTTCAGTTAATGTTTAATGATAATAGGGAAATGGCCTATAAAAGCCTTAAAACTTTGGAGTAAATTTCCACCCTACTTTATAAGGAATTATGAAATGTTTCCAAACTTCTGCATTTATGAAACGCTTAAAGCATATCTCCAAAGCACCATTTCTAAAATGAAAGTTGATCAGTACTTGGGGAATAAATGAGGGAAATGAAAATATTATATATCCTTTTTATTTTTATTATTTATTTATTTATTTTTGAGGCAGGGTCTCACTCTCTTGCCCAGGCTGGAGTTCAGTGGTGCCGTCTCGGCTCACTGCAACCTCTGCCTCCCAAGTTCAAGCAATTCTCATGCCTCAGCCTCCCGAGTAGCTGGGATTACATACGTGCACCACCATGCCCGGCTAATTTTTGTTATTTTTAGTAGAGACAGAATTTTGCCATGTTGGCCAGGCTGGTCTTGAACTCCTGGCCTCATGTGATCTGCCCTCCCTGGCCTCCCAAAGTGCTAGGATTATAGGTGTGAGCCACTGCACCCAGCCTATATATCCTTTAAAAAAATTGTTTTATATGGGAAATATATGGTGTTATTTTTCTATAATAAATTCCTGAAACACAATTTCAATAATTTTTGGTTTGGGGTCTAATTGGGGAGTACTTTTTAATGGTGTAGTCTCATAAACTGAAAAATTGATTTGCATGCTGTCTTTCATAGACTATTTTTTGTTTAATTAAAAATCTCTTGTGAGAAGTAGAAATTTGGATTGGAAAGACTGGGTGTTTGCTTCTTTCTGTCTTGTGTTTATTAAAGGTTTCTTTAGGTTGTTTTGCCATTTTCCCTCCATTCTCCTCATTATATTTAGTTCTCTGTTCAATCCTAGTGTACACACAAAGTAGTTGGAGAATTACCAACCCATACTCTTCTGAAAAATAAATTTAGTAACCAGAGTACAGTAGTGCATACGGTTCTTTTTGTCTTTATTTTTACCAAATAGTTTTCTGAAGTTAGTTCAGTTAGTTTTTTCTTCTCTATCTCCTACAGTTTAGTTCTATTCTTAATTTTTAATAGAGTTGGATTTGCAGTTTGAGGTTCTCCCACATTCTGGTTGATTTGAACTATTTATTTTAACGGATATGTGAAACATTACCGTTGTTCTAAGAGTCAGAATTCTACTCAGAGACCAGTCATTTGCCAGGGCATACTCAGAGAATTGTCATTTCCCCTTCATCTCTTTTATCCTATTCCCATCCCCCTCTTCTCTGTACCCCGTTTCCACCTACTCTGTGGAGATAACTAATCTCACTGACTTCTGGTTCTCTCCTCTTCTTGTTTTTGTACAAATGGGTGGATACATATAGTTATGCATCACTTAATGAGAAATGCATTGTTGGGCAATTTCATCTAAACATAGAAATGGTACAGTAAAAATACTGTACAAAAGATATGGTATGAAAGATAAGAATGGTACACCTGTATTGGGCATTTACTATGAATGGAACTTGCGGAACCAGAAGTTGCTCTGGATGAGTCAGTGAGTGAATGTGAAGGCCTAGGACATTATCGTACACTACTATAGACTTTATAAACATCATACATGTAGGCGACACTGACTTTAAAATCTTTTCTTTCTTTTTTAAAAATTTTTTTGGGTTTTTATTTTTATTTTTTTATGAGACGGGATCTTTCCTTGTCACCCAAGCTGGAGTGCAGTGTCATGACCATGGCTTATTGCAGCATCAACCTCCCAGGCTTAAGCGATCCTCCTACCTCAGCCTCCCGAGTAGCTGGGACTACAGGTGCGTGTCCCAACTCCTGGCTAATTCTTTAATTTTTTGTAGAAACGAGGTCTCCATATGTTACCCAGGCTGGTCTTGAAGTCCTGGGCTCAAGCAATCCTCCCACTTTGACCTCTCAAAGTGCTGCAATTACAGGCATGAATGAGCCTCCATGCCCTGCCAGAAGTTCTTTCTTCAATACTAAATTAACCTTAGCTTACTGTAACTTTTCTACTTTATAAACTTTTTAATGTTTTAAAACTTTTTGACTCTTCTGTAATAACACTTAGGTTAAAACACAAACACATTGTACAGCTGTGCAAAAATATTTTCTTTTTACCCTTATTTAACTTTTTTTATAAGTAGGAGTATACCTAAAATAATGGTAAAAAGTACAGTATAGCAAATATGTAAACCAGTAACAGTCATTTATTATTATCAAGTCTTATGTATAGATGTAATTGTATGTTGTATACTTTTCTATCACTAGCAGTGCAGTAGGTTTATACCAGAATCACACAAATGTGAAATGTGTCATGCTACATTTATGATGTCACTACGTGATAGGAATTTTTCAGCTCCATGATAATTTTAAGGGGCCATTACTGCATATGTAGCTCATCGTTGACTGAAACATCATTATGTGGTATGTGACTGTATAGATATATATCACCTCATATTTTCTTCCTTACATGAAGGGTAGTACACTCTAGGTATTCTTTTATGCTTTGATTTAATAATATATTTTATTGGCTGGGCACGGTGGCTCATGCCTATAATCCCAGCACTTTGAGAGGCCAAGGCTGGCAGATTGCTTGAGCCCAGCAGTTTGAGACCAGCTGGGGCAACATGGCAAAACCCCATCTCTTAAAAAAAAGTACAAAAATTAGCTGGGCATGGTGGTGTATGCCTGTGTTCCCAGCTACATTAGAGGCTGAGATGGGAGGTTTGCTTGAGCCCAGGAGGCAGAGGCTGCCATGAGCTGAGATTGCACCACTGCACTTTAGCCTGGGTGACAGAGTGAGACCCAGTCTCAAACAAAACAAAACATATATTTATTATGTTATTATAACATAGCCTTATTATGTACAGTCGGCCCTGTGTATCCATTGAGTTCTGTGTCTGTGGATCTAACCAACCACACATGGAAAATTTTTGGAAAAGATGGTTGCATCTGTACTGGACATGTATAGACTTTTCTTTCTCATCATTATTGCTTAAACAATACAGTTTAAAAACTGTTTACCATAGCATTTAGATTATATCAGGTATTGTAAGCAATCTAGAGATTATTTCAAGTATATGAGAGGATGTGCATAGGTTATATACAAATACTACACCATTTTACATGAGAGACTTGAGCATCCGTGGAGTTTGGTATCCACGGGGGGTCCTGGAGCCAGTCCCCTGCAGATACCGAGGGATGGCTGTATGTTAATAATATATTCAGGTTATCTACTAAGTGCATCCAGGAATCCTTCCTTATTAATTCATAGAATACTTTTTTGTTTTTTTACAGCTGCATAGTACTCCATTGCATGGATGTGCCATAGTTTATTCAACCACTGTCCTGTATCTGGACATTAGGCTGTTTCCAGTGTTTATTGTAATTATAAAATAGGCTTCAGTGTATATACTTTGGTTGTTGAGGTGTACCCTCAGGGTAAATTCCCAAAGATGGGATCACTGGACTGATTAAAGGTAAGTGCATTTGTTGTATTGTTAGGTATTGCTAAATTTCCTTCCAGAAAAGTTGTGTTTGTCATCGGTATTCTCACCTGCACAGCTGTTTTGAGTTTTCTCACAGTCTCGCCAGCACATGTGTTGTCATTCTTGTTAATTGTTCCCAATCTGATGGGTGAGCATGGTGTCACAACTGGTTTTAATTTACATTTCTCTAATTATGAGTGAGATTGAACATCTTTTCACATGTTTAAGGGTCATTTTATGTCTTTGTGACATGTTTTACTTTAAAAGTTTATTTTGGATGCACACTTTTTTTTTTGTTATCATTGTTAGGTTATTCACCTTCAACTTGTCAGAACAGTAGCACTCTAAAAACGCCAGACTTTATTATGACTCTCCTCTTTCAGATCTTCCATGGTGGCTTATTCTAATTCGGCAGAAAGCATTGGTGGGCAAACTCCCAGGAGACCATGAGGTCTGTAAAGTTACCAAAATTGCTGTGCTCTCACTTTCTGAAATGGAACCTCAGGATCTTGAGCTAGAGGTAGGTGAAATAAAGGGAAATTATATGGAAACCTGATATAAATGTAATAGCAAATATGAGGATTTGGTTCAGTAGACCAGAAACTTACATTTTTAGAGCTGGGTAATGTTTTTAAAATAATTTAATCCTAAGATTTTCCAACTTAGTAGTGGAACTCTTGTCTCAAAATCCATGAAATCTAGTGTAGAAGACACATAAAGGCAGGGCTGCTGTGGTCGCAGTAGTGTTGGGGGAATCCCTGGGGCTCTGTCCACTTGATCTCTCCTGGGAAGCCACCTTCTGTTTCCAGGGTGCCCTAGGGCTCTGCACAGTACAGTTTGAAAACTTCTTAGGGAAAAGGAGTGAGTTAAGAAAAGGAGAGCTCTTATTATATCCTCTTTTGTCTGCATTTCTTGAAAATTTTCTAAGCATATATTACTCTATTAAAATTTACAAAGAAAGTTTTTTAAAAGGAAGACAGTCACTCATCTAATGTAATCTCTTTATTTTCCAGAGAAGAGCTCAAGTCCACAAGTAGAGTGATTTAAGGATGGAATAATGAGATTGTCTAGGGCTAGTGTTTTTTACCACAAGGTGCTGCCTCCTAGTAGAAGTAACCCATGAAAGCATTTATGTCCTGTTTGCTCTTAGTATGGGAATTAGATGCCTAGTAATTGTCATCACTCCGATTGTTTTGTTCACTATGTGATGTGCCAGGTGGGCCCTGTGTATTACATAGATGATAATATTTAGTCCCCAAGACCCCCCTATGAGGTAGACATTACTACAAATAAAGGAGGCTAGGTGGGTGGCTCCTGTCTTTGACAGGCTGAGGCTGGAGGATTGCTTGAGCTGAGGGGTTCGAGACCAGCCTGGGCAACATAGCCAGACCTTGTCTTGTGGAAAAAAAAAATTAATGAGTGAATGGATTTTAGAAAATAAAATAAAAACAAATAAAGGAGGCCTGGCAAGGGTTAAGTCACACAGCTGGCAGAGGTGGGGCCTGGATCTAGACTCAGGCTGCCTGGTCCTATATAATTCTGCTGAGCTGCCGCCCTGTTACCTGAACATCAGGTAACAGCAAAGCACACACTGCCCCACAACTCAACACATGTTTTTCCATGTAGAGTTCTTGGGGAGGAACTTTGGGGACAGGGTTAAATTGCCTTAAGAATAAGTAAAAATAAAACTATTTTTATGCTTCAAATGTCACTGGAAGTTTGACAATTGAATTTTAAGAAACAAAATGAATTTAAGTGGACTCTGATATTAATTATTTGTTACAGGAATCGAAAAAAGTTTGGAGTTCTTAATTCTCCTTTTATTGGTACTTATGCTAGAACACTATTCACTATTGCTGATCGAGAGACAAAAAACCTAGGTGGCAATTAGGCCTATTAAAAGCAGATGTTTGCAGTTTTTGTCTGCATTTTTTTTGGGTGAAGAGCAGCCAGACTAGCAAAAATTTTGTTAGTTTCCTAAGCCAGTAAATTTGCTGGCAGTGTCTTTTGGATGGTTTTGCTGACACACTGAAAGATCAGGATGGCTTGTTATCACAGACCTTTCCCTTGAGGGTGGGCACCCCTTTGGCCTGGCATTCAGGTTTGAGCACTAAGACTGGGGTCTCTGGCAGTTTGATTTAGAGATGGGAACCAGCCCGCCCAGCACTTTATCCATCTGCCAGTCATGATTTGCATATTTGGCACTCCCAGTTCTTCGGAAATTAAATGTCACACATCATCCAGAAAAGGTTGGGACCTTTGTTAGGCCTTTCAGGGAGGTGTTCTGATGTCCTTCATGGCCACCAATCTGTAACATTTTTGAGACTAGTAGCTGACTATTCAATAAAAAGGGAAAAAACCAAGATGGCTTTAGGAACTAACATTTACATGGAGTCTTTAAGGGCAAAAGTGTGAATATTATCAAAGCTTTAAGAGCTTCTTTATTCTTCATACTTTCCCTTTTTTCTCTCTCGATAGTCTAAGGGAAAGAGATTATATTCAAATAAAAAGGAAGTGAGATTTCCTCCATTGACATAATTATTTTTACAGCTGTTGGGCTGTACAGTATAAACTACCGTACTTCTCAGGGCCAGCGAGATCGTGGTTCACGTTAAGAGTTGAGTATACGTAACGACTCTTGCTAATTGGGAGTAAAAGTAACTACAGAGAAAGTATTTCCAGGTCCTATCTCAGTGAATAGTTTGGTACACCTTTCTCTCAAGAGATTAAAATTTTAGAAATTTACACTTTTGCCATTTTTTCTTTCCTTTTAATCCTGTTTTATGGTAAAGGAACTTTGCAACAGTGAACAACAGGAAGGGCAAAGAACCACATGTTGAAAATCACAACTTTATTATCTTTTAACATGTTAATTTAAATCTTGGTATCTATTTCAATTTCCATATAACTCAATTTAAAAGAGTTTTTAGAAGCTTAATCCTTTTTAAATTGTTTTTTGGTTATACAGTAAATTGTAAAAGAGAAGAAAAAAAATTCCTCCACTTGGAAATAATTGTTATCAATATTCTACTGAGTTTTGGTGGGTGTTTCCATTTGTGCCTAGGCTCTTTGGAGGACCAGTGTTACTTTCACATGTTTCAGAATAGTTTCTCTGTTTTGCACTTTTACATATTTCCCTCTAGTCTTATTATTTTTTTAAGAACATAGGAAGACTTTGTTAAACAAAACTACTTATTTCTCCTTAGTATGACTTTCTGATTTGGATGTCTGTGTATCAGTTTGAATAATCTGCATTTATTCCAGCAGCATCCTTTAATGTGGTCACTGTTCCCAGATTTGCTAAAGCCTAAGTCTGTGTTCTGTAATTGGAGCAGAAGCAATCTTATTTCAGAGACGGGTATTAATAGAATTTCTAGTTTTCTGCCTCTGTTGTCTTTTTATCGCAAATATATGCCTTATTTGTTTGCCAGTTAAAAAAAATTCACATACCATAATTCAAATACCTTACAGTTCACCCGTTTAAAGTATGTAAGTCAATGGTTTTTAGTGTATTCAGAGTCATGTGGTTATCACCACAATCAATTTTAGAACCTTTCATCATCCCCCGAAAAAACCCTGTCTTCGTTAGCAGCCACTCCTCACTTCCTCCCAAACTCCAGCTCCCCAGCACCATGCAACCACTAATCTCCTTTCTGTCTCTGTAAATATTTGTCTATTCTGGACATCTCATAGAAACGGAATAATACACCACGTGGCCTTTTGTGATGGACTTCTTTCACCTAGCATAGCTTTTAAGGTTCATGCCAGTTGTAGTGTGTAGCAGTACTTTATTCTTTTTTATTGCCAGATAATCCCTTGTATGGGTATGTCATGTTTTATTTATTTGTTCATCAGTTGGTAGACATTTGAGTTGTTTCCACCTTTTAGCTATTATGAATAATGCTATTATAAGCCATTTTGCATACAAGTTCTTGGTGGTATATTTGTTTTAATCTCTCTTGGGTGTGTACCTAGCAATGGAATTGCTGGGTCATATGGTAACTCTATCTAACCTTTTGTGGAACTGCCAGACTGTTTTTTTTTTTTTTTTGGAGACGGAGCCTCGCTCTGTCGCCCAGGCTGGAGTGCAGTGGCACGATCTCGGCTCACTGCAACCTCCGCCTCCCGGGTTCAAACGATTCTCCTGCTTCAGTCTCCCGAGTAGCTGGGACTACAGGTGCATGCCACCACACCCGACTCATTTTTTGTATTTTTAGCAGAGATGGGGTTTCACTGTGTTAGCCTGGTTAGATGGTCTTGATCTCCTGACCTTGTGATCCGCTCGAGAGAGAGAGAGAGAGAGAGAGAGAGAGAGAGAGAGAGAGAGACTGAGACTGACTTTGCCTGTAATATCAGCACTTTGGCAGGGGGCCGAGGTGGGAGGATTGCTTAAGGCCAGGAGTTCGAGACCAGCCTGGGCCACATAGCAAGACCCTGTCTCTATGAAAAATTTAAAAATTAGCTGGGCATATTTGTGTGTACCTGTAGTCACAGGTACTCAGAAGGCTGAGGCAGGAGGATTACTTGAGTCCTGGAGTTTGAGGCTGCAGTGAGCTGTGATTGCACCACAGCACTCTAGCCTAGATGGTGGAGTGAGACCCTGTCTCTAAAAAAGAAAAATTAAAAACCTGTATAAGGGTATGAAGAATCTGTAATGGTTTAAACAATGAGGACTTAGTTGTTGCTTCTTTAGAAAAAAAATACCCTTTAAAGTTATATAGGCTTATGTTCCATGTCTGCATATCTTATTTGCGTATCTCATTGCCTTAATGGATAACCGCATCATTTTCCGTATTTAGTTTCCATCAGACACCTGTTTAAAATTTTAGCTTCAGATGGATGTAGGTACCAGCTTTTCACATAAAATTATTTATGTCCCTTTTCTTAAATGGCAGCAGCAACATCAACCCTTAGTCTCGGTCACAAGATGTAAGTTGCAAGCGTAATTTAAAAACTAGGGAAGTGCTGTGGAGCTTGTGGCTGTGGTGTTGTCTTTTTGAGATCGCGTGTTTCAGAGTTGTGATAAGGACCTAACCACATACCACACAGAACTGGCTGGGCCTCTGGAAAAGGGAAGGTGATCCTGTTGCCAGTGCTATGCATTGTAATCCCTGGGGCTCTGTGTAAACAAAATACCTTAGGACTGGGAAGGAATCCTAAGAAGTAATTTTCTCTATCCCTGTTTTTTGTCAGGACTGAATTTAACCTTTTCAGAAAGGTAGTGCTCTATACTTTATTTTCTAAAGATAACTGTGTAGCAGATTCTAACATACTCACTGGAAATGTTTGCATTTATAGTAATCTCATTTATTTGTTTGAGACAGGGTCTTGCTCTGTCACACAGGCTGGAATGCAGTGACGCAATCATCCTGCCTTCAGCCCCCCAAGTGGCTGGGATTACAGGCATGTGCCACCACCCCCTGCTAATTTTTTTTTTTTCTATTTTTTGAAGAGATGGGGTCTCACTATATTACCCATGCTGGTCTTGAATACCTGGGCTTAAGCAATCTGCCTACCTTTACCTCCCAAAGTGCTGGGGATTATAGGTGTGAGCCCCTGCACCTGGCCAGTAATTTTAGATTTTTATTTAGAAAAAATCACTTTTAAGAGACAGAGAAAACCTTCCAGTGAAGGTGTTTCCATGAGTTTGAACTTTGTTATACAGATCCACAATCCTTATCTGAACTTCTTGGGGGGCCATATTTGTTTTAGAATTCAAGTTTTTTGGGGTTTTCAAAAGGTTATTCCCTGTATTTTCTACCCTCTAAAGTGGTTCTGGAGCATTACCCCACGATAAAACACATTAATGTTTCTTAAACAATGGTATGAATGTTCATACTAAGGGAGGTAAGTGATGATTATCAGTATCTTCATATCAGTTCAGGGCATGCTTTGCCATTAAATGAGTTTTTAACTTAAAAGATACACTTTCAGGTTTTAGAGTTTTTTGGATTTTGGAATTGTACATAAGGAAGTTAAGGGATGATGGGCTTATATTAACTCTGTTTCAAGCCCAGGATGAGGGTAGATAAAAGAAATAAAAATAGAAAAGACCAGGTGTGGTGGCTCAAGCCTGTAATCCCAACACTTTGAGAGGCCGAGGCAAGCAGATAACTTGAGGTCAGGAGTTCAAGACCAGCCTGGCCAACATGGTGAAACCCTGTCTCTACTAAAAATACAAAACTTAGCCAGGCATGATGGCATGTGCCTCAGCTACTCGGGAGGCTAAGGTGGAAGAACCGCTTGGATCTGGGAGGCGGAGGTTGCAGCAAGCTGAGATCGCGCCATTGCACTCTAGCTTGGGTGACAGAGTGCGACTCTGTCTCAAAGAAGGAAAGAAGGAAGGAAGGAAAGGATAGAAGGAAGGAAAGGGAAGGGGGAGGGGAAGGGGAGGAGGAAGGGAGGAAGGCAGGCAGGCAGGCAGGAAGGAAGGAAATGCCAAGCTTAGAGAATAAGCATTTTTTAAAGTAGATCAGACTGAAGCCAGAGGCCTTTCTGGGTCTGCATCTAGAAGCAGACAGTAGCAGGTGGGAATTTGGCCCCTACACAGTAAAGAGGACTAACAGGGCTTCATGGGAGATGGGATCCTGGGGCCATGCTTAGCACTTGAGGCCTGGTGCTCAGGTGGAACTCCCTAGATCATGAGGGGAGCTGTTAGAGTGTCTGCACTGAGTTGGATAATCCTGCATAGAACATCTCCTGTGTGCCATGCCAGTAGCATTTCCATGAAGAAATACTGGTCTGGGCAAAAGATAGGGATCTGAATCAACACCATAGCAATGGGCATGAAGTGGTTGGGGTTGATAGGAGAGACTTAGAGAAGGAGAATGATGGAAGATGATTCCAAGGTTTCTTGCTTAAATGATCCAGTGGGTGGTGCAGTCATTACCTGAAATAGGGCATACCAGAGAAGGAACAATATTTGGGGAGCAGGTGTTGCGCAGTTCTAGAGATGCTGAGTCTGAGGGTCTAGTGTGTCTCAGTGTGGGGGAGACGTCACATGCATCAGTCTTGAGATTAGGGGAAAAGAGTGGAGTTAGCAAAGGTAGTAGTAGTTAAAATTAGGAAAGAAGGTGACATTTTCTAGATGGAGCATGAAGACGGAGAAGAGAGTTAAGGGTAGAACACTGGGAATACCATCAGTTTTAGAGAAGAAAGATACACCCACAAAGGAGACTGAGAAGGAACAGCCAGAGATGGGGAAGGACCCCGAGAGATTGTTGTCATGGGGACCAGAGGAAGAGACAGCAGGGAGTGTTCTTTCATTCCGAGAGAGTTAGGAGGCCTAAGCAGTGTCATCAGAGCCTTTACTCCTTGACCTGCCCCAATCAGACTATAGTCCTTACAGTTCCAGTGCCTGGGCTGGGACACTGTACCCTGCTGGCTCTCAGAGTGGATTCCATGTTTGAGGAATGGATTTAAAAGAAGATTCTCACTTGTGTAAACATGTCACAAGGTGCTAGGAAGGGGGCTATTAGAGGTTGGGACAAAGGAAAGGGGTGAATGATGAGCCCAGGTCCTAATCCCAGAAACTAACCTTGAAGAGAACAATGGACTCGGTCTTTCTGAGTGAGGAAAACCTGGGTGCAGACTAGGTGTGCTGTTGCACATTTACTTGAAATAGCGGACCTTTGATAGATTCCTGGGGGGAAATTTTTGCTGGCTTGAGTGCTCTTAAAGAATGATTTTGTTGGCCGGGCGCAGTGGCTCACGCCTATAATCCCAGCACTTCGGGAGGCCGAGGCGGGCAGATCATGTGAGGTTGGGAGTTCGAGACCAGCCTGACCAACATGGAGAAACCGTGTCTCTACTAAAAACACAATATTAGTCAGGCATGGTGGTGCATGCCTGTAATCCCAGCTACTCGGGAGGCTGAGGCAGGAGAATTGTTTGAACCCAGGAGACGGAGGTTGTGGTGAGCCGAAACTGCGCCATTACACTCCAGCCTGGGCAACAAGAGCGAAACTCTGTCTCAAAAAAAAAAAAAAAGAATGGCTATGTCTGTGTATCCCGTTTTGAATACTAAAATTGTAACAATCTGTAGCTCGGTTTTGAGCAAGTAAGCATGTTTTCAGGTTTTTAAAAGAGTTATTCATATGACTAATCACTGATATTTTATATAAAAATTGCTAGCCAGCAGTTGCCAAGTGCCACAAGCAAAGTAGTAGCAGGAGACCAAAGGGAAAGCATCTTTTTAAAACTGCTGCTCTGCTGCCCCAGTGATGCTGTATCAAGGAGGGTGGGGTGTGTACAATGTGTTCATGGGAGAAGGGGAGTGATGGTCGTGAAAGCTCCAATGGCAGCTACTGCTAAGGCACTGGAGGTAGGAGTCAACAAGACAAAGATCCTGCCTCAACCTCTGGTTTTGGACATGTTGAGTTTGAGATGTCTGGTAGACATCCCAGTGGAAATGTTGGGATATGTGAGGCTGGAGTTTTGGGAGAGAGCTGGGCTCGAAATAAACATTTGGGAAGGTGGGGTTGGCATAAGGACAGTATTGGAATCCATGAGTCTGGATGAAATCACTGAGGGAGTGAATGCAGATGAGAAGGGGATGAGGGACCAAACGTTGGGGCACCTAGACATCAAGCAGGAGGCTGGAAAGGAACTGCTCAAAGCGGCAGAGGAGGAGTGACCAGTAGGAAGGAGCCAGGTGAAGCCGTGTGTTGTAGGATGAGGGAGGGACTCAGACGCTACTGAGAGTTAAGAACCAAGAGCATTGGATTTAGCAAAGTGGAGGTCATTGAGCATGCTTCAGACAGCAGCTTGGGAGAGTGGTAGGGGTGAAAGCCAAATCGGGGGGTGGGGTGGGGGGCGAGTTGGGGAGAGAATGGGAGGAGTGGAGCTGGAGGTACTGAGGAGTGCAGAGTGAGTAAGAGGACAGCAGTGGCTGAGGAAGAGGAGTCGCTCGGGGGTGTGCAGAGGAGAGGAGCGGAGGAGGATGGGCCTGTGTGCTGACGGAAACGATCACAGAAAGAGGGATGCCATGTCCATAAGCTTGGTTCTGTCTTCTCTCCTTCCGTGTCACCTGGAATTCTTGCTAGTTTTGCTTATTTGAAGGGAAATAAAGTGAGCTGTTCTGGTAATAGGAGTATAAAGCTTTTCTCCCTCATCTTTAGTTCCCTTGTCTTTAATGGTAGGGCAGGAGCAGCTTAAAGCTGTAATCATGGTGTGAAACCTGTGTGGACAGTTTTTGATAGCCATGATTTTGAAAAGGCTTGAAATCATCTGGAGATCCCATTGCACATGAAAATTTGGTCCAGTTATTAGTTTCTACTTCCAAATTTGATAAAACAGGGATTCTCTCTCTCTCAATCAAAGCTTAAACTCGCTTTTCTTCTCACTTTATCTTAATAGTTATTTTGTAACACACTGATGATAATAAGCATTTAGTAACTATTAGTTCTTATTAAGAGTCTCCTACTTAGTGTAGCAATGCAACTAGTTTGTTGAAAAAATGGAATTGGTCTGCATATTGTTAACAGAATTTGTGTGTACATTTCAGAATATTTGCTTTGTTTGCTGAGCTACATGAAATTATATGTAAATCCCTCAACTTTAATCAGGTAGCCTTCTTTAGAACCTTCTGTGCCTTCTCTTCTCTTAACATAGCCGTATTCACGCTCCCACGCCCTTCCTTACCCTTGTCAGCTGTGCGGCACTTCTCCTGCAGCCCCTAATTACTGCTTCTTCAAGTTTAACTAATCTCCGGACCCAAAGTGTATGTTATTAAGCTGATTTCATTAGTGCATGTGAGCGTAGGAGGAGAGGGAGTGGTTGAAATGTCCAGCTTTTAGGGCTCCCACTAGAGCAGGCTCTTAAGCCATCTTCTCAACCAAAACACTCAATTAGCATCAGTATTTAGCACGGATACCTGTAAAGTCATAACCCTGAAGCATAGCAAATGTGCATTTTGCAATTTTTAAATTCTTAGATACTAATTTCCAAAGCATTAATAACCTCAGCCGGAACATTTCACTCTTCAGTTATGTTAGAAGAGAACCGATTATGAGCCTAACCTGAATTTTCCACCTCTAAATCCTAAGTATATCCTGCCCTGTATTCTTTGTGTTTTATCCTCTGCTATAGCTTTCTCATCATGGGACTCATAGTTGTGCTTGCCATCAATTGTCTACTTGATAATTTTTCTAACTCTTGAAGTTTACTGTTAATCAGAATGCCTGAGCAGTAGCATTCACTTTTGCACTCGAACATTTAACAAACAGGTATTAGTAATAACAAATCATCTTTCTCTTCCTATTTAGCTCTGTAAGAAGCATCATTTTGGTATTAACAAACCAGAGAAGATCATACCATCTCCTGATGACTCAAAGTTTCTACTGAAGACCTTTACGCATATTAAATCCAATGTGTCTGCTCCTAATAAAAAGAAAGTAAGAGTTTAATTGATATAGGCTTTGAATTCACCTTTGATTAGTTTTAAATAGAGAGATAATTCTCCACTCAGAAAATTTATTTTTAAACCATTTGTTGTATTGAAGCACCATCTCCTTATGCCCTTGGGATTATTTTCACTTCTGTCTTAGGAATTTATGTGTTATCCCCAGACTACTTTACATTTAATTTCTGTAGTAATAGTAGATTAATTTCTTATAGGTTAAGGAAAGTAAAGAGAAGGAGAAGTTGGAGAGGAGATTACTTGAAGAGTTGCTGAAGATGTTCATGGACTCAGAATCCTTTTATTATAGCTTGACCTATGACCTGACCAATTCCGTGCAGAGGCAGAGCACTGGGGAGAGGGACGGTCGGCCCCTCTGGCAGAAGGTACCACTCACAGCTCGTAGAGCAGGGTTTGCACTTGGGAAGAAGTGATGGCCTGTTTTGGCTTTTGTAGGAAAACTGAAATAATGTGTTTCTGAACTATTGTTCCTGCACCTTTTCTAGGTTGATGACCGATTTTTTTGGAATAAATACATGATACAAGATCTTACTGAGATTGGTGTGAGTAGTTGTTTCTAAAATTTCCTAACCGTAATGAAATTGGTCTGTTTGTTTCTAAAACGTCTGGTTATAATTGTTAAGCAAATGTTTTTTAATTATATTAAGATACATTTTTAAAGATCACTACGTTTTCCCCTATGGAATGGGAATCATTTAGCCAGGAAAACCAAGGCATTATTTTAAGGCAGTTTACAATTTCACTGCCTCGTCACAGGCCTGTCTTTTTAGCACATTCCCATAGGATAATGGTAAGTTAAGGCTGTGGAACTCATGTTCATAGACTTCCTGCAAAAGAGGTATTTTCTTTCTACCCATTGGGAATGTTTGAGCCCAGTTTTCCTGAAATGGTACCAGTTTTTTTTTTTTTTTTTTTTTTAACCTTCGCCGGACTTCTGTTTTCTATCTGGGAATTGGAATAGCCAAATCTCTGAGGCCATTGCTGTACTACCAGTATTTGATAGGGGGAAGATACAGAATATGATGAGATTATTGCAAGAAGTTCCTTTGGTTTGATGATTATTTTTTTCCTTTTCTTGGTCATGTATGTTGGAAAATTGACTGTCTAAAGACAATTCATTCAATCAACAAATATTTATGGAAGGCCTGTTATGTGCCACTTGTCTTTTAGACATTAAACAAAGCAGGCAAATAGGTGAATAAAGTCATATGTTATCTTTTAACCTTTCAGAAATTTCACACCTTTTCCTTTTGGTTTCTCCCCTTTAGTGGTGGTTAGTATCAATGATTTTCACATAATCTAGTGGTGTCTTCGCTAGATACCCATCAATTGCCTCTATGGAGAATGAGGCCTGAGATTATTCTTACCTCTGTTTGCAATGCTGATCAAACTGTGACCACCAAAACCCAGTGGTAGAGGAGAAAAGCAGGGGCATCTGTAATGAGCATTTGTCCTGTGTGCTGACAATATCGAGCTCTAACATGTTTTGCCGAGTTTTTGTCAGAATGCTTTTACATTACCATTTAAAACTGACGACTTGAAGTCGTCATATTCAAAGGTGACATTTGGCAGCATAAATTTCTCTATGCCTGTCAAGAGTTTTGCATTTATTGCTAGAACAGAAATACAAATAATGGGAATGGTGATAAGAATGCAGGTAGATCCTTTACCTCACTATTTTCAACTTTAGCCACCTTCCTAAGATCCTATCTGCAGGCTGCATAAAACAAAACAAAACAAAACAAAACAAAACAAAACAAAACAAAACTGAGATAGGACCTGGAGTGTTTGGTGATGGAAGAAGAGGTGGATTTGAAGTGGATGCTGAGATTAAGGCTGGGTACACTTACGGAGATAAGAGAGAAAGGACAAAGAAGAACTCTCTGGAGCATTTTTATCCTTTACTGTCTCTGCAGATAATAAGTTGAGAAATCTGTCTTCTTAGTCTGAAAGAGACAGAAGAAGAAATCTTTATTTTATTTATTTGTTTTTTTTGACACAGTATCTCTCTGTCACCCAGGCTGGAGTGCAGTGGCACGATCTCAGCCCACTGCAACTTCACCTCCCGGGTTCAAGTGATTCTCCTGTCTCAGCCTCCCAAGTAGCTGGGATTACAGCTTGCGCCCCAGGCCCAGCTAATTTTTTGTATTTTTAGTAGAGACGGGGTTTCACCATGTTGGCCAGGCTGGTCTCAGACTCCTGGCCTCAAGTGAATAGCCCACCTCAGCCTCCTAAAGTGCTGGGATTACAGGCATTGATCCACTGCAACTGACCAGAAGAAGAAATCTTTAATCAGTACTCTCCTAATTATGTTGGATGACATTTTATTTTTATTTTTATTTTTTATGTTTGCATTTTCTTTTTTTATTGATCATTCTTGGGTGTTTCTCGCAGAGGGGGATTTGGCAGGGTCACAGGACAATAGTGGAGGGAAGGTCAGCAGATAAACAAGTGAACAAAGGTCTCTGGTTTTCCTAGGCAGAGGACCCTGCGGCCTTCCGCAGTGTTTGTGTCCCTGGGTACTTGAGATTAGGGAGTGGTGATGACTCTTAAAGAGCATGCTGCCTTCAAGCATCTGTTTAACAAAGCACATCTTGCACCGCCCTTAATCCATTCAACCCTGAGTGGATACAGCACATGTTTCAGAGAGCACAGGGTTGGGGGGTAAGGTCACAGATCAACAGGATCCCAAGGCAGAAGAATTTTTCTTAGTGCAGAACAAAATGAAAAGTCTCCCACGTCTACCTCTTTCTACACAGACACGGCAACCATCCGATTTCTCAATCTTTTCCCCACCTTTCCCCCCTTTCTATTCCACAAAACCGCCATTGTCATCATGGCCCGTTCTCAATGAGCTGTTGGGTACACCTCCCAGACGGGGTGGTGGCCGGGCAGAGGGGCTCCTCACTTTCCAGTAGGGGCGGCCGGGCAAAGGCGCCCCTCACCTCCCGTACGGGGCGGCTGGCCAGGTGGGGGGCTGACCCCCCACCTCCCTCCCGGACGGGGCGGCTGGCCAGGCGGGGGGCTGACCCCCCACCTCCCTCCCGGACGGGGCGGCTGGCCAGGTGGGGGGGCTGACCCCCCCACCTCCCTCCCGGACGGGGCGGCTGGCCGGGCGGGGGGCTGACCCCCCCACCTCCCTCCCTCCCAGAAGGGGCGGCTGGCCGGGCGGGGGTCTGACCCCCTCCCCACCTCCCTCCCGGACGGGGCGGCTGGCCGGGCGGGGGGCTGACCCCCCCACCTCCCTCCCGGATGGGGCGGCTGGCCGGGCAGAGGGGCTCCTCACTTCCCAGTAGGGGTGGCCGGGCAGAGGCGCCCCTCACTTCCCGGATGGGGCGGCTGGCCGGGCGGGGGGCTGACCCCCCCACCTCCCTCCCGGATGGGGCGGCTGGCCGGGCGGGGGGCTGACCCCCCCACCTCCCTCCCTCCCGGACGGGGCGGCTGGCCGGGCGGGGGGCTGACCCCCCCACCTCCCTCCCAGACGGGGCGGCTGGCCGGGCAGAGGGGCTCCTCACTTCCCAGAAGGGGCAGCCGGGCAGAGGCGCCCCTCACCTCCTGGACGGGGCGGCTGGCCGGGCGGGGGGCTGACCCCCCTACCTCCCTCGCGGACGAGGTGGCTGCCAGGCGGAGACGCTCCTCACTTCCCAGACGGGGTGGCTGCTGGGCGGAGGGGCTCCTCACTTCTCAGACGGGGCGGCTGCCAGGCGGAGGGGCTCCTCACTTCTCAGATGGGGCGGCCGGGCAGAGACGCTCCTCACATCCCAGATGGGGCGGCAGGGCAGAGGTGCTCCCCACCTCTCAGACGATGGGCGGCCGGGCAGAGACGCTCCTCACTTCCCAGATGTGATGGCGGCTGGGAAGAGGCGCTCCTCACTTCCTAGATGGGATGGCGGCCGGGCAGAGACGCTCCTCACTTTCCAGACTGGGCAGCCAGGCAGAGGGGCTCCTCACATCCCAGACGATGGGTGGCCAGGCGGAGACGCTCCTCACTTCCCAGACGGGGTGGCGGCCGGGCAGAGGCTGCAATCTCGGCACTTTGGGAGGCCAAGGCAGGCTGCTGGGAGGTGGAGGTTGTAGCCAGCCGAGATCATGCCACTGCACTCCAGCCTGGGCACCATTGAGCACTGAGTGAACGAGACTCCGTCTGCAATCCTGGCACCTCGGGAGGCCAAGGCTGGCGGATCACTCGCGGTTAGGAGCTGGAGACCAGCCCGGCCAACACGGGGAAACCCCGTCTCCACCAAAAAAATATGAAAACCAGTCAGGCGTGGCGGCGCGCGCCTGCAATCGCAGGCACTCGGCAGGCTGAGGCAGGAGAATCAGGCAGGGAGGTTGCAGTGAGCCGAGATGGCAGCAGTACCGTCCAGCTTCGGCTGGGCATCAGAGGGAGACCGTGGGGAGAGGGAGAGGGGGAGGGGGAGGGGGAGAGGGAGAGGGAGAGCTGGATGACATTTTAAAATAAGACATTTATGAAATGGGTTTTTTCTTTTTGGTTTCATTTATTACTTAGATTTTAGCTTCAGGAATTGAGACTTTTTTTTTCTAAGCCAGAAAATAAAGCCGACCTATGTGTTTTATAATAAAGTGATCAGAGTTGGTTGTATTTTATTAAAGCCTTAATACAATTGGGAGTTGAGAATCATAATCATAAACATTTGTTAAATACTTCCCATATGGCAGGCACTGTGCTAAACACTACGTGTATTATCCATTTAATTTTCACAATTCATGAAGTAGTTGTTACTATTTCACGGAGAAGGACAGCGACGGCAAGGGTGACTCCCCTCAGTGAGTTAATAAATGGTGAGCTTGGATTTGTACCCAGGCAGCCTGGCTCTTAGGCTGTGTTCACCATAAAGAAAAGGAAAGACCTCCTCTGTCCGTTCCTTACGTGGTGTTCTTCAATAAGCAGAAAATATGGTTGAATAATGGAAGGTTTCTGCTTCTAATAAACTGAGAAATATGTGCTGACTACTGTTTGGGTTTAAGAAAGTAGCAGTGCTGTACAGAATAGAAACGATATCATGTTCATTTTGTTTTCAGACTCCAGATGTGGACTTTTGGATTATCCCCATGATCCAAGGTTTTGTGCAGATTGAAGAACTTGTGGTTAATTATACCGAATCATCTGATGATGAGAAAAGCAGCCCAGAGACCCCCCCTCAGGAGTCCACCTGTGTAGATGATATTCACCCACGATTTCTAGTGGCTCTCATTTCACGCCGAAGTAGGCACAGAGCAGGTGAGTGGAGGGCTGTAATAGCATTCAAATCAAATCCAGGCGAGAATGGAAAAGCTGCAGATGTGTTGAAATGCTAATGACAATAATGGATTTGGGAACACAGTTGGCTTCAAAGTGCTTGGGGACTCTAAATACTGTGATGTAATTGGGGACAAATTTTTGAAGAGGGGTGAATAAGAGAGAGTTAGCAAAATGAGAAGGAAAAGGAGGTACATATATAGAGAGAAGGGAAAAAGTCACTTGAGATGTGCTTCAGAATACTGGCACTCCACTGACAGCCTGTATCACCGTGATAAATCCTTCCTATGTGCTAGTGCCTTTGGGAAGACCTTTCTCTTTCAGTTCAGAGGAACTGAGCTTCAACTTGTTAAAAACAATGATGCATACAGTTACGATTTTGGGTAAGTTGATACTGTTCTGCTTGGCAGTTGCACACTGAATCCCCAAGGCTATCCTGGAAGACATACATTTGATTAGGAAGCATAATCTAGCCAGACTAAATAAATTTTTTAAAATGTTGCTGTTTTCTGTTTTAATTTTCTTTCAGGAATGCGCTATAAACGAAGAGGAGTGGATAAAAATGGAAATGTTGCCAATTATGTGGAGACTGAGCAGTTGATTCATGTTCATAATCATACCCTGTCATTTGTTCAAACACGAGGCTCTGTGCCTGTCTTTTGGAGCCAGGTTGGGTATCGATATAACCCAAGACCGCGGCTGGACAGAAGTAAGCAGGTCAATTATTGGGTTTGCAAATGATGATTTCAGAGAGAATAGTTTTTAAGAAATTAGTTACCTGTTAGGTTTGGATTTGCTTTGCCAGATACTTCTTTCAAAACGATAACTTGTATTTGAAAAATGTAATAGAAAGTAATGTAATAATCATAGTAAAAATAGTTGACTAAGTCATTTATTTAACAATAAAAAATTTCTCTAACAGTAGAGCAAAACGGCTTACCTCAGAGATTTTAAATTGCTATCGCTTTGAAGAGTACTTTATTGAATGTTTAACTTTGGAAAGGAGCGAATCTAGCCAATATTTGTAGAAGCAGGAACTATCTTAAGATGGAATCTACCAAAAATCAATAAGATGCCTTTACTCAAATATTTTTCTGTGAAAGTTTTTTTTTTTGTTTTGTTTTTCTTTTTTAATCGAATATTTTGTTTCTTCTAGTATTTTAACTTTGGTCTTGGAATAGCTAAGTCATTTAAATCTAATTAGATTACTGAATGAGCTTGATTTTAAAAAAAATGTTAAAGTAAATTTCTCTCTCAACTTAGTTGGTATTCTTTGTGAGAATTCAGTAAAGCTTTGGTTTTTAAAATATTGTTTTAGAGGGGTTTTTATTCTCTTATAAACTACGTGAAAACTTTTCTGAGAAGTAGGCTAGATATATAAATAATCTTATAATGTCATAGTTTGCACTTTCAGATATATTTTAGTGTAGTGTAACTGGAAAAAAAATCAGATCTTTGACTTAGCATTTCATTTTTAAATGATGGTTTTAGACAATCTTAGTTCATTTGGGCTGTCAATAAATTATTTAAAAGTAAGAATAAAGATGGAGTAGACACTAATATGTCTTAAACATGGGAAGGAAAAAAAGATTTTGTATCACTTCTTTGTAGGTGAAAAGGAAACTGTTGCCTATTTCTGTGCCCATTTCGAAGAACAACTGAACATTTACAAAAAACAGGTGGGCTTTGATTTACAGTAGTAAAATGTTCCTTCATCTTTAGAAATAACTTTTTCTTTAAGTTTCATAAAAATAACATTGTACTATTCAAAATTAAAGCATTTGTCATGAAGTTTAACACATTTAAGCTAAGAGTTTTCTTAATATTCTTTAAGAATAATCATTGAGTCAGCTACTTTTTTTTTTTTTTTTTTTTTTTTTAAAGAGACACTGTCTTGCTATATTGCCCAGGCTGGACTCAAACTGCTGGGCTCAAGCAATCTTCTCTCCTCAGCCTCCCGAGTAGCTGGGACTGCAGGCATGTGCCACTGTGCCCGGCAGGGTCAGCTACTTTAGACTGTGTTTGGATAGCGTGAAGAGGTTAGATTGCTATCAATTAATTATAACAATCTAAGAAGCATCTAGACCAAGGAATGAAAGTCATGTCTCAGTACCACCTACAGTTCAACCTCCTGGAGATAACTTGTTATGTATTTTTCAGTATGTTTTTTTCTCTGCTCACCTTCATATTCACTCACATATAAGAATGCAAGTGTATAAACCAAAATCAACTGAAAACTGGTAGGTGAGATACAAGTTCAATGATTTTGATACAAGATGAATATATAATAGTAATTCTGTTATCCATTAGCAGTGACCAGTGTGAATGAGTAATGCCGTGGAATGTGTAATGAATAGGTAAATGCATTTTTTTTTCAGCAACAAAAATGAAGTAGGAAGAAACAGCCTAAAATAACATACAAAAAGATAGCATGTATATGGAGGAAAAAAAAGAAAAAAACTACTGAAGAACACAACAGAAAACCTGACTTAAGTGGAGAGAAAATACCATGTTCCTGGAAGGGAAGTCTCAATATTAAATAGATTTCAGTTCTTCCTAAATTAATATATAAATTTTGGGCAATCACAAAGTCTCAGCAGGGAAATAGCAAACCCTCAAATTGAAAAAAAATATGAGGTTTGATGATAAGAATTAAAAGGGGCGAGTATTTAGGTTTTGAAATAACTCTCACACATTGGTTGAAGGAGCCTAAGTTGGTACAGCCATTTTGAAGGTATTATCAATTAAATTAAACATACTTATACTGCTTAGCCCAGTAATTTTAATTTTTGATATCTATCCTATATACCCTATACAAAAATCAGTTGAGATGGATTATGAACCTAAATGTGAAAGGTTAAGCAATAAAACTTTTAGAAGAAAAAATAGACATCTTTTTGACCTGGTGACTTAAATAGGACTTTAAAAAGCACTAACTATTGTCTTCCCATGTTTTCAATGTATTATTATGTATCACATATTTTATTAGTTGTTTAATGAGAGGTAATGCCCATCTAGGAAATAGTTTTTATTTTTAAAAAACACTCTAATGAAAAAAATGATAAATTAGACTTTAAATTCGTTTTTATTAAAACTTTACTAAATTATAAATATTAAAATACTGTTGTAAATATTATTAAAATTTTATTAAAATTATATAGGACTTTAGAAAACACCATAGTGAAAAAAACTTGATACATTTGGCTTTATTAAAATAAAAAACTTGTATTTGTTAAGACACAAGAGAATGGAAAGGCAGTTCACAAAGTGGTAGAAGATATTTAAGATTTTTCAGTGTATGTATGACAAAGGTCTCATATCTAGAGTATATTTAAAAATGCCTGCTGGGCGTGGTGGCTCACGCCTGTAATCCCAGCACTTTGGGAGGCCAACGTGGGCGGATCACGAGGTCAGGAGTTTGAGACCACCCTGGTCAGCATGGTGAAACCCTGTCTCTACTGAAAAAAAAAAAAAAAAAATTAACCAGGCATGGTGGCTTGTGCCTGTAATCCTAGCTTCTCGGGAGGCTGAGGCAGGAGAATTGCTTGAACCCAGGAGGCAGAGGTTGCAGTAAGCCAAGGTTGCGCCACTGCACTCCTGGACGACAGAGTGAGATTCCATCTCAAAAAAAAAAAACAAAAACCAAAAAAACCTAAAAGTTTATTCAAAAGGATGTACAACCCAAAAGAGAGCTGGACAAAAGAGGATATCCAGAAAGTCAGTAGATGTATGCAAAAGGGCTCCACTTCATTAGCTGTCAGGGAAATGCAAATTAAAGCCGCTACTCAACACACCAGAATGGCTAACATAAAAAAGTTAAGAAGCTTAGGTAACATGGAGAAATCCTTTCTCTACTAAAAATACAAAAATTAGCTGGGCACGGTGGGATGCACCTGTAGTCCCAGCTACTCAGGAGGCTGAAGTGGGAGAATCACTTGAGCCCAGGAAGCGGAGGTTGCAGTGAGCCAAGATCATACCACTGTGCTCCAGCAGGTGACAGAGCAACACTCTGTCTCAAAAAAAAAAAAAAAAAAAAAGTGGAGGGATACCAAGTTTTGACAAGGACATGGAGCAACTAGAACTGTAATAGAAAAAATTTTTAAATCTGTCTGAGAGAAACATATTCAGTCAAGGAGGCATGTACAAGAACACTCATTGCAGCATAGAAACAACCTAATTGTTCATCAGGAGGACAATAGGTGGGAAAATCAGGCATGGCACATCTAAAGTATTGAATATAAATGATGGAAAAGAATGAGGTAGATCCACGTGTACTAATGGGAAGATCTTAAAATCACCTTGTGGGGTAAGAAGAGAAAACTTTTAACAGCGTATGGTATGTTAGCCATTTAAAAAATCCCACAAAACAAAATTAGGTCATTTACATACAGTTGGTTCTCTTCCATTTATTCTATCCACACACATATGACATGCATATTTGTACAGAAATGCATTTATGTGGGCTGAATGGGGATACACCCAACTGATAACAGGAGTTACCTCCAGGGAGGGCCATAGGATTGGGTTGTGGTCAGGAAGGATTTGACCTTATTTTACATTTGAATTTGTTTCAGTGTAAATAAATTCATGTATTAGCAATGTGTGTAATTATAAGTAGATATAAAGAATAGAGCCTGTCTGTACAAAAAAATTTAAAAATTAGCCAGGCCTGGTGGCACATGGCTGTAGTCCCAGCTACACAAAAGGCTGAAGTGGGAGAATCACTTGAGCCCAGCAGGTGAAGGCTGCAGTGAGCCATGATTGTGCCACTGCACTCCAGCCTGGGTGATGGAGTGAGACTCTGTCTCCAAAATAAGTAAATAAATAAAATTAAAAAATAAAAATACAATAATGAATAAACCACATTTTAAGTGTAACGTGCAATTATAAAACAAAACAATACTAAGGTGTGCAAGCAGAGGAAATAACCGCCTCCCACACTCATCCTGCTCCCTGTTGACATTCACATCAATTTTCTAGGTGTGTGTATTGAGCAGATACTTCCTGATTTCGAACAGTACCCCAACAGTGTTCATTTATCCACCTTTTCCTGGGTAATTACTTTCCAGGGCGTTGGGCCCACAGTCGGTCTGACTCAGCCATGGTGGTCCCATTGCTGTCACCAGTGATTGGTTCAGGCACGGACCTGTGTATGTTCATTGGGGATTTAGCCAATGAGATAGGTGATGTGGGGGAAGTCTCCTGGGAGGCTTCTGGGAACAGGTTTTCTGCTCTAATAAGAGATACAGGAACCAATAGTCCCTCTGTGGTTGCTGTTTCTGGGTTTGATGTGGAACTGCTACAGCTCTCTCAAGACTGTGAAGGAACCAGCCTCAGGATCAGCCGATATGCTGGCAGAATAAAAAAGATGGGAAGAATGGCAGAGTAAAGGGATGGAAAGAACCTGTGTCCTTAATGGTATTGGGAATCACTATTAAGCCATGTTGGAACCGTCCTACCTCCAGACTTGTTCTGAGGTATGAGTCAGTTGACTCAAATTTGTCATCCGCAGCAAAAAAAGCCACCTTGACACATGCATATACACAATAAAAAACTCAAGTCAAAACAAAACTATGCCATATATACTATTGTGCAGCTGTTTTCATTTAAGGTCTCATGGCTGCTGTTTAATCATTTCTCTATTGGTGGACCTTTAGGATATACTAGTTATTTTGCTATTATAAAGACTCCAGAAAATATCTTTCTTTTTTAAAAACTCCATGGACTAGGAACAGAACGCATTTTATATATTTTGGGATACTTGTATGTTTTATAGAATAAATTTATGGAAATGAAATTGCTGGATCAGACATTATGTATATTTAAATTTGATACCACTCTGTTGCTTCTGAAAAGATCACACCAGGTTTTTTAAAAAAAATTGTTTTAAAGCAACAGTAGGAGCTAGTGCCCATTTCCTCACATATTGACCAGTGCGGTCTGTGTTTAGTATTCACGTTTGCCTAGGTATAGGTGAAAACTCATTTTCTGTTTTAAATTGCATTTCTTTGAGTATTAAAGTTGTCATCTCTTCATTGAGTATAGGTTCAGAAATTGTAGTCTCATGTTTATTAGCTATTTGTATATTTTTTTCATGTGGATTTTCTCTGTATCCTTTACCATTTTTTTCCGTATTGGATTTAGGACTCTTTATGCATTATTGGTTTTTATGTTGCAGGTATATTCTCCTAGGTAGCACTTTGCTTTCTTACCTTTGCTTATACTGTCATTTGGTACACAGGCTTAAAATTTTTTAAAGTTATGCTTAGAAAGTCATGCTCCAACCTACATTTATAGAAGCATTATTCTGAGTTTTCTTCTAGCTCTATTATCATTAGAAAAACTATTTAGATTCTTAATGCATCTAAAATTTATTTGTGTATAATTAATGAGATGTAGGGAGCTAATGTAAGTTTCTCCTTACCCCACACATAGACATCCCAGTATCATTTATAGACTAGTCCATATTTGCCCCACAGTGGTATCATGAGCATAGCTTAGATTCTTCAGTGTTTACATAGGTCTGCTTCTGGGCCACCATTCCTGTTCTGTTGAGTCACTTAGCTATTTCTACGCTAGTATGACAGTTTTAATTGCTACAGATTTAGAGTATGTTTTGCTTTCCAATGGGACAAGTCCCTTTTTTATTATTAGCTTCCAAATTTTTTCCACATATTTACTCTTCCAGATGAACTTTTGAGTTGTTAAGTTCATTAACAGATCCTGATTGAATTTTGATTGGGATGGTTGAGTGTATAGATTAATTGGGGGAGACTTGAAATCTTTACAATATTGAATCTTGCTGCCTAGTAACATGGTATATGTTTCTGTTAATTCAGGTTTTCTATCATATGCTTTATGTACTTCAGCAGCATTTTATCATGTTCAGTATTTAGGCTTTCTTTATTTCTTTTTAAATCTAGATATCTAAAATATTTGCTGTTACAAAGGACCTTGTTTTCATTATTTCATTCTAATTGGTTATTGCAAATATATAGAAAAGCTATTAATGTCATTGATGTCAATTCTCACAAACTTAAATGTATGTAACAAATGAAAATTTTATAGGAAAAAAATTGATGTTTGAGTGGATTAATTTCTAAGTATGGCTATAAAATATTTCTAACACATAATTCCAAATTATTAAAAACCACACTGTGATTCTAACATCTAATTAAATTTTAAACCACATTGTGATTCTAAAATCTAACTAAATTTTTTCTGTTTCTTTGCTCTTATAGGTTATTATTAACTTGGTAGACCAGGCAGGAAGAGAGAAGATTATTGGCGATGCTTACCTGAAGCAAGTGTTGCTTTTCAACAACTCACACCTCACTTACGTTTCGTTTGACTTCCATGAGCACTGGTAAGATGGCTTTCGGAGAATAGTGTTGATCAATTGCAGTGTTTTTGGTAGATGCTGCCACAGGGACCTTAGTTTCTCTTCTTTGCTGGGAATAAAAATTTCTTCTCATTGTTGGAAAGAAAAAGGGTATCATTCATTTACTTTGTTTTAATTTTCATGTGGGCATTATTTTGGCTAAAATTTAGAGTTGATTCCAAAATATTTACAGTCGTTCTGTTCCAGAAGATCTTGGAGATGTGGAGTTCCCTTTTTGCTTTGATCACACCAGCTAAAGAACTGATGGCATTGCCTTTCTGCTTGGGTCTGAGCCTAGCAGAAGTAATAGAATTTCCTTAAGAGTATCTTGCTGGCTCCTCTTCATGTCTGGTAGTGATACTTCTTTCTCGATGGGTAAACTTCACTAGAGGAAAACAACAACAATCAGGGCATCTTTTTTTTTTTTAAGGACAGGTCTCACTCTGTCGCCCAGGCTGAAGTGGAGTGCGGTGGTGTGATCTGGGCTCACTGCAACCTCCACTTTCTGGCTTCAAGGGATTCTCCTGCCTCAGCCTCCCGAGTAGCTGGGACTACGGCACGCTCCACTATGCCCGGCTAACTTCTGTATTTTTTGATAGAGATGGGGTTTCACCATGTTGGCCAGGCTGGTCTCAAACTCCTGACCTCAAGTCATCCGCCCACCTTGGCCTCCCAAAGTACTGGGATTACAGGCATGAGCCAATGTGCCCGGCCCAGTGAATCATTTTGATGGTGCCTTTAACGTGTGTATTCTGACAGCAAGGTTCTTTTGCCATAATCCTGGTTCTAACTTAGGTTAATTTACCTAAGTATTGAAATTTGGTGGGGAAAGAAGCTTCTGATGTCTGTAGTATGTTTTAATGTGTTTTTAAGTATGCTTTATTTCACAATGCAGATTAGCTATAAACATTTACCTAATTGCCTATATAATATATAGTAGTATTAACCTCATATATGTACAGCAACAATTCTTTTTAATTTTTCGAAGCTACATTAAATAGCATATCTTAAGTTTTAAAAAAATCTATGATTAAATTAAAGATTTTTTCTTTCTTTTGGCATGGATTTTAGCCGAGGAATGAAGTTTGAGAATGTTCAGACACTAACAGATGCCATTTATGACATTATTCTTGATATGAAGTGGTGTTGGTAAGTATTTTACAAGAACTCCTTTTTACAGACTCTGGGATCTGTAAAATAGTACCACTGAGCATTAAACTGATAGCAGCATGCAGAGACAGCATTTTTTTTTGTTCGTTTTGCTTCCCAGTTCCTATTCTTTTCAAGAGAATGTTGCTGACCCTTAGGCAGGTGGTGTTAGCTTTGAACAGGGAGAGGGTGTGAAATGGTCAGGCCAAATGAAGTGAAACGCTCTGACTGTTCTTTAAGGACATGAATTTATTCCTTCTCATGCCCCACGGTCCACATTTTCTCTTTCTCCTCTTTCTCACTGTTCCTAACACAGGAAGGAAGTCTTAGAGGTACTTTGTCTCAGTTTTCAGGCATTTCAAAATTATCAGAGACGGAAAATGATTCTGAGTACAGGAGGTTTAAATTGGCTTAAAGGACAGAAGAGAACATTTGATTAGATGTTAAGACTACACGGGTGGCCAGAGAAATTAGATGAGCAAGCCATGCTGTGTGCCTCCTCACTGGGGGGTAAAATAACTTCGTCTGTTTTGGAGAGTTTAGGTGCATTTCTACTTTAAAGGAACAACGGTGTTTTAAAGTGCCTTCTGTTTTTTTACATGTAGGAAAACATAACTTGGGATGATGTCAGCTCTGCCTAGTAGTTATAGGACTTGGCAAGTCTCTCTGCACCCCAGTTTTTTTTTTTCCTTAAGATGAGGATAATATCTTCCTTGCTATGTTATTGTGTAAATTAACAATGATGTCTATAAATGACTCAATAATGCATAGCATATAAAGATACACCAAGCAAATTACAGCCAGTGCTGCTGTTTTATTGATATACTTTAAAGAATTGTGTCTTTTGAAAACCCTATTATTTTATATTGTAAAATAATTCTGTATTATTTTTAAAAAGGGTTGATGAAGCTGGGGTAATATGTAAGCAGGAAGGGATTTTTCGTGTTAATTGTATGGACTGCCTGGATCGCACCAACGTGGTCCAAGCTGCCATCGCGAGAGTGGTCATGGAACAGCAGGTAATTTGGAGTCTGTTGGATTGCAAATATTCATTTCGAAATGCTTTTTTTTTCCATGAGTAAGCAAATAGCTAAATATTTTTCAAATGTCAAATATTCTTTACAACATTTACAATATACAAACACCCTTGTTGCATTAAAATCTGGAAAGCACAACCTGCACTGAAAATCAGTTAAATAAAGTGAGATTTTCTTAATCACTCATTTCAAAAATGTGACGGCCAACATTTTAAAGTCCATTGGGTGGCATTGTGTGGTCATTTACCTTTTCCCTCTCACCTCCAAGCCCACCCTTCTGTGTTTGGGGCTGGAAGTCTTGATACTGCATTTCTTTTTTTTTTTTTTGAGATGCAGTCTTGCTCTGTTGCCCAGGCTGTTGGGGAGGGAGCTGCTGACGGGAGGAACACAGGTGAAGGAGCCTGTGTCTTTTTCTTCCTCCTGTCTCATGGGCTTCCTTGAGTGCCTCCTATTGGCAGATCCAGCAGGCCAAGCAGAAATGTGGTGTGTAGGCTGGGCGCAGTGGCTCATGCCTATAATCCAAGCACTTTGGGAGGCTGAGGTGGGTGGATCACCTGAGGTCAGGAGTTTGAGACCAGCCTGGCCAAAATGGCGAGACCCCCTGTCTACTAAAATCCCGTCCCTACTAGCTGGGCGTGGTGGCCGTCATCTGTAATCCCCGCTACTCGGGAGGCTAAGGCATGAAAATCACTTGAACCCAGGAGGCGGAGGTTGTAGTGAGCCCAGATCGTGCCACTGCACTCTAGCTTGGGAGATAGAGTAAGACTCTATCTTCAAAATAAAAATAAAAATAAAAAAATAAAATACATAAAATAACCTTGTGACTGTACTTTGAGGACACGAATCTGTTTATCTTATGTACAGTGTTTAAGCAGCCAGGTTTGAGTTTAAGCCCTGGCTCTACCACATACAAGGTTTTGACTCTGTACAAAGAACTTAACCTTTCCAAACCTCAGTCTCATAATTTGTAAAATGTAGGTGATAACAGTATCAATTACATAGTGGTGTTAGGACTAGTGAATGTGAAAAAACTGTGTAAAAAAGCTCTTAGAACCCTAGCCTTGGCACAGAGTTAACATTTACTAGGCACTTAACTATTCTGCCACTATTAGTATTGTTTCTGTGTGCTTTTTTGATATTCAGTTTCACTTCATAGGCAAATTTAAAACAAAGACAAAATATAATAGTATGATCCTGCACATTAAAAATTGTACCAAAACAGTATAAATATTTCATTATATTTATTCAACTTGTAGCAATTTATAAAGCCATCTTTCAAGCACTACTTTATTAAAAATGAGTCTGAAAAGACCATTTCTCTTATTTAAGGGTCCTAAATTGTATATGAATATGTTTCCTTTTTCTGCAGTACACATTTTTTGCTATGGTTTCCTGGCCCATATACAGTTAATCCACCAATGTGTTCATTTTAGCTGAAAAAATTAGGTGTGATGCCCCCGGAACAGCCATTACCTGTGAAATGTAATCGCATCTACCAGATAATGTGGGCCAATAATGGTGACTCCATTAGCAGACAGTATGCTGGGACAGCTGCTCTGAAGGTAAATACTTGCAGGAAGCATCTGTGGGTCATTATGTAGGACACAGCTTAGACTATGGTTTAAAACCACAGAAATGTGTGTGGGTTCCAGATTGCAGATGTGTGTAGTTGACTCTTTTCTGAAATGGTTGGCTAAGGCAGGGCCAGGTAATGTGACTCAAGCAGGCCACACATTACATCAGAGGGAGAGGGGGCTGTGTGGGCCTGAGGAGGAGTGTGTGCTCTCTCTGGAGGGGCCTATGTTGCCAGACCCTCCAGTTTTTCAAGGGATTCTGGAAATCCAGAATTTTATATGAAATGGTTGGTTTTCAAAACTGACAAAACAGAGCATGTCTGCTGGCAGGTTTTGGCCACCAGTGTCATACTTCATCTTTGAGTTTGAATCCCAACCCTGCTTCTTAACTAGCTGTGACCTTGGGCAAGTCACTTAACCACTCTCATTTGTCACACAGGAATTATACTAGACCTATTTCAAAAGACTGTTATGGGATCATATGAGTCAATGCATGTAAGGGCTTAGAATATTCTCTGACACACGTAAATGCGGAAGAAATGTTTTAGTTACTGTTAAAAGTAAAGTCCTTTGAAGATCCTATAGAGCTAGTCCTCATAGAATATTAAGTTAAATATAAAATATATTCTCTAGTAAATAAATTACTCAGTCTGAGGGCGTTGTCCTCTGTGGCAGTAGGAAGTGTTAGAATTTGTTTAAATTAGGTTTATGTTAATCATTCTTCAAGGTTCTAGTTCATCTCAAGGTACTTCTTACACAGATTGTACCATCAAGGACTTAACAAGCATCAGTCCTTCTTTTGCATTGAGTGATAAATATCAAAAGCTTTTTATTAATTACAGAAAGTAAACTTTGGAAGTCCTGGTAAAGACCAGGTACAGTGGCTCAACCCTGTAATCCCAGCACTTTAGGAGGCTGAGGCGGGTGGATCACCTGAGGTCAGGCATTCAAGACCAGCCTGGCCAACAAGGTGAAACCCTGTCTCTACAAAAATATAAAAATTAGCTGGGCATGGTGGCGTGCGCCTGTAATCCCAGCTACTCACTCAGATGGCTGAGGTGTGAGAATCACTTGAACCCGGGAGGCAGAGGTTGCAGTAAGCCGAGATTGTGCCATTGCACTCCAGCCTGGGCGACAGAGCGAGACTCTGTCTCAAAAAAAAAAAAAAAAAAAAAGCCTGGTTCAAGTTAGTGATTAAAGAGAAATACTTCTCTTTTTTGCCCCTTGATTTTAAACTTCTTCGGGATGAGTATTATACCTTTTTTCTGTAATAGAGACTTGTTGCTCTACTAATATTCCCTGAGACTGACCTAATTGGCAGCATGTTCTTCCTAAATTGTCGGTTTTTGGACTGAGATTTCTGAGATTGCCTTGGAGAGAAATAGAGGGGTTGGGATGGGGAAAAAGAGACTACACCTTCCTTGCCTTAAGTTTAAGTCACCACTTCTCTAGGGACTTGCTCTGACATCTTTGTTGTGAAAAGCGCAAGGGAAACAAAACAGTTTAAGTTGTCACTGGGTTGTTCTACAGGTGCTGGTGATGTGCAGCAAGGTAAGGAAACTCCTGCTTTTCCTCCCTGTGTAGAGCTGCTCATCTGCACACCCAGGCTAAAAGCCCATTGTGATCAACTCTAGGGAACTAGCCACATTTTCCCATGTCAGAAACATCGGTTTTTGAATATTACACCAGTTTGAGATGTAAATAATTTTTATTGTTTTGGTGTTTGTCATATAATTTGTTTTGACCTGTAAATTCTAGAAATTCTACAAATTGCCAAGAATGGCTTTACCCTAAAGCACCATCTAACTGTGAAGACTTGATGCCACAAATAGCATTTGACAAGCTTAGATCAGGGTAGAATACTAGTAGATATTTTAATTTAACTATACTATTTGAAAATTATAGAAGTCAGACCTTGGAAATTATAAAAGCCTGTAGAATTCTAGACTTGAACTGAAAGCCCACAATTTATTTTGGGGGCATTCTTGTGTTTAAATAAGATGTCAAAATCAGTTTTTGTTTGACAGGGTGACTTTACAAGGACAGGAGAAAGGAAGTTAGCAGGAGTTATGAAAGATGGAGTGAACTCAGCAAACAGATATTACCTCAACCGATTTAAGGATGCTTATAGGCAAGCTGTTATAGGTAAGAAGCAGAAAAGCTTTTCTTTCCTCAAAATTTATGTCTTCTGTGACTAATATTTTACAGAAACCAGCTTCATTAACATAATTCATATTTTGTAATATACTTGTGTTTCTGTATTGAGCATCTTACCCAATATATCAAATTCAAATTTTTACAAGATTAGAATTTGACAAATATTTTTGGCTGGAGCAACAAAAGAAACCATCTATTTTCCATGCATATTTGTCAGTTTATTACTCAGGTAATAGAAAGCAGGGTTTGAAGCTCCTGGAGTGTGGAATAAGGTGCCCTAAAACCTCAACAATTAAAAACTTCATATTCCGTTTGTTTTCTCATTACTCAAGGCTGAGCAATGTAACCAGATTATTTTTCCTGTATATTATTTGTTCTGTGTTCTTGCTGTGGACAAATATACCAGCCTTTTCCATAAGCATGGTTTATCAGAATATTAGGGTACCAGATTTAGAGATTACCCTAACCAACTCATCATTTTTTTGGAAGAGGAAATGGAAGGATAGATTGCCCAGTAGAATGTATGCATTGACATTTTAAAAATTTAATACTCATGAAGATGTTACTGTATAGGATTAAAGTAAATGCAGAGTGTTCTGGATTAGAACCAAATGTAACATAGCTGACCTGTGGTCCCTGAGGGTCTTTTTGAAATCTTATTTCTTCACCTGATGATTTAGTGCACACATCAGACTAGTAGGGCCTAGACACAGGCCACTTAGGAATTTGAGAAGTCTGATGTGAAGATGTTTGACTTATTTGCCAGACATGGAGGGTGCATGCTGTGACTACAGAATTGGATTTTAGCAGTTGATATTCAAGGAAAAAAGAAGATATCTTACTTCCATTCGTTGACCTAGCTACTCAGTTATATCACTGAGGACCTCAGTTCTGTCCTCTCAGTTCAGCCATCCACAGCATCAGCTGCATCCAGATCCTGAAGCTGGCTGAGAGATCTTCAAGGTTGAGAGATAGAAGCCAGTAGCAATCTGTGCTTGTCTCTTTCCTGTGTAGGGCCAGTGGTTGGCAGGTCTTCTTTCGCTGAAGCCTCCTCGAGTGTCATTGTCCCATGAGACAATGAGATAGGGAGGAATAACTCCATAGGGAATGGGATTATAATGATTTATTAAGGCTGCGCCGCATGCCCCACCAAGAGGAAGTTAGCTTGTCTGTTCAGATCTTTGCTCATTTTACAATTGCCTTATCTTTTTATTATTGATTTATACCAGATAGATGAATTGTAAATATTTTCTCCTGTTCTAGGGGTTATCTTTTCACTTTTGTGATGGTGCCCTTTGAAACACAGTTTTTAATTTTTATGATGTCCAGTTTGTCTGTTTTTTCTTCTTTTATTGCTTATGATTTTAGTGTCATATCTTAAAAATCATGCCTAATCCAAGGTTACAAAGATTTATGCTTGTGTTTTCTTCCAAGAGCTTTACAGTTTTAGGTCTTACATTCTCTTTTGTTTTTTAAAAATATATTAGTAAACTAAAATGATGATAGATATTAACAATTCCACCCTAGATTTGATGCAAGGCATTCCAGTGACAGAAGATCTTTATTCCATATTTACCAAGGAGAAAGAACATGAAGCTTTGCATAAGGAAAATCAGAGAAGCCACCAGGAACTAATTAGCCAGCTCTTACAAAGTTACATGAAGTTACTACTGCCTGATGATGAGAAGTTCCATGGGGGCTGGGCCCTCATTGACTGTGACCCTAGGTGAGTTGGAGTGGTGTCCAGGTGACCAGCTTGCTTAACTGATGTTGGGAAGTTGTCATGATTAACACTGGCAGTTGTCCCTAAAGCTGTGGGCATGGATGCATGGCGCGTGACTATTTCCTCTATGAGCTGGTAGTGAGGCAAGCTGACTGAGGCACTTGCCTTGGATGCAAAATTAAGGGGGTTCTAAAAACTTGGTAATGAAGAAAAATATTTTAGTGCAGTATTTGATTAAACAAAATTCAAATTGCCAAACTACAGCCTGCAGCTGGCTGTGGGTTCCCCACTCCCTGCCCTAGAATCTAGGTTTATTGTATTAATGCACATAAGTGAGTGCAACAAGAGGTGTAGTGAGGCTGGGTATTTTTATTGGTTATAAAGTGGTCCTGGCCTTTTATAAAATAAATAGGTCAACTAATATTCTTTTTTTTTTTTTTTAACAAAAACCGGTTTCAAGTGGTTCTTCAAAATATCAATGAATAGTGGGATCTAAATTTATCCACTAGATTGAATGCTTGCCTTTAGGCTGAAATCTAAAATCATAATCTTTAATATTATAAATCAGAGACATTTTGGGAAATTGTAGCCCAAGCTTTAAGAATAAAGCACTCTAGTTCTATTTTATCTCATACGTTTTGTGTGTTTTTAGTAAGAGGGGCATAAAATGTGCTTGAAAGTACAATTAAAGATAGTATTTATGTATTAAAAGGAATAAAAAACGTTGACTGTGGATTCATAGGGAAACATCCCATGATATTAATCTCATGGATTTTTTTCACTTTGATAGTAAATACTGTTATGTATGGATATAATATGTGGACTTTAAAAATAAGAGATGAATTTTCCTCACACACAACCTAGCAGAAGGTTTTTGTGTTTGTTTAAGCCATTTGGTAAAGCTATTTTGATTCATGTCCTTCACTTGTATTTTTAGTGGCAGCAATCCAACTTAATATAGCACCAAAAAAAAAAAAAAGAGTACTTTTACTTCCCATTCAGAAATAACTGCTGGCAGCACACCTGCATTTTCCTTGAGTTTTAACTGCACTTAGATTTTTAAGAGGGTATCAATATCATGATTGTCAATATCATCTTTCTTCAGTCAAGTGTTTTTGTGTCTACTTTGGGATAATCAAAATTGGGAAAAACCAAAAGGTTTATTTCTAGTGTTGGCTACGATTTTGTAGGGTCACATTACACTTGATGATTTGATTTCCAATTCTGTAATTTTTATGGAAAATTGGTACCCTGGGGTGAAGAGTATTAGAAAATGTAAAGTGTATATAGCTTTGCTATTTAAAGTTTGCAACAAAGTCTGGGTAAGGATGCTTTAAGAGTCATTAGAAGCCTCTTGCAAAGATTCATAAAAACATACTTATTTCTGGCAATTATATTAATAAAAATAATGAATAATGGTGTGGTGGCTTGCACCTATAACCCCAGCACTTTGGGAGGCCAAGGCAAGAGGATCATTTGAGTCCAGGAGTTTGAGACCTCATCTCTACAAAAAAATTTTAAAATTAGCCTGGTATTGTGGTGCACAGCTATGATCCCAGCTACTCGGGAGGCTGAGGTGAGAGGAACTCAAGAGCCCAGGCATTTGAGGCTGCAGTGAGCCATGACTGCAGCACTGAACACCAGCCTGGGTGACAGAGTGAGACCCTGTCTCAAAAAAAACAAAACAAAACAAACAAAAAAACTCAAAAAAACACTATGGTGAAACAAGAATAGTCTTCTAGGATTAGGTCTTTAAATCACTGGCTGGGCACAGTAGCTCACACCTGTAATCCCAGTGCTTGGGGACGCTGAGTTTGGAGGGTCACTTGAGGCCAGCAGTTCAAGACCAGCCTGGGCAATGTAGTGAGACACTGTCTCTTAAAAAAAGTCACCATTGGGTGATTAGAGTCTCAAATCTTTTAAGTCCTCAGCTACCAAATATCTGCCTCAGAAATGACATTGTGCTTCAGTTTTCTTTTCTTCATTAACATGATGAAATGCTTCTCTTTTTTTTTCCTGATTTTTGACTCCCACCTCTGTCCAGTGCCCAGTAAATGCATCCTATTTTTCTTTAATCCAGCACTATAGAATTTGACTTCCCGATAACAGGGAGCCAGTGAGTATCTTCTGTTCATCTTCTTTAATTAAAGTTCCTAGGGCCGGGCACGGTGGCTCACGCCTGTAATCCCAGCACTTTGGAAGGCTGAGGCGGGCAGATCACAAGGTCAGGAGTTCGAGACCAGCCTGACCAACATGGAGAAACCTCGTCTCTACTAAAAATAAAATTAGCTGGGCATGGTGGTGCGTGCCTGTAGTCTCAGCTACTTGGGAGGCCTAGGCAGGTGAATTGCTTGAACCCGGCAGGCGGAGGTTGCAGTGAGCCGAGATCACACCATTGCACCCCAACCTAGGTGACAGAGTGAGGCTCCATCTCAAAATAAATAAATAAATAAATAAATAAATAATAAAAGTTCCCAATGAAGAATAACTTACCATGAGTCACACGTAACTTATCATCAGTCACACGTAACTTACCATCAGTGACACGTGTTAGACAGCAAGGGCCAGTGCATCCTTCCTGTTTCTCATTGCTGCCTTTGGGCTGTACAGCTGAGGAGTTCTTCCCCAAAAAGCAGCTGCCCACTCTCCTTCATGACAAGTGAAGCTGAAACACACGCATTCAGTGCGTTATCAGGTTTTCAGCACATGGGGCTACCCCTAAAGATGACCCAGATAGTCTCACATGGCATGATGGACAATGAAACCTTTAAGTTCATTTTGTTTAATCCTTATTGCTGCTTTGCCTTTAGATGCTAACCTGGTCCAGGGCTTGCAGCTGCCCCACTGTGGGTCTCAGGCTGAGCTTTCTGCTGAGTTTGCCTTTTAGTTGTATGTTTGTTTCTTGTTTCTTCTACTTTTTTTGTTTTTTTTTGGACAGCGTCTCGCTCTGTCGCCCAGGCTGGAGTGCAGTGGCGCGATCTCGGCTCACTGCAAGTTCCGCCTCCTGGGTTCACGCCATTCTTCTGCCTCAGCCTCCTGAGTAGCTGGGACTATAGGCACCTGACACCACGCCCGGCTAATTTTTTGTATTTTTAATAGAGATGGCGTTTCACCCTGTTAGCCAGGATGGTCTCGATCTCCTGACCTCGTGATCCACCCGCTTCGGCCTCCCAAAGTGCTGGGATTACAGGTGTGAACCACTGTGCCCAGCCCTCTACTTCTTTATTGTTTTGGGATAGCTTCCACTGGGGGCCTCTAAGTCTCCCAATTACTTTCCAATTTGTTGTCGGATTCCCTGACTCTCTTGCTCAGATGTTGCTAAACAGTGTTTTTTCCTCTGATTCTTTCTTAGATGGTCAGTTGCCAAGAGTGATTGTGAGAGTATTCTTTACCTGTGTTACGTGCCAGAGCCTCCACTGCCATCCTTATCTTCTTCCTTGTGGTCATTGGTATCCAAAATAGACCCGTCAGAGTCACTGGCTCAGTGATTCCCTTTGATCTTCATCCTTTGGGACACTGAAAGATTCTGAAGATCTTCCCATCAATGTAGGAATCATTAGCTGAGGTGCTGTCTTTCCTGATGTATTGTTGGTTGTGAAAATGTTGTCTTCTCTGATGTGTAAACCAGTGTCTGATGCAGAGTGGTTCTGTCTGTTGGCTCTTCAGTCCAGAGAAGCTGACTTGGGTCTAAGGCAGAGATGGGCAGGGGAGCTCCATCACTAACCAGGACAGCAGGAGTGTCTGAGGGAATGACGTGTTAATTGTCAAGAGGAGGAGGTAGAACACAGGACACAAGGGTCACTGACTTGTGGAATTTGTGTGTGGTCTGCTCTTTGGAGACAGGCATGGCTGCTAAATTTTGAGACTCTCCACTCTGTTCCGGAAAGATCTCCTCTAAAGCTCACCACGCCAGACTGATTGCATCTCACAATGGTTGAGGTGTTGGCCGCTTGCTAGATTTTCCTTGCTGTTGGTGGTCCCCGTGGTTAACGTTTTGCTAGAAACTTGTTCCTTTGAAGGTTGGGGACAGGATGAGGTGGATGTAGGAGCTAGTGAAGCCAATACTTTGGAGCCAACAGCTTCTCAGGTCATGTTTTCCTTGTTGGCTTGCGTAGCAGGATGAGGCCTGCCTACCAGGAGTCTTGGTATTTTTCTAATGGAAGGCACTTAATGTCCCTGTGGCTGGCTCCACTGTGAGCCCCTTTTGGAGAGCCAGGTGGTTTAGGGGTTTAGGCTGGGGCACAGGAGGAGCTAGCTGGAGGAGGTGGAGCAGGGGCTGGCTCTCAGAATGGTTTTCAAGTGTTTTCTTTTCTTCTAGAGGTGATGCTTTTTCAAATAGAGAACTGTTACCTTCTTCCTACATTTTCCTCTTCCGTGGATTATGGATTACTCTTGGTGGACAGCGGATGTCATGTGCTGTTTGAGTTTTCAAAGTAACTATTGCGTTTCCATCTAGATTACAGAATTCTTTATTAACTCCTCTTTGTACAGGCATGTCTTTGTCTTGTGGGTGTGATTCTTGCTAATAATACTGCTGAGATTTCTTTGAATTTGCCACCGATATTTTTCTTCCACTTACTGCAAGGCTTAAAGATTTTCCTAGTGGTGCTCTGTTCCCCTTTCTCTTGATGAGAGATTTGGAAACCTGCTCTTGGGCCGAGTTTGCTATAGAACCTCTGTACAGTCCATCAGCTCAGCTGGAGATGTTGACCCAGAACAGAGGCTCCTGGTGGAGGACAAGAGGTGGCCCTGGAAGTGGAAGTGGGGTTGCGGGTCTCTGGAGAGCCAGGCAGCGGAAGGCTCAGCTCCCAGACTTGGGGACTTGCTCTCACTGCCTGCCTGAACCATCCACTCCTGGAATATGTGTGTGTGTTTAAACAGTTTTATTGAGACATATAATTCATATACCATATAATTCACCTATTTAAAATATATAATTCAGTGGTTTGTAGTATATTCAGAGTTGTGCAGCCATCACCATGGTCAATTTTAGGACATTTTCATCACCACAAAGAGAAGCCCCGTACTTTTTAGCTGTCACTTCCTTACCCTCCACACTACCATCCCTAAGCAACCACTAATCTACTTCGTCTCTGCATTTGCGTATTCTAGACATTTCATTCAAGTGGAATAATATAATACGTGGCCTTTTGTGACTGGCTGCTTTCAGTTAGCATAATGTTTTCCAGGTTAATCCATGTTGTGGCATGTGTCAGAACTTCATTCCTTTTTGTAGCTGAATAGTATTTCATTATAGACCACATTTTGTTCATTCTTCTCTTGATGGGCATTTGGGTTATTTCCACATTTTAACCATTGTAAGTAGTGCTGCTATGAACATTTGTGTACAGGTTTTCATTTGAACACCTGTCTCTATTAAATAGTTCTTTTGGGTGGAAATGGCCAGATTATCTGATAATCCTGTTTAACTTTTGAGAAACTGCCAAACTATTTTCTACAGTGGCCACGCCGTTTTACGTTTCCACCAGCAATGTATTTCAGTACATTCCAGTTTGGAGGGTTCCAATATCTCCAATCTTTGCCAACACTTATTTTCCTTTTTTTCTAAATGCAGTCATCCTACTTAGTGTGAAGTGGTATCTCATTGTGGTTTTGATTTGCATTTCCCTGATGACAAACGATGTTAAGGATTTTTTTTTTGTACTTGTTGGCTATTTCTGTGTCTTAGTTGGAAAAACATGTATTCAAACGCTTTGCCAAGTTTTTAATTGGGTTGTTGATTTGTAAATAAAGTTTTGTTGGGAACAGGGTTGGGATTAGGGTCAAGTGAGTGAGGTACGATTATGCAACTACAGGGATGTATTCTATCTTAAATGTTTGATGCTTTGTCCATCATATTTATCATATTTTTGCATTAATTTTGATTTTAAAAAATATTGCACCAATTGTCTTGTTGACAAAATTAATGACACCCTTTAAAATCTGTACCAGAGACCAGTACCTCACTCACCTCACTGCAGTCCCAGCTGCGTTTAAATATCTGGTGGAAAAACAGGCAAGCATTCTGGAAATGCGCAGTCCCAGCAGGGAAGTAGGCCTGGCTGCGGGGTCGCGGCCTAGGGCATTGGTCGCCGGATACAGAGAACTAGAAACCGGGAACTGTCCAGCACGCCCGTGCCTGTCCTGGCCCTTCTCCCATGCAAGGCTGAGCGCAGCTCTGTCCGGGCTACCTTAGACAGACTCCATCGTGGCCAGGGCCGACCTCTCTGCCTTTCTTGTCCTTTCCCGCCCGTTATCGCAGGAAACCCCCGACTCTATCGACAGCGGGAAAGAGGCTCTGAGACTGGAGAGGAAACCACGGACCTGCAGGGCCCGCCTCGCCTCTCCGCTAAGCCAAGTGGTGTTCCCAACTTGCTTCGACTTGCTTCCGTGCGCTCAGGTCGCCTGCCCGGTCCAGCAGTGGTAATGGAGTGGCCAGGCACGCGGCAGCCACTGTCTCTTAGGCATGCGATGGCCTAGGGGCCAGACGCTCGGTGCAGTACCCTCGCCCGGCCCGCCAGCGCCCCCCTCCAGCCGCAGGCACTGTCCCTGACGAAGGCGAAGGCGCCAGCGAACTCTCGCGGGAGTGGCCACCCTGGCGCCCCTCCCCCGCCGGGCCGGGGTCTGTGCCCTCGTTGGTAGGCGTAGGATGCGCAGGATGGAGCGCGCATGCGCACTGGCCGCCAGCCGAGGACGGAAGTGGGCGTCCGGAAGCTAGACGTGTCCCCTGGGCGTGACTTGGCACTGCCGCGTCGCAGTTGCCGCATTCGCCGCATTCGCTGCAGGCGCGAGGTTGGGTGCAGGCAGCTGTTTGAGCCTCGAGGCATCGACGGACGGACAGACGGACGGACTGACTGACGATGCCGCGCTCTCACAGGCCTCCGCCTACCGCGCAGCGGGCTGCCACTGCCGCAGCAGCCGAGCCCAAGTCTGAGGGCGTTGTGGCTATGACTTTCAAGATTTTTCTCCTTTTTGCAGGGCTTATGGTTAAAGTTCCTGTGGGGTTATATTTTTCCTGCAAATTACTTCTTTTCCAAAGTCTGATGTTGATGTCCCCTGAAGACAGCGGCTTTTATGCGACCATTGTTGCAGTGGTCGGGCTTCATGTGGTGCTGGCAATTTTCGTCTTCATAGTGTGGAAGGAGGGCTTGCCCCAGTGGCGGGAAAACAAAAACGAATAGAGCAGCTTCTTCAGAGCTGCAGACGTGGGGGGTGGGGAAATACCTAAAGGGTTTTTGTCTTGTTTCTTGTTCGTATTGAACGTGCTTTTTTTTTTTTTTTTTTTTTTTTTAAAGGGGAAGGGTGGGTGGGGAGGGAATTAAATATTTACTGCAGCTAAGACTTCAGTAAAATTGGGGGTGGGGGGAGGGTTGACATTTTCCGACTGCCTGTTACGTGCCAAGTGCTTTTTGTTAAGGACATAATGTTTTTGACTGGGGATCATGTTTGGCTGATGTAAATATTAATGCCAAAATAGGAGCTAGGATGAAAGTAACACTGTAATTAGTAGTAGAATTTATTTCATATTAAAATGTGTCATGACGTAATTTTTATGGCTTGGCTCAAGCAACAATTTTCAGAGTGCACGTAAGTATCAACGCGTAAAACTTAACATTTTACAGTGTTATTTGGTATTATTCTCTATGAAGCTGTCTGGATCGGTCTCCTTTTCCCATTGGTTAATTGGTTAATGCTCAGATTTTGGCTCCTAGAATCGATCTGTGTGTTCCCGGTCTTGGCATCTCATTATGTCATTTGCTGTATTTTTTGATATATTATTGTACGTGCAAATTGAGGTGAATTTGTTGTTTTAGATTAAGACTGTTGGACTCAAGCTACAACGAGGTGTCTCTGATGTAAAAAACTGCAGTTTAAGATTATGGTAAATCCTTCCCTGCAGTACCTGTTAAACAATGACCTCATTCTTACGCAGATTTAATAAATTTTTTTTCCACTATTATTTTCTGCTTGTTATTAGTAGCATTTTGATAAGGTCTAGGGAATAGGTATGAAATCCCAAGGGAGAAATGTCGGCTTTCTTACAGTGGAATTTGGAGACCAGCATAAGAATGCAGAAACATCTCTCTTTTGCTGGAAAGGCTATTATTGTTAGATTAATATTAGACTAAAAGTTTCACCTTAATTCAGATTCTGCCTGTGTTGTTAATTATTTGTAGATTTTATACTTTAAGAATTTTCTTATTGGTAATTTTACAAGGATGTACATTTTACTGTAGTTTTGGTTTCATGGTTCATGAACACTACCTGGATTCTAATTCTTGTTTTCATCATTGATTTTAGAATGGGTATAAATATGGCAAAATGGAATAAGGAAGTGTTTGTTTATTGAAAGCCAAATAATCTATAATGACAAAAATGCAAAAGTAGCTTGGACTTGTTCCATTTTTGCACATAAATACTGTATTAATGTAAAAGTCTTTCAAAAGATGCCTTCCACATGAATGTAAAGATATCCTGAATGTATAGTGTGTTATTTTGAAGATTAGATAATGTGAGATAGTTTAGATGATTTCTCCCTTCTCACTCTCACGTATTTCTTTCTTCTTCCCTTAACTGCTTCTCTATCATCCTCCAATACCACCAGTCCCCCACCTCAAATTATCCCATTTCCTGAGGGACTCCTTCCTCCTTTGGCTGCCTTTCTCTACGCTCCATCCCTCACTTCCCACATCTGCTTTTCCTTGTTTTTTAAAGACTGTCCAAATGGATAGATTGTATTACATCTAACTGCAGTAGAACTCATTGATTACCTTCTTCTTTTCCCTCCCCCTGGCCAATTTTTTGTCCTAAGTAGCTCTGCTGTAGAAATATGCTTGGCAAAAAATGCAGATGGAAATGAAAATACTTAATCTCCTGTGTCATATTTGTTTAGCCTCATTGATGCTACTCACAGAGACGTGGATGTGCTGTTACTGCTTTCTAACTCTGCCTACTACGTGGCCTAGTAAGTTGCTTATTGATTTAAAGGTTTTGATTTTGTTTTTTAAACTTGAGTAAATTTTCTTTTTAGAATTCGTAACAAAAAAATGTGAGAATATGGTTTTGTTATGTATTTTATGAAACTTCATTGAACCCCTTTACCTTATATAACTGTTACGTCATTCTAACTTCCTTTTATCTTTATCGGTTTGAAAGCAAGATTTTACAGTTAAATTAGTATGTTTATGTTATAGTGTATTCTTTTGGCATTTGGTGTTATTTCCTATATATTTCCCAGGTTTTGATGTATTCCATACGTTTTTATCACTAATGACCACGTATCATTGTTTGCATTACTATAGTGAAGTTTTTCCTCACTGTTAGGTATTAAATTACTTACAATTTTTTGTTACTACCAATGATGCAGTTGTCTTTATGCAATAACGTGTGTGTGTGTGTGTGTGTGTGCATGTGCCTGCGCACTTCTTTGGTTACAAGGGTATGATGAATTATGACTTTTGTGGTTTGTTGTCAGATTGATCTCCAGAAAGACTCTCAATGAACAGTGCTAGTAGCAAAATACAAGCACCTGTTTCCTCACACCTTACCAGAATTGTTCTAATTTGTATTTACTAAGTAAATATTCAATTTATTTTTGGCTTTGTGTAAACTATTGTTTTTTAGTCATTTGCCCAGATGCCTGTTGGCATATATCATATGGATTTTTCATTCTCGATTTTGGATATCAGATTTAACAGCTGTATTGTTCCCAAATACATAGTTTGTTTCTCTTTCTGTCTTTCTCCCTCCTCTCTCTCTCTCCCTCCCTTCATCTCTGCCTCCCTCCGTCTCTTGCTCTGTGTGTGTGTGCACACGCGCGCGCATGTGTTTGCCTTGTAAGTTAGGTTTTAGGTTTGTTTTCATTTTATATGAGTTTTTATAAAACTTAAAATATTTTAACCTTGTAGTTGCTTTTTTTTTTTTTTTTTTTTTGAGATGGAGTTTCGCTCTTTTTGCCCAGGCTGGAGTGCAATGGCATGATCTCTGCTCACTGCAACCTCCGCCTCTCGGGTTCAAGTGATTCTCCTCCTGGGTTCAAGTGATTCTCCTGCTTCAGCCTCCTGAGTAGCTGGGATTACAGGCGCCTGCCACGACGCCCAGCTAATTTTGTATTTTTAGTAAAGACGGGGTTTCTCCGTGTTGGTCAGGCTGGTCTCGAACTCCTGACCTCATGATCCACCCGCCTCGGCCCCCTAAAGTGCTGGGATTACAGGTGTGAGCCACCACGCCTGGCCGTAGTTGCTTTTTTTAACTGTTAGATGTGTAAACTTATTTTCCCTTAGCTGTTGAACTATATATATGTTATTCTTGTTTAATTTTTAACAGAGTTCTTATGTTTAACATTTTACCCCAGAATGTATGTGCTGTGGAAGATTTTGTTAACTGTATGTAACAGTTTGCAGCTATTATGCCTTCCCTGACAAGCCAAATATGCTTTTGATTTAAATCCTCTTTTAACTTCATTTCCTTTTATCTAGTTATGATGATGAAGTTGATAAAGTAAACCAGTATCAACGACTAAGTCTAGAAAACCTGGAAAAAATTGAAATAGGTAAGTTTTAACATACTAATCAAGTCATCAAAAGCAAATGCTGTTGTTTCCAAGAGGGGGTCAAATTATTTAAGCAAGAACCTGGTTTAAGTTTCACCTACAAATGCTTTTCTTCACTATTATTTTCCATTTGTTGTTAGTAGCATTTTGATGAGGTCTAGGGAATAGGTATGAAATCCTAAGGCAGAAATGTCGGCTCTTCTTACAGTGGAATTTGGAGACCAGTATAACATCTGTTAGAAACCAGAAAGGGATATTCCAAGCTGTCTACTTCTTAGAACTTCCTTTCTATTCATTATAGGTTAGTGATAGATATGGTCTTATCATAATAACTGTGTTCCTTTTATTATTTACCTTGTGAAGATTACCCCAGGGATCAAGAAAGCTTAAATGATTGAAATTGAAAGAGTTCTTCTAGCCTTATCAAACCAAATGGTCACCAGAAGTTTGTATTTTGTGTGCTGTCATTTATATTATGAAGAAAAATGTGTTGGGTCTTTTTAAGATAATAGAAGAAAATGTTATGTGAAACATTTAACTTTATACGTATTCATTTGGGATTTTAGGCCCTGAACCCACTCTTTTTGGTAAGCCAAAGTTCTCCTGCATGCGACTGCACTACAGATACAAAGAAGCGAGTGGCTATTTCCACACATTGCGAGCTGTAATGCGTAATCCTGAAGAGGATGGAAAAGGTAAAAAGAGGAAGAGATGAAAGTATTCAGTGAAAACTTTCTATTTATTCTTAAAAGCCCAAATGGAATTGGGGACATTTCATATCATAACCAACTGAATGAGAGAGGGTCCAGGGAATAGCTTTGGAATATGAGACCTTGAAATAGCAACTCTGTTTCCAGCAACCCAGGGAAATTATCTGAATGTATTATTTAGTCTGGGGCAAGGGAATCTTTAGCGGGGATTCTCAGGGAGTTTGGCCCCATCAGTGATCGTATGGGTGTCAAGGCTCTTCACATGTCATGTTCTTTTCATTTGTAGCAGGTAGGAATCATGCCTGTCTCATTCATGGCTGTTGCCTTGGCATCTGTCACAGTGCTTGAACAAACATGAACTAGAACAAACTTTTATTCCCCGATTTCATTCTTTTGCTTTTGTTCTTTTAAAATGTTAGAACATTGTGAATTAAGTGGGGGAGACTAGTGAACAGGTGGCAGTTTTCTATAAATCGAAGCAAATAAATTTGTATTTAATTATACGACGACAAATTTCATTCAGCGCTAAATGGGTTAGAACTGCTATTTTTTTTAGTATGTTTATGGAGAAATTGGCAGGCAGTTATATTTGGGTTGCAGATACCCTTCAGTGCATTGCAGAGATGCTGCAGATCACCAAGCAAGCCATGGGATCGGATTTACCCATAATTGAGAAGAAACTTGAGAGGTGAGTATACTGCTTCTCTCAAGAATAAAGGCATTCTTATCCAAGGTCTTATTTGTTTAAAATTATTTGCAGGGGGAAAGGGGAGGAGATCACATTATGGTAAGGTGTTGGTATTTAGAGAGGTAAGGATCAAATTTCTGCAGATCAAAATACTTTCAACATTCTTCATGTATACAATTTTCAGGTAAGTTTTAGACTTACAGAAGAGTTGCACAGGTAGTTTAGAGGGTTTCCATGTACTCTTCCTTCGGCTTCCCTTTATATTACCGACTTATAACCATAGACCATTTATCAAAACTTAAGAAAGTAACCTTGGCACGGTAAGATTAACCAAAGTACAGATTTCACTAGGTGTTCACTAGCATCCTTTTTCTGTTCCAGGATCCAGTCTGGGATTCCACACTGCATTTAGTTGTCTCTGTAGTTTAATGTTATTTCCTCAATCTTGTCTTTTCTTTCATAACTTTGACATTTTTTAAGAGTACTGGTCAGCTGTTTTGTAGAACATCCCTCCATGTAGGTTTGTCCAGTGTTCTTTCCTGATGAAGCTAAGGTTATGCATGGTCAGGAAGGACACCACAGAAGCCACGTGCACTTCTTAGTGCCTCGTGCTGTGGGGAGGGAGGGCGTGATGGCCTGTGTAGTATTGTTGAGGTTAAGCTTGATTACTTGGCTGGGGTAGCATCTGCCAGGATTCTGCACTGCAAACTTTGTGTTTTCCTCTTTATAATTGCTAAATATTTAGGGGAAATTACTTTGAGACTATGTAAATATTGTTTCTGTGTAAACCTAAGACTATTCATTTTCATAACCATTGTGGATCTTTTCTATAATAATTATTCCTGTCATGATCTATGGTCATTTTTCTAATTTTCATTCCTTCTACACTTGTTAATTGGAATTCTTCTGTAAAGCCACTGCACCCAGCCTCTTGTACACATTTTTAACCTATACAGATTAATAACCTTTTATTGCCAAAGATTGTATTTTATGCATTTTCCACATTACTGTAGAATTCATAACTACCATTTAAATAGATGCCTCCTGTGATCAGTTTGGAAATGTATTGTGTGGGTTCAGAACATGGACTCTGAGACTCCTGGTTCTATCAATTACTCTTTAACCTTGGAAAACATACTCCTTTACTTCAGTTTTGTTATCTGTAAGATGAGAGAAAATCCATGTCAGTGCATTGCATGAACTGAATAACGCACTCAGACCTGGCACACAGCTATTAAACTCAATTGCCAAGAATTTTGGTTGCTAAGCATTTTTTCCTTTTATAAAGAAGTCATGACAGATACCTTTGTCATGTATTACTTTTTCATGTTTAGGATGATTTCTTTAGAATAGCATCCTCAGGTTGTGAATCTGGATTAAAAGATGTGGGTATTTCACTTGTCCCTAACAGTGCCATACAAAGGTTATTGCTTATCCTCAGTTTCAAGAAAAACTCTGAAGACCCAGAGTTTCATTATCTTGAGTGATATGGCATTTAAAATATGCTTAGGATATCCCTCTAGGTGTGTTTAAAAGTTTTGATACAGAGTAACACTGACTGTCTCCACAAGTATTTACGTAGGTGGTATTTTGCCAAGAGAACCGGTCTGAGAGCAAGGGCCCTGCAAGGATTTTGCCATCCTTGACACAACTCACGTGGCCACAAGTGATACATTTTTAACTCCTAAGTAAACTGATGAGAGGAAACATTGAAATTTTTTCTAAATACTTTGTAGAGAAAATAGTATGTTTTAAACACTAGGCTTTTGAATTTGGAAAAAGAATGCCTATCAACAGATTATTTCATATTTAAAAAGTGTGGCTTTTCTTTCTAATGAGCATCTGTCAGGTTTTGTGGTCCACATTCTGCTAGTGAAGAGAGCCATTTGGCCGGAAGAAAATTGTTCAGGCTTTTGTTAAAGAATTACTTTAACCCATAATTTTTCTGCAGTATGCTCATGATCAGTGATCTTGCATGATCCAACAGTACAAATGCACACACTGAGACATTTGTGGCAAATAGCATCAACTTTTCTTTCTTATTTATAGCTGTCATGAGGGATACCAAAGGAGAGAAGACACTAATTGTTAAATGTCCCAAATCTTTTAAAATCAGGTAACCCACAGGACATATAAGAAAATGGAAGTCTTACTCCTGTCTCCCCCCACTATCTGAATTTGAGCCACACTGGGATGTGTATAGATAACCTTAGTTAAGGTGCTGCAGATTCCCATTTACAGTCAGAGATGTCTTTGCTGATTGTACAGATGGTGGCTGTGCTAGACCCGCACTGCTCACAATGGTAGCCACTCACCACATGTGGTTGTGAAGCCTTTTAGAATGCGACTAGGCTGAATTCAGGTGTGCTGTAATTATAGAACACCACACATTGCCTATATTGAATTAGTCCAAAAAGGAATATTAATCATCTTTTAATATTTTTATGTTGAAATATTTTGTATATATTGGGTTAAATGAAATGCTGCTAATTTCACTGCTGCTTTCTAATGTGGCTGCTAGAAAAATTGTAATTATGCATGTATTTCATATATTTCTATTGGATAGCACTGTTTTAATGTCAACTCTGAGGGTTATCTGTCAGTTAGCAATGCACTGTTTTCAAGAAGTTGGGACCAATTTGAATAACTGTTTTCACTTATGTTAATAACTGGAACTGGCATATTGGATTCCATGGGGAATTAACTTTTTTTCTCTTCTAATTTGTAGGAAGAGCAGTAAACCTCACGAAGACATCATTGGTATCAGGTCTCAAAACCAAGGTTCTTTGGCCCAGGGAAAGAATTTTTTAATGAGCAAATTTTCATCTCTAAATCAAAAAGTGAAGCAGACCAAATCCAATGTAAATATTGGCAACCTCCGAAAGCTAGGAAACTTTACCAAACCTGAAATGAAAGTTAACTTTCTAAAACCAAACTTAAAAGTAAATCTTTGGAAATCAGATAGTAGTCTTGAAACTATGGAAAACACAGGAGTGATGGATAAGGTTCAGGCAGAGTCTGATGGGGACATGTCTTCAGATAATGACTCATACCACTCTGATGAATTCCTTACAAATTCTAAGTCTGATGAAGACAGGCAGCTAGCTAACTCATTAGAGAGTGTAGGGCCAATAGATTACGTTCTTCCTAGTTGTGGTATTATTGCCTCAGCGCCTCGATTGGGCAGTCGGTCCCAGTCTCTTAGCAGCACAGATAGTAGCGTTCATGCTCCTTCAGAGATTACTGTTGCTCATGGGAGTGGGCTTGGAAAAGGCCAGGAGTCTCCTTTGAAGAAAAGTCCTTCTGCTGGCGACGTACACATATTGACTGGCTTTGCCAAGCCTATGGATATTTACTGCCACAGATTTGTGCAAGATGCACAGAACAAAGTGACCCACCTATCAGAGACCAGATCTGTGTCTCAGCAGGCTAGTCAGGAAAGAAATCAAATGACCAATCAAGTTTCAAATGAAACCCAATCAGAATCAACAGAACAGACACCTTCTCGGCCATCGCAATTAGATGTCTCTCTTTCTGCAACAGGCCCACAGTTTTTGTCAGTTGAGCCAGCGCATTCAGTTGCATCTCAAAAAACCCCCACCTCCGCTTCCAGCATGCTTGAACTTGAGACAGGGCTTCATGTAACTCCTTCTCCTTCAGAGAGCAGTAGCAGCAGAGCAGTCTCTCCCTTTGCCAAGATTCGAAGTTCCATGGTCCAGGTTGCTAGTATTACCCAAGCTGGATTAACCCATGGGATAAACTTTGCAGTGTCAAAAGTTCAGAAGAGTCCTCCAGAACCTGAAATCATTAATCAAGTCCAGCAAAATGAACTTAAAAAGATGTTTATACAATGCCAGACACGGATAATTCAGATTTAGCTTTTAGCCATAAGAATCCTTCCATGGCTTTTATTTAAAAATATGAAATTTTCACCTCTTGGGGTATTTTAATTGTACTGTCTGAACCCAGGGATCACAAATTCTGTTCATTGGAAAGGGTTTTAAACGGAGTCGGAACCTGAGTAGATTTCCAAATTTTACAGCCAGGACTACAGAAGTGCATCATTCTAGAATGTGTAGACCTGAGTAGCTTATACACTACAGAGCACTTTGCTTATTTGAAAGTAATTCAGCAACAGGTCACTTTGGGATATAACCTGAACCTTTTTTTGGAGTGGGGTGGGTAGACTACAGTAGACACAAGGGCTGGACATGCAGATGCTTAGGGGATTAGCGTTTTTCATAATTTGTTCTGTTTGTCAGTTCATTCCTGTGTGTTCTTACCTCTACAAAGTAAATTACACATTTAGTTTTTAGTGACTTTAACATGTTACTGAAGCATTTGAATATAAAGCTATTTTAGTTTTGATGGCTTAACTGTTCCCTGAGGAGTTGAGGGTTATTGACACTAGAGAAATGAATTCTCATTTGATCCTAATTTTCCCCGTATTCTACTTGAACACATTAAAAATACTCTGCTGCCTATACAATGTAAACCTAGGAGCATTAAGACTTGTCACACAGTAAACCTGATACATCAGAGGTGAATACCAGCACCTATTAGGTTTCATTTTGCTGTTTTCAGGAATGTAAGAACACCCATATTGGCTACTGGAAATTCTAGAAGTCAGTCAGGTTTTAATTTATTCCAGGAGGGGCATCCTCGACATCTTATGTAGATGATCCACAACTTCAAAATTTAGTCTGGGCCTAGTGCAGTGGCTCACACCTATAATCCCAACACTTTGGGAGGCCAGGAGTTTTGAGACCAGCCTGGGAAACATCTGTCTCTACAAAAAAATACAAAAATTAGCTGGGCATAGTGGTGCATGCCTGTGTTTCTAGCTACGCAGGAGGATTGCTTGAGCCCATGAGATTGAGGCTGCAGTGAGCTGTGATCGTGCCACTGACCTCCAGCCTGGGGGACAGAGCAAGACCGTGTCTCAAAAACAATTTAGTCTGAAACACAATTGTGCTGAATCTGTCTGACTATAACTCTGACCACACAGAACCAGGGCTGCCCCTGTAATCCCCACAGTAAGAAAGTTGTATGGCATATTCCAACAAGTATTGGTTCGTCTGGTGTCTTTAGAGCTTTACTCTGTTGAAGTGACTGATTCTCAACTGAACATTATGTCGTTACTTTGATAAGCATTCCACTTTTGTTATTTATTAGTGCTATCTTTTTTTTTTACGTGTTAAATCTTGTGATTATTAAAATAAAGTACCATTGTAATTTAAAGTGACAAATGGGTATGAGAATTCCTTGCATAACAGATTAAAGAATTTGTAAACGGCAGATTTGCTATAACTGAACACTTGGTCTAGCTGTTGCCAGTATGTTACTCCTTTGAAATATACTCATGATGTAAAAAGGGAAATGGATCAGAAACTATACTTTAAATCCAAACATTCAAAACTGAATGCTTGCTTCTACCAACTTTTCTTCCGGGTCCTGAAAATATTAAGGGTTCCCAACATGGGAGAAAATACAACCCAACATTAGGTGATAAAATACACGTTTAAACTCTACAGAAATTAGTTCGAAAGAGATCTTTGAAAAATCATTTTAAGAAGGCAAAGTTCCAAACAGGGTTACACAGGAGTCTACTCAGTTTCCTGGCCATACAGGATTAACGCTGTGCCTTACGTTAGAGCAACAAACTTGACTGTCCGTGTATATATAGGTGAGGGACAAAGGGTTTCTGCAGCCAAGCACTGCACTCCATTCCGCTGCCTGGGCGGGCCTTGAGCAGGAAGGTCCCTCTTGCACCACCTCCTCCACTTCAGTTCAGCTCTCTCATGTCTTCCACCAAGAGGACATGGTCTTTTTCCACACAGATCACATGGGATGGTGAATCTTCTTACTCATGAAAAACAGCCCAAGGTACTGCTAATTTGGGACGTTTTATTTATTGGAAAGGTTCTTTCAAGGGAACTTTTCTGCAAGACCAAGCAATGTATGTATTTTTCTTTGGTAAATTACAATTTACATTGGCACAAAAAACACATGGTGACTAATGTACTTTGCTCTAGGACAATTAAAGAAAATGTATTTTATCCTCACAAATCCAGTGAAGCCTTCATTTTATTTCTAAAAGTTTAAGGAAGGTCTAGTCTACCAGTTATAAAAATGAAAACCAGTTCAACTCTAATATAAACATTATTTACATTTGTTTATAAAAATAGATTTGAGTTTAGGAAAAGTTGAACAACTAGTTATTTTTACTTCAGTTATTAGGTACAATGAATTCCTTGATTTTTCAAGGCTGACCCTGTTTCCTTGGTTAACAATTTCAATTTAGGCCTTATAGGAAAAAACGTAAGGGATCCTTTATCTGCCTCCAACTAGGTAAGTTATTTGATACCACTGACAGCTTAAAAAGTAATGTCCTAACCTTTCTGAAGATTCTGGTTGCCATAACCATGCTACTACAGTCTGTTGTTAGTTTGCTCTATTAAAACTAATTGGTCTGGAGAAAACCTACCTGCAGTTGTACGAGGCTGTTACTGGAGTAGCAGATGTTAGCTGATCTAACATACTTGGAACCAACTGATGATCCCATAAAAAATGCCAAAAATCCAATAGAATCAAAGCAACTCAATGACATTTAAGAAAATAAAAACTTTCTAAAGGGGGTATTGCTTTTTAAGTTTCCTATTTTGTTTTCATATTTGGGCACAGCTTTGTAGCACAGCATTCCCTTATGCATGGTTCTCAAATGCACTGGGATAGGAGAAAATAAAGACAATGTAGTGTCTTGGTTTCTTTTGCCCCCAAAAGCCACATTCATTCCGTTTAAAGGACTCCTCTTATTCAGAGATAGATTGTCCTTTCCTTTTATGAAAAAAATGGTGATAATACAGTGATTTATTCGGATTACTTGGCAAGGTAAATTGGCAACCTTATAGTACCCCAGATTTTTGGAAATATTACTACCGGTCCATAAAATACAAAAGTCTGGGAACCACTGCCATGTACAAGTTTAGTTTTGCAGGCTGTTAACAAATGTTAAGTGGGAAAAAGTTTCTGTGGCCAAACATCTGGGAAATGACAGTACAGAATTTCATGTAGTCATGTGAATCAATGGCAAGTACGCCTCCGTTCCCCAAAGATGGACTACTGAATGCACCCCAACCCACTGTGAACTGGAAAAACAGAGAACTAGAAAACATAAGAAATCCGAAGCACGATTCCTCTGACTTTGAAACTGCAACAACCTTCTTCATTTCAGCATTTCAACAGTCTGGCCTATGACTCAGCTGAAGCTAAGGAAATGGTACAATCAGCAACATTATCAATATTAAACTTTTAATATCAAATACTTTTTTTACATCATTACTAATTTATATAATTATTATAAAACAAACTTCAAAAGCTCCATGAAATCAGTAAGGTAAAAGTCCTTACTGAATATCATATAAACATCAGGTGTTACCAGGCTTGATTTCAGGAAATGTCACTGGTTTGTGATAGAAATTACCTATAAAACAATGTGGTATAAATGAATATCTGAATTTTACAATTATGTGGCTACAGTTTGCCCATTACTCTTCATAGGTATTACATCTTTAAAGTTCATTTCCATTCACACATTTTTGCTGCTGAAGCCTCGTTCTTCTTAAAGACTCTAGCTGCTTTGCTCTCAGCCATCGTTCTCTTGACAGCGTTGTCTGACCAGCACTGAGAGACAGACACCTGGTTTGAAACACAGAAACAAATTTAAGTCTAGAGCTGGGATAGTAAGTTTTAAATTTTTTTTAAGACCTAGGAATACTTTGTGAAAACACAGAGCACGTTAGGAGACAAGACCGTATGGTAGTTACACACAAGTCAACAGCCAAGTTAGGCTTCTAAAAAGAAATCGTTGAAGAGTCAGAATTGGAAAGTGGCTCACTCTTTGAAGCTTAGAGAACAAGCAGCATGCCTGTTCCACTGAAGAGATCACCAGCCAAACTCGATTCCCCCTCAATGAGCCCTTTCATACAGCGTTTTTAAAAGGAAAAGTTCATTTCCGTTTTTAGAATTCTGCCTCAGTTACTGCTGAATAACTCAGAAGACATATACACAAGCTTACCGAAACAGCAATAATGGACGTGCGCCACTTACCGAGCCACCACGAGCAGCTGGTGAAGATCATCAGCAGTGATGCTCTGAGGGTCGTTCTTCCGCATTTCCACAAAGTCATCTTCAACTGCCTTTATCAAAAGAGTAAATGTAAATGATGTGCATTTTTGTAAGGAAAAGAAAATTAACATGGTTCCTTGACTGATGTAGTAAGGTGCATGTCAGCCTCTTAGACAAAGGAGGCAATATGGGTGAAAGTACCAAAGCATATACATACATAATGCTGCTGATGAAAATAAAATAATGAAACTCAGATTCATTTAAGGTCAAGCAAACATATAAATCAGCAACTGGCATAGGAAACAATGCTTTTCCACAAAGGAAGAGTGATGTTAGTGAAAATGGCAGAGAAGGGACCGCAGAAAACTGTCTCTACTGTTAACACTGATCAAAATCAGCTTTTTAAAAACTAGAAATAAAACCATACTTGCAGCAATCCAGAGAGCATTTATGCAAGAAAACCAGGTGATTATTGGTAAGAATGTTGAGCCTGGCAGCATTTTAACATGTCCTACTCCTAAATTCCAACCCCTTCCCCTCCAGGCGATAATTAGTAGCTTCAAAAATCAACAGCCTGGCAGCCACCGGAGAGAGAACAGGGCTAGGGCTCCTTCCAAGTGCCATTCCCGGAGAACTGTCATCTGACCACCTGTCTGGTGGCTCCCTGGAAGGACCCATTTGCAAGGTTGTCTTTATTTAACCTGACTGGAAGCCTGTCTACTATGAACCACCTCTTTCCCCAGGGCATTTATCAAAAACAATCGGAAGAAATTACCAATCACCTTAGCTACCTGAGACACTGGGTAACAGCTGCGGCAGACAGACTAACCCAAACCCTTCAATGGAAAAGCTAGCTGGGAAATGACATGTCTGTAGAGGGCTCTGAAAACCTTAAGTATGTAACTCCTAGGAACTCAGAAGGCTGCAGACATGCTCAGAGACCATAGCTCCCACCTCTGCATGACCTGGAGGCTCTGTGCGAGCAGGAAATGAAGGCTAAGGCTTGTAAATTGCATGGCTAAGTGTTGAACTGAGGGCTTGCCCCAACTTTTATTTTTATTTATGATTATTATTCACCCGTAGACTGGGAGACTACTACCCAGCATTTAAGGAAATTTCTTTCCAATCATTAACCACAAAACTAACAGAGCAGAGACTTCAGTGCCCACATGTGACAAAGATACAGACTTTATAGAATTAGTCAAAAAAGTTACTAAACAACCTACCAACAGTAACAAACAGCAACAACAATAAACCCTAGGGAGGTTTAATTTCCAGAGTAACTTCCAAAGCAGAGTTGCCATATTATATAATTTAAAATGTCTGGTTGTGGCTAGATGTGGTGGCTTACACCTGTAATCCCAACACATTGGGAGGCCAAGGTGGGAGGACTACTTGAAGCCAGGAGTTGACCAGCCTAGGCAATAAAGCAAGACCTCATCACTACAAAAAAAAAAAGAAAGAAAAAAAAAGAAAAGAAAAAACAAAAAAACAAAACTTTAGTTGGGCATGGTGGTGCACACCTATGGTCCCAGCTACTGAGGCAAGAGGATCACTTGAGCCCAGCAGTTTAAGGCTGCAGTGAGCTGTGGCTGTGCTACTTACTATTCCAGCCTGGGTGATACAGTGAGACCCCACTGACCAAATAAAATGTCTGGTTTTCAACAAAAAAGTACAAAGAAACCAGAAGGTATGGCTCACACTTTGGGGATAAGGGAGTCAGTAGAAAACTGTCCCAGAGGAAACTCAAACATTAGACAAAAAGACTCTAAATTGGCTATTTTAAACATTCAAAGAAATAAAGGAAACCACATAAAAAGAACTTCAGGAAAATATGAGAATCACCAAATAGAGAGTATCAATAAAAAGAGAGAAATAATTTTTTAGAAGAAGGAAATAAAAATTCTGGAGTTGAAAAATATAGTAAAAATTCTCTAGAGGTGCTCAGATTTGATCAGGCAGAAGAAAATCACTAAATTTGAAGATAAGTTCACTGAGATTAGTCTAAGAAACAGAACAAAAAAAGAAGAATGAGGGAAAATGAACAGAGCCTTGAAGACCTGTGGGATACCATTAAATGCAACATCAGATACACAGTGGTAGTGTCAGAAGGAGAGCAGAGAGAAATGAGGCAGAAAGAAACATGGCCAAAACCTTCCCAAACTTGTTGAAAACTTCCCCAAAATATGAATTATTCTGCACCTCCAAGAAGCTCAACAAACTCCATGTAGGATAAACTCAGAGATCCACACATAGACACATCATAATCGAAACTGTCAAAAGCCACAAAATCTTGAAAGCAGTGACAGAAAAATGACTCAGTGTGTACAAAGGATCCTTATCAGAAACTAGTTGGCTTCTCAGTAGAAACCAGAGGCCAGAAAGTGGTGGGAGGACATATTCGAAATGATGAGACAAAGACTATAAACCAAGAATTCTACATCCAGCAAAACTAGCCTTAAGGAGAAATTAAGACATTCCCAGATAAACAAAAACTTAAAAGAGGGCTGGGCGAGGTAGCTCACACCTCTAATTCCAGAATTTCGGGAGGCTAAGGAGAGAGGATCACTTGAACCCAGGAGTTCGAGACTAGCCTGGGCAACATAAAGAGATCCCCTATCTGCACACACACAAACACACACACACACCCAAACAAAACAAAAAAACCCAAAAAACAAAGAATTAGCTGGGCACAGTGGCACATGCCTGTGGTCCCAACTACTCAGGAGGCTGAAGTGGGAGGATCGCTTGAACCTGGGGGGGTTGAGGCTGCAGTGAGCCATGATCACAACACTGCACTCTAGCCTGGATGACACAGCGAGACCCTGTCTCAAAAAAAAAAAAAAAAAAAAAAAAGAATTTGCACAAGTAGACCTGCCATGCAAGAAACACTAAAGACAGTTCTTCAGGCTGAAATGAAAAGATACTAGACAGTAACATGAACCCACATGAGGAAATAAAGGGTGCTGGTAAAAGTGATTGCATAGGCAAATAGAAAAAATAGTACAGAAGTCTTTTCCATTTCTAACTTTTTTCTCTAAAAGACAACTGCAAAAGCAGTAATTCTAAATGTGTTGATGGACATACAATGTACTGAGAGGTAATTGTATGACAGGAGCACAAGGGAGAGGAGAAGGAACGGAATTATAAAGGGGCAAAGTCTTTGTATAATATAATTAAAATGGCATTAGCCACACAAATTTTTTTTAAATTAAAAATAACTAAACAAACTGGCATTAATCCCTAATAGATGATTATACTAACATGTTAAGTTTATCCCCCAAAGACAACTACTAAGAAAATAACTTTAAGAAACTTCAAGGGATTAAAATGGGACACTGGAAAATACCTATTTCAAACAAAAAGACAATAATGGAGTAACAGAGGAATAAAAAAAGACATGACAGAAAACAAATAACAAAATTACCTTATCAGTAATTATGGTAAATGTAAATTGGTTGCATACTGCAATTCAACACAGGGAAATCCTTTATTTTAACCTAGACATACCTTGGTTATTTCATCAGATATGCTATATTCCAAGAATCTCAAAAGAGTTAGATAAATGCGGAATTTGTTCAGCACGGAAGGCAGCACCGCTGAGAGAAGGCTGTTCATGTACTCCTCCATGTTTGGTGGAATTAGCTGGGGCTGTAAGTGAATCTGGCAGTCTGCCTGAAAAGAGAAGGAGTACACTGTATTTTCTGAGTTCCTAAATTAATCTACATTTTTAAAGAAAGATGCATCATCTCTGTCAGCCCCTATGGGAATTAGAAAATACCACTTATTATTTAGGGGGAGGGAATAATGTTTTTTTTTCTGTGTGTGAGACAGGGTTTTGTCCTGTCACCCAGGCTGGAGTGCAGTGGTGTGATTGCAGCTCACTGCAACCTGCTTCCCAGGCTCAAGTGATCCTCCCACCTCAGCCTCCTCAGTAGTGGGACCACAGGTGCACGCCACCATGCCTGACTAATTTTGGATTTTTTGTAGAGACAAGTTTCGTCATGTTGTCCAGGCTGGCCTCAAAGTTCTGGGCTCACGCAATCCACCTGCCTTGGCCTCCCAAAGTGCTAGGATTACAGGCGTGAGCCACCGCAGCCAGTGAGCATCTATTTTTAATATTAATTTACATGCTTTATAACTACCTCAGAAATAATTATGAAAGCTTTTTCTTGGTTACTTATGTTTCCTCAATGGTATCAGTAAGCACACAAAAATGTAGCCAACCTCTAAAAAGCAGCTAATTAAAAAGGTCTATCAATACTTGCACACAGAAAACATATCCTTGAGCCATTTCATTCTTAGTCAAAGGCGGTTTCTCATCAATCGCAGGTGAATACTATTATTCAGAGACTACACACCATTTGACAACTGGGAGCATTTCCCATCATCCACAGAATTAAAAGCTCTCTTTACCAGCCACTCTGAAGACATACCAGAGCATTTCACCACAAAGCATGAAAATAACTACCAAGTGACCAAGGACATTTTAAAAGAACTCTGAAATATTTTTCACATAAGATTAGCAGAAAACAATGGGTCAAAGGTAGCAAGAACAGAAGTCTGGATGTTAAAATCAGGCAATCTCGCTATGCTCAGATGTGGGTGTTTCTGCTGCCAACAGCCTTGCTGGTCTCATGACTTGCTGATACCTGAGCTTGGTAGATGTAAGGTTTTCATCCATGGCAGTGCAAAATACTCAATTCCCTTAATGATCAGCAGTCACAGTTTTTTTTTTTTTTTTTTTTTTTTTTTTTTTTTTTTTACAACAAATGTAACTTATTAATAAGCGGTACCAAGAAACAGCAAAAATGTAGGTATTTTTCCAATGTCAACCTCCCTCCATTTAAAAATGACTCATCATACCGGGAGGAGTGACCTCCCCTCCGAAGTAATGAAAACGTTAATATTGCAGGGGAATTCCATCTGATGGTAGCTGAAGTCATAATCCACCTTCTGCCACGTTATGAGGTTGCTCAGGGCTGTCACATTATGAACACCTACAAAGGCAGGAAAACACTTTCAGTCATTTGACTTTAATCATCTAAACACATCAGTTTTGCTGACACCGATGATGAGCCATGAAGTTTCTACCACTTTTAATAAAGGGTATGAGGCGCTGTCCAGTTTACTAAGCTAAACGTCACTAAGTGTGTAGGCTTACAACAGTCTTGGTCAAGGTAGAACTTTCTGGGGGCAGGCGATACCCCCGCAAATCTAATACCTAGCATCTGGTATGCACCTAGACATAAAATAGTTCCCAAGTATGATTATTTCTAAGTGGTGTATTTACAGGGCTAAACCAAGGAAACACTAAAACTACCGTCATACATAGATCAGCCTAGTGAATTTTACAGATTTTATATTCCCCTTTGCCTTAAACATGCCCAGTCTACCTCATTTTTTCTTCTACCTTTACCTCTTGAGCTGATCGCCAGCAGTGTATTCTTAATTGTCTTCATTTGAGCACTGGTAAACAATCTGCTTTCTTGTGATTTTATAATATATTCCGCAACTGAGGTTAGTGCAAACCATTTGATCTATTATTTCTCAGACATTCTCTGAAAACCATTTACAAACTTTACAACGGGAGGTTAAAACATAATTAGCCAGGCGTGATGGCGGGTGCCTGTAGTCCCAGCTACTCGGGAGGCTGAGGCAGGAGAATGGTGTGAACCCGGGAGTTGGAGGTTGCAGTGAGCCAAGATTGGCCACTGCACTCCAGCCTGGGCGACAGAGCAAGACTCCGTCTCAAAACAAAAAAAAAATTATATTAGATCTTTTCTACACTTCCCTTTTGAGGTATTAGATGACTAAAGGCAAAGCTTCCTCCCATTTCAGCTTTTTAAAAAGCTATTTGGGGCAGGTGCAGTGGCTCACACCTGTAATCCCAGCACTGTGGGAGGCCAAGGCAGGAGGATCACTTGAGCCCAGGAATTCAAGATCAGCTGGGCAACATAGCGAGACCCTGTCTCTACCATTCCTTACACTCACTGAAAAAAAAATTTTAGGTTATATACAACTACGCAAAAGAACCCAACACTGTAGGCCCATAAAGACTGCTCCAACCATTCGCTGACACAATAAAACTTTTCACCAAAGAACCCTTACGACCCTCAACATCTAATACTACCCTTTATATTACTGCTCCATTATACTAATACTACCCTTTATATTATTGCTCCATTATATAATATATAAAATATATAATATATGATATATATTAAATGAGACATTATATATTATATATGATATATATTATATAAGATATATTATATAAGATATATATCTGTTCCATTGTACTACTTTCAGAATACTATGGCAAAACATAGTTGGTGTATATAATTAGTTTATAACATATGCTTTAATCAAATTCATATGCCAAGCCTTTATCTTACGTTGTTAAATGTGAATTTGTCCATAGATACTCTTCTAAAAGTTATTCCTAGATCTGGCTTTAGTGCGAAGGAAGTCAGAAATGGAAGAGAAACATCTATGTACGTACCTGGGGTATCCAGCTGCCCCTGTTCCAGGAGAGTCTCATCGATTACAAGGGAAGTATTGCTGGGCAGCTGGAGGAGCCCACTGACCAAGCGATTGGCTGTGTAGTCTTTGTGGGGAATGAATTTCAAATGGTTCATGTTCTCTATAGTCATCTGCAGACGAAAAGACTGCAAAGAGAAATTTTTTAGTGAACAAGAATTTAAGTTTCCCTGTTTTAAGAAAATATGTACTTGGAATTAAACATTGTGTTTCATATGGAAAAAGTGATCTTATAAATTTCTAAGGGAGTAGTGATATGGTTTCTTGAACTCCAGAAGCAAAAATAGTATCTAGATCTTACATTTGAATTTCATCCATTTTATGAGCTACTTTATTCTCAAATGTCTTGTTCAATATTCTTGAAAATCAATTTTAATTTAACCAATGAAACAAATGGTAGATAACTGACATATAAATATTAAATACCCCAAAACCTAACCTCTTTCACCTAACACAAGCTAGCTAGCAAAAAGAAAATGTTAATTTTACTCTTCAAGACAGGGAGAGAAAAGCTTAATTTTCCTCTATATTCTTTGAGTTAAAATTGTATTCATTTATCATAGACATTTTTGAACAAACTTTTCAGAGAAAAATCAAGGAGCAGAGCACACTGAGCTGTGGATGGACCTGCAGCTCTCAGGAGGTGCCTCCAGGACGCGAGCACCTTCTCACTCAGTGTTTAACGAGTAAGCGAACCATCTATGCTCCTCCTCCAGCTCTTGAGCCACCATTCCCAACACCCTCTGTGCTCTGCCTTATACACCAATCCATTCTTCCATCCCTCCAGCCTCAAACAATGTGGCAGGGATGGAGAAGAGGGTATGGTGGGGGAAGGCTGTCAAGGAAGAGGTAAGATATATTGCGAAAATTTAGAGGAGTTTTGTGTATTACCTCAGTGATTCTAAGAAAACGGGGAGCTTAGGGGTGCTTAAATGACCTACCATGTATTAATTTATTTGTTGGTCTTCTACCTAAACTCTGTGAGGGCAAAGGATCTGTTTCAATAATTCTCAAAATGTGGTCCCGAGAACCCCCAGGGAATTGCTTAAACCCTTTTACAGGGTCAATCAGGTCAAAATCATGCATGGATAAAAGATCCTTTCAATGTGCGAGACTAATGAATTTTACCATAGCAGACTATGGAAAGTTTACGAATAGGATTTCAGATTCCACACTTAACTATCTTTAAGAAAATCTCATGTGGACAGTTTTGGTCTAGTATCAAAGACCACCACCCAGTTATCTGCAAAGGCTATCGAAACCATCCTTCCTTTACCATCTACTTTTCCATCTGTGTGAGGCCAGCTTTCCTTCATATACTTCAACCAAAACCTGAGACTACAATAGACTGAAGGCAGAAGCAGATACAAGCATCCATTGTCTCCTATTAATCCAGACATTGAAGAGATTTGCAAGAATGTAAAACAATGTCACCTTTATCACTAATCATTTTTGGCTTGGGAAAAGTTGTTTTTATAAAAATATTTATATGTAATTTTTTATTTTTAATAGGTGTATTTACTTTATCTTCTAGTTTGGTAAATTAATGATAAATATAATCATAACGTGAAAAACAGCTCTTTGAGTATGAACACATTTTTCAGAGTGTAAAGTGAGTCTAAGGAGACTGAGAACTGCTGGTATATTCCAGTCCACTTCTGCTTCTTGAGGGCCTGGACGAGTGTTAGCACTGAGACACTGAATACATTCGGTTCAATAAAGATCTAGTGCACCCTCTTCAATTTCCAAAGAAGTGATCAGTATTTTCAGTCACACAACTAATCAGAAGCAATTCCCCTGTTCCCAAGATCCTACCACCACGCAAATACTGCATTCCAGATACCCTGGCAAATAAAGTGAGCTCAACTTTCCAAACAGGAATTAAAATTGAGGCAATGGAGATAAAGAACTTTATTACCTCAACTAAAAGAATTATGCTCCTACAATTTAGAGTTTATTTAGATTTAAGACTTTAGTGTACAAAAAGGATACCAAATTGGACAAATTGGTATCAAGAGAGTGTAATTTTAAGGGAGTTACTACAATTGTTTTGTTAGACTTACAGAAATTTGTGCTTAGGCAAAAAGACAAAAAAAAGTGAAATGTTTAGGGGAACGTACATTTTAAATTATGTAATTTGGCAGGCTTTGTTTCCCCTTAAATAAGATCTATTAAAATCTCTAAGTTAAATATTTGAAGTGAATGAAAGACAGTTAGATGGATTTTTTAAGTGTGCTTAGGTTTATAATACATATTTATATTCATCTTACTGCTGGAACAAGATGTTGAATAATTCGATACAAGTGTTCTGTGAAGGTACTATTCCGTGGGCAACCACTCAAGTTAACTGTAAATTTTCCTAGTGGAAGGACATCTCTTCTTGTATATCTAGAAAAGAAAGAAATCAATCAATAAGATGCTGAAGTGACTTCCTGATTTCTATCAAATAGCGAAGAATAGAAAAATTAGCTTAATATTGTCATTAAAAATAAACCAGAATATTCTGACCAGTTATTTTATCAGAATAACAGCAATAAAAGTAATAGCCAATATTTGTACGTAAGTGCTGCTGGTCACGTGCCAAAGACCGTTCTGAGTATGTAAATGCTTCCTCATTTAACCCCTAACCATTCAGCGGTAGGTGCTGTTGTCTTTGCTTCACAGATGAGAAATCCGAGGCACAGAGATGATAATAAGCAACATGTTCATCTAAATGGAAGCTGACAGAGCTGGGATATGAATCCGGGTAGTTTGGTTCCAGAGCCTGTGCTCTCAACCATTATGTACTACTGTCACAGACTGATTTGAGAAAAGATAAGATTTACAGCACAAAGATGTTTCCTGCAACTTTATAATAGAGAAAAGCTAGGAAAAGCTAACATTTAGGGAAATGGTTACAGTATGGTACAACTGCATAGTGAAATACTTTGCAGCCACTACAAAGTTCATGAAGCATTATGATGGGAAAATGTTTAATATATATCAACTGCTGAAAACAAGACACGCATCTGTGCTTAGAGTGTAACTAAGACCTATGCAAGGATGTATACATATGTAAACAAAAACCAATGAACATGTACCTAAAGGTTAACGGAGGTTCTAAGTGGTGAAATTACAGATGATGTGCATTTTCCTCCTTATGTTCTTGGAACTTGTCAAAGGCCCACACTAGTTTTAAAATGAGAAACAAAGAAATACAGTGGAGTCAAGGGATGCGGTGCTAGTGTCAATGTCCACGTTAAACGTGCACATGACGTGGGCGCCTTGGGATGTATAAACAGAGCGTTCAGAATGCAAAAGGGATAAAACAGCTCATTTTACTCATCAGCCAGGTCCTTTATCTCAGGGGTCCCCAACGCCCAGGCCGTGGACCAGTACTGGTTCATGGCCTGTTAGGAACCGGGCCACAACATAGGAGGTGAGGGGTGGATGAGTGGGCATTACCGCCTGAGTTCCGCCTCCTGTCAGATCAGCAGTGGCATCAGACTCTCACAGGAGCGCGAACCCTATTGTGAACTGCACATCTGTGTGTTCCCTATGAGAATCTAACTAATGCCTGATGTTCTGAGGTGGAACGGTTTCATACTGAAACCATCCCCACTCCGGTCCATGGAAAAATGGTCTTCCATGAAATGGGTCCTTGGTGCCTAAAAGGTTGGGGACCACTGCTTTATCTGATTTTGGCTCTAAAATTTAAGGGGACATAATCAAAATGCTAAATGTGAACTGTGAGAAAAGGAATTTGTCTGTGATTTGGTATAACAGTTAACACTGGACAGATAAAAACCATGTGATGAAGCCCAATAAGGAAAACACACAAATGACACCAGCAATCTTCCCGCTCTTCCACTTCCACACACACCAAACTCCCCTAATTCCCACCAGGATACAGCACTTACACTGTGGAGATGAGATGTAATATAAGGTATTCAGCAGCCAAACTATCCCCCAGAAGGGCATGAGTAAGGAACCCAAGAAGTTCTGCTCTGACTGGAGACAATTCGGACATGAAACTTGAAACAACTGAAGGAGAAAGGAAGACCTGAGTCAGGACACACACTCCAGTTCCTCTCAAGTGTCTTAGGTAAAAAAATAACTACGTGAGCAAAGCACAATTCAGTCGACAGTAGGTAAAGCTTAACATATCCGTCAGTAAGTGATGCTAATCTTAAAAATAAGGCAGTTTGCATCCTCCTTTTTTTTTTTTTTGAGACCAAGTTTTGCTCTTTTTGCCTAGCCTGGAGTGCAATGGTGCCATCTCAGCTCACCGCAACCTCTGCCTCCAGTTCTCCTGCCTCAGCCTCCCGAGTAGCTGGGATTACAGGCACACGCCACCACACCTGGCTAATTTTGTATTTTTAGTAGAGCCAGGGTTTCACTATATTGGCCAGGCTAGTCTCGAACTCCTGACCTCAGGTGATCCACCCACCTTGGCCTCCTAAAGTGCTAAGATTACAGGCGTGAGCCACTGCACCCAGCCTTGTATACTCTTTTGTCCTCATTTCAGTGAAGAGAATTAATGTAAGAGAAAAATGGGGCAACGAGAGAGAGATTACTGAAAACACTTATTGTGAGGAATGAAGACCTGACTCTCAATTCCACTATGAGCACGTTACAGGCAGCTCTGGACACACTGAGGCTAACAGTCGATAGTTGACTAGGCTGTAACACTTACACTTACAGGTTTTGCTCTCCTCTTTGTTAAGGCAGGCAGGCAATAATGGGTTGATGTGTTGCAACTTCTGGGCTAAGATCACATGAATTCTCGGCACTAATGAAGCAGGAGGACTGTGTACTCTCTGCTCCTCTGCTGTGTCTGTGCACTCCATCGGATCCAGCAGTGCAGAGGCATCCCTGTGGAGAGGTGATAAAGTTTCAATTTAGAGAGACATCAATTGCACAGATGCAAAAATAATGTGCATCTTGGAAAACAAAATTAGAGTTAAAGCCAAGAATATTTCCACCTGTACATCTCCTTAAAGAACAGAAAGTGGCCTCTCATTCTAAAGTGTTACATCACACAGACTTCAGGCTTGTTAAGACATATCATGAAATAATGCATTTATTCAATTTTTCAAGAACGGTATTTTTATTTTTATTTTTTTTTTGGATGGAGTCTCACTGTGTTGCCCAGGCTGGAGTGCAGTGATGCGATCTTGGCTCATTGCAACCTCTGCCTCCTGGGTTCAAGCGATTCTCATGCCTCAGCCTCCTGAGTAGCTGAGATTACAGGTGCACACCACCATGCCTGGCTAATTTTTGTATTTTTAGTAGAGACAGGGTTTCACTATGTTGGCCAGGCTGGTCTCGAACTCCTGACCTCAAGTGATCTGCCTGCCTTGGCCTCTCAAAGTGCTGGGATTACAGGCGTGAGCCACCATGCCTGGCCAGAAACAATAATATTTGTTATTCAGCACTTCAATAAATGGAATGTAGGATGTCACTCATAAGGCTATTTCAAAACACAGGTACTCCTTGAACTATTGGCCGGGACATCGAATACTTGACAGCAGATCTCAAAAACTGGGGTCTTTTTCTCAAAAGCCATCTGGTATCTATTATTCAGCGTGTGGAGAATCCATTCATCTCTTATCTTGCTAATTGTTTTTCCTAAATTTAATTCTTACATGATCCCTCGAAGACTGAGTAGACAAGCAATGAAAGTATGAATTTTTCAGACTTGCTAAATAAATCTGCAGATGATAGATTTGTGAGACGACCAAAACAAATAGCTAATCTTTTAGATCTTGACTTTATAGAATCTATAGACACTGAAGTAATAAATTCATACTCCTGTATTTTTTAATACAAGCATAATAACCTTTTCCATAGTACGTACCATGTGACAGACAACGTTCAATGCCTTACACGTACAAATTCACCAAAACCTCACATCTACCCTTATTTACAATGAGGAAACCAAGCCCAAGGTGACATAGCTAGTAAGTGGCCAAGTCAGGACTCCAACCCAGGCTGCCTGCCTGTCTGTGCTCTTAACCTCTGTGATGGTTAATACTTTGTCAATCTGACTGGATTGAAGGATGAAAATTATTGTTCCTGGATGTGTCTGTGAGGGTGTTGCCAAAGGAGATTAACATTTGAGTCAGCGGGCTGGGAGAGGCAGACCCACCCTCAGTCTGGGTGGGCAGCATCTAATCAGCTGCCAGCATAAAGGCAGGCATGTAAAGAGCAGACTGGCTGAGTCTTCCGCCTCCACCTTTCTCTCATGCTGGATGCTTCCTGCCCTCAAACATCAGACTCCAAGTTCTTCAGCTTTTGGACTCTTGGACCTACACCAGTGGTTCACCAGGAGCTCTTAGGCCTTCAGCCACGGACTGAAGCCTACACTGGTGGCTTCCCTACTTTTGAGATTTTGGGACTCAGGCTGGCTTCCTTGCTCCCCAGCCTATTGTGGGATTTTACCTTGTGATCATGTGAGTCATTCTCCTAATAAACTCCCCTTCATATATTCATCTATCCTATCAGTTCTGACCCTTTAGAGACCCCTAATACAACCTCTAAACTAAACTACATCAATAGTGAAGTAACTAAAGCAGGAAAGTCATCACAATCAGAAATTGCCAAGATGAACAATCTCATATACTATTATTAAGGGACGGTTAAGCTTATTTAAAGTTGTTTAAAATTTTTGTTTTGTACCATTTTTTTTTAACTGTGAAAAATGTTAAGTTCATCCTACACAGAAACTAAGATGATTAATGTCCGGTATTCAACAAGAGGACTCTGGTGTAGATGAGGGACATCAGCCCTTGCTTTTGGCAATCTCAAAACAAAACAAAAATGAATGAGGAAGGTCTAGATTTCCAAGATATGTTGTTAATAAAAAAAATTAAAAAGTGTAAGAGTATATATACCATGTTACCTTTTATAGAAGAAAAAGGTAGAAATAAAATGTATACGTATCTTCATATTTTTGTAAAAAAATAAATACAGGAAGGATAAACCAGAAACTGTGGTTCCCTAAGGAGGCTGGGTGGGAACAGACAGCAGGAATGGGGATAGCCGAGAATGACACCTCTGAGAATCTTTCTAAGTAAAATAAATAATGAAATCACACTGAAGGGGAAGAAAAGTTACCTGAGTAAGTGGAACATAGCTCTGACTACACAGCTGCATTCTAAAATAAAAATGAACTGGAAATGTATTGAACTCTAATTACTAGGTTTCTGTTTTGTAGTGGTATGGGTTACCAATTCTGAAATTCCCTTCTGTATATGGTAGAAATGGGGAAACAACAGATTGTGAATAATGGGAATCAAATTTGTTAGAAAAAGAAGTCATAAATATAGAAAGGAGAACAACTAGAACATGTGACTCCTGCTGTGCTGAACTGGAATCAGAAATATGAACCCATGGTTTTTCACAGACATTAGAAATACACAAAACATGCATGTGAGTGTGTATGTGTGCATTTAAATGTGGGTGCGTATATATGTATCCATATGCTGCATGTATCCTAGCTCTGTCTACTTTAAGGGCCTAGATGCAAATCTAATCCAGTACCAACGAGCACATCTAGGACTCAGATCTTCAAAGCATACGATGAAGCTGCAACAGCTTAATATGCCAGAAAATAAATGTTAAAAAATGATAACATCATCTCAAAAAAAGGACCCGGCACCTGCTTAAAGTGGCTCCCACTAGCCAAATCTGGGAAAATTTGGGTCTCGAAATAAAATAATGATATTAACATTGAATAAAATCAGAATCTATTAGTCTATACTAAATATAAGTAAATACATTACTTGAATAAACAAATGGAAGAGGTATCTTTTATAGTAGAATGCCAATAAATAAATGTACTGCGTTAGAAAATTGCCAACAAAGTAATAACTGATTCAAGCAAGAATCATCAATGAATGCTAAAATAAATTGGTGAAAGTTTAATGAGAAACTGGATATTTATGTCCCCAAGTACCTTCCTCCAAGTTACTTGTCAATTACAAAGTGAGAAATGTAACTTTACAGAAGAGACATCTGGAAGTCACCACCTTAACCAACTAATGAAAATTAACCTCACCAGTAAAGGGACAAACTGACATCGCATGCCTCCTGCTGTAACATACTGAGGATACATCAATTCTGTAATATTCCTGCCAAAAATGCAAAACATTGAGTCTAACCATGAGGAAACAAGTAACTGGTAACTGGCTTACACTCTTCAAAAGCATCAAGGCTGTCTGCTCTCTACCACGTGAGAAGACAGCCATCTGTAAACCAGGAAGCGGGCCCTCACTAGAAACCAGATCTGCTGGGAACTTGATTTTGGACTTCCCAGCCTCCAGAACTACTGGAAGACATATATTTCTGTTGTTTAAGGAAAAAAAAAAAGTGGCAAGACCATGAAAGACAAAGGCTGAGGACTGTTTCAGATTGAACTCTAGTTATTTAGGTTTATGTTTTGTAAAGGTATGAGTTAACAATTCTGAAATTCCCTTCTCTATGTTGTAAAAATGTGCAAATGATAAGATTGTGAAAAATGGGAATCAAGTTTAAGAGAGTTACACTAATACAGAAAGGAGAACAAGCAGAACGACACCTGTGGTGCTGAACTGGAATCAGAAATACAGTATGAACTCAGTAGAAATAGAGAATGAGCGAGCTTCTGAACCCTGGACTGGGGGATGCAGAAGGGAGACGTGTAAGAAAGAACATGATTAAGACAATTAGTGAAATTAAGTATAGATTGTGGATTAGTGTATTGTATATTTGTGGCAAATTTCCTAGTTTTGATACCTGTACTCTAATTATATATGAGAAAGTCAGTACTCTTAGGAAATGTTGACAAGCAGTTAGGGGTAAAAGGGCTTGATTTCTGCAACATACTTTCAAGTGTTTCAGAAAAATGTGTGCATAGAGAGCACAAATGAATGACAAAACACATGGGGTGCAAGTGTTTACAACTGGTACATCTGGGAGAAAGGGAAAAGGGAGTTCTTTAAAACCATCCTGTAACTCTCCTGAAAACTTGAAATTATATAAAAATAAAGGAGACCAAAAAAAGAGCACACAGACTCACCTTTCATCATTATTCAGTATACTCAGCACAGGATCCACAGACAGTATGCCATATAGCTCAAGAATGTCATTTACTTTGAAACAATCCCAATCTTCATAAACCTAACAAGAGACCACATGAAATCACACTGTTAGAACAGACACAAAGCTTAAGATATTAGTCTTGAAGTACCAATATCTTGGAATTTTAGATCAGGAAACAGACCTTAAAGCAAGTCCTTTATTTTATAAATTTTTATAAATTGAGACCAAGAGTCATTCTGCTAGTTAGCAAATAAGTGAAAAACCAAAACACAGGATGCCTAACTTCCAGACTAATGTCTGTTTTCAATATACCACAGTACTACAAAAAAAAAAGGCTTTTCCTAAAATTAAAAAAAGCCTTTTCCCAAAGGCTGACAGTTAAAACTAGAACTGTGCACTATCTCAAAACCTATTAAACCACACCAAGAAAAGGAAAAAACAAAAACAAGATGATTAACTTTGCATTTATTCATAAACTGCAACATCGGATTAACACAAAACTTGGAATGGCCAGAAGATTTTTCACAATTTAAAAAAAAAAAAAAACCTTTCAAAATTGTCTGTCATGATGGACTTAGTAATAGTCAAGGCCATTTACTGATTAGACCTGGTAGAAGCAAGGCAGGGGAAAAAATGGTAATTTTGGTCCCTGTGCCATATGACTTAAGTGTCATTTCAGTTAAAACCACTGAGAATCTGGGTGCAGTGGCTCACCCCTGGAATCCCAGAACTTTGGGAGGCTGAGGTGGGTGGGTCACTTGAGGTCAGGAGTTCGAGACCAGCCTGGCCAACATAGTGAAACCCCATCTCTACAAAAAATATAAAGAACGAGCTGGGTGTGGTGGTGCATGCCTGTAATCTCAGCTACTCAGGAGGCTGAGGCACGAGAATTGCCTGAACCCAGGAGGTAGAAGTTGCAGTGAGCCGAGATCGTGCCACTGCACACCAGCCTGGACAAGAGAGTGAGACTGCCTCAAAAAAACAAACAAAAAAACCCCCCAAAAACAAAAAAACCCAAAATGCACAAAGAATAAGGATAGAAATCCTTAACAATCATTTCTGAACCTTCTATCACTTGCTCATTTATCAGGATCAAAACACTAGAATAAGTAAGATGGAAGAACAAACTATTAAAAGTTTTCTTCCTTCTGTTTTATTTTAAATATAAGTGAAAAATAGGTTTTGCTGAGAGAAGGAAGAAGACAAAAATGAAGAAGATATTATGTTAGAAATGATACAGGAAGGGAACAGACATAATTTAAAAGTTGTTCTGCTTCTGCATTTGAGATGTTCTTCGATTCTTTTAACTTGTTAGCTTACATGCAAAAGGAATGTGCAGGTGTGATTAAATTAATAACCTTGAAATGGGGGGGATTATCCTCGATTAACTGGCTGGGCCCCATGTAATCACACGGATTCTTAAAATTGGGGAAACTTTCTTGGTTGTGGTCAGATGAGATGTCAACATGAAAAAAATGGTCAGACAAATGCAATGTTGCTGGCTATGAATATGGAAGAAGGAGCCACAAGGCCAAGGAAATTCTCCCTTAGGGGCTCCGAGAAAGGAATGTAGCCCTGCTGGCACCTCGAGTTTACCCCAGTGAGACCATGTTGGATTTCTGACCTAAAGCCTGTAAGATGATAAACTTTTGCTGCTTTAGGCTATTAAATTTGCAGTGATTTGCTATAGCTAGCCCAGCACAAGGGAACAAATGCAAATGCTCAGACACTAAGCTACTTTCTGAGACACATAACATTTCAGTGTTGGATCTACGAAAGGTTTTATTACCTTCACAAGGCATGCAGGGCCCTTCTCTCCTGGCAATGGAAAATTCAAATCAAAAGGAGAAGACAAGTTCAGAGAGTTCAGCTGTTGCCCAGTAGAAGCTTCAGTTTCTAAACGTTTTGGCTCTCCACACCATTGAAGACCACCAACACTCCCTAAATTCAAAGGATAGCATTGCACTTAGTCATTTCTAAGGCCTCCTGGAGAAAAAGAACATTCCATAAGTGCCTTTCAAGTTTGATATACGTGATGCTTCTGAGCTTGCAAAGTTCAAGTTGTTACAGTTTTTAAGGAAACAGCACATACTAACAAAGTCTTTTGTTTGATCTGTAAGAGGACAAAGATAAACATGAAGATCTAAAAATTTTACTTTTTTTTCCCTTACTGTAAGATATCAACAAATTCCTCCCATCAAATCTCATGTATAACCAGTTTCAAAAGTTGATTTGCAATATGGTTACTTTGACATCTTTGATTTAAGGAATACATGGTCTACCGACAGCAAAACTCCTTGGTAGAACATACTTTTTCTATTAATTAAGCAGAATAAAACCATACAGCAATAAATTAATTTACCAAATACTTATTAATATCCAGTATGTACCAGGAATCAAACCAGTTGTTGGGGATATACAGGTCATTAAAAGAATAACCCCAACTCCTGAAGTAGTTACACTTTAGGGCTGATAACATGAGAATCAAATTATAGCCTGCCATACCACGAAACACCACTCAGCAATAAAACGGACAAACTACTGATACATGCAACAATTGGGATGGATCTCAAGGGAATTGTGCTGAAGAAAAGACAATCCCCAAAGTTTATGTAATATACAATTCCATTCTTAAAATGACAAAATTATAAGAGATGGAGAAGAGACCAGTGGTTGCTAGGGTCTAGAGACTTCTGGGGACGGAGGAGGCAGGAGAGTGGTAGTTAGGAGCATAAAAGGGCAACATGAGAGATCTGGGTAATGAAATATTCCCGATTTTAACTGTGGTGGTGGTCACATGAATCTACCTATGCGATAAAACTGCAAAGAACAGGCCAGGTGCAGTGGCTCAAGCCTGTAATCCCAGCACTTTGGGAGGCTGAGGCAGGTGGATCACGAGGTCAGGAGATTGAGACCATCCTGGCTAACACGGTGAAACCCCGTCTCTACTAAAAATACAAAAAATTAGCCAGGCGTGGTGATGGGGGCCTGTAGTCCCAGCTACTCGGGAGGCTGAGGCAGGAGAATGGCGTGAACCCAGGAGGCGGAGCTTGCAGTGAGCAGAGATTGCACCACTGCACTCCAGTCTGGGTGACAGAGCAAGACTCCGTCTAAAAAAAAAAAAAAAAAGGAAAAAAAATGATTGTATCAATATCCACTTCCTGGTTATGACATTCTACTATAATTACGTAAGGTATTACCACTGGGGGAAGTAGAGGCTAAAAGGTATACAAGATCTGTTTTTTTTTTTTTTTTTTGAGACAGAGTCTCACCCTGTCACCCAGGCTGGAGCATGGTGGCGATCAGCGCTCACTGCAACCTTCGCCTCCCGGGTTCAAGCAATTCTCCTGCCTCAGTCTCCCAAGTAGCTGGGATTACAGGCGTGCACCACCATGCCCAGCTAATTTTTGTATTTTTAGTAGAGATGGGGTTTCACCATGTTTGCCAGACTGGAACTCCTGACCTCAAGTGATGTGCCTGCCTCGGCCTCCTGAAGGGCTGGGATTATAGGTGTGAGCCACCGCAACCAGCCTCTCTGTATTATTTCTTACAACTGCATGTAAGTCTATACTGTGTCAAAATAAAAAGTTTAAAAATATGTATAGCCTAAAACATTGACTAAACACCAACAAGTGTTACTTTATATAAATAAAGTACTCAAATGCATAAAAAGCCTGCATTAAGACATTCAAACAAGAATGGTAAGAAATAAAAAGTAGCATCAACTGCTTAAGTGATAAGAGAATTAACATATTTCCTGGACTTAAATACACACTCGAATATATTACAATATATAAGTTACTATGATATTTATTTGAGATGGAGTCTCTCTGTCACTCTGGCTGGAGTGCAATGGCATGATCTCAGCTCACTGCAACCTCCGCCCCTCTGGGTTCAAGTGATTCTACTGCCTTAGCCTCCCAAACAGCTGGGATTACAGGCGCCTGCCACCATGCCTGGCTAATTTTTGTATTTTTAGTAGAGATGGGGTTTCGCCATGCTGTCCAGGCTAGATGATAGACCATTAATTTTAATATATTCTGGGGATCGGTGGAGAAAAAGAATACTACGACATTTATATGTATTTATAGTAAAACATTCCAATTTTAAACACATTAAAATATATCTTAGCATTAAGAAAATCTGGAAATATCAATTTATAAAGTAGAGTAATATAAGGGTAAATAAAATTCATTAGTAAATCCCTGTTTACCACTGACTGTTAAATTTGCCTTGGCCAGGCACAGTGGCTCATGCCTGTAATCCCAGAACTTTGGGAGGCCGAGGCAAGTGGATCATCTGATGTCGGGAGCTCAAGACCAGCCTGACCAACATGGAGAAACCCCGTCTCTACTAAAAATACAAAATTAGCCAGGCGTGGTGGCGCATGCCTGTAATTCCAGCTACTCAGGAGGCTGAGGCAGGAGAATTGCTTGAACCCAAGAGGTGGAGCTTGCAGTGAGCCAAGATCGTGCCACTGCAATCCAGCCACTGCAACAAGAGCGAAACTCTGTCTCAAAAAAAAAAAAAAAAAAAAAAAAAAAAGCCTTCTCTACCCAATCTTGCAGATAGTAAATGACCAGACTGATTTGTTTTGCCTCCTTGTCCTTTAATTTTTCCTTCTGATTAAAGGTGCTGAAGGGAAGTGGATAGCACATACTCGAATATATTACAAACTCGAATATATTACAAATATAAAGACAAACTTATATACCCACCATAACAAAGAAATCCACTGCTTATAAAAGCTAAGACTGGTTGGGCGTGGTGGCTCGCGCCTGTTATGCCAATGGCTTTGGGAGGCTGATATAGAAGGATCACCTGAGCCCAGGAGTTTGAGACCAGCCTGGGCAACATAGTGAGATCCCATCTCTACACAAAATTTAAAAAGTTAGCTGCATGTGGTGGCATGCGCCTATAGCCTTAGCTACTAGGCAGGTTGAAGTGACAGGGGATCACTTGAGCCCAGGAGGTCAAGGCTACAATAAGCCATGATTATGCCACTGCACTCTAGCCTGGGTGATGGGAGTGAAACCCTGTCTCAAAACACAAACAAACAAGAAAATTAAAAAGAAAATGAGAAAGCATGTTTTCAGATAAAAATAACTCATTTTTAGGGTAAAGTACCAGGCTTCTGTATTAAAAATAAATATGAAGATAGAAAAGACCTTTCCAGATAGTCACTTGAGACTCCAAACACATACATCAGAGCAGCCACTTGTCACAAAGTGATGCCTAATTGCTCATTTGCGAAGCACAGTCTCATCAGAGTACTGTAAAAACTCTCAACATGTCTGTAACTCTGATAAATTGCCAGCTCCTAAATATAGAGCTATATTATGTAACAATTCACTCTGAAAACCAATCTACTGTAAGAGAGCAAAGTCTAGAGAAAACCTGTTGGCACACACTACCTGCTTGTCTGGCACCTGCATGTTGGTCTTTCTGCTTATTGGGCTGTAGGTCCATATCGTCATCATCTTCATAACTCCTCTTGTGGCGACTAGGAGTGTAGGATGTTGAGGGACTGACTCGAGCTTGGTTTGCATTAACATAGGCGTTAAACGAAAAGTTAAGAAAAGACTATCATAAACTGAGGAATATCCTAAAGTTTTGCTAATTATATGACTTATAAAAAATTACTAGTTTGGCAATTCAGTTAAAATAGAATGCATTTTCATAAAAGGAGGCTAGACTTCCAGTTCTGGTCATGAGAATAACAGGTATCAACCTTATGCTGCTATCCTTGCTGTAAACAACAATGTAACTGGACAAAATATGTGAAGCAACTGTTTTCAGTCACTGGACAACAGGGAGCATAAGGTTATGATCCTTGAATGAGGAGAAACACAGCAGGTAAACTCCAAATTCTCCCAGCTCTCTCCTGGAGACGTTCTCCAAACTGCAACAAAGAGCAGTAGAGGCCCTCTCTTACTGGGTGGAGAAGACAGAGCACATGGTTCAGGGCTAGTGAAGCAACTGGAATTTGCAGAGAAGTACTAGAAAGGAAGTAGTTACGGATAAAAGACCCTGAAGGTTCCATTTGGATCTCTGACAAAACACTAAATTGTGGATATACAAGTCAAGACTCCCTGAGGACTAGCAGAGAACAGCTGCTAGTTGGCAGAGAGTTAAATGGAGACTCTGGAAGTAGTATAATACTATAATGGACCCTACTAGTCATCCTAGGCATTTGGGTAAGACCCAGAAATAGCAGACCTCATGAATAAGGATGATCTACTGTTCAACAAGGGCTGTTCTACACCACCCCTAACAAATCCCAGGTGGATGCAGTGGCTAACATCTGTAAATCCAACACTTTGGGAGGCTCAGGTGGGAGGACCACTCAGCCCAGGAAGTTGAGAGTAGCCTGGGCAACACAGTGAGAACTCATCTCTTTTTTCCTTTTCTTTTTTTTTTTTTTTGAGACAGTCTCGTTCTGTTGCCTAGGTTGGAGTGCAGTGGTACAATTTCAGCTCACTGCAGCCTCAGCCTTCTGGGTTCAGGTGATCCTCCCGTCTCAAGCCATGGGAGTAGCTGGAACCACAGGTGCCCACCACCAAGCCCGGCTAGTTTTTGTATTTTTTGTAGAGACAGAGTATTGCCATGTTGGCCAGGTTGGTCTCAAACTCCTGGCCTCAAGTGATCCTCCTGCCTCTGCCTCCCAAAGTGCTGGGATTATAGGCATGAGCCACTGTGCCTGGTCTGTTTTTTTAAAATAAATTATTAAAATAAAAAATAAAAATTCTATATCCAATGAAAATGTTCTTCAAAAATTAAGGTGAGGCCGGGTGTGGTGACTCACATCTGGAATCCTAGTGCTTTGGGAGGCTGAGGCGGGTAGATCACTTGAGCTCAGGAGTTCGAGACCAGCCTGGGCAACAAAGGGAGAGACCCTGTCTCAAAAATAAATAAATAAATAAATAAATAAATAAATAAATAAAACAAAATGAAGGTGGAATAAAAGACATTTTCAATTGAACAGAAACTGACAGAATTCGTCACCAACAGATCTGTATTTAAAAAAAAAATAATTGCTGGCCGGGCATAGTGGCTTATGCCTGTAATCCCAGCACTTTGGGAGGCTAAGGTGGGTGGATCACCTGAGGTCAGGAGATTAAGACCATCCTGGCCAACATGGTGAAACCCCGTCTCGACTAAAAACACAAAAAAACTGGCGTGGTGGCACACACCTGTAGTCCCAGCTACTCTGGAGGCTGAGGCAGGAGAATCACTTGAACCCGGGAAGCGGAGGTTGCAGTGAGCCGAAATTGCACCACTGCACTCCAGCCTGGTGACAGAGCAGGACTCTGCCTCAAAAAAAAAAAAAAAAAAAATAAAATAAAATCATAATCATAATAATATCGCTAAAGGAAATGATGCCAAATATAAAAAAAGATGAATTCTTCTTGCTTCTTAATTTATATAAAAGACAAACGACTGTTAAAAACAAAAATAGTATGTTGTGAGCTGTATAATCTAAGGATGAGTGAAATCTATGACAAAAATAGCACGAAGAATGAGACTACACAGAAGCAGATTGTTGCAAGGGCGAAGGATCAAAGAAGAAATCACAAGGGAAATTAGAAAATATTTTGAATTAAATGACAGTAAAAACCTAACAAATGAAAACTTGTGGGATGCAACCAAAGCAGTGACTGGGGAGAAATTTATAGCTTTAGTTGCTAACATTAGAAAATAAGAAAAATTTGAAATCAATAATCTGAGCATCTACTTTAAAAAGCTAGAAAAAGGGCCAGGCGCGGTGGCTCACGCCTGTAATCCCGGCACTTTGGGAGGTTGAGGCAGGTGGATCACGAGGTCAGGAGTTCAAGACCAGCCTGGCCAACATGGTAAAACCCCGTCTCTATCAAAAATACAAAACAATTAGCCGGGCATGGTGGCAGGCACCTGCAATCCCAGCTACTTGGGAGGCTGAGGCAGAGAACTGCTTGAACCTGGCAGGCTGAGGTTGCAGTGAGCCGAGATTGTGCCACTGCACTCCAGCTTGGGTGACAGAGCCAGCAAGACCCCGTCTAAAAAAAAAAGGCTAGAAAAAGACCAATTAAAACCAAACCAAAAAGAACAAAATAAAGCAGAAATGGATGAAGCAGAAAACAGAAAATTGAAGTGAAAAATAGACTAACATTATTGGGAATGAAAGAGATCAATGCTAGATATCCCACAGACATTAAAAAGAAAATACTCTGACAAGTTTTATGTCAATAAATTCAACAACTGGGTTTAAATGACTTCAAAACAGTCCTTGAAAGATACAATTTATCACAACTGACTCAAAATATCTGTTAAAAAACTGAATTAGTCACTCCTGTAATCCCAGCACTTTGAGAGGCCGAGGCAGGCAGATCACGAAGTCAAGAGATCGAGACCATCCTGGCCAGCATGGTGAAACCCCGTCTCTACTAAAAATACAAAAACTGGCGGGCATGGTGGCGTGTGCCTGTAGTCCCAGCTACTCGGGAGGCTGAGGCAGGAGAATCACTTGAACCCAGGAGATGGAGGTTGCAGTGAGCCAAGATCACGCTACTGCACTTCAGACTAGCAGCAGAGCAAGACTCCATCTCAAGAAAACAAAAACAAACAAACAAAAAACAAACAAAAAGAACTGAATTGGTAGTTTAAAATGTTCTCACAAAGAAAATGCCCAGCTTAAAACCGTAAATAACCTAAATGCTCAATTGGAGACTGTATAAACAAATAATACTTAGCAAAAGAAAACAAGAAAGAAATGAAGAACTACTGATACACACATGACTCAAATGCATGATGTTAAACACAAGATGTCAGACACAAAGACTATATATTATATGAGTCCATTTAGATGTCATTCAACAGACAAGACCAAGCCATAGTCAAGAATTCAGGATTGTGCTTGCAGGGGAGGAGGTAGTGACTAGAAAAAGGCAGAAAGGAATTTTTAGGCACAAGTTCTTTACTTTGGGGTATAAATTATATAGGTGTATGTGTTTATCCAAATCACTGTGCATTACCTTAAAATCTGTGCATTTCAGTGTAGGTGGGCCATGCCTTAAAAAATTACTATCGTAAATAAAAAGGAAATGTTTCTACAATCCCCTCTCAAAAGAGCCAACACGTTGTCTTCCCTTAATTAGAATGAATTCCAATTTGAAACTATTTTTTTACTTTAATTATCATATTTTTTCAGTACCTTTAAATGTGCCTTAGGCGGAGCATGCACTCTGGTAGGCTGAGGTGAGAGGATCACTTGAGCCCAGGAGTTCAAGACCAGCTTGGGCAACAAAGTGAACCCTGTTCCTACAAGAAATCAAAAAATTCGCCAGGGATGGTGGCACACGCTTGTGGTCCCAGCTACTTGGGAGGCTGAGGCAAGAGGACTGCTTGAGCCCAGGAGGTTGAAGCAGCAATGAGCCATGTTTGTGCCACTGCACTCCAGCCTGGGTGACAGTGAGTCCCTATCTCAAAAAAAAAAAAAAAAAAAAAAAATTACTTCAATCATTTTAACAGTATTTCACTATAGGAATGTACTGTTATTTTAGCATTACTCAGTGACAAATACTTAGCCCGTTTTATGGGTTTTCTCAATTAGAACAAATGAAACACACTTTATTAAAATAAAGCCAAGCTTTGCAAAGGAAGAATAATTAAAGGCTAAGTTTTTAGAAACCATCAACACAGTAAGAAAGTTCAGATAAAGGATATTTCTTTTACCCACGTAGATTCCCCAGGCACCGGAACACAATAGAAAGTCTGTCTTTCCAAAGTGGTATTTCGTGGAGAGTTTAAATCAAGTTCTTGTTGAGGCTGTGATATACATAAAAAGTGTTTTTAAAAATTTACTTTAAAAAACCCAAAATTTATTTTAAAATTAGCAACCACATTTTCACATTATAACACCACAGCAAATATTTTACAGATTAATTAACAAGTAACTAATTCCAAACTATTACTTTTTAAAAGAAAATGGATATAAAATCACTTCAAATACTGTCATCAAACACTTCCTCCCTCAAATCCAGAAAAATGGGACCTCTGGAGTGACTTATAATCTGGGTCTAGTTCTCTGCTTTGTGGATCTAGAACCTTACTTTTATGATGTTATCTAGGCCTTTTTATATTCTTAGAGTCTAACTCTTGGCTTATCCAAACCTTAGGAAACTGATTTATCAAACCCCAATATCAGTCCGTTAATTCACAACAGAAGTTGTTGCTCATTAAATATTCTAGTTCAGTAGGCAGATCTGGACAGAAAAATTGCCCTAATTTGGAAGGTTACTGCAAAGATTATATTAAACAAAAATGTAACTTCTGACAATTATTTAGAGTAATGAACTCATTTGAAAGATAGATTTGTGTAACCTTACACATGATGAACTTCAGGTCTGTTTTTCTTTTAGAGTGTTTCCATAAAATAAACACTGTGCCAAGCCTAATGGATCAACTGTATTAATGATTACAGTATCCCTTGTTTAAGGAGTCCTAACACATTAGGCTAATATATTACATTACTGTATACCATAAAAAGCTGTGTATTAATGTAACTCGGTAATCCCAGCATCTGGAAATGGGTCAATAAAATAGATGAGGCTGTCCATGTGTGACACTACCAAAGGCTAACAGAGAGTTGGTACACATGTTGCTCAAGAGTCATAAATAAAAGACTCATTCTAGGAGAAAGGTACCTTAGGCCTAGAAAGAAAGGCAAACAAAAAAATCCTTGCTTGTATGTATTAGGCTCAAATTTGATGTCTCCTGGGTCCTTTCCACTTCTTAGAGTTTTCTAAGTATATCTGAAAGAGAACATGCCTTTCCTAGGGAATAATATATGACTTTTGAATCTCATCTCCGAGCTACCTAGGAATGAATATTTCATTAAATTTCTGTATTATAGGCTGATTCTGACAGCTTTCTATGAAAGAAACAGTGAGATTACCATTGGCTTTGTCTTTGAAGGAATTAAAAAGGATTTAATTTTGCAACCTAGGGTTCTTTGTTTTACATATATTATATACAGATATTGGAGAGAGGAATTAATTTTGGCATTAACAGTATTTCCCCTTCAAAAGATCTTTAGAGGATTAAAAAAAAGTCACATCAAACTCCTAAATAAAACCAAATAAGGAAAACATTTCACATGATTTCTTGTAACTTATACACAAGATAAATAAATTTAAGATTAGCTAAACAAATTCTCTGTTTAGGAAAAAATTCTTACTAAAAATGTTTCATATATATTAAAGATACATACCCCACACTCTGCTACATCTCTATATTTTCCAAAATGAAGAACCTATGACCCCAAACATAGAAAAACAGAATTATATCAATATATCTGAACCAAAACTACCACCAACAGTAAAAGGACAAAATTAATACCACAAATTCATGAAAACAGCAATACTTACATGTGCTTTTGTGTTTTGGTTAACCGTTTCATAAACTCCCATGTAAAACTCAGGGTCAAACATATCCTGAATCATGCAACGAAATTTCACAAAACTATTAGGTTTCAAATAATGAAGGGGAACTTCGTTCAGTGATGGTACCTTAAAGGAAAATAATCAAGTCAGTCAACTAAATATCCTGTCTATACAACATTAAGCATATATACACAAACTTTATATCCAGACTCAAACTGTTACACACACACACACACACACACACACACACCCATGCCACATCAGAGAGCCAAATGATCTCAATGGTCAATATAATTGCTGGAACCCAAGTTCTCTTCCATTTCTTTCAAGTTTTAGATAACATTTGACCACAATGTAAAAGAATGCTAAAAAATGCTTTTCATTCAGAACACTTTTCAATGATCAAAAAGGCATTTACTTTGTTGAGCTCTTCTCTTAAAACTAGCACATGCCAATTCTTTTAAAATGAAGGTAATAAAACAAAGGTAACTGACACTCTTGCAACTAAAGATTTGTCTCAGGAAGTAACAGTCAGTTACTGCCACCTAGAGGCATAATGTATAAGTATTTACATGCTTAAACTTAATTAGCAAAAGACCAAAATCTTTTAATACAAATGTACTTGAAGCAGAAGTACATTAATTTACATATTTTTAAATTACATGTGGGTTACTTAGTTACTCTACTAAGAGAAACTGTATAGTCTGTCCAACCCTCTCCCTCGAAAATAGCAATAAGCTTACCCACTTAGGAGCATTATTTTCCTTCAGCTTTTCCTTAAAATACTCAATTACTTTCTTCTCCCAGTCAGGATTAACTCCATTTTGGGCTGAAAGAGAAATATACTTTTCAAAGCTAATGTACATGCAATATATAATAAAAGACTATGATCAGGTGAGTCACACAATAGTTTAGTCAGCAAAAAACAAACTAAAATTAGCTACTATGATAGAATGAATTTTTAGATAGGGTGTATTTTATGCTTCAGTGTGTCTGAAGTACTGCACAAGACACATTCAAGAAGCTGTACTGAGCAGGGGAAGGGGCAGTTACAAATCAGGAGGATGCTGACCTCCTGCAGGCTCTCTAGCACCCACAGTGTAGCTGGGGACACCTACAGAATGTGCTACAAGGCCACCTAGATTCAGCAGCATATGAAGCACTGCTTGTAAAGCATTCTGTTCTTTCAATACATTTTTATGTAGTTTTTTTATCTTTACAACTATCCTGAAATAAAGAGCCTAAGTTTTTTTGTTTATAACTTCATTTGGGAATAATTCCAGATTCAAAAAAGTTGGAAAGAACACCTGTATGCTTTGCCCCATTTGCTCCATCTCATATTTTTTCTGACTCATTTAAGTTGCAGTATCAGGTATTTTTGCCTACAAATATTTCAGCGTGTCTCCTAAGGAACAGTACTAACCATAGTACTGTTATCAACCTCAGGAAATTCAAAATTGGCACAATACTTTTTATTTAATCTACCATCTATATTCCTATTTATCATATGACCCAATACTATCCCCTCTATAGCACTTTTTTCCGTTCAGTTACAGGACCCAGCTTAGGATCACTTTTGCATTTAGCTATCAGATCTCTTTAATCTCCTTTCATATGGAATAGTTCTGCAAACTTTATATTTCATGACATTGCTATTTAAGAAGAATAAGGTCCTTTTTTAAAAATTGAATGCTTCTCAATCTGGATCTGTTGGTTCCCTTATGATCAGATTCCAATCAAGTATAACCGAACTGCTGTTTAAACAATGTTGTCAAACTACTGTATAAGTGATGTTTATCCTTCCAGATGTCTGAAAAGACATGATGTCCATCTTCCCTTCATTGGTGATGTTAATTTTGATCACCCAAAGTGACAGCCAATTACTCTACTGTGTAGTTACTATTTACTCCTTACAATTAACAAGCCATCTACAGCAGGCACTTATGGGAACTGGCCAAGACCAAAAAGTGAGCTATTGACGGAATACAGATTTATGTGAACTAAAACCACCAAACCACACAGCTGGCCAATCCTGCTGTTTATATTCATCACACAAGTGTTATGAAGATTTGGAGTAAAAAATAAAAAGTCTACACTTGTTATGGAGCTGCATCTGTTGAAAAGGACCATAAAATCCTAACACCATGTTTGAGCAGGACTTCCAAACACGTTTACTTAACTGGACAAGGGCCAGTTGTGAAAAAGAAGTAGGGATGGGGGACTCCTCAGGTGATACTAATGTGTAGGCGTTAAATCCACTAACAAACTAGTCCTCAAAGTTGGTTCCCTGACCAGCATCATTAGCATCATCTGAGTACTTGTTAGAAATGCAAATTATTCAGCCCAACCCCGAACCACAGAATCAGAAACTCTTAGGGGTGGGGCCTAGCAATTCATATTTTAAAAAGCCCTCTATGTGACTGACTATAATGCACATTGAAGTTTAAGAATCGCTGCTCTACTAGATACAGTGAATTGGGTAAAAGATAAGTGGGTATTTTCGCTTGTATTCAAAATGGATGTTTAAAGAAAAGACTATTACACAGCCACGACTGCCACACCAACTATTCTGCCTGCAATTGTGTAAAAGACGTGAGAATACCACATAACAAATAGTAAAGCTACATCAAGCAGTGACTGGGGAGCAGCAAGTTATTTCTAAGTTACTTGAATGTATATAAATGCAATTTTCTTTTTTCAGGCAGGGTGTTGTGTTGCTTTGTCACCCAGGATGGAGTACAGTGGTGTGATCCTGGCTCACTGCAACCTTAATTTCCTGGGCTCAAGTGATCCTCTGGCCTCAGTCTCCTGCGTAGCTGGGACCACAGGCACGGGCCACCACGCCTGGCTAATTTTTAAATCTTTTTGTAGAGATGGAGGTCTCCCTATGTTGTCCAGGTTGGTCTGGAACTCCTGGGCTCAAGTGATCGATCCTCCTGCCTCTGCACTTAAAATGAAAAAATCCTCTTGGCTGGGTGCGGTGGCTCACACCTGTAATTCCAGCACTTTGGGAGGCCAAGGCAGGCGGATCACCTGAGGTCAGGAGTTCGAGACAAGTCTGGTCAATATGATGAAACCCCTTTTCTACTAAAAATACAAAAATTAGCTAGGCGTGATGGTGTGCGCCTGTAATCCCAGCTACTTGGGAGGCTGAGGCAGGAGAATCGCTTGAACCTGGGAGGTGGAGGTTGCAGTGGGCCAAGATTGCCCCATTGCACTCCAGCCTGGGCGACTAGAGTGAATCTTCGTCCCCCCCCACACCACCTCCTCCACCACGCAAAAAGAAAAAATTATCAAGACACTGGATTCCTCCAGACTCCATGTGTGTCCTTAGGATCCAACTATGTATCCTTACCATATTGCTGCAATAAATCTTAGGAGGAGTACAACTATACAGTGAATCATATAAGTCCTAGTAAATCTTCAAGCATATGGGTGGTTATAGGACTCCCCAACACATTTGTATATCAATACTTCATTTCTTTTTATTCCTATTATTCCTCTGAATAACAACCAATTTGTTTATGTATTTGCTTGCTGAAGGACATTTAGATTGTCTTCAGGTTTGACAACTATAAACAAAACTATAAAACACGTGTCTGCAGGTTTTCATGTGAACATGAGCTTTCATTTCTCTAGAATGAGTATCTAGATATGACACAGTTGAGTACATGGTAAATGTATGATTAAGATTCTACCTGTCTTCCAGAGTGGCTGCACCATTTTGCTAAGAGATCCAGCTGTTCCCATCCTTGCCAGTACTTAGTACTATCACTATGTATTTTTAAATTTTAGCTGTTCTAATATGCAATATCATGGCTTAAATTTGCATTTCCCTAATGGCTAACAATGCTGAACTCTTCTCAGGGGGATATTTGCCATCCTTGTATCCTATCTGGTGAAATGTCTATTTAAGCCTACTTAAATCTTTTGCCCCTTTTAAAATTGAGTTTTTAAATTACTGCTGTGTTTTCTTATATATTCTGGATTCAAGTTCTTTTTCTGATACCGGATTTTCAAATATATTCTCCCAGTGTATAGCTTGTCTTTTCATGCTCCTAATAGAATTTTTTTTTACAGAACAAAGGTTTTTAATTTTGATGAAGCCCAATTTATCAAATTTTTGTTTTACGCACTGTGCCTTCGGTGTCATGTCTTAAGAACTCATTGCCAAACCCCAGGTCACAAAGATCTGTTTTCTTCTAAAAGTTTTATAGTTTCAGGTTTTATACTCAGATGTATGATCCATTTTGAGTTAATTTTATATAAAATATGAGGTAAAGGTTGAGGATTTTATTTTTCCATGTAAATGTTAAATTGTTCATGTCTTTGATGAAAAGAATATCCTTTTTCCATTTGAATTAGCTTTTGTATCTTTATTAAAATGCAGCGAGGGCCAGGCGGGGTGGCTCACGCCTGTAATCCCAGCACTTTGGGAGGCCGAGGCGGGCGGATCACCTGTCAGGAGTTCAAGACCAGCCTGGCCAACATGGCAAACCCCCGTCTCTACTAAAAATACAAAAATTAGCCGGGCGTGGTGGCACACGCCTGTAATCCCAGCTACTCGGGAGGGTGAGACAGGAGAATTGCTTGAACCCAGGAGGCGGAGGTTTCAGTGAGCTGAGATCGCACCACTGCACTCCAGCCTGGGAGACAGAGTGAGGCTCAGACTCAAAAAAAAAAAAAAAAAAAAAAAAAAAAAAAAAAAAAAGCAACGAAGACACAGGAATAAACCTTGAAAACATTATGCTAAGTGAGATAAGCCAGACGTAAAAGGTGAAATATTATTCTACTTGGGTGAGTTTGGATAGTTTGTGGCTGTGATCAGCAGAATAATGACCCCCTCCCACCCAACCAAGATACTGATGTTCTAATCCCCAGAACTTGTAAAGATATGTTACATAGGAATTAAGGTAGCAGATGGAATTAAGGTTAATAATCAGTTGAACTTAAAAAAAAAAACAATCTGGGTGGGTTCAATGTAATCACAACGGTCCTTAAATGTGGAAGGATGTGGCAAAAGAGGAAGTTAGAGTAAGATGTGAGAACAACTCGACTTGTTGTCTTTGAAAACGGAAGGGGGCCACAAGCCAAGAAATGTGGGCAGACTCTAGATGCAGGAAAAGAAAAGGAACAGATTCTCTCCTAAAGCCTCCACAATGGAATGCAAGTCCTGTCAACAATTTGATTTTATCCCAGTAAGACCCATGTCAGACTTCTGTCTCCAGGACTGTAAATAAAAACCTTTTGTTTTAAAGTCACTACATTTGTAATTTATTACAGGAGAAATAGAAAGCTAATACAGTGGTTTTTGAGGAACTGGTCCATTTCATCTAAGTTGATGAATTTCTATCTGTAGAGCTGTTTGTATTATCCTTTTCATGCCTGTACAGTCTACGGTGGTTATCTCCTCTTTCTTTTCTAATATTGGTAATTTGTCTTCCTTTTTTTCTTTTCTACTATTGGTAATTTGTTTTCCTTTTTTTTTTTCCTTTGCCAGTATGGCTAGAGGTTTACAATTTTATTGATTTTTTTTTTAAAGAGCTTTGAGTTTCACTGATTTTTTCTTTTTTTTCTGTTTTCTATTTCATGGATTTTTGTTCTCTATTATTTCTTTCTTCTGTTTAATTTGGGTTTATTTTGCTCTTCATTTCTAGTTTCATAGGTGGAAGCTTAAATTATTCACTTGAGACCTTCTCTTCTAATTAAGGCAGCTAATGCATCTAAGCATGTCTTTGGCTGTATCCCACAAATTTTGGTATGTTGAGTTTTCATTTTGGTTTAGTTCACAATATTCAAAGCTTTCCTTTGAGAGTTTTTAATCCATGGATTGTTTAGAAGTGTTCTTCTTATATATAAAGTTTACTATTTGGTTTATGACCCAGAATGTGGTTTATCTTGGTGAATTTACATGTGCACTTGAAAAGAATGTGTATTCTGCTGTCATTAGGTAAACAAATGTCAATTAGATCTACTTGGTTGACAGTGTTGTGTAGTTTTGTGTTGTTCAGTATTCTTTTTGATTTTCTACCCACTATTCTGTCAAGTACTGAGAGAGGAGTAGTAAAATATCTAACTACAATTGCAGATTTGCCTATTTCTTCTTTTATTTCTGCTGGTTTTTGCATCATACATTTTGAAGCTCTGTTGCTTGGTGCATATATAGTTAGGTCTTCTTGGTGAACTGACTGTTTTAACATTATATAATGTGCCTCTTGTTCTCTTCTCACACAACCTTTCTTAAAAACATTTTAGGCCAGGCGTAGTGGCTTATGCCCGTAATCCCAGCACTTAGGGAGGCCAAGGCAGGCAGATTACCTGAGATCAGTAGTTTGAGACCAGCCTGGCCAACATGGTGAAACCTCATCTCTACTAAAAATACAAAAGTTAGCTGGGCTTGCTGGTGGTACCTGTAATCCCAGCTACTTGGGAGGCTGAGGCAGGAGAATTGCTTGAACCTGGGAAGTAAAATGGTGCAGCCACTGTGGAAAAGTTTGGCAATTCCTCAAAAAGTTAAATATAAAATTATCATATGACCTTGCAATTCCATCCCTAGGTATATCTGGGAAAGAACCAAAAAGCTTACATTCACACAAAAACTTGTACATGAATGTTTATAGTAGCAGTATTTATAACAGCCAGGAAATAACCTAAGTGTCCATCAGCAAATATATGGATAAACAAAATGCAGTATAGACATACAATGGAATGTTATTTTCAGCCATAAAAAGGAATGCAGACTGGGTACAGTGGCTCACATCTGTAATCCCAGCACTTTGGGAGGCCGAGGCGGGAGGGTCACTTGAGGCCAGGAGTTTGAGTGTAGCCTGGGCAACATAGTGAGACCCCAAATCTACAAAAAATGATTTAAAAATTAGCTGGGTGTGGTAATACAGGTAATACATGCCTGTAGTCCCAGCTACTCAGGAAGCTGAGGCTGCAGGATCACTTGAGACTGGAAGTTCAAGGCTGCGGTGAACCATGATCTTGCCACACAGCATTCCAGCCTGGACGACAGAGCCAGGCTCTATCTCTTAAAAAAAAAAAAAAAAGGAATGCAGTACTGATGCATACTATGACATGGATGAACCATGAAAATATCATGGTAAATGAAAAGAAGCCAGACCTCAAAGGCCACATGTTGTATAATTCCACCTACACGAAACGTCCAGAATAGGTAAATCCATGGGCAGAAGTATAGTTGTTGCCAGAGATGGAAGACAGAAGAAATGGGAGAGACTACTAAAGGTATGGGGTTTCTTTTTGGAGTGATGAAAATGATAGGGGTGGCCGGGCGTGGTGGCTCATGCCTGTAATCCCAACACTTTGGGAGGCCGAGGCGTGTGGATCACCTGAGATCAGGAGTTCAAGAGCAGCCTGACCAACATGGTAAAACTCCGTCTCTACTAAAAATACAAAAATTAGCCAGGAATGGTGGTGCATGCTTGTGATCCCAGCTACTTGGGAGGCTGAGGCAAGAGAATCGCTTGAACCCGGTAAGCAGAGGTTGCAGTGAGCCAAGTTTGCACCACTGCACTCCAGCCTGGGCAACAGAGTGAGACTCCGTCTCAAAAAAAAGAGAAAAAGATAGTGGTGGTGATGGTTGCACAACATCATTATGAATACAGTAAAAAAAATTCAATTGTACATTTTAAAATGTTAAATTTTGTTATGTGAATTTTATTTCAAAGAAAAAAAATTTTTTTGGACCAGCCTGAGCAACATAGTGAAACACCATCTCTACGAAAATACAAAAAGTTAGCTGGGTGTGGTGGCAGGCGCCTGTAGTCCCAACTACTCGGGAGGCTGAGGCAGTAGAACTGCTTGAACCTGGGAGGTAGAGGTTGCAGTGAGCAGAGATCGTGCCACTGCACTCTAGCCTGGGTGACAGAGCGAGACTCTGTCTCAAAGAAAAAAACCTCTAAAAGCAAAAACAGTTAAAAGCGGTTACTTCAGGCAGGGCACGGTGGCTCATGCCTCTAATCCCAGCACTTTGGGAGGCCGAGGGTGGTGGATCACGAGGGCAGAGGAGGTCGAGACCATCCTGGCCAACACGGTGAAGCCCCGACTCTACTAAAAATGCAAAAATTAGCCAGGTGTGGTGGTGGTCGCCTGTAGTCCCAGCTACTCAAGAGGCTGAGGCATGAGAATCGCTTGAACCTGGGAGGGAGAGGTTGCAGTGAGCCGAAATCGCACCACTGCCCTCCAGCCTGGGCGACAGAGCGAGACTCCATCTCAAAAAAAAAAAAAAAAAAAAAAAAAAAAAGTGGTTACTTCAATGGAGGGAGCACGTACTTTCACTCAGTTCATACCATCATGTTGATTTTTTTTAAAACCATGTGTAAGTTATTATAACTTAAAAACTCCTACGTATGCCATCTGCCATGGCTGCCGGAGCTATTCTTCTTCTTTGAGAACGCCCCCAATGTTGAGGTGTGGATAACAGTCACGATTGTCCTACCTAACTCTGTGCCATGGCCACAGATGACTGATCCCTGAGTGAATGGATTCCTGACTCCATGTTGTGCCAATCAGATTTTCTATGCCTGAAAATAAAGATGCTAGCTAGCGTGGGTTGGAACCGAGAACAAGTAAATTTGGGAGACATGGAGTAGAGAAAGAGAAAGTGTGCAGAGATTAATGTATCCCAAGAGAAGAAATACTGAGTTGCTTGGATTCCTGCTAGCTTTCCAGTTCCTGATTCCACTCAGTCTCTTCGAATACCCAACCACTTCCCCTGTTCTTGGGTTTTATAGCCTTAATATAAATTAACTTTTTTCAGTGGCCTACCAAGGACAGAGTGGTAGAAGAGGTCCAAGCTGGGTACAGACAATAAGGGCACAGATTGTCTGTTTAGATTCATGGTGATAATAAAAAGCAGACCAACTAACTTTTAGTTCATTTTATTATTGCTTTAAATTCTCTAAAATGCTAGTGATAAAATAGTCTGCTCTGCCCCTCTTCACCCAACCCTGCTCTTTTTTGCATGAGCTAGTCTAGTTCTGTTAGATACAACCAAAGAAGCTTAAATATAACGAGAATAATGATCTTGGTCTAACCAATAGTTGAAGGGAAAACAGCTAAAGAGGCTGGGCGCAGCAGCTCACACCTGAGATCTCAGCACTCTGGGAGGCCAAGTGGGGGCAGATCACTTGAGGCCAGGAGTTCAAGACCAGCCTGGCCAACATGGCAAAACCCTGTCTCTATTAAAAATAGAAAAATTAGCCAGGCATGGTGGTGCACACTTTTAATCCCAGCTACTCGAGAGGCTGAGGCATGAGAATGGCTTGAACCCAGAAGGCGGAGGTTGCAGTGAGCCGAGATCACGCCACTGCACTCCACCCTGGGCAACAGAGCAAGACACTGACTCCAGAAAAAAAGAAAAGAAAAATTTTGAGATTTGTGATCTCACTAGCCATTTCAATTAACAACATTTCTGATTAATCAGTCTTTTCACTGCTTTTGTTCAACAAGTGTCCACTGAGCACTTTCAATGTACAAGGCAAATTCTAAGAAATTAGGATACAGTGGTGAATAATGCAGATACAGGGGCCCTGAATTCGCGGGGTCAAAATCCAGCAAAGGAACTTCCGAAACAAGGAATTTCAACAATGCACTTTACACACTATTTTTCAAAGACATATATAATAGGATCCTGCAGTAACATGGAGCAGGGGTACCCTACTTTGGTACCTAACTTAAGTTCCCAAAGGAAAAGTAAGACTTAGCCAGAAAAGTGGACATGGGATGGGAGGGGGAATCAGGCACAAGAAATCAGCAGATGCAAAAAGGCCTAGACACAGGTTCAAAATTAAAGAACTGAAAAAAGGTTCAGTGCGGCTGGGATGGAGTATGAGGAGGGGGTACGCAGTGATAAAGTCTCAGAGCAAGGCAAGGGTGGAGCCAACAAGGGCCTCATAAACCACTTTAAAAGTCCTGGATCAGATAGTAAGGGTAACAAGAAGTCACTGAAGGACTTGGTTCCAGTATGGCAGGTGGAAGAGAAGCAAGACTGGAGGCAAGAAACCAGTTAGAGGGCTGTTCCAGCGTCCAGGAAAGAGACTACGATGGCTTTAATTTTGACAGTAGCATTGGAGATGAGGGTCTGGGTCGGGCGCGGTGGCTCACGCCTATAATCCCAGCACTTTGAGAGGCCGAGGCAGGCAGATCACCTGTTCGAGACCAGCCTTGCTAACATGGTGAAATCCTGTCTCTACTAAAAATACAAAAATTAGCGGCTCGGTGTGGTGGCTCACGCCTACAATCCCAGCACTTTGGGAGGCCAAGGTGGGCGGATCACTAGGTCAGGAGTTCAAGACCAGCCTGGCCAACATGGTGAAACCCTGTCTTTACTAAAAATACAAAAATTAGCTGGGCATGGTGGCATGCACCTGTAATCCCAGCTACTCAGGGGGCTGAGGCAGGAGAATCACTTGAACCCAAGAGGCAGAGGCTGCAGTGAGCCAAGATTGTAACACTGCGCCCTAGCCTGAGTGACAGAGCAAGACTCAGTCTCAAAAAAAAAAAAATTAGCTGGGCATGGTGGCAGGCACTTGTAATCCCAGCTACTCCAGAGGCTGAGGCAGAATTGCTTGAACCTGGGAGGAGGAGGTTGCAGTGAGCCGAGATCACACTGTTGCACTCCAGCCTGGGTGACAAGAACGAAACTCCATCTCAAAAACAAAAAAAGCAAAAACAAAAACAAAACCCCTAGAACGGATAAGATACAGTGACCAAATTCAGATCCTGAAAGAGAGTCAGTGAGTAGCTGGTTATCCAAAAAAACTAGCATCACATACTAAAAAGCGGTGTCCTCTAGATCAGTGCTGTACAGAGAACTTCCTGATGTTAGGAATATGCTAGATCTGTGCTAATATAATAGCCCCTATCCACATGTAGCTACTGAGCACTTGAAATGTGCTAACACCGAGGAGGTGAATTTTTAATTTTGTGTAATTTTAATTAATTTACATTTAAATAGCCACACATGGCTACTGCCCTGGACAGCACACTCTAGATTATTGTGACACCTAACTTAAAATATATGACAGGGTTAATAAGTTTATACAATACTATATGACAAGGACAGTAAGAAAGGGAAAAATTCAGGCTGCTGGATGCAGTGGCTCACGCCTGTAATCCCAGCACTTTGAGAGGCCGAGGCGGGCGGATCACGAGGTCAAGAGATCTAGACCATCCTGGCCAACACTGTGAAACCCCGTCTCTACTAAAAATACAAAAATTAGCCGGGCGTGGTGGCGCGGGCCTATAGTCTCAGCTACTCCGGAGGCTGGGGCAGGAGAATCGCTTCAACCCAGGAGGCGGAGGTTGCAGTGAGCCGAGATTGCGCTACTGCACTCCAGCCTGGGTGACAGTGCGAGACTGTCTCAAAAAAAAAAAATGCATATTTCAAAATAAAATACACAACAAAACTTAACTTTTCAGTTTAAAAAAACTGTCTAAATATATGCAGAGAAAATAAACTACACAACCACGAACCAGTGGTTATCTTGAAGGTGAAGGATCTTCAAAGATCTTTCCTTTTCTGCTATATGTTGCTGAACTGCTTTTTTCTTTCTGTACAATGCATATGCATTACCTATCTGGGGGGAAAACAATTTCCTACTAAACCAAAAAGTGCCTATAAGTTATCACACAAACATACTTGTAATGCTGTTATAATAAAGATATGCAATACAATCACAGTGATACGAAAATATAGCAACAGCTTCTACGAACACATTATGACTTTTCTATAAGACACAACGTACACGGGAACAAGACATTCTGGGGAGAAACACATCAAGAAACTTCTCAGGTTCCCACAACAATCCACATAATTTATAAAATACTCTGAAGCTATTATTTTATATCTAAGTTACATCCTTCCTGTACTATGATGAGATGTGTCCCTTAGGATCATACATTTAGAAGACAAAATTTGACACAAATACATTCAAATCTCTATCAAATATGAAATCATCTCATTTATCCAGCAAAATCAGAGTATGGGGTATTTCTAATAAATAAACTTTCTAATATTAGTAACTGAAATTTAACCCTTTAAGCACCAAACCTTTTTACTTTGGAGGGATTTTTCCTAAAAAGTATCTATGCATCTGCACCCTCTTAAACCAATGCTACAATTGAATCTTCACTTGACATTTTGGGGCCATTGTGTTGACCATCGATTATCATTTCTAGAATTCTTATGAACATAAATTACTAGGATTTAGTGGAGAAATATATGCCCCTTCCTCAAAGCACCCTTGACTGCTATATAGTGAATTTTTTTTTTTTTCAAGTATGAAGGTAGTTTTAAATTTCTTCATCAGGCTGTCAGTGTTCACTGGCTAAGTTCGGACGTCTATCCAGGCTTTTTTCTAATATAATGCCATTAGTTACAGCCTGGGAAGCCAGGTAACTAAACTAATTAGAATTACAGGTAAATTAATAAGGACTTCCTGAGTAAGCACTAGAGGCCCTCCTATAAGAAATACCATACATTGTTTGCCGTCGATTTTGGCTGCTGAGGATGATTTAGCTTCCCACTGCCTTTTCTCTCTAGTACCCCAAGATGTTTTTTTCAATGAGCTAAGGCCGCTCTACAACTCTAAGTTAACTCCAGACAAGTCAGGTGTTGCCATCTACAGTGATTTCTAGCTGGATCTGACTCCGCCACTCATTACGTGTAAAAAGACACTGGGGAATGGAACGGTTGTCAAAATGCCCAGTTAACGACAACAAATATAAACTTTTCTTCGTATACCCTTCGCAGTAAAGTAGCAACAGCAATCGCAACCAAAATTTACTAAGCTCGCCTGCAGGATTCTCAGCCCTGTGTACAAACTCAAGTAGCTCAATATTTCTTGCTGGCTCTGGCACAGGAGCAGATCCAGACTAGATGGGTTCTAAAGTCATCCCAACAGGAAAACTAAGCTATGAACATTAAATCTTATCTCTGAAAGAGAGAATGAGGGTAGCACAGGAGTTAGAACCAACTTCTGTGCAAGCGAGCACTCCCCGACGCACCGGAAGTTTTGAAATATCCTGTGGGCTTCCCACAGGCAAAGTGGTTTTCCCTCCCCGCGGCTCTGCGGGCCCTCCCCAGGGTTCGAGGACCTCCGAGTTTGCTGCGCCCGGGGCCGGGGCCCTGGCCCTGCCACAGGCTGGGAGCGAGGCCGTCAATCACAGCCCGCGAATCACAGCCCGCGCCCCACGACTTCACCTTGGCGGCTCCCAAGCTGCGACTCGGGCAGGTGGGAGGTACCTGCGGCCCGGCTCCTGCCCCTGCCTGCTGCGACCGGGGGAGAGGCTGTCCCAGCTGGGGCCGGTGCAGGCCCCGGGGCCCCGTCTCGGGCCACGCGAGCCCTCGAGATGGTACCGCGTGGGGGCCGCGCGGCGGGGCCCTGCCCCGGGGCCCGGCAAACTCGGCTGCCCGCCCGGCCCGCCCCCCGGCGCCGCCACTCACCGAAGAATCCCTGCACGATTCCCAGCGGGTGGCTGAGCCAATCCTCCCCACACGGCATCTCGCCAGGGGCCGGGGCCGGCGAAGACCGGGCGGAGGCGATCCGCGGGCCGAGCGCGGCCGGGCGGCCGGCGCCCAGCTCCTCTTCAGCGGCTCGGCCGCTCCTCGCCCGCGTTCGCTCGCGCCCTCCCACGCACAGCGAGCCGCGGGGCGCGGGCCTCCCGCGCCTCAGGGAGCGGCGGCTGCGGTGGGGCCGCCGAGGAGCTGCTGGCGACAGTCAGGCGGGCGCGTACGGGCCCCTAGCCTTCACTTCGCACAATGGCGGGAAATAGCCGCCGCCGACCGCGCTGCCTGCGACCTGGGTGGAGCTCGCGTGGGGAGGGGCGGCGGGAGCGCGCGGCGCAGCGCGGCTCTGCGCGGCGAGGAGGAGGGGCGGCGGCGGCGCCGCCATCTTGGAGACGGGCAAAAGGAAGGGCACGCAGCGCCGCTGGAGGCTGCGCAGCGCGGGGCCCGGCGACGCGCTCCAAGGGCGGCGCGTTGTCGTTTGTACCCCTGGGCCGGCGTGTAGCGGGAACTCCCATAGTGGGCTTATAAGAGGGCAAAGCGAGTCTGCACAACAGCTGAAAAGCATTAAGCTCAGAGACCTCAGAGTCATCTCTGGGCAAAATTAGTGGGCGAAACCGCCTTGGGAATCCGCCCACCTCCTCTTCGTGCCTTTTTTTTCTTTTTTTGCTGATGGCAGCACTTTTATTTGGGTCCCCGGCCCGAAACCCTGAGTGGTGACTTTTCCCTCAGCTGCACAAGGTCTCCCTGAGGAAGGTGCACATTTAGAGAAGGGGAACCTCGGAGGACCCCACGCTCCTTCTGCAGTCGCGTCAGGCCCTGTGGCTCAGGGACGGTTCCTTACCGAGGGGCGGGCGCTCTAAACGCTCCGGGCCCGGCCTGCGCCCTGGTTGCGAACACCGGGTCGGCGTCTGTCTGGAAGCTGGCAGCCGCCGTCGGGGAGCGGTGCGAGGCTCCTGCACTGCGCGCCGCTAGGATACCCTGGAGAAGGAAGCTACGAAGACCGACTACAGCAGCCTTTTGCTGAGGCAATTTGGAAAATACCCAAGTTCAAGAGTGAAACTGTGGGAGTCGCTCTGAACCTCTTCTGGTTCAGGAGGCTGTCCGATAAAAAAGAAAAAAAGAATGAAACTGTGTCTCCCCTGGGCCTGAAATGTACCTAAGAAAACCCCAGGCCCATCAGATATATCTACTCAATGAAAAAAGGGCATGGTGACGGAAGGGGAATGACCTGAATGGAATCTACAAAGTGAGGAGCTGAAGGAAAAAAACGGAACCCGTGTCTCAAACCCTCCTTGGGGCTGTAGGAAGGGGGGAAAATCTTTCTACCTTTCTAGGTTCTCCACTGCGGCCCTTATCACAAAGCTCGGATTGGCAAAAGAAAAATTTAGTAACATGTACATCTTATATGGGCAAAACTCAAGGAAGAGTAACTCAAACAGGTGGCTTAGAATGGGGGAATTACGTAGCATTTACAATAAAGAACAATAACTGGGGAGAAATGGCGAAAGCAGTTTGAAGTTTCCAAAAACAGCAGAGTGGGAAGGCAGAGATACGAGAAACTAATGGTAGTTACAGGTAGTGAGTAAAGTGTGTTATGTAGGTTCTTCTAGCGCCATCGCTGGCTGATAAGGGTCTAAAGTTGTCTCTGGTGACTAACTTTTGTCCCTGGTAGAAAGAGGAGGTGGGACACCTTTGAAAATGTATGTCCTGCTCTTAGGTACATAGTGGAAGGGTAGGGAGCTTGTTTTGTACAGATGCTCCTCTACTTACTCTACTTAGGATGGAGTTACATCCCAATAAACCCATTGTAAATTGAAAATATCATTAGTTGAGGCCCAGCGTGGAGCCTCACTCCTGTAATCCCAATACTCTGGGAGGCCAAGGCGGGCGGATCATGAGGTCAAGAAATGGAGACCATCCTGGCCAACATGGTGAATCCCCATCTCTACTAAAAATACAAAAATTAGCTGGGCCTGGTGGCGCACGCCTGTAGTCCCAGCTACTCTGGAGGCTGAGGCAGGAGAATCACTTGAACCCGGGAGGCGGAGGTTGCAGTGAGCCAAGATCATGCCACTGCACTCCGGCCTGGTGACAGAGCGAGACTCCGTCTCAAAAAAATAAAATGTCATTAGTTGAAAATGTGTTTAATACACGGAACCTATCAAACATCAGTAGGCTACTGCAAACATGCTCAGAACACTTACATTAGCCTACGGTTGGGCAAAAGCATCTAACACAAAGCCCGTTTTATAATAAAATGTTGAATATCTCATGCAATTTATTGAATACTGTACTGAAATTTAAAAACAGAATGGCTGTGTGGGTAATTGAAGTATGGTTTCTACTGAATGGGTGTTGCTTTCACACCATCATAAAGTCAAAAAATCTTGTCAAACCACCGTTAAGTTGGGGACTGTCTGGATCTACTTTTCAGTTACCAAGATAATAATATTATAATTAAATTAATAATATGAAAATAATCCTTATGCCAAAGTGGCACATTTTGGGGTGACATTCTGGTTTACTTCAGGGCAAAAACGAATAGTTTGTATTTCTTAGTGTAAGGTAATTAATTGACACACTCAATTGTACATCTGGTTCCTGTGAGTTTGGGTACGTTGAGAAAACTTGAGTTTCAAATCCAGGTCATTACCACCATTCCATTCATTCATTTAAGAGACAGGGTTGCCAAGACCCTGGCATCAAAAGGGGAAATCCCATATTTTCGCTTCATGGCCAGTAACAGGCAAATTAAATGTATGATATGGAAATGTCTGCTCTTAAATCCCTGTAAATTCAAATTTACTTTATCTAAATTGCAGCTTGATACCAATTCAGCAGTGGCTAGTGTAAGGGAGGAAAAATATCTTTTCCGTCTACCCTTCTAGATTCTACGTTGGACCCCCTGTAACAAAAGATAGATTAACAAGAGAAAAGCATGCACTTTATTTCATACACGTTTTACAAGAAATGGGAGCCTTCATAAGGAAATGAAGATCCAAAGAAGCGTTAAAACCAAGTGTTTTTATGCTAGGTTTGATGAAGAGAGTCATAGAAGAATGTGATAGGACAAAGGTTGTGAGCTAAGTCCAGCAAACTAGGGGAAATTTAGCAAGGCCTGTGCATTAGATTCCTTTCCGTGTCCCTTCATCTTTAAGATAGGATGCTCCTGTCCTCCAGGAAGAGGGAGGGCAGCTCTCATGTCAGGGTCTTATAATCTGCTTCAGGGGAAGGCCAGGGAGCCTTTCCTGCATGTGCTATTTCTCAAATTCCTTCAGCTTAAAATACTTAATATGCCAAGGTGCCATATTTTGGGGTAGCAAGTCGTGAATCCCATCTCTGTGAAAACTTCTTTTGGTTTCTTCCTTGGTAGAGTATTTAGTGATTTATAAAAAAAAAATTGCTCGGATTTTACTTAAGGAGACACTGTGATCCTTCTGAAATGTAATTATTTTATAATGTGAATAATTTAACCCTCTGATTTTTCTGTGGCAAGACGTTTTGATACTAAGTAGTTATGGAGCTGGGGGAGGTAGTGTGCACTTGTAGTCTCAGATACTTGGGAGACTGAGGTGGGAGGATCACTTGAGCCCAGGAGTTCGAGGTTACAGTGAACTATGATCGCACCACTGCACTCCAGCCTGGGAGACAGAGGAACACTCCATTTCTAAAAATAATAACAATGACAATAATAATAAGTAGTCATGAAAATGTAAAAGGCCAGGGGAGTGTTCATGAAGGTCTGTTTCTATGGCAAGATTTCTTTTTTCCCACTATCAGTAACCACACTTCTGCCCCGACCGCGAGCCTGTATTTTTATGGAGGGCATTAAGTAACTCTGTCTATAAAAAATTACTGAGAGAGCAGCCAGGCGCGGTGGCTCACGCCTGTAATCCCAGCACTTTAGGAGGCCGAGGCGGGCGGATCACGAAGTCAGGAGATCGAGACCATCCTGGCTAACATGGTGAAACCCCGTCTCTACTAAAAAAAAATACAAAAAATTAGCTGGGCGTGGTGGCACGTGCTGGTAGTCCCAGATACTTGGGAGGCTGAGGCGGGAGAATTGGGGGAACCCTGGGGGTGGAGGTTGCATTGAGCCGAGAGCGTGCCACTGCACTCTAGCCTGGGCGACAGAGTGAAACTACGTCTCAAAAACAAACAAAAAAACAAAAACAAACAAAAAAATTACTGAGAGAGCACTGGAAATATGGGGTGAAAAAAGAGATTCCATCTCTGCCCTCATGGAACATACAGTCTAGCAGAAGACTTATTACTAATTACTCACGAGAGGTGCTAGGCAAGAATAGATGAATATTTATAAGAGGAATAAACAGATGTGTATATGTTCTAGTGAGGGAATGCTAAGGGTTGAATGTGTCCCCCAGAGTTTGGGTGTTGGAAACTTAATCCCCAATGCAACAGTGTTGAGAGGTAGGAACTTTAAGGGGCAGGGGCAGGGCCCTTATGAAGGGATTAATGTCACTATTGCAGGAGTGGGTTGGTTATAAAAGTGAGTTTGGCTCTTTCTTCCGCGTGTGTGCAGGCACGCACAGACACACACTCACACACATGCGTGCTCTTGCTTATGCTCTTTCACCTTCTCTCACCCTTTTTCCCTTTGCCTTATGATGATGCAGCAAGAAAGCCCTTGTCAGATGCCAGCATGTTGATATTGAACTTCCCAGCCTCCAGAACTGTGAGAAATAAATTTATTTATTTATTATTATTATATATATTTTTGAGACAGAGTTTGGCTCTTATTGCCCAGGCTGGAGTGCAATGGCGCGATCTTGGCTCACCGCAACCTCCGCCTCCCAGGTTCAAGCGATTCTCCTGCCTCAGCCTCCTGAGTAGGTGGGATTACAGGCATGTGCCACCATGGCCGGCTAATTTTGTGTTTTCAGTAGAGACGGGGTTTCTCCATGTTGGTTAGGCTGGTCTCAAACTCCTAATCCCAGGTGATCCGCCTGCCTCAGCCTCCCAAAGTGCTGGGATTAGAGGCGTGAGCCACCGCGCCCAGCCAATAAATTTTCTTTATAAATTACCCAGTCTGTGGCAATGTTATGGCAGCACAAAATGCTCTAAAACAAGAGAATGGGGAAGAATTGTGGGGTAGGAGAAAAGGATGCTTCAGGGCTTCTCTGAAAATGTGACACTTACACTAGAATTTGAAAGATAAATAACAGTAAATTAGGTGAAAATTGTGGGGGAAAGATTTTTAAGCTTTAAGACTGCAAAAACAAAAACTTGTACAGGAAAACTAAAATAGTTACAATTTAGTATATGACTTGCTATTAAAAGTGTTTACATAGTCACAATAAAGTTAAAATTTGAACATTGATCTAACCAACTTTATAGTTAACTATATTGGGAGGCTGGGGGGATGCGAAGGACTCACATATGTGATGATGACCAAGAAGATAAAAAAGAGAAAAATCCTAATCTTTCTTCTGAAAAATTAACAGATAATACAATGGAGGAAAAAAGGAAAAATTACAAGTAGCAATGGAATCATGTTAATTTAGAAATATAGCAATACTGAAAGAATCAGCTTAAAGAGGTAAAAGTAGTTGCCTCCAGGTTGCGCTAAATGGGGTAAACATTTGCTAGTTTTCTGTGTACTTATCAAAAATGCAATCCCAACTAGATTTTCCACTAGGTTATAAGATCCCTGAAGCAATGATTTTGGTATTTGTATGTTTTGTTTCCCAGCACCTAGAATAGTACCTGATTTATAAAAGATGCTCAATGAATAGTTGCTGAATGAATAATGCCCACTTTCTATAAACTGCCTAAATATCATCTCTAGATATTTAGACACATCAGATATTTAGACACACTACTTCATTTTCTTGGACCTCTTTTCCAGAGTCTTTTGACCTATTCCAATCTGGACTTGCTGCCTTTTACTTCTGGTCCAAAATCGTCTTCCTAGGATCTTCTACCACCATTACCTTAAAGATTATCTTTTTTTCCTCTTTTTTCTTTTTATTGAGGCCTCAGAAAAAAACTGTTCTCCTCTTCTTCCATAGTTACAGATAGGTTGCCCAGCGAAGAACTGCATTTCTCACCTATAGAGATGTAGCTGAGGTTGGTTTCCTAGCAAGGAACCACATTTCCCAGACTTCTTTGCAGCCAGATAAGGCTGTGTGATTAAGTTCTTACCAGTGAACTCTGAGTGAGTGAGATGTTTGGAACTCCCACTTCTATTTCTTTTTTTATAGTGACAACACCTTACGTTGCCCAGACTGGTCTCAAACTCCTGGGCTCAAGCAATTCTCCTGCCATGGCCTCCCAAAGTGCTGGGATTACAGATGTGAGCCACTGTGCCCAGCCCAACTTCCATTTTTTAGGGGAAAAAGATTTGGCCCTGCATGTTTTTTCCTCCTTCCTGATGCATAGGAGGGTGATGACTAGAATGACCTGCTTAAAGACACCTTGGATTTTTATGTGAACATTGCAGTCTGAGGTCTCTTTATACAGCTGCCAGCATTTGCTCTTATTAGTTCAGAAATTGGTATCAGAAGTGAGATGGTATCATAACAAACAGAAAATAATGTGGCTCTAATTTCGTGGTCAGATAGTGGGTGGTGATACATGAAAGCAGAATGCTCCAGAAAAATAAGGGGATGATTTGATTCAGGCTGTTGCAAGCGGGAGAGCATTCATTCATGAGCATCTCAAACAGGAGGGTTAATATTTGGGGCTTTATAAAAACAAAGGAATCATTGTGGAAGGGTGGAGGCAGGTCTTATGTTGGAATATGCAAGAGCAAAGTGGTCCTTTGCAATTAACCCTGTCTTAGAACACAAAAAGGTAGGGGGGATTCCTGAACTGTTTCTGTTTTTTGGGGGTAGGCAAAAAATAGGGAAGATGGCACTCATTGACCGAGTCACAACGTATCTGGTCTAATTGCTGCAGAGGTTGTGGGTCAGAGTTTTATTGTTAACTATAGCCTGACTGCTGGGCACAGTGGCTCCTGCCTGTAATCCCAGCACTTTGGGAGTCCAAGGTGGGCGAATTGCTTGAACCCAGGAGTTCGAGACCAGCCTGGGCAATGTGGTGAAACCCTGTCTCTAACAATAATATGAAAATTAGTTGGTGTGTGCCTGTAGTCCCAGCTACTTGGGGATGAGGTGGGAGGATCACTTGAACCCAGGAGGTTGAGGCTGCAGTGAGCCGTAATTGTGCCACTGCACTTCAGCTTGGGTGACAGATTGAGACCCTGTCTAAAAAAATAAAAATTAAATATAATCTGACCATTGTCTGTTTGTATATGCAGTTTGCTTAGAAATATTGTGCAAGCCATGTATGTAATTTAAAAGTTGTCAGCAGTCATACTTTAAAAAGTAAAAATAAATAGGTAAATTATTTTTAATTTTTTTATTTTTTGAGATGGAGTCTCACTCCGTTGCCCAGGCTGGAGTGTAGTGGTGTGATCTTAGCTTACTGCAACCTCCACCTCCCGGGTTCAAGTGATTCTCCTGCCTCAGCCTCCTGAGTAGCTGCAATTACAGGCACGTGCTACCACGCCTGGCTAATTTTTGTATTTTTTGTAGAGGCTAGGTGATTCACCCGTCTCGGCCTCCCAAAGTGTTGGGATTACAGGCGTGAGCCACCATGCCCAGCCATAAATTAGTTTTTATAGTATATTTAACCCAGCATGTCAAAAATAATACAATTTGAAAAAAGAATCAATACAAATATTATTAATATGATATTTTACTTTGTTCCCTGAAGTCTTTGAAATTCTGTATGTATTTTATACTTATAGCACTTCTCACTTCAGATAGTCATATTTCTAGTGCTCACTAGACACGGGTGGCTAGAGGCTACCAGATTGGACAGCACAAGAGATGTTAGAACGTTACAGGACTGGAAATGCTAATCAATTCAATATTCAAATCACAGGAGGTAAAATTTTTGCTGAAAACTATTTTCAAGGGTCCTTTGAGACTTCTTGGGTAATCAGAAGAATCCAGCCTTACAGCAAAGTTCAAATCAAGGATGGTCCTCTCCTACTGGAGGCTATTTCAAATCACTTCAAGTTAACCCCCAGTTAGGCTGAAAAATGAGCTTGAATCAGATAAGGAAGTAAAGAATTCGGAATGGACTGGAAATAAAAATACCAGGAGCAGGGCCTGAAAAAGCCAGCAACTGTCCAGCCTAGGCAACATAGGGAGATCTCACCTCTACAAAAATTAAAATAAAATAAATGAGCCAGGCATGTGGTCCAGCTACTCAGGAGGTGGAGGTGAAAGGATCGCTTGGGTCTGGGAGGTTGAGACTGCAGTGAGCTGTGATCACGCCACTGTGCTGCAGCCTGGGTGACACAGCAAGATCCTGTTTCAGAAAAAAAGAAAGAAAAAAAGCAAAAAAGCTAGGAACTTGTGCAGGCCTCAAAAGCAAGTCTTAGGCCTCAAACTTTTACCAGCAAGAAATGGACTGCCAAAGAGAGACAGACATGCTTCCTGATGCCACTTTTTTTTTTTTTTTTTTTTTTTGAGATGGAGTCTTGCTCTGTTGCCCAGGCTGGAGTGCAGTGGCATGATCTCAGCTCACTGCAACCTCCGTCTCCTGGGTTCAAGCAATTCTCCTGCCTCAGCCATGAGTAGCTGGGACTACAGGCATGCGCCACCACACCTAGCTAATTTTTGTATTTTTAGTAGAGATGGGGTTTCACCATGTTGGCCAGGCTGGTCTTGAACCCCTGACCTCAAATAATCTGCTCACCTTGGCTTCCCAAAGTGTTGGATTACAGGTGTGAGCCACCATGCCTGGCTCTGATGCCACTTAAAATTTTTTTTGAGACAGGGTCTCACTGTGTCACCTAGGCTGGAGTGCAGTGGTGCAATCACAGCTCACAGCAGCTTTGACCTCCTGGGCCCAAGTGATCCTCCTGCTTCAGTCTCCAGAGTATCTGGGACCACAGGCATGCACCACCATGCCTGGTTATCTTACTTTATTTTATTTTATTTGAGTAGAGACAGGGTCTTGCCATGTTGCCCAGGCTGGTCTTGAATGCCTGGGCTCAAGTGATCCTCCTGCCTCGACCTCCCAAAGTACTGGGATTACAGGCGTGAACCACTGCACCTGACCCCCTAATGCCACTTTAGATATGGCCAAGGAAGATCATGGATCAGGAGACATCTCCCTGTGTTCGTCTGCTTTTTATGTCGCTATAAATACCTGAGGTTGGGTCATTTATGAAGAAAAGAGGTTTAATTGGCTCACGGTTCTGCAGGCTGTACAGGAAGCATGGTGCTGGCATCTGCTTCTGTTGAGGTCCTCAGGAAGCTCACAATCAGCCAGGCGCGGTGGCTCATGCCTGTAATCCTAGCACTTCGGGAGGCCGAGGCAGGCGGATCACAAGGTCAGGAGATCGCGACCATCCTGGCTAACATGGTGAAACCCTGTCTCTACTAAAAATACAAAAAAAAAAAAAAATTAGCTGGGCGTGGTGACGGGCACCTGTAGTCCCAGCTACTTGGGAGGCTGAGACAGAAGAATGGCGTGAACCCAGGAGGCGGAGCTTGCAGTGAGCTGAGATGGCACCACTGCACTCCAGCCTGGGCGACAGAGCGAGACTCTGTCTCAAAAAAAAAAAGAAAAAGAAAAAGAAGAAAAAAGGAAGCTCATAATCATGGCAGAAGGTGAAGAGAGGGCAGGTGCATCACATTGCAAAAGTGAGAGCAAGCGAGAGAGGGGCGCAGGTACCATACTCTTTTATTTTATTTTTTATTTTTATTTTTTGAGACAGAGTCTCGCTCTGTTGCCCAGGCTGGAGTGCAGTGGTGCGATCTCAGCTCACTGCAAGCTCCACTTCCCAGGTTCATGCCATTCTCCTGCCTCAGCCTCCCAAGTAGCTGGGACTACAGGCACCCGCCACTATGCCCGGCTAATTTTTTTGTATTTTTAGTAGAGACGGGGTTTCACTGTTAGCCAGGATGGTCGCGATCTCCTGACCTCGGCCTCCCAAAGTGCTGGGATTACAGCCATACTCTTTTAAATGACCAGATCTTGCCTGAGCGTAGAATGAAAACTCATTATTGTGAGGACAGCACCAAAGTGCAAGACATCCATGAGGGATCTGAGCCCCTGACCCAAACACCTCCCACCAGGTCCCACCTCCAATATTGGGAATCACATTTCAACATGAGATTTGGAAGGGACAAACACCTAAACCATAGTACTCCCAGAGAGCAAAGCCAGTGCCTCAGAGGACTGTAGACTTAGGAGTTATTTCCAGGGGGCCAGGGAGTTATTAATATACAAGAGGCAGCTGGACAAACCATGACAATTTTCCACTGTCAGAGCAGGGAGTATTTCCAATTCATGCCTATCAGGATTCAATCATTTCTATGAAAGTGATTGCTGTGTTTTCCATTTCTCCTTTTTTCCAGTGGGGGCTTGATGGAAGTTACGTTGTTCTTGCTCCACTATTGGCTATTGGGCATCTTAAAGTCATGGTTCACTAGACTATAAAGAGCCACATTTGGACACAGTCAAAAGGGCTGAGCTACACTCAAAGATCCTGGACTTTTACGTTGGATATAGGTGGTTGCCTCCCTTGGGAAGGGACATAGACATATGTTCTATGTCTGGGAAGGGTGGGAATATGCTAGCCAGAGGGGCAGACTGTGGTGGCAATTGTCATTCCCCACCAAATCTTCTTCGTCCACAGTTATATGTAGTTAGAATGTAGTTATCCAGGTGGGGACTGTATTTACCAGCTTTTCGTGCACCCAGACATGCCTTTTGTGGAAGTTCTCATCAATGGAATGTGAACAGAAAGGATGCAACTTCTGCCCCACTTGTTAAGATGAAATATTTGCCCCTCAACTGCTTTGACCCTTCCTGCTAACTTGGATGGCAACAACTAGAGCAGCCTTGGCAGCCCTATGTTGAGGACAGAAAGCTGGTCACCAACAGGTACTCTTATGTGAGTTAGGGCTGAGCTTCTATCATGTTTGAGCCATTGCATTTTTGGGTCTTTCTGTTAAAGTAGCTTACTGTCCCCTACTATACCTTGGAGCAGTTACTTTAGAAAGCTTGGAATTATAAACCCTTCCTCTGCTACTTGAAGATGTAAATCTTTTACTGCACCAATCAGCACTGTGTAAAAATATACCAGTCAACACTCTGTGTCTAGCTAAAAGATTGTAAATGCACCAATCAGCACTCTGTAAAATGGACCAATCAGTGCTCTGTAAAATGGACCAATCAGCACTCTGTAAAATGGAACAATCAGCAGGACGTGGGCAGGGACAAATAAGTGAATAAAAGCTGGCCACCCCCAGCCAGCAGTGGCAACGTGCTCAGGTCCCCTTCTACACTGTGGAAGCTTTGTTCTTTTGCTCTTCACAATAAATCTTGCTGCTGCTCACTCTTTGGGTCCGTGCCACCTTTAAGAGCTGTAACTCCACAAAGGTCCGTGGCTTCATTCTTGAAGTCAGCAAGACCAAGAACTCACTGGAAGGAACCAACTCTGGACAAATCTTGGCAACCACGAAGGGACTATTGCCAAGCTGCCAAGCAGTGAGTAACAACGGACCTCTTTTGCTTGCTATTCTTTCCTATGTTTCCTTAGAATTTGGGGGCTAAATCCTGGGCACCTGTCGGCCAGTTAAACTAGCATGGCTGCTGGACTAAAGAAATGGGTGTCAGGCTTTCTGGGAAAGGGCTCTCCAACAACCCCGACTCTTTGGAGTTGGGAGTGTTGGTTTGCCTGGAACCAGCTTCCACTTTTCCTGTACTTCTGGGCTGAGCCGAGGGTTGACTGACAGGAAAGCCACTCAGCTCCAGGGTCCCAACAAAAAGTTGGTTGGCCCTGTAGCCATGAGTGGAACTCTCAAAGTCACGTCGCCCAAGTGAGACTTGCTCATCTATCCTATCTATCCTGACCCTTGCCTCCTGGGTCCTAACGCCTGTCAGACAAACTTCCTCTTGCCTCTCTTCTCCAAGGCTAGTCCTGCTTCTAAAAACCACTCCCTGCCTCTGGTGCTTTTCTAGTTTCTCCTATAAGAATGATTTCTAGTATAAACTTCAGGACTCTGTTCCCTTCCTTAGGCACCTGGGCTCACCAATCAGAAAGACATAATTTTTGTGCAAAGCCCCATCAGGTGAGGAGACCAACTATCCTTTTAGGATCCCTCCTCAAACAAGCAGGCCTAACAAAGCCTATTCCTGAAGCTAGGATATGGGGAGCCTCAGAAATGTTATCCTTCCTATTCATATAATGAGAAGTGAGGACAAAAGTCACTCTTCCAACCCTGGAGATCCCTTCCTTTCCTCAGGGTATAGCCCTCCACTTCAGTTTTGGGGCATAACACCTTTATAGGACAGGGGTAAGTTCCCAATACTAACAGGAGAACATTTAGGACTCTAATTTTCGAGAATGCTTCGGTAAGGGCCACTAAATCCAACCTTCCTTGGTCCTCTTTGTGGTCTAAGAGGAAAACTGGGGTTTCTGCTGCTGCGTTGGCGAGTGCAACTATTCTGATCAGCAGGGTCCAGGGACCATTGCGGGTTCTTGGGCAAGAGGGGTTTCTGCTGTGTCAGTGAGCACAACTATTCTGATCAGCAGGTTCCAGGGACCATTGCAGGTTCTTGGGCAAGAGGGGGAAAACAAACAAACCAAAACTACAGGCAGTTTTTTCTTTCAGATGGGAAACACTCAGGCACCAACAGCCTCACCCTTGAAATGCATCCTAAGCCACTGAGACCAATTTGACCCACAAACTCTGAAAAAGAAGCGGCTCACTTTTTCTGCACTGTGGCCTGGCCCCAATATTCTCTCTCTGATGGGGAAAAATGGCCACCTGAGGGAAGTATAAATTACAATACTATCCTGCAGCTTGACCTTTTCTGTAAGAGGAAAGGCAAATGGAGTGAAATACCTTATGTTCAAGCTTTCTTTTCATTGAAGGAGAATCCACAACTATGCAAAGCTTGCAATTTACCGTCCACAAGAGGAATTCTCAGCTTACCCCTATATCCTAGCCTCCCTATAGCTCCCCTTCCTATTAATGATAAGCCTCCTCTAATCTCCCCCACCCAGAAGAAAACAAGCAAAGAAATCTCCAAGGGACCACAAAACACCCTGGACTATTGGTTATGTCTCCTTCAAGCTGTAGGGGGAGGAAAGTTTGGCCCAACCTGGGTACATGTCCCCTTCTCCCTTTCTGATTTAAAGCAGATCAAGGCAGACCTGGGAAAGTTTTCAGATAATCCTGATAGGTATACAGATGTCCTACAGGGTCTAGGGCAAACCTTCGATCTCACTTGAAGAGATGTCATGCTATTGTTAGATCAAACCCTGGCCTTTAATGAAAAGAATGCAGCTTTAGCTGCAGCCTGAGAGTTTGGAGATACCTGGAAAGGGACAAATTCCCTACCGATCAGCAAGCTGTCCCCAGTATGGATCCCCACTGGGACCCTGACTCAGATCACAGGGACTGAAGTCACAAACATCTGTTGACCTGTGTTCTGGAAGGACTAAGGAGAATTAGGAAAAAGCCCATGAATTATTCAATGATGTCCACCATAACTCAGCGAAAGGAAGAAAATCCTTCTGTCTTCCTTGAGTGGCTATGGGAGGCCTTAAGAAAATATACTCCCCTGTCACCCGACTCACTCGAGGGTCAATTGATCCTAAAAGATAAGTTTATTACGCAATCAGCCACAGATATCAGCAGAAAGCTCCAAAACCGAGCCCTGGTCCCTGAACAAAATCTGGAGGTATTATTAAACCTGGCAACCTTGGTGTTCTATACTAGGGACCAAGAGGAACAGGCCAAAAAGGAAAAGCGAGATCAGAGAAAGGCTGCAGCCTTAGTCATGGCCCTCAAACAAACAAACCTTGGTGGTTCAGAGAGGACAGAAAATGGAGCAGGCCAATCACCTGGTATGGCTTTTTATCAGTGTGGTTTGCAAGGACACCTTAGAAAAGACTGTCCAACAAGAAACAAGCTGCCCCCTCGCCCATGTCCACTATGCCGAGGCAATCACTGGAAGGCGACTGCACCAGAGGACAAAGGTTCTCTGGGCCAGAAGCCCCCAAACAGATGATCCAACAACAGAACTGAGGGTGTCCGGGGCAAGCGCCAGCTCATATCATCACCCTCACTGAGCCCTAGGTATGTTTAACTATTGAGGGCTGGGAAATTGACTTCCTCCTGGACACTGGTGTGGCTTTCTCAGTGTTAATCTCCTGTACTGGACAGTGTGCTCAAGGTCTGTTACCATCTGAGGAGTCCTGGGACAGCCTGTAACCAGGTATTTCTCCCACCTCCTCAGTTGTAACTGGGAGACTTTGCTCTAAACATGCCTTTCTTGTTATGCCTGAAAGTCCCACACCCTTATTAGGGAGGGACATATTGGCCAAAGCTGGAGCTATTATCTACATGAATATGGGGAACAATTTACCCATTTGTTGCCCCCTGTTTGAGGAGGGAGTCAACCCTGAAATATGGGCATTGGAAAGACAATTTGGAAGGGCAAAAAATGCCCACCCACTCCAAATCAGGCTAAAAGACCCCACCACTTTTCCTTATCAAAGACAATATCCCTTAAGGCCTAAAGCTCATAAAGGATTACAGGATATTGTTAGACATCTAAAAGCTCAAGGTTTACCAAGAAAATGCAGTAGTCCCTGCAACACCCCAATTCTAGGAGTACAAAAACCGAATGGTCAGTGGAGACTAGTGCTTAGATCTTAGACTCATCAGTGAGGCAGTAATTCCTCTATATCTAGTTGTAACCAACCCCTATACCCTGCTCTTTCAAATACCAGAGGAAGCAGAATGGTTCACTGTTCCTGACCTCAAGGATACCTTCTTCTGTATTCCCCTGCACTCTGACTCCCAGTTTCTCTTTGCCTTCGAGGATCCCACAGACCACACGTCCCAACTTACGTGGATGGTCTTGCCCCAAGGGTTTAGGGATAGCCCTCATCTGTTTGGTCAGGCACTTGCCCAAGATCTAGGCCACTTCTCAAGTCTAGGCATTCTAGTCCTTCAGTATGTGGATGATTTACTTTTGGCTACCAGTTTGGAAGCCTCATGCCAGCAGGCTACCCTAGATCTCTTAAACTTTCTAGCTAATCAAGGGTACAAGGCGTCTAAATCGAAGGCCTAGTTCTGCCTATAACGAGACAAATATCTAGGCCTAATTTTAGCCAGAGGAACCAGGGCCCTCAGCAAGGAACGAATACAGCCTATACTGGCTTATCCTTACCCTAAGACATTTAAACAGTTGTGGGGGTTCCTTCGAATCACTGGCTTTGCTGACTATGGATCCCTGGATACAGTGAGATGGCCAGACCCCTCTATACTCTAATCAAGGAGACCCAGAGGGCAAATACTCATCTAGTAGAATGGGAACCAGAGGCAGAAACAGCCTTCAAAACTTTAAAGCAGGCCCTAGTACAAGCTCCAGCCTTAAGCCTTCCCACAGGACAAAAACCTCTCTTTATATGTCACAGAGAGAGCAGGAATAGCTCTTGGAGTCCTTACTCAAGACTTGAGGGACAACCCCACAACCAGTGGCATACCTAAGTAAGGAAATTGATATAGTAGCAAAAGGCTGGCCTCACTGTTTATGGGTAGTTGTGATGGTGGCCATCTCAGTGTCAGAGGCTATCAAAATAATACAAGGAAAGGATCTCATTGTCTGGACTACTCATGATGTAAATGGCATACTAGGTGCCAAAGGAAGTTTATGGCTATTAGACAACTGCCTGCTCAGATACCAGGCACTACTTCTTGAGGGACCGGTGCTTCAAATACGCATATGTGTGGCCCTCAATCCCGCCACTTTTCTCCCAGAGGATGGAGAACCAATCAAGCATGACTGCCAACAAATTATAGTCCAGAGTTATGCTACCCAAGAGGATCGCTTAGAAGTCCCCTTAGCTAATCCTGACCTTAACCTATATACTGATGGAAGTTCATTTGTGGAGAATGGGATACGAAGAGCAGGTTATGCCATAGTTAGTGATGTAACAATACTTGAAAGTAAGCCTCTTCCCCCAGGGACCAGCACCAAGTTAGCAGAACTACTGGCACTTACCTGAGCCTTAGAAAGGGAAAAAGAATAAATGTGTATACAGATAGCAATTATGCTTATCTAATCCTACATGCCCATGCTGCAATATGGAAAGAAAGGGAGTTCCTAACCTCCGGGGGAACCCCCACTAAATACCACAAGGAAATCATGGAGTTGTTGCATGCAGTGCAAAAACCCAAGGAGGTGGCAGTCTTACACTGCTGAAGCCATCAAAAAGGGGAAGGAGAGGGGAGAACAGCAGCATAGCAGCATATGCGGCTGGCAGAAGCAGGGAAAGACCAGCAGAGAGAAGGAAAGAAAGAGAGAAAGACAGAAAGTCGAAGAGAGAGAGAGAAAGAGACAGAGACAAAAAAGGAGTCAAAGAGAGAAAGAGACAGAAAGTCAAAGAGAAAGAAAGAGAGAAAGGGAGAGAAGTAGTAAAGAAAAAACAGTGTACCCTATTCCTTTAAAAGCCAGAGTAAATTTAAAACCTATAATTGATAATTGAAGGTCTTCTCCATGACCCTGTAACACTCCAACACCACCTGGTTGTCAGTGTAAACAAGGGCATAGCCCGAAAGCACTGAGGCCACTGACAACCCATAGCCTTCCTATCAAAAATCCTTAACCCAGCAGGTTTCCTAACAGGGGATCTAAATCTTAATTACCATACAAAGGTCCAACCAGATCTAGGAGGAACTCCCTTCAGGACAGGACTATAGCTGGTTCCTCCCCAGCGATTAAGGGAGAAAGACACAATGAGTATTCAGTAAGTGATAAGGAAACTCTTGTAGAAGCAGAGTTAGGAAAATTGCCTAATAATTGGTCTGTTCAAACGTGCTCCAGCTATCAGTACTCAGCCAAACCTTAAAGTACTCACAGAATCAGGAAGAAGCCATCTATACCAATTGTAAGTTAATATGGATTGAACAAGGTCTTATTAATACAAAGAATAATTGAAATCCCAAACTTACAAGGTTTTCAACAAAAGTAAAGTTTGCTAAAAGTTAACAGTGTAACATATATTATCCTACTACCACACACTCTCAAAGGATTTCTCAGACAGTTTGCAAGAAATAACAAAATCTATCCTTATTCTACAATTCCAAATAGACTCTTTGGCAGCAGTGACCCTCCAAAACCACCGAGGCCTAGACCTCCTCACTGCTGAGAAAGGAGGACTTTGCACCTTCTTAGGGGAAGAGTGTTGCTTTTACACTAACCAGTCAGGGATAGGATGAGGTGCCGCCTGGTGTTTACAGGAAAAGGCTTCTGAAATCAGACAACGCCTTTCAAACTCTTATATCAACCTCTGGAGTTGGGCGATATGGCATTTCCCCTTTCTAGGTCCTGTGATGGCCATCTTGCTATTATTCACCTTCGGGCCCTGTATTTTTAACCTCCTTGTCAAATTTGTTTCCTCTAGGATTGAGGCCATCAAGCTACAGATGGTCTTACAAATGGAACCCCAATGAGCTCAACTAACAACTTCTACTGAGGACCCCTGCACCAACCCGCTGGCCCTTTGACTGGCATAAAGAGTTCCCCTCTGGAGGACACTACAACTGCAGGGCTCCTTCTTCAACCCATCCAGCAGGAAGTAGCTACAGAGGTCATTGCCCAATTCCCAACAGCTCTTGGGGTGTCCTCTTTAGAGGGGGGATTGAGAGGTGAAGCCAGCTAGACTTCCTGGGTTGAGTAGGGACTTGGAGAACTTTTCTGTCTAGCTAGAGGATTGTAAATGCACCAATCAGTGCTCTGTGTCTAGCTGAAGGACTGTAAATGCACCAATCAGCACTCTGTAAAAACACACCAATCAGTGCTCTGTGTCTAGCTAGAAGATTGTAAATGCACCAATCAGCACTCTGTAAAAATGCACCAATCAACACTCTGTGTCTAGCTAAAGGATTGTAAATGCACCAATCAGCATTCTTTACAATGGACCAATCAGCGCTCTGTAAAATGGACCAAGCAGCAGGATGAGGGCAGTGACAAATAAATAAATAAAAGCTGGCCACCCGAGCCAGCAGCAGCAACCCAGTCAGGTCCCCTTCCACGCTACGGAAGCTTTGTTCTTTCGCTCTTCACAATAAATCTTGCTGCTGCTCACTCTGGGTCTGTGCCACCTTGAAGAGCTGTAACACTCACCACAAAGGTCCGCGGCTTCATTCTTGAAGTCAGTGAGGCCAAGAACCCACCGGAAGGAACCAACTCCGGACACATGACCACTGAGAACTGTCTTCTCAAGGACCTGGGGGTTTGTCTCTTGAATTGCAAGCCTTCAAGGAGGTGGTTCTCATTCTCATTCCCAGTCCCTGTGGCTACCTTGCTCTCTTACACCACTGCTTGTCATGAAGACAGAAAAATTATGTCTCCTCTGGATAAGCATGGATTAACACACCCAGATGGCCTAGTTGCAGGACGAACCAACCCTTCACACTCCTCAGCACCTTTCCCTTAGCACACCACAGCCTCTAAAAAGCCTCCAAATTTTTGTTTCAGCAAAGTTGTGTTCAGTTCATGCTGGACCCAATTCCCTAGCAATAGTTTTCATTAAATAAAATCTAATTTACTGCTTTAACGAGTGTCCCACTTAAAAAATTTTTCTTGACAGTAAGCACATGAAATCGTTATTGAATTAATAAACTTAGGTTCTATATATGTGTAAACAGCTGAGCAGAGTTTCATTATTTTGAGCGTTCTTTTGGTATCTCCTCTCCCAACCTCCAAGAAGCTGAAATATGGCTTAAGTTATATTTTCCTTCAAAATCTCTAACTATGAAAGATGACAATTATGTCCAAGTTATCCACAGTACCTCCTGGATTGAAGTAAGTCAGCTTACTGTGGATATAGAAAGCTATCTAAAATGTCAGATCTCTAATTTCAATGCCCTGGTTTCTTTTTTTTTCTTTTTTTTTTTTTTAAGGAGACAGGGTCTCGCTGCACAGTGAGTGGCAAGATCAGGGTTAATTTGGCCTCAAGCAATATTCCCGCCTCAGCCTCCTGAGTAGCTGGCAATATAGGTGCTATGCCACCAAGCCCGGCTAATTTTTGTATTTTTAGTAGAGACGGGGTTTCACCATGTTGGCCAGGTTGGTCTCAACCTTCTGGGCTCAAGCTATCCTCCCGCTCTGCCTCACAAAGTGCTGGGATTGCAGGCCTGCGCCATGGCGTCTGGTTTGATTTCTCTTTTAAATATTTTTTTTGGCCAGGCGTGGTGGTTCATGCCTATAATCCCAGCAGTTTGGGAGGCCAAGGCGGGCAGATCACGAGGTCAGGAGATTGAGACCATCCTGGCCAACCCGGTGAAACCTCGTCTTTACTAAAAATACAAAAAATTAGCCAGGCGTGGTGGCGGACGCCTGTAGTCCCAGCTACTCGGAGGCTGAGGCAGGAGAATCGCTTGAACCCGGGAGGCGGAGATTGCAATGAGCCCAGACTGCACCGCTGCACTCCAGCCTGGGCGACACAGCAGACTTGTCTCAAAACAAAAAACAAAACCAACCAAAAAAACAAAAAACAAATGCAAAACAAAAAACAACAAAAATAAAACGAAATATTTTTTTCTCCCTATGGATTAAACACTTAAAAAATGTTTTACCACTTCTATTTCTGGGTCAACCACAATGTTCGGTTCCATCCAGAAAGACAAGTGGGTTTTGGAGAGGGTGTTTGGTTCCGCCTAGCATGCGAATTCCCATTCCCGCACAACGCTCTTCCTCCCTTCCTCCTTCCGGTAGCGTCCAGCAGGATTCCGCTGTTCCTCCAAAATCTTTGTCAGGAGAGCCATCCTGACGGTACCTTTAGGAAGCCCATAGATACCCGCCACAACCTGTGACTTTCAGGGTCAATTGCGTCTCAATTCGCACGTCTATCCAGAACCTGCGGGGACCACGTCCCCATCCTCCCGCCCGGCCTCCGCCTCCGAGGGTGTCACGTGCTAGACGCGGGCGTGAAGACAGTGTCGCCATGTTGATATCTGGCGTCGCCGTGTAGGGGAAGGGAGAGGGCGGCTGACTAGCTACCCGTAATTTCGGCTCCTGTGCGCAAGTGCGGAAGTGCGCTGGCCAGGAGCGTGATCGGTTTCCGGTCAGTGGTGTGGTACCGGGTACCCGGAGACGTGTATCGGACGGTGGGCCGCAGCCATGGCCGAGAGAAAACCTAACGGTGGCAGCGGCGGCGCCTCCACTTCCTCATCGGGCACTAACTTACTTTTCTCCTCCTCGGCCACGGAGTTCAGCTTCAATGTGCCCTTCATCCCAGTCACCCAGGCCTCCGCTTCTCCGGCCTCCCTGCTCTTACCGGGAGGTAATAAGGGGAGGGCGGCCCCGTGTGTGGTGGGAGGCGGGCGGGGGACGTGCAATGACAAAGGTCAGACGGGAGTTTTTCCTTCTGCCTCGAGCTACCCTCTGGATAGCTTGCCAGGATCATTACTGGCCAGGTTTGAGTGGGTCGGGGGCTTTGGGATCTTGGAGGTGGCAGGTGATGAGACTTGCTCTTCACGGAAACCCCCTGTTCCGAGTTGTCCAGAGTGCTGGACATTCATTCGTACCCTGGCATTCCGCAAATCTTTGCTGAATACCCGTTGTTGGTACGCCAGGTGCTGGCAGGAAATGCAAATAAATTAAACAGTGGCCCTCTCCTAGGGTACAGTAGTCTGTCTCCCACTAGGAGACTCCTAGGATACGGTAAGATACCTCCTAGGATGGACTGTGCCCCTCTCCTAGGATACGGTACACTGTCTCCTACTAGGAGATTGTTGTGATACAGTACAATATCTTCTAGGTTACAGTAAGATATCTTATAAGATGGACTGTGCCCCTCTTCTAGAAGCCTGTAATATTTGTGAAGTAGACATATACAATGCATTCCTTATCTTTTTTTTTTTTTTTTTTTTTTTGAGACGGAGTCTTGCTCTGTCGCCCAGGCTGGAATGCAGTGGCGCGATCTCGGCTCACTGCAGCCTCCACCTTCCAGGTTCAAGTGATTCTCCTGCCTCAGCCTCCCGAGTAGCTGGGACTACAGGCGTCTGCCACCATGCCTGGCTAATTTTTGTATTTGTAGTAGAGACAGGGTTCCACCATGTTGGCCAGGATGGTCTCAATCTCCTGACCTCAAGTGATCCGCCTGCCCTGGCCTCCCAAAGTGCTGGGATTACAGGTTTAACCCCCCACCCATTCCTCATCTTTCAAGACAATACATCACTTCTTCCAAGAAGCTGTTTCTTGTTCTCTTAGGCCCCCACTCCTATGTGCACTCCTAGCTCTTTTTTCATATTTGTATTATTGTCCAGGGAGATTGCTTTTTGATGATTATGTAGCATTGCCCAGAGCATAGTGTTTAAGAGCACAGACTGTCTGTATTCCAGTCCTTGCCCTGCCAGTAACTTGCTGTGTGACTGTAGGCATTTTACTTTACCTCTCTGTGCTTCAGTTTCTATGTATGTGTAGCCTCACAGAATTGTAATTAGAAATGCTTTAATTTTTGCAAAGCGCTAAGTATAGTGCGTGCCAGACAGTGTGATTTAATGTTTGTGAAATAAACACACCTGCCTCTCCATTTGGACTGCAGTCTTCTTCAGCAGCTATGACCTAATTGCCTTTTTATCTCCAGGATCTTATTTAGGGCCTAGTACATAGATCCTCTTTGGATGCTGAGTTTCCAGTGAATAATTTATTCTTGTTTGAAGGATGAAAGACAGTTTCATGGAGAAGCGAAGACAGGCACACTGGGAACAGCTGTACATGAAGGTTCCCCTGCCCATGTGTTATGTTTCTTCTTGATGCTTGTCACTACCTGACATGTACACATATTTGTTTATTCCACTGCACTAGGATGTAAGACCATGAAAGCAAAAACTTACTTTTATTCACGATTATATTCCCACTGCCTAGAATGGTGTGTGGTATTTAGTAGACCAATTATTCAGTAGATGTTTGTTGAATGAGTGAAAGGATGGGAGTCAAAATGATGTCTCATTTTGACCTGTGGTTGAAAGGTTAGGTGTTGCTGTCTTTGGTGAAGAACCAGCATGGTTGGAGCAGAATGCTGTGGGAGGATGCAGGAATAAATAGGGCTATACTTGGGGTTTTCTAATTATCCTCTGCACCATTAAAGTTGTTTGGTTATGTCCGTCTTCCTTGCTATGTAGTGTTTGGTTTGTGTGTGTCACTGTGAATTCATGCTAAACGTTTTCATTGTTAAGTCTGGTATAGCTACACCTGTCTTTAATGCTTTTGTTTCTTGGAGACAGTCTGTGTGTGTGTGTGTGTGTGTGTGTGTGTGTGTGTGTGTGTGTGAATATTAATAATTTTAGAACTAAAATTCATCTCTAAAAATCTCAGAAACCCATTCAGAGAATTTCCAGAGACAAAAGAAGAACCTGTCTCCCTGGAAGCAACAGTTAATCATATAAGTGGAAGAGAGACACAGGAAGCAATTTCATACATTCAGCAGACATGGAAGGCCTGGCACAGTGGCTCACGCCTGTAATCCCAGCACTTTGTGGGGCTGAGGCGGGTGGATCACCTGAGGTCAGGAGTTCAAGACCAACCTGGCCAACATGGTGAAACCCCATCTCAACTAAAAACACAAAAGTTAGTTGGATGTGGTGGTGGGCGCCTGTAATCCCAGCTACTCGGGAGGCTGAGGCATGAGAATCGCTTGAGGAGGAGGTTGCAGTGAGCTGAGGTCATGTCACTGCACACTCCACCCTGGGCGACAGAGTGAGACTCCATCTCAAAAACAAAAACCAGACATGGATTGAGCAGTTTCTATTTGCCAGGCACTGTTCCAGAACCTGGGAGACACAGAAGAGCAGACAGCCCTGCCCTCAATGACTGCACAGTATGTGTGTATACACACACACCCACCTGTGTAAGCAACTGTGATACAGGTTTAGAACAGTTAGAAAGAGGGATTGATAGATGGCTATGAATGCTACGGGTATCAGGCTGGCTGAGCCGGGGAATGGATGTCCCTTAGGCCTTCAGGGCCTCTTAGGGGAGGTGATGCTTGAGCTGAGTGTTGAAGGATACATAGAAGTGAGGGAAACTGGAGAGACAGGCATATGTGAAGTCTGAAGGTGTGAAAAAATCTTCAGATTTGGCAGGAGTTAGTGGTTGGTGGAATGGGACAGGGATGGAGCTCATCCCTCTCTCCTGTCCCTTCACCTTTGTCTCCTCTCCCCTGTGTCCTCTGCCCCCAGTAGATCACTTTGACTAGAGTGTGTGCAGTGGAGTGGCCTCAGTGATCTATGGGCCACATATGCCATACTCAGGAGGAGTTTGTAGTTCATCTTGTGGGGTGTTGGGGAGCCTTTGAAGGATTTTCAACAAGGCAGTGAAATTAGACGTGTGTTTCAGAAAGACTGGAGTTTTCTCTAGTCGCACTGGAATAAGGTTGACTGTAGCAAGAGGATTCAGTTGGGAGGCATAGTGAGAGGCTGGCAGTGGCTATGGCAGTCTAGCCTGAGTCAGCCACATTGGGTGTGAGGAGCAGGGAGCAGATGTGCGAGATGTGTGGACTATACAGTTGTAGAGACTCACAGAAGACCAGAGTGTCAGCTCTGTCTGTCAGAACAGAGGCCCATTTTTGTTTAGTTTTAGACCCAAGACTGAGCTCTGTACCTGGCACAGAATGCATCCTGAGTAAATATTTCTTGAATAAATATTTGAATGATTAAATGAAGGGTTTGAGAGAGAGGGAGGAGTCTCAGACTTGAGGTTTCTGGTTTGAATGTCTGAATGAATGTTGGCAAACATCTGTGGAGATTGTGAAATACAGAAAAGGGAGCATGGAGGTGGGTAGTTAAGATAAACTCCGTTTTAGGCTTACTAAGCATGAGGTATATGTGACTGAATCTGCCAAAAACATTGAGGAAGTAGTTGGAAAACAAGTTCTGGAACACACGAGAATGGTCTGGGCTTACGATGGAGTTGGGAGTGTCACAAATATACAAGTGCCTGTTAAAGTTGTGGCTTTAGATGACATGTGTCCAAATGAAATGAGAAAGTGCCCCTGAGGTGAGGGTAGCAGTATATGGAGAGCACTTCATTTGTAGTTGATGCTAATCAGAAAAAAAGTTTCTCGGACCAGGTTGACCTCAAGTTTTTCTAAAGGATGAAAGATACCACTGAGTTTTTTTTTTTTTCATTCTTTTAATTGTTGGGAATGAACTAAGAAATACAAATAAGTCCAAGTGAGGGTCACTGACCTGAAAAGAGGGGTGGGAGCTGGAAATATATCAGAGAAGTGGAATGATTCAAGTAGACACAAGGCCTTGTGCAGCAAGGGATATTTTATTTTTAGTTACAAAGAAACTACCAAAAGGAGTATTTTGAATGGTGGAGTATTTTAGTTAAACTGATGTGTGTAAATAATGAGAGCTCAAGAAGCTCAAGCCCTAGTCTCAGCAGAGGTCAAGAAGCTTGGAGCCCGGAGCTTGGAATAAGGCTGCCTGTTGGCAGGTCTCCAAGGGCAGGGACCGAAGTGTGCCTGTGTGCTGTGAGTGAGTCCAGCCCTCTGATGGATTCCATGCCTCCAGCAAGGAGGTAAGAGGGAATGAGGCAGGAGCAGGGAAGATTAGGAGGAGGAATATGAAAGCTACAAGCTAGGGAACATAAAAGTTTCGTAAGGAATAATAGTAACGTGGACTTTTGAGGTGATATACAGGGAAGATGCTTTTATTTTACAACTTGGTAGTAGAACAGAAGCTAAATTATTTGGAGTCGTTAATACCCACAGTGAACATCAAGTTGGGCAAAGGGATGGGAGATCTTCCCTTGGTTAGAAAGTGACCTTCTCAGCAATTTGGTATTCTGTAATGATAAGTCTGTGATAGTGCATGATTTTAGGGAATGGCAATTAATGGTTGACCTACTTGGGAATACAAATACCACGTGTTCATTTGTACAATAAGTGCTTTGTAGGTGAGATTCCTGACACACCCCTTCTTGTCAACAGAGTTATCTTTAGTCTCTTGTTATCACTATAGAAATAAAAATATATGTATTTGGGTAGTCGAGTAACAGTTGAATTATTTCTTACCAAGAAAAAAAGATAAAAAATAATATGTAAGGCTGGGCACGGGGGCTCATGCCCGTAATCCCAGCACTTTGGGAGGCCAAGGCAGGCAGATCACTTGAGGTCAGGAGTTCAAGACCAGCCTGGTCAACATGGTGAAACTTCATCTCTACTAAAAAAAAAAAATACAAAAATTAGCTGGGTGTGGTGGTGGGTGCCTGTAATCCCAGCTACTCGGGAGGCTGAGGCAGGAGAATGGCGTGAACCTGGGAGGCGGAGCTTGCAGTGAGCTGAGATTGCGCCACTGCACTCCAGCCTGGGCGACAGAGCGAGACGCCGTCTCAAAAAAAAATAAAAAAAAAAAAATAAATAAAAATAGTAAGTATAGATTTTGTTTCTATTTTTAAAAACATATACAAATATATATTTACAAAATAAATAACTATTTGTATTTATTTTAGAAGTATGGAAGGGTATGTAGCAAAATGTTAACAGTGTTAACAGCGTGATTGTCTCTGGCAGGTGGGCTTATGAATGAATTATAATTGTTTCCTCTTATGTTTTCTTATTCATGTTTTCTAGTTTTTCATTTCTAAGAAGCAAGTTTTCAAAGAAAAAAAGAAAAAACTGTTTTTTTCTGTAATGCAGAAATAGCAAGTTTGAAGAACAAATAAGGAAGTATAATTGCTAGCCCTTCCTTATAGAATCGTATCTGCGGAGTGATAGAGTACCCTTTAAACCACATGCTCTCCTGTTCCATTTCAGAGGATTCCACAGATGTTGGTGAGGAGGACAGCTTCCTTGGTCAGACTTCTATTCACACATCTGCCCCACAGACATTTAGTTACTTCTCTCAGGTATCAAGCAGCAGTGATCCTTTTGGGAATATTGGACAGTCACCATTAACAACTGCAGCAACCTCAGTTGGACAATCAGGATTCCCCAAGCCCCTGACTGCTCTCCCTTTTACAACTGGATCCCAAGATGTCTCGAATGCATTTTCACCATCCATTTCGAAGGCTCAACCTGGTGCTCCACCTTCCTCACTGATGGGAATAAATTCTTATCTGCCTTCTCAGCCAAGTAGTCTCCCTCCTTCATATTTTGGGAACCAACCCCAAGGAATTCCCCAACCAGGATACAATCCATATCGCCATACCCCTGGCAGCAGCAGGGCTAATCCTTACATTGCACCACCCCAGCTGCAGCAGTGCCAAACACCAGGCCCTCCTGCTCATCCTCCACCTTCTGGACCCCCTGTTCAGATGTACCAGATGCCTCCAGGATCTTTGCCACCGGTATGGAGACATGATTTTGTGTCCTACTTATTCACTCTGTGTCTTCTTTCTCACCTGAACCTATGTTTTAAAAAACATTTCACATCTTATAATCAATATGGTGACAAATTAGTTTCAGAGGGTATTCTTTGTAAGCTACATGAAGTAAACATTGTCTTAAAGATAGCTTATTGGATGGCTCATATTTTAGTGTATATTACCTGTTTATTGAAGCAGTAACTGATTTTAATGAGTTAGCTACGTGTCAGTATTTCCAGATTTTAGAGTACGGTAAAAATAAGTGTTGTCTAGAGACATAGGAGAATTGAAGCGGTTATTGTCTTAACAGACTGCTAGTTTCTCATCTTTCAATTACACTAGTCAATCAAAACACTCAATTACAGGGACTAAAATTGATTACTTCAGTAATTTCTTTATGGAGTTTGGATCTAGATCAGTCAAACTCTATCTAGGGAGAGTTGGTGGAATAACGTATGCATTGGGTAAATTTCATGAAATTCCCTTATGCATTTTTCCCAACTAATTGTTTATTTGATTTCCAAAGAAAAATCAACAGAATTAAACAAAAAGAGAAATGATTAAAAAGAATTAAGAACCCATTTCAGTGTGGTGGAGATAGCAGTATTGTGATCAGAATGTAACTAACTTCTCTGTTAGAGATAGAGAATGGACTCTGTTTTATCATTTCATTTAAATCATACCAATACACAAATTTTTGACAATGTTGGATTTCGGCATTCTGAAAAGTAACCAGATTCATAGCATGTGGTATATAGTTAGTATTTTTGCTAACTATAACAAACTAATTGTAGTTTGTTGCTTAAATTTTTAAAAAGGTTTTTAGATAAAAGTTTAAAAAATGATAATTTCAAACTTGAAGAAAAGTTGCAAAAATAAAAAGAGTACAAAGAGCACTCTAATATCCTTTACTCAGGTTTACTTATCATTAACATTTCATCCCGTTTGTTTTTTAATTTGTGCATGTGCACACCCTGGCATATGTGAGCCCTCCCTCTTCCCCCATCCCTTTCTCCTGCCCCTTCCTCCTGCTTCTCCTCCTGCCCCTCCCTCTTCCCTCCCTTCCCCTCATCGTTTTTTTCTCTTTCTGTATATATGCAATTTTGGGGGGAATATTTGAAGGTCAGTAAAATACATTATGATTCTTTACTCCTAAATTCCTGGTGTACATTTGCTAAGCATAAGGACATTCTTCTTATGTGCACAGTGCAGCTATGAATCTCAGGAAATTGAGTGTTGATGTAATACTTCAAAATGATTTTTTAGAAATTATATATGTGTATGTATATGTACGTGTGTGTGTATGTGTGTGTGTGTGTGTATATATATATATATAAAATTTTTTTTTTTGAGGCCAGGTCTTGCTCTGTCACTCAGGCTAGAGTGCAGTGGCATGGTAACGGCTCACTGTAGCCTCGAATTCTCAGGTTCAAGTGATCCCCCTACCTCAGCCTCACCAGTAGCTGGGACCACAGGCACATGCTGCCATACCTGGCTAATTTTTTTTTTATGTTTTGTAGAAATGAGGTCTCACTATGTTGCCCAGGCTGGTCACAAACTCCTGGGCTCAAGCAGTCCTCCTGCCTTGACCTCCCAAAGTTCTGGGATTATGGGCTAAATTATATATTTTTTTGAGACTGGGTCTCACTCTGTTGTCCAGGTTGGAATGCAGTGGCGCAATCACAGCTCACCTGCAGTCTCAAACTCCTGGGCCTCAAGTGATCTTCCTGCCTCAGCCTACCAAAGTGCTGGGATTACAGGTGTGAGCCACCACACCTGTCCCAAAATGGTGTCTAATTAAAAAATTTTAAAATAAGTCTAGTCTGATTTTAAAATCGTTTTTGTAGAAAATTTGAAAAATGCAGAATACTCAATTTAATAAAAAATGTCCATAGATAACCACTGTTTTCATTTTGTTATATGTCTTTTTTTGGCAAACATATAATACCTATGGTTTCTATAATCTATTTTTTTTTTGTGTGAACATACTTTAAATGTTACTAAGATTTTTTCTAAAACATTAAAATTTTTTTCTTTTTCTTCTTCTTTTTTTTTTTTTTAAAGAGTGGGGGGGGGGTCTTGCTCTGTCATCCAGGGTGGAGTGCAGTGGTGTGATTACAGCTCACTGCAACCTTGAACTACACTTCAGCCTCAGGAGTAGCTGGGACTACAAGTGTGCCCCACCATGTCCGTGTGATTTTTAGATTTTTTTGTAGAAACGGTATTGCTGTGTTGCTCATGTTGGGCTCAAACTCCTGGCCTCAAATGATCCTCCTTCCTTGGCCTCCCAAAGTTCTGGGATTATAGGTGTGAACCATCGTGTCTATCCTCTAAAACTTTTATTTTTGTTTATTTACTTATTTTTTTTTTTAGCTATCTCCTGCAGAAAGGATATAAGACATTTTTAATGGCGCTGGAGGATCTAGCATTTGAGTTAAATATTATTTAATCAGGTTTCTGTTAGACATTTTGATTATTTCCAGTGATTTCCTATTTTATTTATTTTTTTGCAAACATTCCAAATTTATTAGCTATGATTTTATAATCAACATTATTGAGGTATAATTTACATACAGTAAAAGGCATCCATTTACAGTATACAATTCGATTTATTTAAAGTGTACAATTAGCTGAGTTTTGACAGTTGTACACACCAATTTCCTATTTTAAATAACCTTTTGATGTATATCCTTGGGGATAACTTTTTATTTTTATTTTTTATTTATTGTTTGAGACAGAGTCTCTGTCACTCAGGCTGGAGTGCAGTGGTGCAGTCTCAGCTCACTGCAACCTCCGCCTCCCGGGTTCAAGCGATTCTCCTGCCTCAGCCTCCCAAGTAGCTGGGATTGCAGGCCTGTGCCACCACGCCCAGCTAATTTTTGTATTTTTAGTGGAGACAGGGTTTCACCATGTTGGCCCGGCTTGTCTCGAACTCCTGACCTTAGGTGATCCACCCACCTCAGCCTCCCAAAGTGGCAGGATTACAGGTGTGAGCCACTGCACCTGGGCTATTTGTTTTTATAATTCTATCTTTAGGATAAATTTTTAGAAATGGAATGAGTAGGTCAAGGAGTAGGCACATTTTAAAGGTTAAATAGGCCGGGTGTGGTGGCTCACACCTGTAATCCCAACACTTTGAGAGGTCAAGGCGGGCTGGTCACTTGAGGTTGGGAGTTCGCAACCAGCCTGACCAACCTGGAGAAACCCTGTCTCTACTAAAAATACAAAATTAGCTGAGTGTGGTGGCGCATGCCTGTAATCCCAGCTACTTGGGAGGCTGAGGCAGGAGAATCGCTTGAACTCGGGAGACGGAGGCTGTGCATTGCGCCGTTGCACTCCAGGCTGGGCAAGAAGAGCAAACTCCGCCTCACACACACAAAAAAGGTTAAATAAATCATGGGAGATGTATTGCTAGATTGATTTCTGTAAAGGTGTTAGTTTACTTTGTGTTCTGTGAGAAGGTCTGGTTCACCTTGTAATTGATTTTTTTCTAAATTTTTTAATTTTTAATTTTTGTGGGTACATAGTAGGTATATATGTTTATGGGTTACATGAGATATTTTGATACAGGCATGCAATGTGTAATCATCACATCAGGATAAATGGGGTATAGATATCCCTCACCTCAAGCATTTATCCTTGATTTGGGGTTTTGTTAGGTTTAAAAATTCTTCTTAAAATTGCTTTGGGGTCTAGTTATTACACTAAGTAATTGTCCAGATATACATGTAGGATAATCTACTAACATCAGTTTGGGTGTGAAGCATATTCAGAATTCTTTTGGACAAGCATGACAGTCTTAACTTTGCCGTCCCCTCCAGGTTCCTTCTTCAGTGCAGTCACCGGCACAGCAGCAGGTACCTGCCAGACCTGGGGCTCCCTCTGTTCAAGTGCCATCTCCTTTTCTACTTCAAAACCAATATGAGCCTGTTCAGCCCCACTGGTTTTACTGCAAGGAGGTAGAATACAAACAACTGTGGATGCCTTTTAGTGTGTTCGACTCTTTGAATCTTGAAGAAATCTATAATTCAGGTAAACATTGGTCATACATCATTCATATCTGATTTTAGGAAGAGAAGGAATGAGATCATTTATTCATGATCTATTTTCTGTGAATGTCAAATACCTTAATCCTTATAGACCCCAGACTCTGTACCTTAAGGTGACGATATTAGTATAAGTCCTGAGTTACCTGGGTAAGGTATTTGAAGAAATGTTTTAGTAATTTACTTCGTAGTTTAAAGGTATTTTGAATCAGAGAAGTTGAGCAGTTCATATAATCCAGGTTTCAATTTTTCTGTTTCCCTTGTTCATTTGTAGTTATGGGGGCATTTATAAAGGGCATTCTGTGGAACTCTCTATCCTGGAGATGCTCTGTGAAAAAAGGGTTCCCTGGTCAGATGAGTTTTGGAAATGCTGCTCTCTGTATCTAGGTCTTGAGAGAGATGGTGTGCAGGAGTACATTAATGCTTTGAGAAGTCCTGCAGTGTAGAAATGTGTTTCTTTGTTTATCCTGATATATTATTATATCACTGTATTATTGTATGTAGATATTATTGTTCTGATAAAAAAAATCCATCAGTTCTTTGAATTATGTTTTTAAAGTTTGCCCTAGCTGTTTCTTTTCTACTTAAGAGTCATAATTTTGAGCAGCACAGATTAATCTTAAACTTCTATTTTGAAATAAAAATGAGCCTAGTTTTTTGTCTTTAAAGATTGAGTAGTCACCGTATTCATTATTTATTATTTCATTTTTATTTTCTTGAGACAGAGTCTCACTCTGCTGCCCAGGCTGGAGAGCAGTAGCGCAATCTGGACTCACTGCAACCTCTGCTTCTTGGGTTCAAACTACTATGCCTCAGCCTCCCAAGTAGCTGGGATTATAGGCGTGTGCCACCACGCCTGGCTAATTGTTGTATTTTTAGTAGACAGGGAGGTTTCACCATTGGCCAGGCTGGTCTCAAACTCCTGACCGCAAGTGATCCACCTCTCTCGGCCTCCCAGGGTGCTGGGATTACAGGCATGAGCCACTGCGCCCAGCAGATTATTTATTATTTTACAATATGCCTTGCAGCAGTTAGGAAAAGTGTTAATTTTGTTCTCTAGTTCAGCCAGATCCGGAGAGCGTGGTTCTTGGCACGGATGGAGGGCGCTACGATGTTTACCTCTATGACCGAATAAGGAAGGCTGCCTACTGGGAAGAGGAGCCAGCCGAAGTGAGACGCTGTACTTGGTTTTACAAGGGGGACACAGATAGTCGATTTATTCCCTATACTGAGGAGTTCAGTGAAAAACTAGAGGTACGGGTGCTTTATTTCTTTATGAGTTTCTTTAAAAAATGTAGGTCCTATATACATTGGTGAGTAACATCATTCACAGTGGAGCGGACTTTACTTACAAGACAGCTTGTTTTGATGCTGTTCACAGAGAAGATTACTTTTTAAGTGGTGTCATCACTCATGAGGTGCTAATCGTGGCATCTGTGTCTAAAGATAGAATATGATTTGCAGAGACACATCACAGATCTAATAAGGTGCTTGTGTCAAGCCTTCAATAGAACCTAGGCCGCTGGGATTTGTTGTTGATAGAAGATGCCAAGCATATGGACATTTTCAAATTAGTATTCAGTAAAAGGCTTGAAATTAACCTCTGATTTGTGAAAATAAATAAATAGAATTGGAAGAAGTGTCTTGAGTCTTATTAGCCATCTTAAATCTATAATTTCTTCAAGAAATTATATGTTGTTTTATATAATTGTGTTAAATGCTTGTGTTAATTCTACTTAAGAGTTGAATGTTAGATATTTGAAATACGTTCAGTGAATTCAGTTGCATAGATAGGAAATGAGATACAGAACATTTTAGTTAACTTCTGGCTGGGTGTGGTGGCTCGTGCCTATAATCCCAGCACTATGGGAGGCCTAGGTGAGCAGATCACTTGAGGCCAGGAGTTTTGAGACCAGCCTGACCAACATGGCGAAACCATGTCTCTACTAAAAATACAAAAACTAGCCAGGCGTGGTGGCACACGCTAGTAGTCCGAGCTACTCGGGAGGCTGAAGAGGAAGGATCACCTGTGCCAGGGAAGTTGAGGCTGCAGGGAGCTGAGATCATGCCACTGCACTCCAGCCTGGGCAATGGGAATGAGACCCTTCCTCAGAAAAAAAAAAAGTATATATTTGTATATGTGCATATATGTGTGTGTGTATATATATAAAGAAAAAAGTGTAAAGGAATGCTGATATCTATAGCTTAATTTTAGATATAAATAAACAAATAAAGATATATTGTAATTTTTGGTACCTTTTTGGTAGGCCCCTACGAAGCTATCATGTCCCCAGATTAAATGTTTAGTTTTACTATTTTGAAGCTGAAGTATATATTTTCAAGTCCAAGCAGTGTCTGAAAGTCTACACTTTCTCTTAACTATATTTGATTTTATATGGGTGACATAGACTTTGAAGCGGGATAGATATCCACATACTGACCACTGCAGCAACACATGGCTACCTAGGGAGACCTTAGCTTTTGTTCGGCTTCTTCCAGGAAACTCAAACCAGATCAGGGAAGAGGCAGAGGAGGTTAGGAAGTGAGAAAGCCGATAATAGAAAGGGAACAAAATGATACGTATTGCTCAGCATCCTGTTGGTGATCCTCTTCTGTCAGAGCACTAAGACAAAACAACGGAAGGGTTGGAGACAGAGAACACCTTTAATTTGATGAAGACATGATTATTGTCTACGTGGAAAATCAGGAGAACCTCTAGAAATATTAGCACCAATACAAGAGTTTTTTTGCAAGTCCGTGTATATAAAATTAACATACGTAAATTAGTAACATTCCTGTGCCATAGAAATAACCAATTAAAAATAGAAAAAGAAGATACTATGTATTTATAACAGAGAGACTATATATTTATAAAACTACAGGCAATGTAGGAAAAAAGCCCAAGAAAAGTACCGGTAAACTTTATGGAACACTGAAGAACGTAAAAGGTGACCTCAAGAAATGGAGCTAGGCTGGGCGTGGTGGCTCCTGCCTGTAATCCCAGCACTCTGGGAGGCCAAGGTGGGTGGGTTGCTTCAGCTCAGGAGTTCCAGACCAGCCTGGACAACATGGAAAAACCCCGTCTCTACAAAAAATACACACAAAAAAATTAGCTGGGCATGGTGGCCCATGCCTGTGGTCTTAGCTACTCAGGAGGCAGAGGCAGTAGGATTGCTTGAGCCTGGGATCTTGAGGCTGCAGTGAACTGTGATCGTGTCACAGCACTTTAGCCTGGGCAACAGAGCAAGACCTTGTCTCAGAAAAAAAAAAAAAAAAAAGAAACGGAGCTAAACATTATGTTCATGTAGGCACTATCATAAAAGATGTCAATTCTTCCCAAATTATCAGATAAATTTTAGGCAATCCCAATCAAAATTCACATCAGGGTTTTTTTTTTTTTTTGGTAAAATTTGCAAGCTGCTTCTAAATTTTTTGTGGAAGATCAAAATGTCAAGGATAACCAAGACCATTTCGACAATGAAATGTGAAATCTTTACCAGATAATACTTACTATAAAGCTGTGGATTGAAAGGGAATATGAAGAAGTGAAAATAATTTATTTATTTATTTTTTAAACAGGATCTCACTGTCCCCCAGGGTGGAGTGCAGTGGCGTGATTTCAGCTCACTGTAACCTCAGCCTCCTGGGTTCAAGCGATTCTCCTGCCTCAGCCTTCCGAGTTGCTGGGATTACAGGCGCCTGTCACCATGCCCAGCTAATTTTTGTATTTTTAGTAGAGACAGGGTTTCACCATGTTGGCCAGGATGGTCTCGAATTCCTGACCTCAGGTGGTCCACCCACCTCGGCCTCCCAGAGTGCTAGGATTACATGCGTGAGCCACCACACGTGGCCTGAAAATAATTTTTAAGGTGGTGAAAGTTTTCTTTCTTTAATCCTTGTTGTTTGTGGCCTTGCTTTTAGAAATTATGAATTATATTTGAAGTTTTTTTTTTTTTTAAATCGAAGAGGAGGGTCAGAAGTACAAAAGACTAGGCTGGGCATGGTGACTCACGCCTGTAATCCCAGCACTTTGGAGGCCGAGGCGGGCTGATTGCTTGAGATTAGGATTTCGAGACCAGTCTGGCCAACGTGGTAAAACCCTGTCTCTACTAAAAATACAAAATTAGCCAGGTATGGTTATGCACGCCTGTAATCCCAGCTACTCAGGAGGCTGAGGCAGGAGTATCTCTTGAACCTGGGAGGCGGAGGTTGCGGTGAGCTGAGATCACGCCATTGCACTCCAACCTGGGTGACAGAGTGAGACTCCATCTCAAAAAAAAAAAGTACGGAAGACTGATGAAGAGGAATTGTTACTGTTACTCAATGATTGTCCAAGAAACAGAAGGAAATACTTCTATTTTCACGTGATTGTCAAATACTCACTGTTACTAGTTTTAAAAAAAAGACTTTGTAACAATTTTTACTTGTCAATTAAAAAAATAAATGAACAAAAAAAAGGACTTGTGGATATGCCAGAGGCTCCCTCTTACTTTGTGTTGAATCTCTCCCCAAGAGGTCCTCACGCTTGTTCTTTATAGAAACTAGAATAGTACGATCGGCCCTCCGTATCCACAGGTTCCGTATCTGCAGATTCAACCAAATACTCTGAAAATATTTAGAAAACCACAACAATAAAAATAACACAGGCTGGGCACCGTAGCTCACGCCTGTAATCCCAGCACTTTGGGAGGCTGAGGTGGACGGATCATCTGAGGTCAGGAGTTCGAGACCAGCGTGGCCAATATGGTGATACCTTGTCTCTACTAAAAATAGAAAAATTAGCCAGATGTAGTGGCTCATTGCCTGTAGTGCCAGTTACTCGGGAGGCTGAGGCAGGAGAATCGCCTGAACCTGGGAGGCGGAGGTTGCGGTGAGCAGAGATTGCACCACTGTACTCCAGACTGGGCAACAGAGCAAGACTCTGTCTCAAGAAAATAAAAAATAAAAATTACAGTTTAACTATTGATATCACATCTACATTTCATGAGGTATTATAAGTAATCTAGAGAAGATTTAAAGTATAAGGGAGGATGTATGTAGGTTTTATGCAAAAATAATGCTATTTTATATAAAGGACTTGAACACCAGGGATTTTGGTATCTTTGAGGGGTCTTGGATCCAGTGCCCTGCAGAAACCAAAGAAAGACTATATCTGGAGGAAGAGTAAGAAGATGGTTGGACAGTGAAGATTTTGGAGTCAGAAAGTCCTGGGTGATATTACTCCAGCCCACATGAAAAAAAAGAAAAAGTCAGTCCTGGGTGGCAATGAACTACAGTTCTCCCATTGCTGCTTCCCAGTTGTGTCATCTTGTGCAACTGTATACAGTACTTAAAATGTCTATTATGGGTTGAATTGTGTCTCCCCATCCCCCAAATATGTTGAATTACTAATCCCCAGTGTCTCAGAATGTGACCTTATTTGGAAATAGGGTCATTGCAGATGTAATTAGTTAAGGTGAGGTTTTACTGGAATAGGATGGGCCCCAAAGCCAATATAACTTGTGATGTGAAGACAGACACACAGAAAGAATCCCATATGATGATGGAGGCAAAGGCTGGAGTTACACTGCAAGCCAAGGAAAGCCAGAGATTGCCAGCCACCACCAGAAGCTAGGAAGAGGGAAGGAGGATTTCTTTATAGCTTTCAGAGGAACGGTGGCCTGCCTTCCTGGCACCTAATTTTCTACTTGGAGCCTCCAGAACTATGGGATGATACATTTTTTTTCTAAGTCACTCTGTTTGTGATACTTTGTTAATGCAGCCCTAGGAAATGAACAGACCATCTAAAACTTGGTTTTCTTCATTATATAATGGGGATCCTGTTACTTAGGCGTGATTGAGAGTAATTACTTCAATGGTATGTGTAAGGTGATAAAAAATATGTTAACCAGTCAGGAAATGAGAACTGCTATTACTGTTATTTTTATCACCATTATAGTGACCGTTTTCCTCCATACTTTCTCTCCATGTGGTATAAATTTGTCATGTTGGAATATATGTTGTTTCCCCCATTATAGGCTGAATATAAAAAAGCTGTAACCACTAATCAGTGGCACCGAAGATTAGAGTTTCCAAGTGGAGAGACAATTGTTATGCACAATCCAAAGGTAATGATGGTGTTCAAAATTTTAAGGTATTAAGTTCATTTTAATATTTTTCTGTGTATGTTTGATAAATTGTTCATTTTTAGTAACTTCTACAGTGGGAATGTTTTTGTAACAAGTGCATTGCTTTTAAAATACTTTATTATTATAGTGGATAATACAGATATTATTTCTATGATTCACACTGATCATAGAAACAAAAACACAAATTTTTCGTAGGGCGAGGTGCACACCTGTGAGAGGCTGAGACAGGTGGAATGCTTGAGCCAGGGGGACAGCAGAACCCTGTCTCTATAAAAAATAGAAAAATTAGCTGGGTGTAGTGGCACATGCCTGTAGTCCCAGCTACTCAAGAGGCTGAGGTGGGAGGATTACTTGAGCCCGAGAGGTTGAGGCTGCAGTGAGTCAGGATTGCTCCCCGCTGCACTCTAGTAGCCTGGGTGACAGAGCAAGACCTCGTCTCAAAATAAAAAGTAAATTTTTCTCAGGCTGGGTGTGGTGGCTCACACCTGTAATCCCAGCGCTTTGGGAAGCCAAAGTGGGAAGATTGCTTTAGGCTAGGAGTTTGAGACCAGCCTGGGAAACAAAGAGACTCTGTCTCTACAAAAATTAAAAAAATTAGCTGAGCATAGTGGTGTGCACCTGTCTAGCTACTCGGGAGGCTGAGATAGAGGATCACTTGAGCCCAAGAGTTTGAGATTGTAGTGAGCTGTGATCACGCTCACTCCAGCCTGGGTGACACAGCAAGACTCTGTCTAAATAAATAAATAAAATAAGTATTTCTTATGAAGTTTCTGTTTATGGCAACATGATAACTGGAGTTTAGTATGCAATGTAGAAGTTGCTTGATAATTTTTTTCACTTGATCAGAAGTTGGCAAGCTTTTTCTATAAAGGGCCAGAGACAAAATATTTAAGGCTTTGCAAGTTACATGTTCCCTGTTGAAGCCACCAGCTCTGCCACCGTGGTGTGAAAGCAGCCAGAGACAATGTGTAAACCAATGGGTATGATATTTTCAATGAATCTTTATTTATAAAAACAGATGGCCAGATTTTTCTGTGGGCTGTAGTATGCCTGTCTGCCCTTGATGTGGTTTGCTCTAACCTTTCAAGTAAAAATGTGTCCTTTTTCTTTTTATTTTTATCGTCTCTATGAGTTTATCTTGTTTTTAAAAAAATATTGATTGCTGGTATTCTGATTCTATCATTTGCCAACCTTAATTTCTCAGAGCTCCAAGTTCCTCACCTGCAATAATGATCTCCCAGGGTCATATTTTAGATGAAGTAAGGTAATTTATGCAAAAGCATCTAGCATGGGGCTTAGCACACAGTAGTTTCTGAGAACATAGGCTTTTTATTTATTCATTTGTTTTTATAGAAAAGTATATAAAAAACTTATAATCCAACTACTTCTATAGTCCTTATTGATACTGAAATAAAAATAACATTCATATGCCAACAAAATGTAAACAGTTTAAAAGGATATTAAATGAAAAATAAAAGCCTCCTATCTCTGCCTTCCTCATTTCTCCTCTCCATAGTAACCACTCTTAATCTTTTTGTTTGTTTTTTTAAGAAATAAGGTCTCACTCCCTTACCCAGGCTGTAGTGCAGTGGCCAATCACAACTCGCTGCATCCTCGAACTCTGGGCTCAAGGGATCCTCCTGCCTCAGCCTCCCGAGTAGCTAGGACTACAGGTGTGCGCCACCTTGCCTGGCCAGTTTTAAGACTTTTTTTTGCAGAGATGGGGTCTTGCTATCTTGCCCAGGCTGGTCTTGAACTCTTGGGCTCAAGTCTTCCTCCTGCCTCGGCCTCCCAAAGTGCTGAGATTACAGGTGTGAGCCAACACGCTTGGCTAACCTTTTTTTTTTTTAGATAAACATTTTGCATACTACATCAAGTATATATTCTTTTTTTTTTTTTTAAAGAAAATTTTCTTTGTGGTACAGGGCTGAATTTAATACAGTTGGTTTAACAGAATGGATTTCCTAAAAAGTGGTAGGGTTTTGTCATTATGTTTTTGTCACTGAAATTGAAATTGTAGTTTAATTGGGAATCTTACTATTTTGAAAGGATTTTGCTTTACTTGTTTTTATAAGACAAAGACTCTTCAATTGCAGGTTACTTGTCCTTGATTTCTTTTTTTGTTTTTATTTTATTATTATTATTTTTTTTTTGTAGAGACAGGGTCTCTAACTTTGTTGCCCAGGCTGCTCTGGAACTCCTGAGCTCAAGCGGTCCTCCCATGTTGGCCTCTCAAAGTGTTAGGATTACAGGCATGAGCCACTGCACCGGGCCTGTCCTTGATTTCTTTTGTGTAAACCTGGAGTTTTATGTTAGCTTTTATTTTTGTTTAGTTTTTTTTTGAGACAGGATTTTGCTCTGTTGCCCAGGCTGAAGTGCAGTAGCACAAACACAGCTTATTGCAGCCTCGACCTCTTGGGCTCAAGCAATCCTTCTGCCTCGGCCTCCTGAGAAGCTGGTTCTGCAGGCATGCACTACCATGCCTGGCTAATTTTTAAGTTTTCTGTGGAGATGGGTCTCACCATATTGCTCAGGCTTGTCTTGAACGCCTGGGCTCAAGTGATCCTCCCACCTCAGCCTCCCAAAGTGCTGGGATTACAGGTGTGAGCCACCATACCTGGCCTATGTTATTAGCTTTTAAATCAAGGTGTAATACTTCTGATTTAATTGTATAATTTTCAACATAAGCATTGGAAAGGTATCGATTTGCTTAATTTTGGTGGTTAATGAACACTAGCAAGACTCCTTCAAAGTTTGTTTTGGGGGAACAGTACTAATAATTTATAAACTCTCCGTACTCTGAGGTATAGCTTATTATGTGTTAAACTACTTAGCCTGTAGTGGAAAAGAATTTGTTAATGAGCTTTGTCATAATTCTGTTGCATCTTGAAGGTTATTGTTCAGTTCCAGCCCTCCTCAGTGCCAGATGAATGGGGCACCACGCAAGATGGACAGACAAGGCCCAGGGTTGTAAAGCGTGGAATTGATGATAACCTTGATGAAATTCCCGACGGTGTGTATAGTTTGTTTAGAACTGAGGTCTGTTTTAGTCCTCTCCATTTTAGCATCATTCTTTAGAATGATGAAGAAATAAACAGTTATTAGAATGCCCTGCCACAGCAGCCATTGCACCACCACTCCCAGCTAATATTTCTATTTTTTGTAGAGATGAAGTTTTGCCATGTTGCCCAGACTTTTCTCGAACTCCTGAGCTCAAGCTATTTGCCTGCCTCGGCCTCCCAGAGTGCTGGAATTACAGGCGTGAGCCACTGTGCCTGGCCATATCTTTCTTTTTGATTTTATTACTTTTGTATCTTTATTTTTTAATTGATACATATTAATGGGGTACACCTGATATTTTGATAAATGCATAGAATGTGTAATGATGAAATTGAAGTAAGTATTATGTCTATCACCTCAAACATTCATCATTTCTTTGTGTTGGGAACATTTCAGATCTTTTCTCCTAGGTATTTTTCTTTTTCTTTTTCTTTTTTTTTTTTTTTTCAGACAGGGTCTCACTCTGTTGGCCAGGCTGGAGTACAGTGGCGTGATCTCAGCTCATTACAACCTCCGCCTCCCAGGTTCATGCGATTCTCTTGCCTCAGCCTCCCGAGTAGCTGGGATTACAGGCGTGCACCACCACGCCCGGCTAATTTTTGTATTTTTAGTAGAGATGTGGTTTCACCACGTTGGCCAGGCTGGTCTCAAACTCCTGGCCTCAAGTCATCCACCTGCCTCAGCCTCCCAAAGTGCTGGGATTATAGGTGTGAGCCACCGCACCCTACCTCTCCTAGGTATTTTGAAATACACAATAAATTATTGTTAACTGTTGTCACCCTACTGTGCTATCGAACAGTAGAAGTTATTCCTTCAACATACCTGTATGTTTGTACCCATTAATTGACCCCTTTTTATCTTCACTTCCCCCCGACCCTTCCCAGGCTCTGGTAGCCATCATTCTGCCCTTACCTCCATGAGATAAACTTCTTTAGTTCCTACATATGAGTGAGGACATACAGATATCTTTATCTTTAAATTTGGAATTCTGTTAAAATACACATACCACATAGTATAGATTCTAAAATATGTTTTGTTGTGTGGAGAAGCACTTTGCTGGTTGGAACTAAGGTTTGGCAACACTTTTAGGCTTGTGGTTTTACACCTCACTGGTTTGTATTCCTCTGGTGCGGGGATTGCAGACTTTTTCTGTAAAGGGCCAGATAGCAGATAGGCTTTGCAGGCCACATGGACTCTGTTACAAACTACTCAGCTTTGCTATTGTTGTGTGAAATCAGCTGAAGACTGTATGTAAACAAATGAGCATATCCGTTTTCCATAAAGCTTTTTTTTTTTTTGAATGGAGTCTCACTCTGTTGCCCAGGCTAGAGTGCAGTGGCGTGATCTGGGGCTCACTGCAACCTGCACCCGCTGGGTTCAAGCAATTCTTGTGTCTCAGCCTCCCGAGTAGCTGGGATTACAGGCGCCCACCACCACGCCCGGCTAATTTTTGTATTTTTAGTGGAGACAGCGTTTTGCCATGTTGGCCAGGCTGGTTTTGAACTCCTGACATCAAGTGATCCACGTGCCTCGGCCTCCTAAAGTTCTGGAATTACAGGCGTGAGCCACCACACCCGGCCCACAAAACTTTATGTTATTTTTATGTTTTTCCTTGAATGGTTTCCCCTTCGTCAAAAACTTTATTTATAAAAGCAGGTGGCTGGGCCTGGTGGCTCACGCCTGTAATCCCAGCATTTTGGGAGGCCGAGGCAAGTGGATCACCTGAGGTCAGGAGTTCGAGACCAGCCTGGCCAACTTGGTGAAACCCTGTCTCTACTAAAAAAATACATATATAAAAATTAACTGGGCGTGGTGGTGGGTGCCTGTAATCCCAGCTACTCAGGAAGCTGAAGCAAGAGAATTGCTTGAACCCGGGAGGCGGAGGTTGCAGTGAGCCGAGATGGCGCCATTGCACTCTATCCCGGGCGACAAGAGTGAAACTCCATCTCCAAAACAAAACAAAACAAAACAACAGGTAGGATGTGGGTAGGATTTGGCCTGTGGGCCATTGTTTGCCATTGCCTGCTTTGGTGTATGTGCTTTGGTTTCTTCTGTACTATTACTTAAGAATGGATTTTATTTTTACAATTACATACACTTCATGTTTATTGAAGTGTATGTAAAATGTTTCAATAAAATGTATGTTTCTTGTAAAATAAATACTCACACGATGAAATCTGAGTAATCTCCACTGGGGCTTAGTGTCCTGGGGAGTTCTGAAGCATCACAAGGTTGTGGAGCCTCCATAGATACAAACCTGCTGCTCATCATGTGCTATTAGCTTCCAGGAACAGAGAGAGCCTGCTGCCTCCACCTCTTGTTCTAGTTCGCTTTTATATGCCAAGAGGGACAAATTGTTCCTCTAATTTGATAGGGGTAATGAGGCTTATTCTCTTTGAAGGGTCATGAATTTCTTTGGCAAGTTTGTGATGACGAAAGGGATATCTAGAATATTGCCATTAGGAAAATCCAAACAAATTCCCATCTTTTATGTAGGTTTAAAAATTTTTTTTGATAGGGGAGATGCCTCAAGTTGACCATTTGGTGTTTGTGGTGCATGGCATTGGACCTGTGTGTGACTTACGCTTTAGGAGCATTATTGAGTGTGGTAAGTGTTGGGTATATTGTATTTCATGGGATGATCTGAGAACTAATAGAAGAGCTTTGGAGTATTCATTTTTAGGATAGTTCCCAGCTGTGTACTACTTGCTGAGGAGTCTGTAAGAGGAAATTTAAATGGTCAGTGGGAAATACTAAGTTGTACTTGATTTGCTCTTGTGACATATGTGACGCATACAATCCCAGACTGTGAGGAATTAGAAGGGATCTTGGAAGTAGTTTAGCCTTGTTGACAGCCTTTGCCTGAGCACCTGCAGCAGCTAGGAGCACCTCTGCATTGAATGGATTTATAGTCAGTGAGTTGGGAGAAGTTGTTTAATGGAAACATGAATCTGCCTGGTTGACTTAAATTTTTGAAGTTTTATTTTTATGTCCATGTAATAATAGTTCGTATTTATTGAATATTTGGTATATGCCAAGTATCTTAGATGCCTTGTCATTTGACCCTCACAAATAAACCTTTGGGGTATAGGCGCTGTCACTGTTATCGCCACTACTGTGACTAATGAGGAACTGAGGCCTGGGATAGTGGGGGTTGGGGGTGAAGAGGTAAGGTAGGGGTTGGGGGTAAGTGAAACTCTCCCTTATCACAGTCAGTAGGGCCTGGAGCCTGGAGCCGGCAGTGTGATTCCAGAGCCTTTCCCCAAGGTGCCACGCTACCTCCCAGCAGTGGTGGTTAAACTGATATATCCCAAGCATCTATTCCTTTGCAATAATGGAAAGTTTAAAAGAGGTTCCCAAAAGTTACTTATTCCTTTCTTTTTAAAAAATTTTACTAATTCTCTTATCCTCATTTTTTTCTTTAAAAAATGTATCTTTATGTTATTAAAAATACTGGCATATTTGAGGTAACTGCTGACTAGCTATCAAGCTAGGAGAATTTAATTTATTTTCTCTTTTTTTTTTTTCTTTTGAAGTGGATGATTTTAGGGTGGTTTCTCTCAAATTGCTGCGGACACATTTCAAGAAATCTTTAGATGACGGGAAAGTAAGCAGAGTGGAGTTCCTTCCAGTTCATTGGCATAGTTCTTTGGGTGGGGACGCCACAGGTGTGGACAGGTTTGTGGATTTTGATAACTTGTTTTTCAGATTAGTCATATTTAAATTTAAGATTTAAACCGTAATATGAAATAGTTTATTGTAGCTTCAATCAATATGTTTTTAAAAATTGTATACTTCTGACATATAATTAAATATTGGCTGTAAAGTTTACACACTACTTTTCTCTCTGTGTGTGTGCATTCCTTTTGTAAATATTTAAGAGAATCTTAAGAAATTTTAGCTGGTTTTAAAATACAATTTTAATCTGTAGCAGTTTAGACAGGGGGCTGTCCTTTATGTAGTAGGATGCCTAATGGGCTTTCCACCCCAACAAAAATGTCTCCAGAAATTGCCAGATGTCCCCTGGAGGGTAAAAATCACCCCTGGCTGAGAACCACAGATTCAGAATATTGTTTCTCAGTGGAGATGCTCTTGTCAGGACAATTCTTTGCTGTCGCAGTGCAGACCACTTAACTTCCTTAGTGTAAAGGCCACTCAGTACTAGCAGTGCTCACCAGGCACTGTGACAATTAAAAATACTCTGCTCAATTTTGAATGCTCCCAATTGAGAATCATAAATACAGGTAATAGTTATGCTGGCACATGTCTAGATTTTAGTGAACACCGTAATGTTTCAGGGTACATAGTTTAATAAAACTATTTCTACAAACAGCGTTTTGTCTATGTTAGGCCCTATTGTAAGGGTGTTTTCTTTCTCTGTGTGTATTCCTAAACTTCATTTTGGTCATTCTCAAATTAGGGAAGATTTTTCATTCCATGTAGCCCTGTTTTTTCTGTTTGATATTCTCTTTAGTCCTTTTGACCCACAAGTTTTGTCAGGTGTCCAGATTTGCAGTTAACTGGAAGAAAAATGGAAGAGTAATCTTCCCTCTTTAAAAATAAAATAGAAATCTTTGCATATGACTTATATAGCAACTAACTCTTCAGAGAATCCCAAAATTCATAGTATAGTTATAGGCACAAATAACTTTAAAAAAAAAACTGAATTGTTTTTGAGACAGCATCTCACTGTCACCCAGGCTCTGGAGTGCGCTGGCATGATCATGGCTCACTGTAGACTTGGCCTCCTGGGCTCAAGTGATCCTCCCACCTCAGTCTCCCAAGTAGCTGGGACTATAGGTGCAAGCCGCCATGCCTGGCTAATTTTTAAATTTTCTGTAGAGATGGGGTCTCACTGTGTTGCTCAAGCTGGTCTTGATCTCCCGGGCTCAAGCGGTCCTCCTGCCCTAGCCTCTCAAAGTGCTAGGATCACAGGCATGAGCCACCACATGTGGCAGCACAAATTTTTTTGGTTTACCTTTATTTATACTTTTAATTTTTTTTTTGATGTGGAGTCTCGCTCTGTCACCCAGGCTGGAGTGTGGTGGCACAATCTCGGCTCACTGCAACCTCCACCTCCTGGGTTCAAGCGATTCTCATGCCTCAACCTCCCAAATAGCTGGGTGTACAGGTGTGTGCCATGACTTGTGGCTAACTTTTGATTTAAATTTTTTTTTTTTTTTTTGAGGTGGAATCTTGCTCTGTCGCCCAGACTGGAATGCAGTGGTGCAGTCTCAGCTCACTGCAACCTCTGCCTTTCAGGTTCAAGCAGTTCTCCTGCCTCACCCTCCTGAGTAGCTGGGATTACAGGTGTACACCACCACACTCGGCTAATTTGTGTATTTTTAGTAAAGACGGGGTTTCGCCATGTTGGCCTGGTTGGTCTTGAACTCCTGACCTCAAGTGATCCACCCACTTCAGCCTCCCAAAGTGCTGGGATTACAGGTGTGAGCCACCGCATCTGGCCTATCTTGATTTATTTATAATGACTATCTACAGAAACAACTCATAGTCTGTGGGGTTTTCTTAGTGTATTTTCAGGAGTCAAAAATCTAAACTTTAAAAAAATCTGTAAATTTAAGGTAGATGCTGACTGAATGTGCTGTATTTTTCTTTTTAAACAGGAATATTAAGAAAATCACTTTGCCAAGTATTGGTCGATTTCGTCACTTTACCAATGAAACTTTGCTAGATATTTTATTTTATAACAGCCCCACCTACTGTCAGACAATTGTGGAAAAAGTAGGAATGGAGATAAACCATCTGCATGCACTCTTTATGAGTCGGAACCCAGACTTCAAAGGAGGTGTCTCTGTTGCTGGTCACAGTTTAGGTAAAACTGTCAAATATTCACATTTTAAATACAATTTTTGTTGAGTCATAACTGCTTTCAGTGTAGGTGATATTGTTAGTGCAAAATTAAGAATTACAGATTTTAAGTTTCAGAAAAGGTAGAAATGAATGCTCTGAGTTTAGATTCTGCCTTTTCTATATTCACCTCTAGTATTACCTAGGGAATGCTATGTATTTTACTTTATTCTGCTGTTTGATAAAATAATTAATTATCAGGTCTTGAATAACATGTAACTTCTGTATGACTTTTGACTATAGACAGTGAAAAAAGAATTAGTGTTATAAAAGTACCTACTACATTATAAGGCAAAATGTTTCTTTTTCATAGGTTCTTTAATATTGTTTGACATCCTGTCTAATCAAAAAGATTTGAATTTATCAAAGTGCCCTGGACCTCTTGCTGTTGCTAATGGAGTTGTGAAGCAGCTACATTTTCAGGAAAAGCAGGTACGTCTGTACGTGGCCAATTAACATTTCGATTTAGAGTCTATGGAGCTGAACAATTTTCAAAAGTCTGAACTGTTTCTTGAAACTTTTGTTTGTTTGTTTGTTTGTTTGTTTGTTTTAACTGAGCCTCATTGGTTGCTTGGGCTAGTCTTGAGTTCCCTCCTGGCCTCAAGCGATCCTCCTGCCTTGGCTTCCCAAAGTGCTGGCATCAATAACTCTTCAGAGAATCCCCAAATTCAGAGTACAGTTATAGGCCCAAATATAATAGCTTCCGTGTCCAGCCCTGAAACTGGTTTTACATATTAAAGTACACCGAGGTTTAGAAATGGAATGGAATCATATAGCTCATTATTTGAGTTTCTCACTCTTCTTCTTTATGGGTTATAAATTTAAATGTGAAAGTTTGTGATTTTTAAAAATGTAAATTATAGGAAATGGAGACTTGAGTGATTTATTAAATTTATATACTTTTCAGAATATTCAATTTTTTTTTTTTTTTGAGGCGGAGTTTCACTTTTGTCACCCAGGTTAGAGTGCAATGGTGTGATCTCGGCTCACTGCAACCTCCGCCTTTCGGTTTCAAGCGATTCTCCTGCCTCAGCCTCCCGAGTAGTTGGGATTACAGGCGCCTGCCACCAAGCTGAGCTAATTTTTGTGTTTTTAGTAGAGACAGGGTTTCATCATGTTGGCCAGGCTGGTCTTCAACTCCTGACCTCAGGTGATGCACCTGCCTCAGCCTCCCAAAGTGCTGGGATTACAGGCGTGAGCCACTGGGCCTGGCCAGAATATTCAAACTTTGAATGGCAAAGTACTGTGCCTAAAATTATGATTTCTGTGTAAAGCAAAATTGTTTGAGAGTTTTCGTAGATCAGCAGTCATTATATGGGAGTTTTTCTGAGCTTGTAATGTTTTTCATACTTTTTTTTTTAAAGATGCCTGAAGAGCCAAAGCTGACTTTGGATGAGTCGTATGACCTTGTTGTTGAAAATAAAGAAGTCCTAACTTTGCAAGAAACTCTGGAAGCACTTAGCCTCTCTGAATATTTTAGCACTTTTGAAAAGGAAAAGATTGATATGGAGTCCCTGGTACTGATCATAGTTTGCTTCATTTTGTTTGAAATTGTTTTTCTTGTGTAGATTGAAAATTAAGAATAAACATTTTCGTATCAAAATACACTCCAGAGTAGACAAAGACTGAAATGTTTTAAAAAATTGAAAAACACAGAAGAATATTTTTTTATAATCTGAAAGGCTTTTCTGAGTATGATGCAAAATCCAGAAGCCATCAAAGAAAAAAATTGTATAACAGTAGACACCATAAACAACATCTAAAGGCCAGTGATACATTTGCAACACACATTATAGACAGAGGGCTTACTTCATTGATTTTCAAAGCTTCTACAAATCAGTTACAGAAAGACCATCACATCAGTGTGATATGTAAATAGGCAAAGAATATAAACATGATTTACAGAAAAGGAAATAACAAATGGTGTCTTCGCATATGAAAACTCATAAGAGAAATGGAAATTGAAAGTACAATGGGATTTTTTTTAACTTACCAGTTTGAAAAAATAGGAAGTTTGAAAATATGCTATGTGGCCAGGGTGAAGGGAACTAGGCATTGTTATATATTGTTGGTCAGACTGTAAAATATTACAAACTCTTTGGAAGGCAGTTTGGCAATATCTTTAAGAATATAAAAATTACCCTTTGCTTCATCAGTTTCATTGCCAGGAATATTTCCTATAGAGAAATATTCAAACAAGAATTATCTACAAGGATACTCACAGCAGTGTTTGCAAGGTAACAAAACATTAGAGACACCATTGGTGTTGAGGAGTAGGGTGCTAGTGAAATCATTTATGGTGCATCCGCATAACGGAGTACCCTACAGCTGTTGAATGAATGATGCAGTGTCAGAGATACCCGTCTCTAAGGTACATTTACATGAAGAGAGCAGAGTTCATTACTGTGTGCATAGTAGAGCACACACACAGAGAAAAACATGTAAGTGCTATGCATACATAAGACATCGCTTCAAAGAGAGCAAGTTTCCACAGTTGCGCTGAGAGGAGAATTCTATGTTTGGGACAGCAGTGGGAGGAAGATATTTCATCGTATGCTTGACTATAGCTTTGGAATTTTGTATACCATATGTGTATTTTCTGTTAATTAATAGAATGATTTAGGTGTGGAAGCCTAAGATTTTATAGCCTAAACTGATGCATGATTTAAATACAAAATAACTAACTTGTAAAAAGTTGAGTGGCTCTTAGATTGCTTTAGATGATGTGGTTTCTTTATAATTTTCATATTCTCATTTCAGTTCTTCTATCACTAGATTGATTAATGTGCTTGTCTGTTTCCTTTTAAAGCTTATGTGTACAGTTGATGACCTGAAGGAAATGGGGATACCCCTTGGACCCAGAAAGAAGATAGCTAACTTTGTAGAACATAAAGCAGCCAAACTGGTAAAGTTCACCTCTGACTCAAGAAAAACTAAAACTCATGGTGTGACCAGCTCGTTTATATTATAGAAAATTTTAATACTACTATGGTTAGGTAAGCTAGTTTGCTCCCTACCTAGGGCACAGTAATGGAGCTGATGGAAACCCAGACTTAGGAGTCAGAGTTGGGCTTAAGTCCACATTAGGCTAAGTGACCATCCTGGTTTTCCTGGGACTAAGTTCCTAGGATGAAGGGCTTTCAGTTTTAAAATGGATATTTAAGGTTTTCCTGGTGCAAACAGTGGTTAAGTTCTGACAAATAAATTCTCAGCTCAACTGCTCATTAACTGCGTATTAATGAGCAATTTGTATTTGGTTTTATTCATTTGTTTATTTTGAGATGGGATCTTGCTGTGTTTCCCACTGCTGGTCTCAAACTCCTGGGCTCAAGCTATCCTCCCGCCTCAGCCTTCTGATCATGAGTGATTTTCTTAATTTTTCTGATCCTTTGTTTTCTTCATTTCTAAAATGGAATAATACCTTCCTTACAGGATTGGAGTAAGCATGAAATAATGCATGCAAAGCTTAGCACCAAGTAATAGCTCACTTTCTTCCCAGTCCTTACCATCTAAAGAGATGAGGAAAAACATACACACTGAAGTCTTAAACACTAAACAGCAAAAATTGTTAACAATACAAAACAAGGCAACAGCTAAAAAGCATTTAAAACTAGAACAACTGGAAAATATACTTGTTTTATTAATTTTAATTTATTGATCAAATTAATTTTACAGAGGTTTTCTAATTAGAAAAATTAGATGACTCTTAGGGTGGCCGTCTTATTTGTATTGTTATTAACATGCTCTTTGATGATCCTTCCATCTTTTGAATTTCTATGGTTCTATTATTTTACTACCTGTTTGGAACTTAACCTACATCATTTCTTTATATGGGAAATGACTATAAAGTCATAGGACTGATTTTTTTTTTAATGGTTAGCTTAAGGAATTGAGTCTTCTCAGCATTTTATTGAATAGCAGCTACCTCTTTTGAGTCAGGCACTGTGTTCAATTCTTGGGAGCCGGAGATTAACCAAGAGTGTGCTGTCTAGTTGCGGGGAGCACGTTGAGCTCAAATGACAACATACCAGCCCCATAATAGCGTGCTGTGTGTGCTGTCCTGAGGCAGATGAGAGGTGGCAGTTCTGGCTTGTTGAGACAAGCATGGGGTTGGTGAGAGAAGACTTCTCCAAGGTGATGGTGCTTGAGCTTGAAGGAGGGGTAAGGTCAGGGGAGATGGCCTTCTGGAATCTGGCATGTGTTTTCCTGTAGCATCAGGGAAGCTGGAAACTGGGAAGGGCAGAGGGTTCCAAAGGCCCAGGTGGCAGGTGTGGAGGCTTGGATTTTCTCTTGTAAGGGAGTGGTTTTCAAACATGTTCTTATGGCCATGAAAGTCATGGTGTTTTTAAACATTACAAAATGCTGACCTGCTTATTCTATCACAAGTTATGATTTAGCACCAAATCATCTGTGTAGTCTAAATTTTAATTTTAACTTTTGGACTGTGGAGAGTTTGCTTGGTCACAGTGCACAGATGAAGTTGGAAAGGCGTGAAGTGGAGGCGGCTGCAATCTTACATAGTAGTAATTGTAATTGTACAGTGACTGAAAGAGAGATGATAGGGGTATAAGGTAGGAGGTGGAGAGGAAGGGAGCAACTCAAAAGACATTTTAGACATAGACAAGCAGTATTTGATTAAGTGCTGAGAAAGGTTATTAGTTTTGGCAGTTAAGAGGTATCTTTCATGTCATTTTTCTTGTGTGTTGAATCGTTCTGTAATTCCAATTTACAAAGAGCTTTTCATCTCACCTGAGCCTCACAACAACCCTGTGAGTAGATCCCCAGGCTTTTGTCTCTGATGAGCACAATAGTCAAACTGAGACTAGGACACAAGCATGTCAGTGTTGTTTCTGTATACAGGCTGCGTGCTCCATACAGAAAAATGCTTGTCTCCGTGTATACATCAGTGAAGCAAAAGCCTATAAAAAAAAAAACAAAAAAAACAAGAAATGAGAAGCTTTGTGTTCAGGCCCTACACCATGTTCTTAATTTATTCTGTAATGAAAGGGAAAAAAGTAGAAAAGGATTCTATAGTTCTTGAAGAATTTCTAGAAGGAGACTGGTTTATGGACTGCAGTTGCTTAGATATATAAATTATGGCATTATAAGAATGTTTTGAAATGAGCAAAAATCTATAGAGTGATCTTATTTTTTAAATTAAAAGGTAATTGCCTTTGGATGAACCATGAAACTTTCTCAGCTGAGTTGCCATTGATTGCTTTACACTTCTTACAGATAACAAGGTGCTACTAGATCAATACAAAAGTAATATGGTGTGTCCTGTTGATTTACTGTAACTGAAATAATGGGACCAAAATTAGCGATTATTTTATAACAAGGAGATCAAATATTTGTGATATTTGTGACTGTGTGCTTTTTTTTTCTTTTTAAAGCATCTTAGTAATTTTCATTTGAAAAGGAATTGTTTCTAGTGTTGGGGATATTGATAGTCAAGTATGTATATGTTGGTTCCGTTTTTTTTTTTTTGAAAGGGAGTCTTGCTTTGTCTCCCAGGCTGGAGTGCAGTGGCACGATCTCGGCTCACTGCAACCTCTGCCTCCCAGGTTCAAGCCATTCTCCTGCTTCAGCCTCCCAACTAGCTGGGATTATAGGCGTCTGCCACCACACCCAGCTAATTTTTGTATTTTTAGTAGAGATGGGGTTTCACCATGTTGGTCAGGCTGGTCTCAATCTCCTGACCTCAGGTGATCCACCTGCCTTGCCCTCCCAAAGTGCTGGGATTACAGGAGTGAGCCACCACGCCCAGCCTATGTTGGTTCACTTTTAAACACTGTTGGTTCACAGTTTAAAAAGTATTGCAAATTTAACAAAGCAACTCTTGGCAACAGGACAGTTTCTGATCTCCTTAGACAGCTCTCAGCAATTTAGAATGTTTTATGAATTTAACAGGAGGTACTTCTGAGTGAGAAAGCAGATTTAAAGTGAGGAACCCTGAAAATGTTCCTTATTTCGGATTTTAGGCTTAATTTTGTGTTGCCTCCGAAGGGCAGAGATAACCAAGCCTTCTAAAACATTAACGGTGGAAACAGTTACAAGCTGGCTAAGAGTTTTCTTTTTTATAGATTGCCTTTTCAATTAACCAGTTACTTACTTTCCTGATTTCCTGGTGTTTGGAATTAAATAATAAGATCATTTTGGCCAGCTGTGGTTGTTTAGGCACTGTCGATAGCTGTTTAAATCGAGACTAACACTTAGCCATTCACAGCCTAACAAGTCCCCCTCCCACCCAACTGTTTAAATTTCTCTGATGTTATTGTTGCTGCTGTATTCAAGGCAAATTAGAAAACCAGTGTGAATGGCTTTTCTCTCGTTATAGAGATAACACCTTTTTTTTTTTTGAGACGGAGTCCCGCTCTGTTGCTCAGGCTGGAATGCAGTGGCGGATCTCGACTCACTGCAACCTCCGCCTCCCAGGTTCAAGCAATTCTCTTGCCTCAGTCTCCTGAGTAGCTGGATTACAGGCGCGCGCCACCATGCCCGGGTAATTTTTTTTGTATTTTTAGTAGAGACGGGGTTTTGCCATGCTGGTCTCAAATTCCTGACCTCAGATGATTCGCCCGCCTCGGCCTCCCAAAGTGCTGGGATTACAAGCGTCAGCCACTGGGCCCAGCTGAGATAACACCTTTTATATAGATGCCCCAAAACTTTTGTTTATTTATGGAAACGCATAGATCTTTTAAAAAATTATATTTTTTGAGACAGGATCTCACTCTGTCACTCAGGCTGGAGTGCAGTGGCGCACGCATGGCTCACTGCAGCCTCCACCTCCTGGGTTCAAGCAATCCTCCCACCTCATCCTCCCAAGTAGCTGGGACTTCAGGCATGCACCACCATGCCCAGCTAATTTTTCTGTTTTTTTAGAGATGGTGTCTTGCCATGTTGCTCAGGTTGGTCTTGAACCCCTGAGCTCAAGAGATCCACCCACCTCAGCCTTCCAAAGTGCTGGGATTACAGGCATGAGCCACTGTGCTGAAATGCATAGATCTTCAGTGTGCAGTAGGGTGAGTTTTCACGATTGTATGCACTTGTGTCGTCACTGCCTAAAACAAGAAATTGAACATTTCTGAGTTCATTTCTATGTTCTGTGTTCATTTCTGTTTCATGAGAGAGCTCAGGTAGCTCCCTCATGCTTCTTTCTAGTTAACTCCTCCTACCACAAAACCACTCTTCTGATTTCCTTCAATATGGAATAGTTCGCCTATTTTAAAAATTCATCTAAGTAGCATGAACAGTATGTATTCTTTTATACCTGGTTTCTTTTACTCAGTATTTTTGAGATTCGTCTAATGAGAGCCAATACTTCTGCTTAGTTGTAACTGTCTTGCTATACTTTCTTTGCTTCTTAATTATTTTTCTTAAGAATTTTAAACTATAGACATCATGACATTTGTTCCCTAAATATTTAGTATGCATTTCTAAAAAGGACATGTAAACATTTTTTTTAATTTAAAAATTTTTTTGAGACAGGTCTCTCTCTGTTGCCCAGGGTGGAGTGCAGTGGTACGATCACAGATCACTGCAGCCTTGACCTTCTAGGCTCAAGTGATCCTCCCACCCTAGCCTCCTGAGTAGCTGGGACCACAGGTGTGCACTACCAGGCCTGGCTAATTTTTTCTTTTTTCTAGAGATGGAGGTCTCACTATGTTGCCCAGGTTGGTCTTGAACTCCTGGTCTCGAGCTATCCTTCCACCTTGGTCTCCCAAAGTGCTGAGATTACTGGGGTGAGCCACTGTGCCTGACCTGGACATTTTTTTAAATTAGCTGAAGCAAAAGCTGCAGAGAATAAAAAGGCATTTTTTAAAGTAATCACAATGTTGTTACTATTCCTAAGAAGTAGCTAATCATTCCTTAATACTGAGATAGCATGTTTTGTAATGATAGCTGAGAGCTGAACTTTTTCTCATGATTATGTTACTAAATTTTGGTATTTTACAGAAAAAAGCAGCGTCAGAAAAGAAGGCAGTGGCGGCCACTTCTACAAAAGGACAAGAGCAAAGTGCCCAGAAGACTAAAGACATGGCTTCCCTCCCCTCAGAATCCAATGAGCCAAAGAGGAAACTTCCAGTTGGTGCTTGCGTGTCTTCTGTGTGTGTGAATTATGAATCTTTTGAAGTTGGCGCCGGACAGGTGAGTTTACATATTGACTGGGGCTACATAGTTCATGTTGGAATCATAATCTTTATCATTTGGGTTGGCTTTAAGTTCTTTAAATATTTATTTAACATTTATTTGTGATGTGGAAAAAACTGATTTTCTCTTAGTGAAAATTTTTTTCTTCTTCAACAGTGCTCACAATAAGGGATTAAATGCATACAGAACGTGTTGTCTAACTTTTGAAATTGTCTCTATTTCAGTTTTCCCACCGCTCATACTTTTATAGCATCAGTCTCTTATAGCCACTAACAACAGAAGTGGCCATAGTTAAGAAATTATGTTCAGAATATACTTCAGTTTCTGTGAGAGCAACTTGGCTGTATTCACTCAACTTATGTTTCCTAGTACTCATAATTCTTCCCTTGGGGAAAAAGTCTTATAAAAATTGACCAATGCTGCATTTAATGATATACTTTAACATACTTGTATCACAGTGGCTTTTAGAATTATTAAAATCCTTTTAGACAGTGTTACTGTCAGGATATTTACAGTTGGGTATATAAAGATGCATTTCCATAAGTAAGTTCATGAAGGTACAAAATGAAATTGGATGTTTGATTTGTATTAAAAATGAAGTTTTAGAGGAATATATTCTTATGTAAGTAAATGTTCCTTTACAACTTCATTTTCTTTTCTTTTTTCCCTTTTTGGAGACAGAGTCTTGCTCTGTTGCACAGGCTGGAGTGCAGTGATGCAATCATAGCCCATTGTAACCTCAAAACAAGGGTTTAGGGTTTGGGTTTAAGGGATACCTCCTACCTCAGCCTCCCAGGTAGCTGGGAGTGTAGCCCTGCACCACCACACCTGGCTAATTTTTTCATTTTTTGTAGAGACAGTCTTGCTGTGTTGCTCAGGTTAGCCTCGAACTCCTGGCCTCAAGCAGTCTTCCTGACTTGGCTTCGCAAAGTGCCAGGATTACAGGCATGAGCTACTGCATCGGGCCTCCAGCTGCATTTTTAATGACTGCCGTAATCAGTAATGACTAATTTCACTGTTTGGAGAGATAATGACTTATTCTTATTTCCTTATTATTGAAGGTATTAGTTTCTTAAGGCTGCCATAACAAAGTTCCACAACCTGGGTGGCCTTGAACAGTAGAAATTTGTTGCCACACAGTTCTGCAGAGCAGAAGAGATAGGGTGGTGGTGGGACTATTTTCTCTCTGAAACTTGGAGGGGAATCCTTTCGTGTTTCTTCGAGCTGCTAGGGATTTGCTGGCCATCTTTGGCAGTTATAGGTTTATAGATGCATCCCTCCAGGCTTCTTTTCTATGTCATATTCTCCTTATCTCTTAATATCATCTTCCCTCTGTGAGTGTCTGTCAGTGTGTCCAAATTTCCCCTTTTTATGTATCAGTCAGATTAGGGCCACCACAGTGATCTCATTTTAACTTGATTACCTTTTTAAATACCCTATTTCCAAATAAAGTCACATTATGAGGTATTAGGGGTTAGGACTTCAACATAAATGTTTTGTGAGGACACAATTCAACCCATCATATTAAACATGTAGGCAATTTCTACTTTTTACTCTTTTAAGTAGTCTAGTGATGAACATTTTAAAGCCAGTTTTCTGTGCACATTTTTTATTATTTCTTCCAGTTAAGTTGGTAGACATAGGGTAGCTGGGCCAAAGGATGGACACAGTCCCTTCGCTGGGAGAGACATCAATCTGTATTCTCACTGGCAGTTTAGAAGGTTGCCTGTTTCCTCTGTCCATTGCCAGTACTGGTATTATCATTTTCCTTTAAAAATATGTAGTAGTTTCACTTTGACAACGCTATTGTAAAGAATTAATTTTTTGTGTGTATTTTCATACAGTTTTTTTCTTTCTTGTTAGTACTTCTTACTTTTTAGTATTTCATTTACGTTTCTGATAACCCCATAGGGAAAATGGTATCACACTGTATTTCTTTGAGCACTAGTGAGGTTATTTTCTCATATGTTTTTTAAACATTTTTCTTTTGTGAAGTGTTGAATTTACCTGTTTTTCTATTTGGTTTCTTTTTTCCTTTACTGACATTTATAAAATATTTACATATTAAGGTTATTAGCTCCTTGTCATGTATGTTATAAATATTTCTTCCAGTTTGTAATTGTTCTTTAACTTTCTTTTTCTTCTTTTTGTTTGCTGGAACAAAACTGTCGAATTTGCAAATATAAGGGCAAGCCTAGGAATGTGAAGTCTAGACTTTGTTAGAAGGGGCAGCTTAGTGTAGTAGAAAGAGAATTGGATTTGGAATTAGAAGTCCCACATCTAAGTCAGCACTCCATCACTCACTGGCTCTGTGTTCTTGGGTTAAGTCATGTCACATATTTGAGCTTTGCCATAGGCATAATGGTTCTTGCCTTGCCTCCCTCTTTCTATGGACCTCTGTTGAACACTTGGATTATGCCATTCATTGTGCTTCACTCTCAAGATACTAAAATAAAAAGACACATTTCCTGCTACTGAGAAACAAATGAAAGAGCTTTGCAAATTGTACAGTGCTATTCAGATGACAGTGCTTTCTCTTGAGAGAGGCTACATGTAAGCTACTCAAAATGTGCTCTTTCAGGACAAATCATTTTTCTGATGGAAAGAAACTTAACTGGAGAGGATGATAGTTATAATAGTAACAGAAGTAATGCTCATTGAGTGCTTAAGCTGTGCCGAGCTCGTGCTAAGCACTTTATGTGGATTAGGTTATTTATTTTTCAATCACATGTGAGCTTGGCATTGTTATAATCCCCATTTTATAAATCAGGAAACTGAGGTGGAGGAGAGAGAGGTTAAGAAACTTGCCCAAGGTCACACAGTGAATGAAACCATGATTCAGACCCAGGCAGTTTGAGTTTAGAAGTCTAAAGTTTTAACCATATTTATAACCATAATAAATATAGTAATTCTTATATACTATTATGCCGTGCAAAACAATATGTAAAAGTATAGCCAGAGGATATAATAGTCTATAAAGATTTTAAAGAGAAATTTTTTAGTACTTTTTTTTTATTTTTTGAGATGGAGTCTTGCTCAGTCACCCAGGCTGGAGTGCGGTGGTGTGATCTTGGCTCACTGCAACCTCCACCTCCCGGGTTCAAGCGATTCTTCTGCCTTAGCCTCCCAAGTAGCTGGAACTACAGGCGCATGCCACCATGCCTGGCTAATTGTTTTATATTTTTAGTAGAGACAGGGTTTCACTGTGTTAGCCAGGATGGTCTCGATCTCCTGATCTCGTGATCCGCCCACCTTGGCCTCCCAAAGTGCTGGGATTACAGGCATGAGCCACCACGCCCGGCCTGAAAATTCAAAAGAATTTTCTACTAGGTGACATTGGAACAATCATCTTTCATTGTTATTTGATTCTTTCCAGGTTTCTGTTGCTTACAACTCATTAGATTTTGAACCAGAGATATTCTTTGCCTTGGGGTCTCCAATTGCTATGTTTCTCACTATTCGAGGAGTTGATAGGATAGATGAGAATTACAGCCTTCCTACCTGTAAAGGGTTCTTCAATATTTATCATCCGGTGAGTAATTGAATTTACTTTGTTTTTTAAAATCCTTTTTTCTTTTTTAAACATTTTTTACTTTTTTATAGAGATGGGGTCTTACTATGTGGACCACACTGGTCTCAAACTCCTGGCCTCAAGTGATCCTTCCATCACAGCCTCCCAAATCGCTAGGATTATAGGCGTGAGCCACTGTGCCTGACCTTTTACTTTCTTTTTTGAAGAAGATGAAGAACCTGTCCTCTTTATCCTAGTAAATTCTCATATTCTTATTTCTTGGGAATTAATACCTATCTTGATTTTATAAGGTTCAGCTTTCTGTTCTAAGAGGTATAGTCTGACACTTTCCAATAAACTTATCAAAAGCCTTTGTTCAGGGAAATAATTCTTTTGCTTTGCTTGCAAAGTAATCTTACACACAAACTAGAAAATCTTTTCATAATTGTCAGTATTTGAATAAGGTGTGGAGAAAAATAAAAATCTCTGATTTGCCATGTATCCATTTTCTTACCCAGCGAAGGCATATAACTCAAAACAGCTTTCATAAATTTCTTTTATTTATTCATAAATTCTTCTATTTATAGCTTGATCCAGTGGCATATAGATTAGAACCTATGATTGTTCCAGATTTGGACCTAAAAGCTGTTCTCATTCCACATCACAAAGGCAGAAAAAGACTTCATTTAGGTAAAAAGCAAATACTATAAAAACTTTTTTTCCTGTCATTTGTAATCTGTAATGAATTATGAAAATTTTGACACTAAATCGTCTCTGAGAGAATTAATATTATTTAAGTGCCTACTATGTTCAGAACTTTTAAACTAAGAATTTGGAAGAGCTTTAACAAAATTACAAATGAATTATTTCTCTTTGATGGCATTCTAATTGTCAAGGTAATTAGGAATAGGGAGAAGTTGGTAATAAGGCAATAAGATGCATAATTAGATTTTGATAGAGTTTGGTTACAAGTTTTGGAATTAGGAAGAAGAACAGTATTTAAAGTAATGAACAGACCATCAAGAAATAAACTTGATGTTGTCGAAGTGAGCTGTTATTTTCTTGCTAACTAGACACACCTTCCTGTTAAAAAAATTCATTAAACATAATGGATTGGTGATTCCAAGTTGAATTTAGGTTTCTCTTCTTCCTGTTAATGGTGTGTATTAACGCTACATTTAAAAGTTTGGGTGGAAGGGATGGGAGGGGTAGAAGAGAAGGAAAAGTGATTACGCACTCTTATGTGAAAGTGTGTTTTTTGTTTGTTTTGCTAACATGCTTTTTAAAAATATTGAACTCTTTTGAAGTTAAAATAAGGCATGCGTTTGATAACTCAGAGACCTTGAATTCACATGTGATTATTAGACAACAGTAGAAAAAGTGAAGGAGCAGGGATTTCTTCATTTCTAAATTGGAGTTTAAATTGTGGTTTTATCAGAATGTTTAATTCTCCACTTGAACCTGGGAGGCGAAGGTGGCAGTGAGCCAAGATCGTGCTACTGCACTCCAGTCTCCGAGAGACTCCGTCTCAAAAAAAAAAAAAAAAAAGAATCCTCAAAACCACTTCCTGTTTACAGATTAGAAAAACAGTGATTTTTAAATCTCGTAGGCCTCTTTTTATTTTTATTTTTTATTTTAAATAGAGACAGGGTCTCACTATGTTGCCCAGGCTGGTCTTGAACTCCAGGCCTCAAATGATTCTCTCTTCTTGACCTCCCAAAGTTTTGGGATTACTGGCATGAGCTACTGTGTCTGGCCCCTATGTTTAAACTTACAGTAAAAACAAACAAAAAAGGCATAAGAATGTGCTTACATTTTTTTTTTTTTTTGAGTCGGAGTCTTGCTCTGTTGCCCAGGCTGGAGTGCAGTGGCACAATCTTGGCTCACTGCAAGCTCTGCCTCCCGGGTTCATGCCATTCTCCTGCCTCAGCCTCCTGAGTAGCTGGGACTACAGGCGCCTGCCACCACGCCCGGCTAATTTTTTGTATTTTTAGTAGAGACGGGGTTTCACCGTGTTAGCCAGGATGGTCTCGATCTCCTGACCTCGTGATCCACCCACGTCGGCCTCCCAAAGTGCTGGGATTACAGGTGTGAGACACCGCGCCTGAATGTGCTTACGTTTTTATGGTATTTGAACTTCTTTTATTTGGAGAGAGAAAATTTATAGATTTTTGCTGGATCAAGTTTAGTCATTAAAAAAAAAAGCAATAAGACTATCCATGACATTTTAACATGCTGAGGGTTCTTGGCTGAGGCACTCCGTATATTTGACATTGAAAAGAGGAAGAAACAGTCTTATCCTGTCTGAGAAGAGTGTTAACTTACAATTTTTGTGAGGCAGAAGTTTACCCAGTGACTAATTAACTTGTTGTGTCATCTTAATCTCTTTAGAATTGAAAGAGAGTCTCTCTCGTATGGGATCTGATTTGAAGCAGGGTTTTATTAGCTCTCTCAAAAGTGCTTGGCAGACATTAAATGAGTTTGCCCGTGCTCATACGTCTTCAACCCAGTTGCAAGAAGAATTGGAGAAGGTGGCCAATCAGATCAAAGAAGAAGAAGAAAAGCAAGTAGTTGAAGGTAAATTTGACATTTGAGGCATTTTCTAATACAAATGTTTCATATGAACATAATACTTAAAAGTTATATGATGATGCATTTCCTTTCTAGACTTTTTGGTTAAATTATAGAAGCTCTTTAAAGGAAAATCTGTTAAGATAAACTGTACTGTCAATAGCATTACTTCAAAATCCATGCCATCTTTTTTTAGTGGGTTTTTATCTGATAGTTACTGAACTTTTTCCTCTGCAATTTAAAAATTATATTGAGATTCTTAAGGCCAGAGTGGAATATCCGAGTTGAGAACTCAATTTGTTTTAGGGTTTGCATTTTAAAGACTCAATCTGAGAGGTTTTCTTCCTGAAACTGTTGTTTAACTATGTTACAGACTTGACATGCAATGTGAAGGTCATCGTGCTGTGATGTTTTTGACTTCTTCAGATTCTAATCCTGTTTCCTTTCTTTCTACAATGCTTTCTCACCCCTTATCTTCACAACTTCTCTCAGCTTGTTGGCTCTTTTCTCCTCTCTCTCGGGTAACCAGCCCCTCTTCCCCTGGCTCTTTGGAGGAACGGGGAGTGAGCCTGGTAGCTCCTCAGGTTGCTACATGCGTCAAGCAGTATTCTCATTGAGCCCAGAAAGTCAGCTAAAGTCAAAGGATAAAGATTAAGTGATTGACTTTGATATTGAAATGGTTTAAATTCTAGCAGAAAAGGTTGTTGAAAGTCCAGATTTTTCCAAGGATGAGGACTACTTAGGAAAGGTTGGAATGTTAAATGGAGGCCGCCGAATTGACTACGTTCTCCAAGAAAAACCAATAGAGAGTTTTAATGAATACCTTTTCGCTCTTCAGAGTCACTTATGCTATTGGTAAGTGTTCTTAAATTTGGTAACATTTGAGTGGGCTTTTGGTGCTAGCACGTGCAGCAATTTTAGTTTTAGTGAGATTCTTTTACTGATACAATGTACTATGAATATTCATTTGAATTACTATATGTTCAGAATCGTTATTTTTCCCCCTTAGTTACCCACAAGATGGCAGTATGTCATCTGCTTTTGACCAAAGACCCTTGGTTCTTGCACACTGTTTTTGTGGGAATGCCTTTCACAGTGGGAGTGGTAGGGACTTTGAAATGCCATTCTTTCCTGTATCCCTGTCACCAAGGAGAATTGCAACACAGCTATTTTGGAGCTAATCAGTATTCATCTAGTTTTTAAGGACAGCTCTGAGATTACGCTGCTTTATTTATTACACTGAGATTACATTGCTATCATTTGCCCTTCTTAGATAGAGTTGAATAGAATAGAACCTGCATTTTCAACCATTGTGCATAGAAGTTAATTTCTTCTAATTGTCTCTTAAGTAAATATGCTTTTCCTTTTCATAGGGAATCTGAAGATACTGCTCTGTTACTACTTAAAGAAATTTATCGAACAATGAACATTAGTCCAGAACAGCCCCAGCATTGATCAAACTTCAGTTTTACTGTGTGAGTTTATCCTTATTGAATGTATAAATTCTGAATGTTTGCATTCTCAAATCTGTTGTATGGAGTTGATGTTGACTGATTTTGCTTTTTTCTGTTTCCTCTGAGTTTTTGTCGTCGTTTTTAAAAATTTGCAATAGAGACATTAAGGAAGATAATTGGTTTGTAATTTACATTTCTGATTTATTACAGTCTTCTTTCTAAATTTACATAGAATTTGAGTTATTTTTAGTTTCTTTTTAAAATAGATTCCCAAGAATATCAGTTAGGAATTCCTTTGGTTGCAGGTTCACAGAACCCAGTTTACAATACATTAAACAAATAGAGGTTTATTTTTCTTCCGTAACAAGAAGGGTTCTTCTGTTGAGTGACTCCACCAGATACCCAGAGTGCTTGCCTCTTCCCACCTGAATGTTGGCTCTTGCTGCCTCATAGTTATAAGGTGCCCCCATGGTTGCAGATACCATATCTACATTCACAACATGAATAAGAGGGGAGAGGGTAGTACTCCTCACATCTGTCGCTCTTAATTAGGGAAGCAGAAGCTTGTCCAAAAATTTACTCATACCTATTGACTAGGCCTGTGTCTAATGTCCAATATCTCCAGTCTGTATGAAAGATTGTAGAAGTAATGTTTTGAGCATTCCCAATCTTTATAGAGGGAAAGAATAGAGAAGGAGGTTAAGTCTGTGATGGGTCAGCTGACGTGCAGCTCAGCCACACTCTGTATTCCTAACTGTCCTCCTGAGACACCAGATACCTGGTTTTCCTCACTAGATTATGCATTACTTTTAAAAACAAGTAATGTGTTTTTTACAAAGTTAGAAATTTTAAAGGCTTTGAAAGAATCAGACACAAAATGCTGAGCTCTAAATTACTGAAATCAAAGGAAGTTCCTGCCATTTTTGGTTTTCTAATAGTAAGTGGTAAATGAACATTCCCTTCAGCCTCATCTTCTACCTCCTCGTTTTAGAGAGGTAAGTACTTTTAGTAGGGCTTCCTTAGAGAAAGTTTTTTGGCTCCATTTCCAAAATTAAACTTGTAACAAAGTAAAAGAAAACTAAAGTGTAGGCCAGGCATGGTGTCTCACACCTCTAATCTCATCACTTTGGGAGGCCAAGGCGGGCAGATCACCTGAGGTTAGGAGTTCGAGACCAGCCTGGCCAACATAGTGAAACCCCGTCTGTACTAAAAATACAAAAATTAGTCGGGTGTGGTGGCGGGTGCCTGTAGTTGGGAAATGCAAGGCCAGAAGTGAAAGATGGCTTTCCCATAACTCATCCCCAACCTCCCTGCCTAGAGGCAGCCAGTGTTCCACGTTTTGTGTATCCTTCCAGATATCTGTTAACACATCACACACACTTTTAAGTTTTTCTTTTTTAAAAGACAAAAGAGGCTGGGTGTAGTGGCTCACGCCTGTAATCCCAGCACTTTGGGAGGCCGAGGCAGGTGGATTACTTGAGGTTAGGAGTTCAAGACTAGCCTGGCTAACATGGTGAAACCCTGTCTCTACTAAAAATACAAAAATTAGCCGGGCATGGTAGTAGGTGCCTGTAATCCCAGCAACTCAGGAGGCTGAGGCAGGAGAATCTCTTGAACCCAGGAGTTGGAGGTTGCAGTGAGCTGAGATTGCGCCACTGCACTCCGGCCTGGATGACAGAGTGAGACTCTATCTAAAAAAAAAAAGACAAATGATAGCAAAATTGACACACCGTTATTACCTTTGTGTCTTTGAGATTGTCCCATATCTATCTATCCATCCATTCATCCATCTGTCCGCCCATCCGTCCATTCATCCATCCGTCCAGTATCTGTTGAGCACCTTACTTAAGTGCCAGGTATTATTTTAGGTATTGGGTTTCACAGCAGTGGACCAAAGCCTCTGCCCTCAAGGACCTTTTTTCCTCTAATGGAAGGCAGACAGCACGTGGACAGTTGAAATGAACCACATGGTAAAGACTGAGCAGCTGGACAAGGAGGAGAGGAATTCATTTGGGATGGGTTCAAGTTATTAATGTATATAAGATGGCAAGGGACCCCCTTCACGGGTAAAGTAAAGTGTCATTTGAGCAAGCGAGCCAGGTGGATATCTGGAGGAAGAAGACCACTTCAGGTGGAGAGAAGAATCTGGATCAGAACATGAGAGTGACCTCGTTCTTTTTAGGTATTCCATTGACTATTGCACCATAATCTGTTTAAGCAGTCCCTACTGATGGGCATTGAAGTTATTCTAATCTTTTATTAGTATGAACAGTACTACAGTGATACGTGATATTTTAATAGTTGCATTTCATTCCATTTTATAGTTCTTTTATTAAAATACTTTATTTTACCCCATTGTTGGGTGTTAGATGATTTTCCAAATTTTCTCCATTATAAATAACTCTGATATGTAGTTTTACACACTTTTTGCCAATCTCTGTTTGCTTTGGATACATTCTTAGAAGCAGTGTTCTTATTTCTGAGAATATTGCATATTTTGAAAAGATTTTTGGCTGGGTGCGGTGGCTCATGCCTGTAATCCCAGTTTGAGAGGCCGAGGCGGGCAGATCACTTGAGGTCAGGAGTTCGAGACCAGCCTGGCCAACATAGTGAAACCCCGTCTCTACTAAAAATACAGAAAAATTAGCAGGGTGTGATCTCACCTACTTGGGAGGCCGAGGCAGGAGGATCTCTTAAAACCTGGGAGGTGGAGGTTGCAGTGAGCTGAGATTCCACCACTGCACTCCAGCCTGGGCAACAGCATGCGATTCCGTCTCAAAAAAAAAAAAAAAAAAAAAGCTTTTTGATCCCTACATTTTGCTAAATTGCATTCCAGAAAAGTTGCTCAATTTTCATATTTACCATCAGTATGTAAAGGCCAGTATGCTTGCACTCTTGGAAACACTGGGTATTACTGATTAAAAAATTTTTTTTTGCTAATTTGATAGCCAGAAATAGTTATAATACCGTTTTTACTTACATTTCTATTATTAGTGAAGTTGAGCTCTTTGGGTGTATCTTAACTGGCTGATTATATTTCTTTTGTCAGTTGCCTGTTCATGACCTTTGTGTTTTCTTGGAGGTACGGGGTAGGGTCCTTTTCTTTCTTTATTTTATTTTATTTTATTTTATTTTTTTTAAGACGGAGTCTTGCTTTGTCGCCCAGGCTGTAGTGCAGTGGCGTGATCTCGGCTCACTGCAAGCTCCTCCTCCCGGGTTCATGCCATTCTCTTGCCTTAGCCTCCCGAGTAGCTGGGACTACAGGCGCCCGCTGCTGTGCCCAGCTAATTTTTTGTATTTTTAGTAGAGACGGGGTTTCACTGTGGTCTCGATCTCCTGACCTCGTGATCCGCCCGCCTTGGCCTCCCAAAGTGCTGGGATTACAGGCGTGAGCCACCGTGCCCGGCCAGGGTCCTTTTCTTTCTTATGGATTTATAAATATGATACTTAAGGATATTAACCTTTGTCATTATAAGTATTTTTTCCCAGTTTGAAATTAGCCTTTTATTTTTCCTTATACTTTGGATTTTTTTGGCGGCAGTTTGAGGGGAGCATGTTTTAAAAATACGTAGCCCTACGCTGGGCATGATGGCTCACGCCTGTAATCCCAGCACTTTGGCAGGCCGAGGTGGACGGATCACCTGAGGTCAGGAGGTTGAGACCAGCCTGGCCAACATGGAGAAACCCCATCTCTATTAAAAATACAGAAATTAGATGGGTGTGGTGGCTGGCACCTATAATCCCAGCTACTTGGGATGCTGAGGCAGGAGAATTGCTTGAACCCAGGAGGCGGAGGTTGCAGTGACCCTAGATTGTGCCACTGCACTCCCACCTGGATGACAGAGCGAGACTCCGTCTAAAAAAAAAAAACAAAAAAACAAAAAACATAGCCCAGTCTTTTATGATTAATTATTTTTTAGATATTTACATTTATTTTCTTTTTAGTTCTTTTTTTCCCCATTTGGCTTTGTAATTTAGAAGAGTAAGGTGTAGAGAACAATTTAACTTTTTTCTTACATAATCGTTTCTGTCTGTGCCATATATTGAATAATGTACCCTTTTGTCATTGGTTTGATATTTTTATCATATGCCAAATATTTTGCTGTTGTTTGACATTTTAATTAATATTTGTTTCCTAGGCTTTCTCATCTCTTCTGGTGATTTATTTGTCTATGATACTTCATTGATTTCAAGCCATTTATTTTCCACATTTTAACATATTTAAATTTGTAATGCATCTTAAAATCTGCTGTTGGGGCTGGTGCAGTGGCTCATACCTGTAATCCCAGCGCTGTGGGAGGATTACTTGAGCCCAGGAGTTTGAGACCAGCCTGGGCAACATAGTGAAACCTCGTCTCTTAAAAAAAAAAAAAAAAAAAATTTAAGTCAGCTGTTGCCTTAACGGAAGTTGAGTTCTTTCTGAGAAGCTGTGCATTCTCTTCTGCTGGTCACTGGGGGAGGGGCTTTACCAACTTGCCTCTGCTTAAGCTAATTTCTCTGCTTGGGATTTTTTAGGATGATGCTGGTAGTGTGATTTCAGCCCCCAAAATTTGCAGGGATGGGGTTGTCAGTTCAGATATTGGAGTTTTTGTTCCCTCTTTCCATTGTCAAGGAAGAGGTGCGCAGGCCTCTTTGCCATCCCTTCTGCATGTAGTTGCTTGCTTTTATCCCTCATTGAGACTATAGATGTTTAGTCCCCCACTTTTTGTGAGGGGTTCTCCTTTGAGACTCCCTTTCTGGGCATCTTTTTATGGTACATAACAGTGAAGTGTCACAATCAACAGTGTCTTAGATTTGGTGAAATATGGTGTTTTAATAATTGTAATTTTTTACATAATATCTGGCAGTAGAAGTTCTCAGTATACCATAGTCTTTGCAGTTATCCCGAATGAAGTTCGAAATAATTTAAGTTCCCCTGACGCTCTCTCCCCTAACAAAACAAAGCAAGACAAACAAAACCAAAAGAATAGTAATTCTAGGATTTTGCCATCACCTTATATGGAAAACTCAGAACCTTCTATTTCACATATGATTCGTTCACTATAATTGTTTTATTTACTTCTTCTTACACTTGGCTGTAAAATTTAGGCAAGAATTTAAGTTTCTAATACTATACTAATGTCATAAGATAATCCATTTAAAATGTTAACAATTATTCTATACATAGTTCATTCAAGCTTAGATCAGTTTTGCTGAATGGTTGTTTTATGTTCATGTCCTTTTAGACCTTTTTAGGATTGTTCTTTGAAAAGCCTCAAATTGGCCAGGTGTGGTGGCTTACACCTGTAATCTTAGCACTTTGGAGGCTGAGGCAGGCAGATCGCTTGAGCTCAGGAGTTCGAGACCAGCTTAGCAACATAGACAAGACATTACTTGTCTCTACTAAAAGTAAAAAAAAAAAAATCACTGGGGCATGATGGTGTGCACCTGTAGTCCCAGCAACTTGGGAGGCTGAGGTGGGAGGATTGCTGGAGTTCGGGAGATTGAGGCTGCAGTGAGCTGTGATCGTACCACTGCACTCCAGCCTGGATTATAGAGTGAGACCCTGTCTCAAAAATAAATAATTAAATAAAAAATAAAAAAGCCTCAAATTAACATGGCAGATAACTAACTTTATTTTTTATTAATATTTTAGCTGGTCACGGTGGCTCATGCCTGTAATCCCAGCACTTTGGGAGGCCAAGGCGGATCACAAGGTCAGGAGTTCGAGACCAGCCTGGCCAAATAGTGAAATCTTGTCTCTACTAAAAATACAAAAATTAGCCGGGCGTGGTAGCACACACCTGTAGTCCCAGCTACTTGGGAGGCTGAGGCAGGAGAATCTTTTGAACCTGGGAGACTGAGGGTGCAGTGAGCTGAGATCGTGCCATTGCACTCCTGCCTGGGCGACAGGGCGAGACTCTGTCTCAAAGAAAAAAAATAAAATAAAATATTTTAATTTTTTGAGAAGGGGTCTCACTCTGTCACCCAGCTTGTGTGAGTGCAGTGGCGCAATCTTGGCTCACTGCAACCTCTGACTCCCAGGCTCAAGCGATCCTCCTAACTTAGCATCTCGAGAGGCTGGGACCACAGGTGTGCACCACCACGTCTGGCTAATTTTTTTATTTTTTGGTAGAGACAGGGTTCCCCCAAGTTGCCCAGGCTGGTCTCGAACTTCTGAGCTGAGATGATCCACTTGCCTCGGCCTCCCACAGTGCTGGGATTACAGGCGTGAGCCACAACACTTGGCCATAACTAACTTTAAATTGTGTCTTTTACTCTCTGTACTGGCTTTGCTATGAAGAAATCATGCTGGTTAATCTTACTGAGTGTTTCCTGGGCATTCTTGTCCCTTTGGAAGGCCTGAGGACTTGCTTACAGGCTGTGCTCTTTGGAGGCGGTTTGCAGTGTTTGTCAGTAAAGTTGAGCACTGGATTGTCCATTTTTTTTTTTTTTTTTTGAGATGGAGTCTCACCCTGTCCCCAAGGCTGGAGTGCAGTGGCGTCATCTTGGCTCACTGCAAGCTCCGCCTCCCGTGTTCACACCATTCTCCTGCCTCAGCCTCCAGAGTAGCTGGGATTACAGGCACCCGCCACCATGCCCAGCTAATTTTTTGTATTTTCAGTAGAGATGGGGTTTCACCATGTTAGTCAGGATGGTCTCGATTTCCTGACCTTGTGATCTGCCCACCTCGGCCTCCCAAAGTGCTGAGATTACAGGCGTGAGACACCGTGCCTGGCCGATTGTCTGTTCTTTTACTTCAGAAAAGACAACGATGCATGGTATTTGACTGTAAATTTGTAAAGTTCACTGAGGTTTTTTTTTTTTTTCCTTTTTAAGACTTTCTTGTCTGCACAGAAAGTCCCAGTACAACTTCCATTGCTGAGAAAATCCTCAGAGGACTTTCCCACTTCGCTCCTGTGATGGATGACAGAAGAGTGATTCATTAACAATTGCTCAGCCACAATTCTCGGATATAGGGATTCAAAAGACAGGACACAGAACTAACACAGTGAAAAAAATCAGTACCACATTTGGACAGTATAGGTGAGAAAACATAATTATAAAAATGATGCCATGAAAAATTCCACAGATCAGTTTAGTTGTATAGTTGTCAAAGTTATATGTGATATCAATGAAGAAATATTTGTAGCATGTAAACGGTTATTTCTGTTTCTTAAAAAGTATTGTTAGTGGGCTATTAAACTTGGATTTTTCTTTTTATTAATGCAGTATGTTCTTTTTATTCAAGTATGAACTTGTTGAGAAACTATAGTAATATGATTTTTAAGAGATTTATGTTCTACTTAAAATGTGAATTGTACTTCTGAGCTGCCTTAATGCAAGGTCATTTATATTTGTTAAGAGGAAATAATCAAGATCACTCATATCCCAACTGAATCTGAGGTTTTATAAATCCCTCAAACGATTGCTGAGAGCCTGATTGTGGAAAGAAGTGAGATGCACCTTATTTTCAAGAAGTCCTGGGAAGCGCTCTCCTAGCACGTCCATTTCCAGGAGGAGAAGCAAGCAGATGAGAGGTTTTCCATTTTGTCATCCAAGGTAGCTGTGCACTTGCCTTGTTGCTGAAGTTCCAATAATGTGAAAACCAAAGTAGAGGTTTTTTTCTTCTTCTTTTTGTTTTCTATTAATTTCACTTATACCAAAGTGTTTGAAAGTATGAAATGTGTTGCTTCTGAGTTATATAAGGCTACTTCATGACAAGACTGCTTTGTAATATTTCACTTTGTTTTACTACAAATTCAGATCACTTTGTTTTACTATAAATTCAGATTATCCAAATATTTTCCTAATACTATGTGGGAATGCTGATTTTCTTTTGTTACGTAGTGGAAACATTTTGCATTGTTTACATAGTTCTCATGGAACATGGAAATTTTTGAAAGTGATATATGATACACATTTTTTGTGTATGTATTCTAATTAGTGTGAATAAAGCAGTAACATTAATGCATTTTTTAAGCAGCAAACTTATGTATTTCTCTTGTCTTCCTTAAAAGTGTCCCCATGAACTCAGTGTTTATTCCCTTTTCATTTTGAGTACCTGCTTATATGGTCAGTATGTAACGTTAGCATTGGCTCCTAATGGTAGAATTAGAACAGCAAGATTGTAGAGCTGTAATTGACTCCAGACAACATAGATTTCAGCCACCTCATTCTACAGCTGAGGCCAGGACAATAAATGCCTTTCCCAGACTGGGTAGTGGCAGATCTGGGATGGAATATGGTTTTCTTGATTCCCTTTCAGCCTTCATTTCTCTCTCTCAGGACTACTACTTTTTAATTACTTTTCACTTAATTTCCCAATACTGATGAAATAAAGAAAAATGAGGGTTATTTATATACATTTCAATAAAATCCAATTTGATTTTTCAACTTACATCTGATTTTTGTTTGTGTCATTCAGCCTGTCTTCTGAGTAATGGGCAGAGAAGGACCAGGGTTCGTAGAAGAAGCATGTGGCAGCTGAGTGGCAGCAGTCTTGCCCTTTCATTTTAATACTTGAGTACACAGAAAATAGAATTTTTGAGTGACTCTGCCTGTGGATATATATACTCATACATACATATATATATATACACACACACATATGTATGTATGTATGTATTACTATTCAGTCTCTTAAAAACCAAAAAACAGTAGATCCCCTGAGGGTAGAGTCTTTATGTATGAACATATTGTTCACTGTTGTAACCACCTTGCAGGATTTCAGTCTATAAACTAGGTGAGAATCCAGCTGCTGAGTGAAGCTTGATCTCTGCCTCTTCCTCAGGAGCAGCTCATCCCCTGACAACCTCCCCTCCCAGCCCCTAATCTGGTTTAATGCCCTCCTTTTCCCCAGATAAAGAAAGTCATGTCTGTAGTTATTCCAAAAGTGTTTCATGTGTAGAGTTTGGCACAAAAAGTAAAAAGCGCCAGCATCTGAAGTCAAAGGTGAAAGAGTCATCACAGTACTGATGAAGACACCCAGGCCTCGTCAGCTATGTTAACGTGCTGTATGACAAGAGGAACCTGCTTTCTAAGTCTGCTGGACACGCGTGCTTCTTGAATCCAACCAGACAAGCATGTTTTCTCAAAACCACAGTATAAGACAAGGAAACTGCACAGATTCGAGTGATTTTTGAGGTAAGTATGTTATTGGAAAGGTGTGATCTATATAGAACCCTGTACATGAAAAGGAGGAGATGCCGCTATCTTGGCAGGGATGATCATGTATTTGAAATAGTAACTCACAGCATTTGGTCTCATGATAAGAGTACTGAAGATTATCCCAGAAAACCTAGGATGATTGGTATTTATAGTACCATTGTTTCAGGTTTTTATGACTTGAGGCATCTAACTATCTTAATGCTGTACTTTAGTGTTTACCAAGCAGCTTTCTGGTGGAAACTTGAACTGCAGACACTGAGTGTTTTGGTTTTCCTCCAAGTTATAGTTCTCATTGTAACTTAATAAGTTGGCATTCCAGCTTAGTTTGAGTCAGTTTCCCAGGGCTGGGTCCTCAGAGGAGAGTGGATAGAATTCAGTTCCTCTATGAGCTGGGGTGCTGACATTGTGTTCCTGCTGTTGACTGTCCCTGCGGTGCACGGGACAGACTGTCAGCTAACCTGTCTTCATGACATTTCTATAATACTCCTCAGGGGGTTAACCCCATCTCTACTAAAAATAAAAAAAATTAGCTGGGCATGGTGGCATGTGCCTGTAGTCCCAGCTACAGGAGGCTGAGGCAGGAGAATTGCTTGAACCCAGGAGGTGGAGGTTGCAGTGAGTTGGGATCTCGCCACTGCACTCTAGCCTGAGTGACAGAGCGAGACTCTGTCTCAAAAAAAAATAAATGAATAAAAAATAAAACAGCAACTCTTGCAGATTTCCCGAATGTATTGGTCCCAGAGAACACTGAAAATAATGTCATGTTGTTAACACCAGTGGGAGTTTGGGAAATAATTCCAGCTCTTTAATACTTCTTTCAGCTTCAGATTAAGTGAAATGAGTTTCACATATTTCAATATATGAAATTTTATGATGACACATAAAACAGGCCAGGGGTTATTGAGGACACATCTGTGAGATAGTGGGCAATGCTACATATTCGTTAGTGGATGTGCTGCAGTTCAGGTTCATGGACAGGTGGGACTGGTGTGGTTGGGATAACCCACCATGTTTGTCTTTCATTTCTTGTATAAAGAGTGGTTTTTAAAAGACCTTACTATGGAATTTTCACAAATACTCAAAAGTATGGAGAATGGTACAGTGAATCCCCATGTGCCCTTTTCCCAGCTTCAGGGGTGGTGTCAGTGATAATGATTTGGCTCTGTGTCCCCACCCAAATCTCATCTTGAATTGTAATCCCCACGTGTCAGGGGAGGGACCTGGTGGGAGGTGATTGGATCATGGGGGCTGTTTCCCCATGCTGTTCTTGTGATAGTGAGGGAGTTCTCACAAGATCTGATGGTTTTAAAAGTGGCAGTTTTCCCTGCACTCTCTCCTGCCACCTTGTGAAGAAGGTGCCTGCTTCCCCTTTGCCTTTCGTCACAATTGTAAGTTCCCCGAGGTTCGTCATGATTGTAAGTTTCCTGAGGTCTCCCCAACCATGCAGAACTGTGAGTCACTTGAACCCCTTTTGTTTATAAATTGCCCAGTCTCAGGTAGTACCTTGATAGCAGTGTGAAAATGGACTAATACAGTCAGGGACCTAAAAGACAGGTAAAGAGATGTGGCCAGGTGAAGACGGAAAAAGGACAGTGCATTCCAGACCTGTGGAAAGACGCGAGGTTGGAAAGAACATCACAACTGGGGCGACTGAAGAAATTATGTTGTTAAGCACGAAATGCAGAGAGAGAGCTATGTGAATGTGTTGAGTGTGATTTTCATTAAACAATTTTTAAAGAAAGCATTTCTAGTGGTGCTTTTATTTTTGCAGCCGCTTAATAGCATTCACTCTTGTTGAAAGGAGCACAGTTTGGAATATTGGAAAGTGCTTGCTACCAGCTAAGATGCATTACTCTCCTATGCCGCTGAACACCTGTGCCCAGCTGTTTCTTTGAGGCCAATTTGCTCCTCTTTTCAGGGTATATTTACTAGTCAGGAGTTGTAAAGCTATTTTGAAGAGCGCTTCTGACCCCTAGAGCAACTTCAAGTGAAGGAGGCTGTTGTAGTTCCCTGGCTGTTACCTCCTGGAAGAGGCTGGGGAGGGAACTCATGCGTTTTGGGTGCTGACTGTGTCTTAGGCACTGCACAAGCTCTAGCTCATGTGTGTAATCTTTACAGAGGCGATTGAGGGAGTTGTCATCCTTGTTTTACAGAGGCGATTGAGGGAGTTGTCATCCTTGTTTTACAGAGGAGAGAAGCAAGGCTCGTAGAAGCTACTCATCTTGCCCAAACCTACACAGTTAATGGCAGGGCAGCATAAAGAAAGTGTGCTTGTGCCTCAAACATAAAAATAAAGGGAAACCTCTACTATAGAAGGATGTATTTTCAAATACTTACAAATTGCTGCCTCTTTTTGCAAACATTTAGGCAGTCAAAGCCCATTTTAATTTTTTTTTAAATGTGGGAGTAAAGACCTTGTGTTAATGAAGATCCCCAAATTGTTCTAAACAGTATAAAGGCCAGGCGTGGTGGCTTATGCCTGTAATCCCAACCCTTTGGGAGGCTGAGGTGGGAGGAACACTTGAGACCAGGAGTCCGAGACCAACATGGGCAACATAGCAAGACCTTGTCTCTACAAAAAATAAAAAAAGATAGCTGGGTGTGATGGCACATGCCTTAGTCCTAGCTAAGGATGTCGAGGCTGCAGTGAGCTGTGATCGTGCCACTGCTCTCCAGCCTGAGAGACAGAGTGAGATTCTGTATTTTGTATTTTTAGTAGAGATGGGGTTTCACCATGTTGGCCAGGCTGGTCTTGAACTCCTGATGTCAGGTGATCCAACCGCCTTGGCCTCCCAAAGTGCTGGGATTACAGGCATGAGCCACCGCGCCCGGCCGAGATTTTTTCTTGATGCTGTGTCTCATTTAACGCAGATACCTTTCATCTAACTTTTGTAAAAATTCATTTTCTGATACCACTTTTCATTTTCTAACACATTTTAGAATCCAGCCAAATACTTCTACATTTTTGCCTGTTTTCCAAATCAGTTTTGTCAACATCCGAATCTAGCATGACTGTGACCTTGGATGACTGTGTATGACTATCTCCCTTGGCCATCACTTTTTATTGCTGGGGTCCTAAGGAGTTCTACCCTTTATATAATCAGGATAATTTTGTTAAGTGACAATAATAGTCTGTTAACCTCAACTGTTGTCAAATATAATGAGTTTTGAATTGATTTTGAGACTCAATAAAAAAATTAAGTCTTCTCCAGAAGAAACATGTTAAAATTAAGGTTTCAGAATCCTTGGGCATCTCTGTAGTCGAACACGTGCTGCTTATGTGTAAATAATTAAATTCAGTCTGGTGGCTGGGTTTTAGAGCCATATCTGTCACCACTTTCTTTGGTGCTGACAGAACATCATCAACATTCTACTCCGTGGCATATCTGAAAGTTCTGGAAAGCATTCTTGAATTGCAGGAGGGATCATGGGGAGTCAACTGGAACTAAATTCCCATTTGCTAAGATCCAAAAAGAAATGAACATTTAAAAAGTTTTTATTTTATAGATGTTTAAATTTGCATAGTATAAATCCCAACCAGCTTGAAAGTGGTCACTTTTTATTTTTATGTTGACAGTTAAGTCTCCCGTATTTTTAGCTGTGGAAGAAATTGTACAGATTTTCTTATGGTGAACTTTTAACAACTTAAAAACGTGAAAAGGACATAAACAGACAATTCAGTAGGAAAAAAAAAACCCAGTTGAAGAAGATGTTCATCCTTATTACTTATCTCAAAAATAAAAATTAAAATTTATAAAGAGATGTCTTCTTTTTAACTGCTCATATTGGCAAATAAAAAGAGATGGGCCCACAAGCTCATATATTGCTCATGGGAATATCAATTGGTGCTTCTTTTCTAGAAAATGACTTGGTGTAATATGTATCAAGAGCCTTAAAATGATCTGTGTCTTTTAATCCAATAATTGAACCTTCAGAAATAGAGTCTTTAAAAAAAAAATGGACAGGGCTGGGCACAGTGGCTCACACCTGTAATCCCAGCACTTTGTGAGGCCAAGGCGGGCAGATCACTTGAGGTCAGGAGTTTGAGACCAGCCTGGCCAACATGGTGAGACCCCTGTCTCTACTAAAAATACAAAAATTAGCCGGGCATGGTGGCATGCGCCTGTAATCCCAGGTACTCGGGAGGCTGAGGCAGGAGAATCGCTTGAACCTGGAAGGTGGAGGTTGCAGTGAGCCGAGATCGCGTGACTGCACTCCAGCCTGGGTGACAGAGCAAGATTCCATCTCAAAAAAAAAAAAAGAAAAAAAAAAAAAGACAAAAATTTATGTAAGCTGGATTATTCATCATGGGAAGTTTATAGAGTGGAAACCTGGAAACAAATGTTCAGTGTGGCTAAATAGGATGGTCAATTTGGTAAGAAACTGGAGGAAAGAAGGGAGGATGCCTTGAAATGTCACAGATTTCTAGTCTTGGTCACAGGTGTCTTATCAGACAATAAAATCCCGTGGACACATCAGTGCAAATCTGTTTATTTCTGTAACTATGAAAACAACTCAAATGAACGCTGTTATTGGCAGCTTTGCAGCACCATCTGTATAAAGTCAGCACAGCAGACAGAGGCAGAATGCTGCCTGAAATAACAGGGTGGTCACTTGTATGTAAACAGTCCATTCTGGGAGACCAGTGGATGCGCAGACGTGTATAGTTTGAACCGTGGCTGGAGTGCAGACTCAGGAATCTGCCAACCAGTCCCAGCCAATCTGAGAAGGGAGGGGGTGTGATTACGGTTGTAGATAATGACAAAGCCAGAACTAGGGTCTCAGTCTCCTGTGTCCAGATCCATTCATGTCCACCTCGAGTCCAAAACTGATTAAGAGCTTCATACATCATATTGACGTTTGTGGCACAGGAATGGCACAGGCACATTTTACAGGTAAGGAAACAGATTTTAAAAGTTGAGTGACTTGCTCAAGATCACAAAATGATTAAGTGGTAGGATTGTGGTCAGCGTAGAGAAAGCAAAAATTTAAAAATTAGATGAAAATCCAAAAAAATCCATTATTTATTTTGTTTTATTTATGAATGTTCTCCCAAAGTTTGGAAAAAATCTCTGAGTGTGTTGATCAAGATTCTGTTTCTAGTGGATTTGGAAGGGAGAGGAATATGTGATTATCTAAAAAAAAGATGATCTCAGCTGGGCACAGTGGCTCATGCTTGTAATCCCAGCACTTTAGGAGGCTGAGGTGGGAGGATTGTGTGAGCCCAAAAGTTAGAGACTAGCAATATAGGGAGACCTCATCTCTACATTTTTTTTTTTTTTTTTTAGATGGAGTCTCGCCTGTCTCCCAGGCTGGAGTGCAGTGGTGGGATCTTGGCTCACTGCAAGCTCCGCCTCTCGGGTTCACGCCATTCTGCCTCAGCCTCTCGAGTAGCTGGGACTACAGGCGCCTGCCACCACGCCTGGCTAACTTTTTGTATTTTTAGTAGAGACGGGGTTTCACCATGTTAGCCAGGATGGTCTCGATCTCCTGACTTCGTTATCTGCCCGCCTCAGCCTCCCATAGTGCTGGGATTACAGACGTGAGCCACCATGTCCGGCCGCACTGCAGTGGTTTTTATAAACATCTTGTTTTTTTCTCTCTGTTGGCTGGTGCTCCCCACCTGTCCAGCAGTCCCGACTTGGTGTTCTGTTCAGGTCCCACATTCACATTTGAGGGAGCAGGTACATGGTAAGGGTGGCTATATTATCTGATGTAAAATGCAGAGCCTTTAACTTTAGAAGCTTGAGTCGTAGATCTACAAGAACTTTAAAAGCATTTTTAGGCTGGGTGCTGCAGCTCATGCTTGTAATGCCTGGCACTTTAGGAGGTTAAGGTGGGTGGATCGCTGGAGTTCAGGAGTTTGAGACCAACTTGGGCAACAGTGAGACCCCGTCTCTACCGAAAAACAAAAAAATAGCTGGGCATGGTGGTGCATGCCTGGGTCCTAGCTACTTGGGAGCTGAGGCGGGAGGATTGCTTGAGCCTGGGAGTTCAGGGCTGCAGTGAGCTGTGATCACATGGCACTCCAGCCTGGCAAGACCCTGTCTCAGAAAAAAAAAAAAAAAGAAACACTTTTAATAGTTACTAATTATTTCTTTTCTTGGATCATGCTTCCACTTTGCAGATGGCTTTCATGGACTTTACTTCATTTGACCTTCGTGCTTATTGAGGGAAGAAGGCAGGACAGGGATGATGGTCTCCATCATTTTATTTTCATTTTTTAAATTGACAAATAAAAATTGTATATATGTTGTATGACATGATGGTTTGAAATATGTATACATTGTGGGATGGCCAAATCAAGCTAATTAACATATGCATCACCTCATGTACTTAGATGACCTCCATCTTCGTAGAAGGGAGAGCTAAGAGTCCCCGAACTGACGCGACTTGTCCAGAGTGACTCAGGCGTGAACGGTGAAGCTGGGACTTGTCTTATATCTTCCTACTCTGGGTCAAGGCCTTTTCTGTGATACTGTTTTGCTTCTCTATGGAAATAGATTATTGGTAACTGATAGGCCCTAAAATGAGTGAATAGGAAATAGCTCTTGGCACTGTGTTGGATTAGAAAATTAGGAAAATGCAAAAAGGCATAAATGAAAAAATAAAAATCACATATATTCTACCCGTGCCATTTTGCATTTTTCCTTATAAAAATTTGATCACATTATAATCTTTGGAACTTTTTTCCTTTACTAGAATGTGAATTGTTTTCATGTTATTAAAAAAATCTTCTATTAAGATACTAGTTAAGTAAAAATCCATTTTTACTTAACCAACCCCCTATTTGATCTTTGGATTGTGTCCATGGTATGGTTTGGCTGAGTCTCATCTTGAATTGTAGTTTCCATAATCCCACATCTCATCTTGAATTGTAGTTCCCAATTCAAGTCTCCCACCCAAGTCTCATCTTGAATTGTAGTTCCCATAATCCCCACGTGTTGTGGGAGGGATCCGGTGGGATATAATTTAATAATGGGGGTGGTTACCCTCATGCTGTTCTCATGAGAGTGAGTTCTCCACAAGATCTGATGGTTTTATAAAGGGCTTTTCCCCCTTTTGCTCAGCACTTCTCCTTGCTGCTGCCATGTGAAGAAGGATGTGTTTGCTTCCCCTTCTGCCATGATTGTAAGTTTCCTGAGGCCTCCCCAGCCATGCTGAACTGTGAGTCAATTAAACCTCTTTCCTTTATAAATTACCCAGTCCTGGGTATGTCATTATTAGCAGTGTGAGAATGGACTAATACAGTCCAGTTTTCTAATTATGTGTGTGTGTGTGTCTGTCTATCTGTATCTCTGTGTATGGATAGAAAGATAGATATGTAGATAGATCCACCTTTTGATGAACCTGTTTTCAGAGAAAGCTTTGTGAATATCTGACTTAGGTTTCAAATTCAGTTTACACTGCACAGGTAAGATTCCTCTGAGATCAAGTGAAATGGGAAGTTGCTAAGGAAATGAGATTTCCTTCACTTGACCCTGAGTCTTCATTCACCCTCTTTGAAGGCTCATCATTCTCAAGATTTTGTTCCCTGAATGGCAGTGTTGGCATCCACCAAAACTCTATGATAAATTTAGAGTTAAACCTCAGCTACTTAGCTAGGTAGTAAAGTGACTTTTCTGTTATTCAACCAAAAATTAATTTTACCAAAGAACCCAATGAGAGAGAGAGAGAGAGTGTGTGTGTGTGTGTCACGGAAAGTGTGAATTCTGGAAGGCATTCCATTGAACACAGTGGCTATTTAATACATTTCCCAGGGCTCTCAAGTCTGATTCAACTAGAAGGAGAGAGTTTACCAAAAGGCAGTAGTTTGTGTCTGAATCCTGGGTTCACCAGTGGATGCTATTTAAATGTGACTTGCACATATAGTTATGGAATATGTAACTTTTCTGGAAAGGACTAATATTTTAGAAAGTTTTGAATTATCTAGTTTATGCCATGTATGTGATTTGTATTATATTTGTTTGTTTTCATTCAGATGCTTGTGTCTTACTTTAGTATTTGATTTGATCGACATAGCTAGTATTAGCAATATTTTAAATCATTTTTGCAGTATCGGTGGCATTTTATTAATTTACTTTTATTGTAAAATGAAATTTGCCTTTGAAGATGTCCCTTTATTTTCAGAAAATCTAATTATTAGCTATAGGTATTATTTTCCCACAAACCTGTTTAGCTCCTCTAATTTACCTTCCTAAAGCTCTTAAATCCAGATTATGTATATGAGAGGAGAAGAGAGAGATCAGAGTAGTCCATCCCCTGTTTCGTCTTGCCAAGAAATCTTGTCTTCCAGATTGTAACTGTTTCCTTGTTGCCTTTTTTTCCCCATCCAATTTTTAGTACCCAGCTTGCCACATTTTCAACGGCTAATGCCATGAGGGAGATTTGCACTTTCAGTAATGGTGGACTAACTTACTGTATACCAGCCCTCCCACTGAAAACAACTAGAAAATATAATGTATGTAAAAAATCTGTTTGAAGGTAGCAGAGCCTCCCAAGGAAGTGAGGACATGAGGGGCCACCATCTCAGAGAGAAAGGAAGCACAGCAAAGTAAGTATGGCATTTGGTGCCACTTCTCCCTTCGAGGTTACTGCCAAAGCAGAAAGTGGCAAATGAGAGGCTGAAAAGGTGAGAGAAGAGCCTCTGGCACTTATAGGATGGAGAAGAGAAAAGCTGTATTTAGGGCACAACAAGCAGACAGAGCTCTGGTATGTACCTTGGGTCTATTTCTTCAGAAGGGGATGAGCCAGAAGTAGAGAAACCCTCACAAAGACAAGCCCACAGTTAAATCAGCTTAATTATTGATATTATTAGGGTGATCTACGCCTCTTTGAACTGACTTCCAGAAGCAAAACAGATTGCTTTTGGGAGGAAGATAACATCACCCAGTGCTTCAAATTACTTCTATAGTTTGCCATACACAATGTCTAATCTACACGACTGAAAACCAAAAGGAAAAAGCACAGTAAAAACAGATCTACAGTAGATCCAGACATTGGAGGTATTAGACACAGACATTAAGGTAACTGATTAATATCAAGACATTAAATCCAGTTTAGTGACTTCTAGTAAAGAACTGGAGATAAAAAAGAACTGGATGGAAATTCTAGAACTGAGAAATAGAACAACAGAATTTTGAGGGTTCAATAGTGGGCTTCACAACAGATAAGGCAGTTGAAGAGACAAATAGTGAATTGGAAGGTAAGTCAAAAAGAAATGGACTGGAGCAGAGAGAGGAAAAGGATTGAAAACGCAGGAAAGAGTATGTGAGACACACAGGATATGGTGAAAAGTTTCACGTGTGTAACTGGAGTCCTTGAAGGCAGGGAGGACAGAGATTAGGGCAGGAGCAGTATTTGAAGGGATCGTTAACAAGGATCTTCCAAAACTGGCTCATGGTTTCAGGAAGTACTGTTTACCCTAAGCCGGGCAAGAAAAATGCAAAGAAAACCCAACACTGAGGCGCATCATGGTAAAATGCTGGGTGGCTTTAAATCACTTCTTAAGTCGTTACTTGACAAAGATGTCTTGTACTGAACAGGCCTTCACATAATGGGCAGACACCATTTCTGTGAATTTCCACAGTGGCTTTTATAGCTTTGCCTTTAGAATTCTTCCCAGTCACATCTCTTTTTTGGGGAACACTTCCCAAGGACCAGCCTTGGCCCTTAGTAAGGTTGCCGTGCATGCACAACTAGTGTCCTCTGTGCACCTTTGTCTGTAATTCTAGGGGAGAAACAGTGCCACTGCCTCATCTGCCCCAACAGTTCTTTCACTGTGTCATATCACTGAGGAGTTGGATGGGGTGTAGGCCAGTGGCTAAGAGCACAGGCTGGAAACAGACTACCTATGTCTGATCAAGCTCTTGTTCCAACACTTACTCATTGTATAATCTTGGACTAGCTACCTCGTCCTAGCTTTAGTGTACTAAGTGTACAAGAAGGGTTATAACATTCCTTACTTTTTAGGGCTATTACGAGATTTAAATGAGCCCATGGGTGTATGTGTTTTACATATAGAAAACAATTAATAGATGGGCTTATTTTTAAATCTCCTTGACCCATTTCTTGAACCATATATTTCTCCCTTAATAATAGCTGAGGCTTCTTCAAACTTTTTATGCCTGGTTTGGTCCAGTGGGAACTGAACATGAAAGGAGAGGAGATGGTGTACATTTTATATCAGAGCAGAGAGCTTAAAAATTAATCTCTTTAAGTATGTACAAGAGTTGGTGGACTTCACTCTTTAAAGGAGGAAGTGAACATGAAGTCTGAAAAGTTTCCAGAGTTAGAGAAGGCAGACCCTGATAAAACACCTGGATAGGTTAAAGGATTTTCTCCTTATAGTAAAAGTTAACTTTTCTGACCCAATTTAAATTTGATTTCCTGTTTCTGCCTTAAAAAAAATTGATGCATAGAATGCACCATCTTCTGTATCAGAAAATTCTTTCATAACAATTTCCATTAATGGAATCATTTCTTCCTCCCTCCCTCCCTTCCTCCCTTCCTTCCCTCCTTTCCTCCCTCCCTCCTTCCTTCTTTCCCTCCCTCCCTCCTTCCTTCCTTCTTTCCCTCCCTCCCTCCTTCCTTCTTTCCTTCCTTCCTCTTCCTCCCTCCCCCCTTCTCCTTCCTTCCCTCCCTCCTTCCTTCCTTCTTTCCTTCCTTCCTCTTCCTCCCTCCCCCCTTCTCCTTCCTTCCCTCCCTCCTTCCTTCCTTCTTTCCTTCCTTCCTCTTCCTCCCTCCCCCCTTCTCCTTCCTTCCTTCCCTCCTTCCTTTCTTTCTTCCTTCCTCTTCCTCCTTGCCCCCCCTCCTCCCTCCCTCCCTTCCTCCCTTCCTCTCTTCCTGCTTTTTTCCTTTTCTTCTTTCTTTTCTTTTCTCTTTTCTTCCTTTCCTTCCTTCCTCTCCTTCCTTTCCTTCCTTCCTTCTTTCTCTTTCTTTCTTTCCTTTCTCACGCTGTTGCCCAGGCTGAAGTGCAGTGGTGCAGTGATAACTCACAGTAACATCAACCTCCTGCACTCAAGCAATCTCCTACCTCAGTCACCTGAGTAGCTGGGACAACAGGAGCGTGACACCATGCCTGGCTGATTTTTAAAATTTTTTTTTATACAGATGGGGTCTTGCTATGTTGCCTAGGTTGGTCTTTGAACTCCTGAGCTCAAGTGATCCTCCTGCCTCAGCTTCTCAAAGTGCTGGGATTACAGGCGTGAGCCACAGTGGCCATTGTATCTTTTATTTCTGATTCAACTCTGGACATCAACCTGACTACTTTTACTTCTTGGTTAATACATTTTTTTCATATATTCACATAAATTTCTTAATCTACACACTAGATATTTGACTTCTCCTTAAGTAAATACATATGTATACAATTTAAATTGTAATTATAACTACATTACAGAAAATTGGAAAATAAATTTCACCTAATATCAAAGACTAAACTCAACTACCATTGACATCAACCTGTCTGATGTATTGTCTCTCCTTGGGCCAGCACTGAGGAGCACTGAGAAGGAAATAAAAGAAGCAGCCGCATCTGCCTTTCATAAAGCACGTGCTGTGTGCCAGGCACTAGATGAAGCTGTCGCCATGCGTGGTCTCATCCAATTGTCACATCCACCCGGAGAAGCCTTTACTTTGGGCCAAGGGCATCATTCTCTTTTTTTTCACTAGGCAAAAATATGATCTTAATGTGAGTGTAAATTTGGACACTGAAATTGGTGGCAATCTTTGCTTGCAAGGTAGATGACGCAGAACACAGTGATTGAGAGAGAATTCATAGACTCACTCCTATTTCCCACACTGACATGGAAAGCTCTGCTGTTGTTGTTTGAGGAGCGTCTAGGGTTCTATGATGCAGGTTTGGATTCACTCATCCATTCTAAAGATTCGCGGTTAAGCCTACCACGAGCCAGGCTCTGTTCCTGGCACTTGGGCTATGGTAGTGAACAAAACAGAGATCCCTGTCATGAGCTTAAGTTCCAGTGGGAAGGGAGGCAGCAGATAAGCAACGTGCAGGATAAATGGTATGTGGAGATGTATGGCAGGCTGGAATGTGACAGATGCTATGGAAAAAATAAAGTGGGGCTGGGCGCTGTGGTTCGTGCCTGTAATCCCAGCACTTTGGGAGGCCAAGTTGGGCAGGTCGCTTGAGCCCAGTAATTTGAGACCAGCCTGGGCAACATAATGAGACCCTATCTCTACAAAAAATACAAAAATTAGCCAGATGTTGTGGTGCATGCCTGTAGTCCTAGCTACTTGGGAGACTGAGGTGGGAGGATTGCCTGAGACGAGGAGCTCAAGGCTGCTGTGATTGCACCACTGAACTCCAGCCTGGGTGACAGAGTGAGAGCCTATTTAAAAAAAAAAAAAAAAAAAAAAAGTGGGCCAAGGGAGGTAATTTGGGAGTGGTATCGGTCTTGACTTCGTGCACAGGTAACATTTGAGCAGAGACCAGAGGGAAGTGAGGGCATGACCACGTGGAGGGCTGAGGCCAGAGTGCAGTGGGCAGAGAGAATCCAAAGTGGGAACCCAGGCTCGAAGGTGGGAACACACCTAGCGAGGCAAGGAGGCCGGGGAGGCTGTAGGAAAAAAGCCAAGGAGAGAGAAGTCAGGGTGGGTTGGTCAGGCTCTTGGAGCCATTATTAGGGCCTTGACTTTTACCCTTAGAGAAATGAGGAGCCCCTGGAGAACCTGGGCAGAGGTGTGACATGATGGGCCTTGTATTTCAATAGCATCCTTCTGGCTGTGTGGGGAGAGAGGACAGCAGGGGTGTCACAGGTTGGATTTCCCCAGAAACAGACTCTGAGAGAGAGGAAAACATGCAGGAAGTTTATTGGGGTGCACCCTTGGGATCAACATCTGTGGGGGAGTGAGGGAGGCAGGATTGGGCAGAGGCCTAAGTGTGGCAGTTGCAGCAGAGGCCCAGTGGGATGGCCTTTCAGAGATGTCTCGAATGGAGGCGAGGGGCCTTGGACTTGATACCCCTGCATCGACCAGTCATAGCATGTGGGCTGCTCCCAGAAAGGGGGTGTGAGCTCAGCCAGGCAGCTCTTATCCTAAACCCAGCCCCTTCCCTAAGAGGGAAGTTCCTGAAGGGACTTGACTGAGTGCCATTGGCAGGTGACACTTCTGGAAGCTGGGGAAATGAATGCCTCTGTTTGAAGAGTTGACCAGGGTGGTACGTCCCAGCCTCAACTACAGGGCAAGGGTGGGAGCCATGAGGCCACAGAGGAGGCTCTTACAGGAGCCCAAGTGAGAGATGATGTGGGCTGTACCTCCATGGTAGAAGGGAAGGGGTGAAGCGTGGCTGGATTCTGGACCTAGTTTGAAGGTAGAGGCTGGAGGATTTTCTGATCAATTGGGTTTGGGATGGGAGAGAGGAGTCAAGGACCACCCCCTAGTTGAGCAGAGAAAGACCAGACTGGAGACAGAGGGAAGAAGGAAAGCTGTCATTAGAAGAGGCCAAGTCAATATAGATCATAGAGGGAAGGGCCTCTAAGGGCTGGTGGTAGAGGAAGAGCCTTAGGAGGAGGGGTCTTCTGAGGAGCTTTGGAGAAATCGGGGTGGTGTGAAATGGGGATTTGAGAAATATTGCTGGAGGTTATGGATTAGATCCCTCTTAATATTTTTGGAGGGGCTTAAGTTAAAAAATTAAAAAAATTACAGGTGCAGTGGCCCACACTTGTAATCACAGCACTTTGGGAGGCCAAGGAGGGAGGATTGCTTGAGCCCAGGAGTTCAAGACCAGTCTGGGCAACATGGCAAGACCCTGTCTCTACAAAAAAACTTAAAAAATTAGCCAAACATGGTGGCACGCACCTGTAGTCCCAGCTACTTGGGAGGCTGAGGTTGTGGGGATGGCTTGAGCCCTGGAGGTCCAAGCTGCAGTGAGCCATGATGGCACCACTGCACTCCAGTGCAGGTGACAGAGTGAGACCCTGTCTCTAAATTAATAAAAGGAATTTCTTTGAAAAGATTGTTGTCTGTTTGGCCTGTGTTCTTCCACCCCATGTGACTAGCCTAAGCATGGCACTTGTCCCTTTACCAGTGATGGCCCAGGGATGGCCACATACTCAGTCCTGGCTGGTGCTGTTGGGGAGACAGCTGGCTAGTGGGGGTGGGGTGCTTCTGGGAAGGCTGCCTCCCTCCCAGGAAGGTCCATATAGAATGTTTTCTGACCCTGATCACAGTCCTCAGGACAGTCATGATTGCTGCTCCTCCCAGTCCCGAGTGCTATTCATGCTTCATCTCCATCACCTCTCATAACAGCCACAGGAGCAGACATTGTCATCTTATTCTACAGGACAAAATTGGGAGTAAGGGAAGTCAGGAGACTTGATTACCATCACACATCTAGTAAGAAAAATTACACATGAAGCCCTTAGGACTGGCACCGAGGAGATGCTGAGTAAATGGCATTGATCATTGTAATACAGGGACTTCCTCATTTCCAGGGAGGAGGGGAAGATCATTTGTCCAGATGTATGTGCTTCTGAATTCACTATTGATTTTTATAGCTTTTCTGTTTCCCCCTTCACCATGTATTGGCATTTGTAAATATAGTCACATGTTTACCTGAGCTACAGTGTAACAGAAAGAACTCCAAGGTCTATAAACCTGGCTTTGAATCCAGGCTGCATTACCTACTAGCTGTGTGACGTTGGAAGAGTTACTTACCAGCCCTTGAGCATGTGTCCTCATTTATGAAACGTGGATAATAATAACCTCCGAAGGCGGTTTGAGGGTAATAAGGTGCTTATTAGCTCATTATCTGGAACACAGTCAGTGCTCAAGAATGCTAGGTATTATTATCCAAGTTATTGTGTAGATGGCTTATTTGGACAGATCACATGAAAGGGCCAAATGAAGGTATGCAAGAGTGCTTTACAAATGCATGTTATTATATTGTTAGAGAAACTCCACTGCATGGAGGAATTTGCTATATGAAAAATGGGCTGGGCACAATAGCTCACGCCTATAATCCTAGCACTTTGGGAGGCCGAGACGGGCGGATCACCTGAGATCAGGAGATTGAGAACAGCCTGGCCACATCGTGAAACACTGTCTATACTAAAAATACAAAAAAAAAAAAAAAAAAAAAAAAAAAATTAGCCAGATGTGGTGGCGCGTGCCTGTAGTCCCAGTTGCTTGGGAGACTGAGGCAGGAGAATCTCTTGAACCCAGGAGGCGGAGGTTGCAGTGAGCCGAGATCACGCCACTGCACTCCAGCCTGGGTGACAGAGCAGGACTCCGTCTCAAAAAAAAAAAAAAGAAAATGAATTGATACAAGAGACGTGCATGCCTAGTGGGCTAGAAATCTTGGTGTGGGGAACAGCATAGCATGAAGGAAGGAGGGAGGGAGAGAATGAGTGAGAGAGAGAGCACAAGTGCCAATTGACTGGGAGTTCCGGGCCACGCATGCATTGCCATGGGGCCTTGTAAAGTGCCCAGGATTTGGAAGGATACTAGGGCTAAAGTGAGAGGGAGTCTCCCAAGGGAATGTGAGCCTCTGGAGGCAAGTGATGGTTTTTTTTTTTCTGAAGCACCCTCAGGAAACTGCCTGGAGCCCTCAAGAACGTGGAGGCCTGAAGTGCTGCCCCTGGTCTGAGTTCCTGGAGCCTGGTCTGTCACTGGGGAAGTCCAGAGCTCCAAGGCTCAGTGCCCAGGGGACGCAGAAGTCACGAGCAGGGTGAAGGTGGACAGTGTCACTGAAGGATCCTAGGCAGGGGGAAAACTGAATCCAAGTCAAAGGGCCAGTACTTGGGGGCTCGACACAGAAAAAGGCTCAGGGGAAACCAGGCGGGAAACTGAGCCCAGAGCAGTAGCTCTGCATTGAGCTGTGGTCCAAGGGGCGCCATTCACTTAAAGCACAATCCCATCACCCTTGCCCCAGGTACACACGGTTACCCTGGCTCGAAAAGTTCCTAAATCAGGGAGTCGTCTATAGCGATTCTGTTCACACGAGACTGAACGCTGCATGCGGGTGGGTCACTAAGCCCCCACGGGAATGTGGATTTTGTGTTTTTATTTTGATGATGATCCTTAGAAAACAAACACACACACGGCCGGGTGCGGTGGCTCACGCCTGTAATCCCAGCACTTTGGCCGAGGCGGGCGGATCACGAGGTCAGGAGATGAGACCATCCTGGCTAACACGGTGAAACCCCGTCTCTACTAAAAATACAAAAAATTAGCCGGGCATGGTGGCCGGCGCCTGTAGTCCCAGCTACTCGGGAGGCTGAGGCAGGATAATCGCTTGAACCCGGGAGGCGGAGCTTGCAGTGAGCCGAGATCGCGCCACTGCACTCCAGCCTGGACAACAGAGCGAGACTCTGTCCTAAAACAAACAAACAAAGCGAAACAAAAACAAAATGCAAAAGCAAACAGAAAACGCCCACAATGTCTCTTTATGGAAGGAGACATCCAACCAAGTCTTTTCCTTCTGGCTTTGTAATCCAAAAATGTCCTTCTAACGTGTGCATCCTCTCAGGATGACACGTGGCACCAGCCAGCAGTCTTCTTGGGTGGATTCTAGGATGGCAGAACATAAAGGAATGGCCTTTGTTTGTTTGTTTATTTAGAGACAGAGTCTTGCTCTGTTGCCCAGGTTGGAGTGTGGTGGTGCGATCTCGGCTCACTGCAACCTCTGCCTCCTAGGTTCAAGCGATTCTCACGCCTCAGCCTCCAGGGTAGCTGGGACCACAGCCGTGCGCCGCCGCACCCGGCTAATTTTTTGTATTTTTAGTAGAGATGGGGTTTCGCCATATTGGCCAAGCTGGTCTCAAACTCCTGATCTCAAGTGATCCGCCTGCCTCAACCTCCCAAAGTGCGGGGATTATAGGCGTGAACCACCACGCCCGGCCAGGAATAGCCTTTGAATTTAGACCAATTCGCTTTCAGATATTGACTCTGGACAATTTTCTTAACCTCACATTTATATTAAGATTTTGTTCTTACAAAAATAATTGTAAAAATTCAAACTATGCAGAGATACACCAGGTAAAAGGTGAATTTCTTCTCTCTCTCTTGTCCTAATCCCTCTCCTATTTACATTTCTCTACTAGATTTTTTGTAGCCCTTTTCCCAATATTTTGTGGTTTTGGTTGTTGTTTGAGTGGGACTTTTAAAAAACAATTTCAAGTTGGTTATTGTTCGTACCTAGGAAAGTATTGGTGACTTCCCATTGGTAGCGTGTCCATCTGCCCCACTCCTTTCTCTCATTAGTGCTAATAGTTTTCAGCTGTTTTTCTTGGTGTTGTTGAGCATTAGTTTTCTCATCTGTAAAATGCAGATAATGTTGACCTTGCAGAGCTTTAATAAGGATTCGATGAGAAAAAGTAAGGAGCTTAGCTTAGTGCCTGGCTCAGTAGGGGCCTGATGAACTTGTACTTTCACTAATATCATCCTCATGATGAGATCTTTTCTGTACAACTCTCTTCTCTGATTGTGGAGAAATGGATTATGGAGAAAAATGATTCAATCAGAGAAGGCTCTGCATATGGCTGCTTATACAGAAAGACTGATGTCAACCAAGGGGCTGCCAATGTTTATGTTTTTACTCTATTAAGGAGGGGAGGGGTGAGGAGGGGAGAAAGAAAGAGAAATGGTTGTACAAATATCTCATGGAGTCTCTGCTTTCAATTCTTTTGGGTATAAACACCAGTGGGTTTTTGAGAGTTATAGATCACTGTGAAAAAAAATCTCTGTGTACCTTTCATGGTGTCAGTAGCTCTGGAAAGAGTGGCCTGACCAGTGCACCCTGTGCTTCTTAGTCTACCGTGACAGGAGGGAGGTGTCTGCATCTGATGGTTACTGTGTGTTGAGCTTGCACAGTCCCCATCAGCCTGCTATCTGAGCGCTCAAGGCTGCAGAAGACCCTGAATGAGTGTGAGATTTGTAGTTGTTATTGTTAACTTTCAAGACTTCCACAAATGTACATTTTTCTATTTTATTGTATAGTTCCAATGGCTAAAATGACCCTGAACAAGGTGCAAAATGCAATAAAGCATCAACAGTGGGCTTTCAGGTAAATAAAAATGCAGCAGGAAGAAACAGCAGCAGGGAAAAAAAAATTACTGGGAAACCCATAATGAAATGCCTGCGCTATCTTTTACATTTCCCCCTGTTGTTTAAACTCTCTATATTATTCAATGCAGCATTGTTTGTAATGGCAGAAGATTGTAAATAACCTCAATGTCTATCAATGGGAGATGGTTGGATAAATTATAGTCCTCCACACCAGGGGATACTGTATAGCTGTAAAGAAGAATGCTCAATCTATTTGTTGAGAAAGGTCTACCAGACATTTAAAGTGAAATAAAGGCAAAATGCTGAATAGATTGTACAGTGTGCTGTCCTTTGTGGAAAAGGGAACAAATAAGAATGTGTGTGTATATGCATATAGAATACATTTTTATCCTTGCTTGTGTATATTTGGTGAAACTCTGGAAAGATGCATAAGAACCAATATCAGCAGTTTTATATGCAGGTAGGAGGGAGACTTTTACAGTATCACTTTTGTTTATTTTTTATTTCTGAGCCATGTTAATATATTAACTATGGGAAATAAAGAGCTTGGGTTTTCCCACCAGCCTGACCACAGGAGAGGCTCAAAATTGAAATTAGCTTGTATAGGCAATGAATAATTTTACAGGTTCTTGCAAGAAAAACAAATCTCTGTTACAGGCTATTCAGAATTTATTTTCTAGTCAAGGAAGCCAACTTCTTCTTCCCGTCTCAATCCTGTAGATTCTCAAGAAGCGACAGGGAGGGTGATGCACTCAAAGCCTCACTTGGCAGCCAATCCTAAGTGCTTTGGAGAAAGGAGAACGTTTGGTCCGGGGCAGGGGGTCTGGAGTTGGGCAGGGGAGGAAATCAAGGCCAGAATGGACTGGACTGGGTTTTACTCGGGTTCTTGCCTGTCTCTGACACTGCCCTGGGTGAACTAGGTGGGAGCTGGGAGGCCCTCCCCAGTGCAATTGCAAACCTTGGCTTGTATGGCTAGACCCAGAAGTTGGCTTGCTCAAAATCTTACAATCTCCAGTAACTCTTAAGTAAGCAGGCAAATGAACACACTGATTGATCGAGTACCCACTTCTACTAGACCAGAACCTCTACCACTGTTCACTCCACAGGGTCCCCAGGCAAGATTTGCTTGAGCCTGGAAGGCCTTCGTAGAGGTTCTCTGCCTTCTCACCCCCAGCTCACCTGGAGAAGAATAAACACTAGGCTCTTTCCTCTCTACCAAGGAGCCGTCAGTACCCGAGGGATAGGTAATCTTAAGGGAATAATGGAGAGCTCCGAGGAACAATTAGAAGGCATCTGAGGAGCAGAAGCCCTGTGAAAGAAAGGTAACTGTCAAAACTCAGACAGTCTCGATGGGCTAAATGAGGGGATCCTGGGACCCAGCAACATATGATCTACCGAGTCACTCTTACAAGAAAAGAATATACGTAAATGGAAAATAAGTTAACAAAAAGAGATGCAGCAGGCAGGTGTGAACAAGAAAAAGCTCAGGGAGTAATCTTAGTATCACACAAAACAAATTTACAGCAAACGAAACACAGCAGCAGCAAAACAACCCGACCAAAGATGAACAAGGTGCTACGTGCTGATAAAAGGAATGATGGACCACGAAGATACAACAATTACAGACACCTGCTTCTAATATCATACCCCTGAAATATATCAAGTAATTTATGGTAGAATTAAGATGAGAGGCTGGGCATGATGGCTCACACCCATAATCTCAGCATTTTGGGAGGCTGAGGCAGGAGGATCACCTGAGCCCAGGAGTTTGAGACCAGCCTGGGCAACATAGCGAGACCCCCATATCTGCTAAAAAATAAATAAATAAAACAACAACAACAGAAAGAATTAGATGATAGATAAATCAAAAATTATAGTTGGAGATTTTGACACATACTCAAAAGCTGATAAATTAAGGATAAAAAAATGACCAGGGATATGGAAGAGTTTAACAATGTGATCACTTATCTCAAATTAGCAGAGAGAAGTTTAACTTTACATTTCAGAAAAAAATATATTAGTTTGAGCAAACACAGAACAGGCACAAAACTATGTGTACTATATCTGTGTCACAAAGGAATTCTCAGTGAATCAGAAAGAAATGACTTCATGTGAACTATATCCTGTGGTGGAAATAGAATTAAATTACAAATCAGTATCAGAAGATGTGGTAGCAAGAATAATGGCCCTGCAAAGATGTCCACACTTAAATCCCCAGAACCCATGACTATATTACTTTACATGGCAAAAGTGATTTTGCAGATGTGATTAAGGTTAAGGGCCTTGAGATGGTGAGAGTAGCCTGGTTTATCCAGGTGGGCCCACTTGAATCCCATCAGTCCTTAAAAAGGGGAAAACCATTCCCAGCTGCAGCCAGAAGGAGACACGGTTATGGGAGAATGGTCGGAGAGGTGGAATGTGAGAAAGTCCTGACCTGCTGTTGCTGGCTTTGGTGACGGAGGGAGGGGGCTGTGAGCCAAGGGCTGTGGGTGGCCACTGAAAACTGGGAGTGGTCAATGGCTGTAACAAAACAGTCAGTAAGAAAATGGGGATCTCAGGCCAAGTGCAGCAAGGAACAGCCTGAATGAGCAAGGAAACGAATTCTCCCTCAGAGTCTCCAGAAAGGAACACAGCCCTGCCCACACCGTGACTTTAGCCTGGTAAGACCTGTGTCCAGAACTGTAAGATAATAAATTTGAGTTGTTTCAAATTTACCACTAAGCTTGTGGTTGTTTGTTCCAGCAGCAAGAGATAACTAATACAGAAGACTAATGACAAATCCTATATGACTAAAAATTTAAAAATATATCACTGAAAATTAATTCCTGGGTTAAAGAAGATATAGGGGTATATTAATCATCTATTGCTATGTAACAAATTATCCCAAGACTTAGTGGCATAAAACAAAACATTATCTCATAGCTTCAGTGGATCAGGAATTCAGGTGTGGTTTAGCCGTGTGCTCTGGCTCAGCGTCAAGATGGCAGCTAAGGCTGCAGTAATTTTTTTTTTTTCTTTGAAACAGGGTCTGGCTTTGTCACCCAGGCTGGAGTGCCATGGTGAGATCTCAGCTCGTTGCAACCTCTGTCTCCTGGGCTCAAGCCATCCTCCTACCTCAGGTTCCCAAGTAGCTGGGACCATAGGTGCATGCCACCGTACCCAGCTAATTTTTGTATTATTTGTAGAGACGAGGTTTTGCCATGTTGCCCAGGCTGGTCTCGAACTTCTGAGCCCAAGTGATCCACCCACCTCAGCCTCCCAAAGTGCTGGGATTACAGGTGTGAGCCACTGCACCCAGCCTGCAGTCATCTTAAGGCTTAACTGGAGAAGGACCTTTTTCCAAGCCCACTCACATGGTTGTTGGCAGGATTTAGAAACTTGCCGCCTGTTGGACTGAGGGCCTCAGCTCCTTACTGGCTGTGGGCCAGAGGCTGCCCACAGTTCCTTGCTCTGTGGATGTCCCAGCATGGCCCCTTGCTCCATCAGAGTGATTAAGAGAGAGTGTGTGCTGGCAAGAGGAGTGTCATAGTCTTTTATAACCTAATCTGGGAACTGACATCTCATCACCTTTGTCATATTCTAGAAGCAAGTCTCTAGGACCAGCCCTCTCTCCAGGAGAGGCGTTACACAAGGGCAGGAGTACCAGGAGGCAGGGATCACTGGAGCCAAGTCAGGAGCTGCCCTACCACAAGGAGAAATTACAAAATTCTCGGGATTAGAATGAGAATCAAAGTGGGACATGGTGATATTTGCGTGATGCAACTAAAACTATACCAAGAGGGGAATTTATGGTGGTGAATAAAACTAGAAACAGGAAAGGTGGAAAAGAAATGAACTCAGCTTTCAATTCAAGAAACTAGGATAGAGTAAATTTGAAAGAAGAAAAGAAGTAATGGTAAAAGCAGAAATCAATGAAATAGTAAAGTAAAGCAAAGAGTGAATAGATGATTTTTCAAGATCTAAAGCTAGGTTTTGGCTAGTGAGTTGTAAGGAGGAGCTGTGTGTGAAATTTCTGAGGTGTTTCATCTGTGGGTCCTGCATGGATGTGATGCCAGGAGCACGTGGGAGCATGAGGATGAGGATGCACCCCAAGGCTGCTGTCGAACTTTCATACCAGGCCTAGACTCCCTACATCTTAACTATTACATGAGAGAGAAATGAATTTCTATCTTCTTAAGCTACTGTTATTTGGGGGCTCTGTTATATATAGCTGAACCTAAATCACAACTAACACAAAATTGAAGAGACAAAATTGTCATTATTTTTAGATAGAATAAGACTTTTCAAAGTAAACCTAAGAGATAAACTAAACCATTAGAACTAAAAAGAGAATTAAAAGTTCAGCAGGTTTGGAGGTACAAAATAAATTTTAATAATAGTACCTTCTACTCTAGAAATAACTCATCATAAAATATAAAGAAAAGGTACAAATTAAAATAGAAAAAACTCGAGACTCCATAGACCTATAAATTTTCTAGGAATTAACATAATAAAAAAGTCTCAAGACTTTTATAAAGAAAAATTAGAAACTCTATTAAAGGATATAAAATAAAATGTAAACAAAGAGCTATGGATTGATGACAACATTATAACACTGGTTGATTCTCACATAATTAGTCTATAAATTCAGTGCAATTCCAATTACAAGTCTGAGTGTTTTAGAGGACTTAATAAATGGATTTTGCAAATTAGTGGAGGAATCAAACTTCATGAATAACTAAGACATTTTTGGGAAAAGGGGCCAAAGAAATGAGACTTACACTATCAGAAACTGACATATATTATAAAAACAGGCCCAATGAAACAGAAAAGCATCCAGAAATAGACCTTCTATATTTGGGAATGTGGTACTTTATAGAGATAGGGAAAGGGAGAATATTTGGTAAATAATCTTGGGAAAATGGGCTCCATCATCTGGAGCAAAATAAAGTTGGATCCTCATCTCATGCCATACCCAGAAGTAAACTCCTGGTGGATTACACACCTAAATTTAGGCCCAGCGGTGGCTCACACCTGTAATCCCAGCACTTTGGGAGGCCAAGGCAGGTGGATCACTTGAGGTCAGGAGTTTGAGACCAGCCTGGGAAACATGGTGAAATCTCATCTCTACCAAAAAATACGAAAATTAGCCGAGCGTATTGGCATGCAACTGTAGTCCCAGCTACTTGGGAGGCTGAGGTGGGAGAATCGCTTCCAAATGGGAGCCGGAGGTTTCAGTGAGCCGAGATTGTGCCACTGAACTCCAGCTTGGGTGACAGAGTGAGACCCTGCCTCAAAAACAAACAAACAAAAAACAAAAACCTAAATTTAAAGATAAAAGTGCAATGTTAATAGAAAAAAGAGTAGATTATTCTTTGTGATCTTGGGCAGGGGAGATCTTTTTAAACAGGATCCTCAAAGTATATATAATAAAGGAAAAAATAGATTTGAATATATTAAAAAATACTTTTGAGGGGGGTGATGTTGAAAGGTGAGCACCAGTACCAAAGTAAATGAATAGGTGATGGCTGGTAAGATATATTTGCAACATCTATGACTGAGAAAAAATTAGTTTCCAGAATGTAGAGAAAAATACCAAAAAGTCAGCATTGGAATAAACAGGAAACACATTTAAACAAAAGAAAAAGGGAAAAGGGGAATTATATGAATAATAGGAAAGTTATAGGAGGGGAAGCCTAAATGAATTTGTATATGAGTAGATGCTCAACCTCAATAAGAAAAACACAAATTTAAGTACCAATGAGAACCTACATCCCCTAAGTGGCAAAAGAAAGCTTATGACCATGTCACTCCCCTGAGTAAAATGCTTAGAGGTTCCCTAATCAGAAGATGAAACACACATACCTCATATGGCCTGCATCATGCACTCCATACCTACCTCTCCACCTGCCTTCACTTCCTCACATTGGATTTGCATTTTAATATAACTAATGACCATGGACATTGGAGAGAGAAGATACTAGAAGGAAATGACTAGTTAGAAGTCTATTTAAATAGAATGGGAAAGGATGCCTAAATTGGGTTACAAAGGAGGAGTCAGAGTGAAGAAATGTTGAGAAAGAAGGGTAACAGAACTGTTGTTGAGAGACAGAGAGTGGTTGAGAATGGCTTCCAAGTTTTGGCTTGGGCAACTTGTTGAAGGGTGGTGTCATTCATTGAGATTGAAAGGAGAACATATAATCTAAGAGGCGTTTTAAATAGGCTGAGTTTGAGATATCCTTAGGACATTTAGAAGGAGATATATGTTGCAGGTGTTACAGGACCACCAGGTTCATATGCCAGCTGTGCAGTAACTGACCAATGAACTGAAACAGCAGAGTTTGCAGCAGAGAAGGAGTTTAATGATTGCAGGGAGGCCAAGTGAGGAGATGAGAGGGACCCTCAAATCCATCTCTCCAAGGAGTTCTGGGCTGGGGTTTTTAAGGAGATTGTGGAGGGCAAGGGGCTAGGACATTGGGGTCATTGATTGGGCAGGATAAGGGAGATGAAATCATCAAGATGTGGAAACTGCATTCTTTGGTGAGTTGGCTCCTTTTGGGGTCCATCAGACCAGCTGGCATCAGTAGTTTCATCAGTATGCAGGACGTGAAAGAATATCTCAAATGGAAAACAACATTTCACAATGTTCAAGTTCAAGTTGTTATCTATAGAGCAGTTAAAAGGAACTATAATCTAGGGTCTATGTGATTTTGGGGCAATGGGTGGCAAACAACTGTGAAGAAGTAGTCAGGGAGCAAGCTGACCTCATGATTAATGCTGAATGTGCTGCAAGCTTGATTTATTTTCATTTCTCCCCCTCCCTTCCTCCCTGATTAATTTTATAAAGTTTATAGGGATGAGTTCACTGGTGGCTATGTGGCTTAGAACTTAGAAGAGGTGTCTGGCCAGAGGTTTGATTTGGGTGTTGTCAATCTGTAGTAGGTAGTTAATACCATTGGATACAGTAGGACTATTGGCTGAATCAGAAAACACAATAGCTTTTCTTTGCTTCTAACCACTGTTATGATTACTTTTTTTTTTTGGCAGGAATAGAGCAATTCCACCCACCCCCAATTCAACCGGCTCCTCATTTTTTTTTTGGCACACAATAAAACTCACCTCTTATTTTAGAGTCTGACTTCTTATGATTGAAAGATTATTAGTTGAAGTTAGTGGTGGAGATTATGACAGTAGAAGTGATTAAAGTAAACTAGTATGTATCTGGAAATTCAAATTCATGACCTTGGCCTCTGCGTTACTGTGCTTTGATCAGCCATCTGGTTATTAGAAGATGACGTTTTAAATGAGTTGTAGATTAAACTAATAAGTGCTGTTACTATGACATCCAGGCTATTGATGTTCAAGGATTTATATGATCTAGGGTTACTTTCTAATAGTACTAAGGAATATTCATATTCAAGTTGCAGAGGTTCCAGAAAAGTGACATGAGCTAATTGGAGGCCCTTGATGTATAAACTGTTGTGAAAAATTGGAGGCCCAGGTACAATTCATTCATTAGGCCCTTTTCCCTGGTAAGTCTTTCAGTGTGGACTATGAGCTCAATTAACAACATGGGATTTGGAGATAGATTTAAGACCTAGCTCTTCCACTTAAAAATGTGTGTCCTCTTAAGCTGCTCTTAAAAATATATATTTCTTATTTTGAAATAATTTTAGATTTACAGAAAGATTGCAAAGATAGTAGAGAGGATTTCCATATGTCCCTTACCCAATTTACACCATTGTTAACATCTTACATTACCGTGTCACATTTGTTAAAACAGAGAAACTGACATTGGTTAGTTTCATTAACCAAACTATATAGTTCATTAACCAAACTATATAGTTCATTAACCAAACTCCAGATTTTATTTGGATTTACCAGTTTTTCTATTAATATCTTCTTCCTGTTCCAATCCAGGGCGCTGCATTATATTTAGTTTTCACATCTCCCCAGTCTCCTGGTCTGTGACAGTTTCTCAGTCTTTCCTTGTTTTTCACGACCTTGACAGAGATCTGAACCCTACTGAAAGTATTTTTATTTGGTAGATTGTATTTCTTTGACTGTGACCCTGCCAGGAAATTGAACCACAGAGACCCAGGCTTTATAAAAGTTATAACACTTTTCCAATTTGACAATTAGTTTTACATTCATTTGCGCAATTATTTGGTTGTCTGCCTTCCCCATTAGCTTGGAAGATCCGTGAAAGTAGGGGCCATGTTTGTTTTGGAAACAGAATGTGATGTCTAGCACTTAGTACTTGCTCCATAAATATATGCTAATGAATAAATGGATAGTTAATGATCTATGAGTTTTTTTTTTTTTTTTTTTTTTTTAAGACGGAGTCTTCTTGCTCTGTCGCCCAGGCTGGAGTGCAGTGGCGCGATCTCAGCTCACTGCAAGCTCCGCCTCCCGGGTTCACGGCATTCTTCTCCCTCAGCCTCCCGAGTAGCTGGGACTACAGGCGCCCGCCACCACGCCCAGCTAATTTTTTTTTGTATTTTTAGTAGAGACGGGGTTTCACCGTGGTCTTGATCTCCTGACCTCGTGATCCGCCCGCCTCGGACTGCCAAAGTGCTGGGATTACAGGCGTGAGCCACTGCTCCTGGCCAATCTGTGAGTATTTTTAATAAACCAGTGAGTTGCAGTGTTCCACAGTGGACTTACAATTTTGCCTTAATTATAGTAAGTTTTAAGCAAATAGTAACTATATGCCAGACCAACTGCCAAGTACTTTCTCTGCAATAGCTAAATAAATGTGTATTGAATTCAGTTACATAAAATGAGGATTGCAAAATTCTTTCTGAGGGACAATGCTTTGTTTCCCCTAGATGGGGAAGTCTTACTGCCTAGGAATTATTCCTTTTTATTAAGCCCAGTGCAGTTGGAGGAAAGAAAGCTGTTGGACTGGGCACAGCAGCTGTTCTCTGGGAAATAGCAGTGTGTGTAAATATAGCAGATCTGTGTGCCAAGGAGGGAAAGGAGAAATTAAGTCAGGCTTCTCAGGAGCAACGAATGTAGAGAAAAACATCACAAGTTAACAGCATGGGGGAAGAAAATATAAATTCCCAAGACTCACCTCTGCCTCTTTGAAACCTAAAGCCTAAGTTCTGAAAACCTTATTCTAATTAAACACAACTTCATTTGAATTCAAAACTTTCACCGTCTCTTCACATTTGAATTTAAAAATGTTACGCTTTAGTATTACTATTGGCATTTTAGTTAAAATGCTAAATGTGCAAAACATTTTTTGGACTTTGTTTATGGTGGGGAGATGTAGAGAGGGTGATGGCACCATCTGGGAAGATGGAGATAAATCTTAATGGAATTTGGGAAATGAGAAAAGCTGAGTTGGTGATGTCTATGTCTGACAACAGTGATGCATTCCAGTGGCAGCTCAACCAACATTATTATTAAAGACTTTATGTGGTGGTTTATGTATTATTTAGAAATAATAATAAATTGGAATTGGACTTTTGGCTCTTCTCCCAGATGAAATCCCCTGAGTGTTTATCTTACAGAGGACACAGAAGGGATTCAATTTTGGAGCCATGTATTTGTCTAAATGCAATAAGTGACAATTTGTGTGTTTTGTTTTGTATAGGGAAAAATAAAAGTATGTTTCAGAAAAAAATACAGAAAAAGTCATCAAAGTAAAAAATTCAGGACTCAGACTCTGGAATATATTTTGCTGGTGGCAGCATAGCCTGATAAATCAGGGGTGTTTGTTTACTTTCTTTATAATTGATTTTCCATATTTTTCAGCAAGCTACAAAAAGTTCAGCTTAAAATATATCTGTTTGTATCTACAACCTTCTATGGGAAGAAATTACTTGTGTCCATCTTTTAAATTATCTGATGGCCTTACCTCCAGATTGTTTTCCAAAAAAGGGACTCATTCATGTATTCATTCATTGTTTATAAATGCCTTGCATTGGATATGAAATATAGTGGCATTTTATTCATCTTTGTTGAATGAAGAAACGTCTGCATGCACATAGCATCATTCTGAACGTATTTCCTAAGGCATGGCCGCTTGAGATGGCTAATTTCCTTTCATTATCTGTTCTCCCTCTCTTTGGTATTATAATAACAGAACTTTTAACTTGGTTCTGTCTTTAAAAGGCAGGGGCTTGCCCTCCCTTTCCACCTTTACCCCTTATAATGCATTGAGCCATTGTGGACAGCAGAAGGCAGTCCTCTAGAGATGGCAGAGCCACAGATGGGAGATGCTTTGATCCCTGCATAGCACTGTGGAGCAGAGCCTCCCTCCAGCCCCACACTCTGCAGCTGTACCATTATGTGAGCGAGAAACAAACTTCCACCATGTTTAAGCCATTGTTATTTGGAGGTGCCTCTTATATAGCACCCAAATTCATCTTTTAACCATACAATTCTCAAGGCCTTAGTTCTAGAAGGGGTGAGAAGAGTAGTCCTCCCGTAACCATAATGTTAAGTCAGAATATGGAAAATTCCATGAGAAAGTCCAATAAATGCTCTGAGGGTTTAGAGGAGGGAGAGTTCACATTCATTTGGAGAACAAATTAGAATTGCTTTAGAAACTACGACATCTGAATTTTGAGAGCAGCATTACTGTAGAGTCTGAAGGGCATGGATATTATTATTCATGGAATCCTAACTGTCTAGCTTATTTTGTCTGGATGTCTATCACAGCATCGCTACCTACAGGCTTAGGAATAAGGCACAGTCCAGAGAGTCTCCGGGGGTCAGTGTGGACTCAGTCCCCACCAGAACAAACAGGCTGTGTAAGCTTTCTCTAAATAAATGAATTATGATCCTCACAAATTATTAATATCAAGGTGGTCAAGAATGTGGGCTTTGGAGTCAGACACAGTTTCACGTTCTACCTCTACCACTTACCAGCTGTGAGACTGAGCAGAATATTGAAGTAGTTGAGATCTTTTCTCCTTGAGTTCAAATCTCTTTTCCACCACTTAGGAACTATGTGACCAAGGCAATTTGTTTACCCTCTCCATGACCTGATTTCCTCATGTGTAAAATGTAGATAATAAAAATACCTTCTTCACAGGGTTGTTGGGAGGATTAAGTGAAAACTCCTTATAGTATTAAGTCATTAAGACATGTTTAATGATTAGTATGTGCCTGGCAATCATGTGTGCACACACACACATTTATATTTTTATTTCATATTTGTAAACAGAATAGTTAATGCTTAATATTACCTGTTGTTGTTATTAATGACCTAACTTCCTGGCATCTCAGTTTACTCATGTAAAACAGAGGTGATAGTATCTGACTCTTTGTCCTCATTTGTAAAATAATATTCACTCTCAGAGTTGTAAGATTATGTCTGTAAAGCATGTGCACAATTCCTGGTACCTAGCAGAGTCAATAAATTACACAACTTTTGAAGTAGATCTCTAAACAAATTTCTTTACATTAAGGGAAGAGACCACCCCTCATATTGTCTTATGCCCAATTTCTGCCTCCAAAGAAAGAAGAAGTAAAAACTAAAAGTTAGAAATGGAATCCACAGGCAGACAGCCCAGCACTGTGCCTTGGGCCTGATAGTTAAAAATCAACCCCTGACCTAACTGCTTGTGTTATCTACAGATTTCAGACATTGTATGGAAAAGCATTGTGAAAATCCCCATCCTGTTCTGTTCCATTCTGGTTACCGGTGCATGCAGCCCCCAGTCACGTACCCACTGCTTGCTCAATCGATCACACGACCCTCTCACGCAGACCCCCTTAGAGTTGTAAGCCCTTAAAAGGGACAGGAATTGCTCACTTCGGGAGCTCGGTTTTTGGAGACGTGAGTCCGCCGATGCTCCCAGCTAAATAAAGCCCTTTCCTTTCACAAGTCGGTGTCTGAGGGGTTCTGGTCTGCAGCTCGTCCTGCTACAACATATTTCCTATGTTATTATGTTATTTTTATTTATTCATTTATTTTGAGACATGGTCTCACTCAGTTTCCCAGGCTGGAGTAAAATAGTGTGACTGTAGCTCACTGTAGCCTTGAACTCCAGGGCTCAAAGGACCCCCCCGAGTAGCTGGGACTATAGGTGTTCGCCACCACACCCAGCTAATTTTTGTTTTTTTTGTTTTTTTTTTTTTTTTTGTAGAGATGGGGTCTTGCTGTGTTGCCTGGGCTGGTCTTGATATCCTGGCCTCAAGCTGTTACTGGTGGAGGGTCTTGACTATGAGTGCTCCAGGTTCTTGGTGTTTTGAACAAATAATTAAGCAAAAAAAAAAAAAAAAAAAAAAAAAATGCACAAAGCAATGAAAGAATGAAGCAACAAAAGCACAGATTTATTAAAACAAAAGTACACTCCACAGAGTGGGAGCAGAGTTGTATAAGTGGCTCAAGAGTGCTGGTTACAGAGTTTTCTGGGGTTTAAATGCCCTCTAGAGGTTTCCCATTTGTTACCTGGTTAACACCTATGTAAATAAAGTAGTGGCCTGCAACCAGTTTGATTGGTTGTGGAAGGTGACCAATCAGAAGTTGAAGTGAAATTACAAAGTTATGCATGAAGACTTGGCCTACAACCAGTCTGATTGGTTGCAGGAGGGGACCAATCAGAGATACTTTCATTTCTCATGTGCAAGGCAGAAAAGTGGAGGGGGCGGGTTTGTAAAGGGAGTGGCCGCGGATCCTTTTGTTACTTGGGCGTGGAGAGGTGGAGTTTTCCTTTTGATTCCATTCTAGGAATTCAGCAGAATCGGCTGTGGGTTCCCTAGGGGCCTTCAGACCCTATTCTCCTGCCTCAAAGCTGTCTTCCTGAATTGGCCTCCCAAAGTGCTGGGATTGTAGGCGTGAGCCACCGCAGCTGGCCCCTATGTTATTTTAAGGGAAATAAAGAGTTATGTGCAGTTTTGTTAAACGCAGTCTTGTGGGGGGATAGGCATATGTAAAATACTAAGTATTTAGCCTTAACGCCCTGCTGCATTACCTGTCTTTTTAAGGATGCTGTGAAAAAGTATGGAGAATAACAGCTGGTGCTGGGGAGAGGAAATAGGAACAGCTACTGTTTATTGGGGCCACCTATGCGGTTCACCAAAGCCCTTGAAAGTGCCTGTGTCCCTTCTGACAGTCAAGGAAAGTGGGGTTCAGAGAAGGTCACTCACCTGTCTTTGGGGACTTAGTGCACATCCTCCCTGGGAGTCCTATTCTGGCTTAAATGCCAGTAACAGGGCCAGGAGCCAGGCTGAGCTTGGAATATCTTCCCCAGGGCCTCCTGCTCCTGCCTCCCACAGTCCAAGAAGGTGCTCACCCAAAGACCCTGGACCCCATGGCAGCCCCTCCAGAGCTCTTCCCATCTGGTCATTTCTCAACCCTTTGGGGAAAAAATACCCCCCTCCCTCCTTAGCGAGAATGGGAGAACTCCTGCCACAGCGCCTCCCAGCCGGGGAACACCCGGGCTTTTGTGTCATTGTGATCGTGGAGATGCTGGCAGGGGGCCAGAGTCACCCTGCACATCCAGGAGGCCTCAGAAGCACTGACCCACGGTGGATCCGCCCCAGAGGTAAGGGGTTAAAGAAACAGCAGGAGGAGTGCTGGAGGCTGGCTGCCTGGGAGGCTGGGAGAAGCCTCCTGGGGTTAATTCTGTGAGTTTTGTCAAGAAAGGGCTGGAAAGGAGCAGCAGGGAGTTGGAGGCTTCCTTCCCCTGAGAAAGTGCAGGCTGAAGAGGTGGACCTCGAGAAATGGGGCCAGGGCCCTGCCCAGCCGGAACGAGGAAGGTGGTGACTCAGATCTGGTCCTTCTGCTCCTGCCAGGACAGTGGCTGCTGCTGGGCCTAACTCACTCTCGTCGTGGTTACCTTGTCACGTTCCAAATCACAGCCAGGCTGTGTTCTGCCTGCGGGATGGAAAAACCAATGAGGTCCCAAGAGAGCCAGCAAACAGATTAGGGCCCTGCAGACTGAATGGCAGACAGCAATGGCATGTCATAAGGTCCCAAGTGCCCCAGACTGTGGGGTGGCACCAGCAAGACCTTGTTGGCTGCTTTGGGTGACTTTGCAACTGATGAGGTAGAAGCAAGATGGGACCCTCAGTGCCCACCCCTCAGGGGCTGTCGCCTATGGCAGGCCCTTGTGTATTTCCAATGGCAAGGGGAGGACACGTTCTCATCTATTCTCTCTAGAGTGGTGCACATTTCTATAGACTTGGGTGTACAAGGAATATAATTTTTTTTGTCTTCTATTATTTAATTTCTGATCTCTAGCCTTCATTTGTGTGATACAGGAAAATGCAATCTGGTCCCTTCCATTTGAAATAAAATCAGTGACTTCAATCACATTCATCTTGAAGGCCAGGCATTCTCGGGGTGGCTGCTGAGCTGGGGCGGAGCTTTCACAAATGCCACTGAGGCAGCCTTCCTGGCTCTCCTGTGGTCTTGGTCCTACCTCGGCCTCCTGCCCTGGTTATGTCACTGGGTCCTCAATGGCACTCTCTGTGGTGTCTGTGGTCCTCCACAGACAACTAAATGGCCCCTAAATGCCAGACTCTTGCCCACTGTTCTGCATTCTTCCCTTCCTGGATGCTAGGCGTGGGGAAGGCATGGGTGTGGGGAAGCTTCGGTTCTTTTTCTTGCCTTTCTGGGTCTTCGGGAGGGTGACTGGCTGTGAGCACCCACTCAGTTCCAACAACCCTTGCTGCCATCTTTGTGTTGTTATTTCCTGGCCTCTGTGATGCAAGGGACAAAGTTGAAGCTGCCCTTGCCCAGGCTGGGAGAAGATGGAGGGCTCAGCTCAAGCAGGCAGAGAGGCAAATCCTCTCTTTCTCTGCCTTTTGTTCTGTTCATGCCCTCAATGGATTGATTGTTGCCCACCCACACTGGGGAGAGCCATCTGCTTTCCTCAGTCTACCCATTCAAATGCTCATCTCTTCCAGAAACAGCCTCACAGACACACCCAGAATAACATTTAACCAAATACCTGGGCACCCCATGGGCCATTCTAGTTGACACGATGATTACACCCCAGTGAGATTACACCCTAGTAAGAGGTTTCGTGAGTGAGGGTAGCACATCATTCAGCCACATTATCTAGAGTTCAGCTAATTTGCCACACACGCTTTACCCAGAATATGCTCTAGAAAAAGACATTTGATGTTCCCACGGCCCAGACTGGAAAATATCGTAAAATGGGGCTTCTTTGGGGCCTTTGCACTTTACCTAAATTTTTTTTGTTTGTTTGAGACAGAATCTTGCTCTGTCACCCAGGCTGGAGTCCAGTGATACGATCTCGGCTCACTGCAACCTCCACCTCCCGGGTTCGAGCGATTCTCCTGTCTCAGCCTCCTGAGTAGCTGGGACTACAGGCATCTGCCATCACGCCTGGCTAATTTTTGTATTTTTAGTAGAGACAGGGTTTCACCATGTTGGTCAGGCTGGTCTCAAACTCCTGACCTCAGGTGATCTGCTCACCTTGGCCTCCCTCAGTGCTGGGATTACAGGCGTGAGCCACCGCGCCTGGCCTACCTAAATGTTCTGCAGTCATCTTCACCAGGACTTTGCTTTGAGTCTCAGTTCTTCTGAACATTGTGGGTGTGGGCAATTGGGGCACAAAGGGAGCTTGATAAACGTGACATTTGGGAACCAGCTTCCTTTCGGGATTACTCTTGAGCATGTCTTAATGCTGGGATTCTGTTTGACATGTTGTCACTTACTGGCCATGTCAACAGATGCTGTCATGACAGGGAGAAGTGAGAGAGGAAATACTGTAGCGGGGAATGGGATGTGGAAATCAGGGTGGGGAAGGCAAATAGGAACTTTCTGTTTCAGTTAAATATAGGAGTGAGAGGATGAGGGTGAGATATGATTTAAGATACAAGATTTATCTTAAAATTTTTCATTGTTTATTATTTTTTCCCAGATTATAAAAGTAGAAAATTTGGAGGATACAATTACAGAGAAGAAAATAATTACCTCATAGTTCTATTACACAGAAATAAGCTTTTTAATGCAGAAATATATCTCTATGTCTAATATGTATTTTATAAGAACATTTCATATTGACTACTTTATAATATTCTATTTTAAGGGTTTTTATAACTATGAAAGGAATCCCTGCTTGCTTTAGAACACTCAAGCACAGGAGACTGTGTAAACGAATGGTCTGTCATTCTCTGGGAGGGTTAGTGTTGACATTTGGTGTGTATCCTTCCAGATATTTTCCTCACACATGTACCTTCTGCAAATTGCTTTTTTTTTCAATTAACTATCCTTTCCCACAACCGCCAGGCCATAGGTTTCTGATATCTTCTTTTCATTCCCTGCGCTGGTGCCTGCTTTGGTGAATTAATGAGCTCATAATGTTAAACAGGCTGAGGCCACTGGTTCACTCCCCAAGAAGTGCCCTTTTGAGGCATAGTTCCTGATGGTAACTATGGGGTGATTCCCAGGATAGGAGATGAGAGCAAAAGGCCACTCCCTTCCTGGGAGAGAGGACCGCAGGCAGGCAGGTCAGTTCCCTGTATCCTCCCCGACTGCTGCCACCATGCTCAGTTATTCCCACCTGGTCACAGCTATATCCCATGTGGCGGCTTTGGCTTGCTTAGTAGAGTGCTACCAGCATTTCAGTTGACTTCAAGAAATTATAGATGGGACGTGCCTTGCGTCTCAGCATTGGTGTTACATGTTCGTGTGTGTTCCAGACTTGAACAGCCTCTCAGGAACTCCGAGAGGTCGCTTCTGAGGTGGCTTCTAATTTGTCTGAAAAGTTATAGTGGTGCCTGGAAGCAGGGAAGAGTCAGGCAATTTCATTGTCACCTTGTTTGCAAACATTACCTGCCTCCTAAGAGGAATGATGGTGAGTATTAACACTGGCTGGGCCACTAACAGAAGGACATGTGACCTCCCAGGGTGCTCCTACTTCTGTTACCAGCTGGGCTTGTTTCTCTGTCTGTCTCTCTCTCCCTTTCCTTTAATAAATCCTCGATGCCGATCAGGAGGTTCAATTTCAAATACTTACAGGACTGGGATGGTGAGAGAATTAGTGGAGTGGGAGCAGTGGAGCTCTCACGGGGACAGTTCCACTGACTGCTGACATGCTGGAGGATGGGCATCGTGTTGCCAGGAATTGGGTTTTCAGTGTGATTGGCAATCCACATTTTAATGTGAAATCTCCCGATTTTAAATACAGGCAATTAAGTTAATTTTTCAAAACCCTATGCAGGCTGAGCACGGTGGTTCATGCCAGTAATCCCAGCACATTGGGAGGCTGAGCAGGCCGATCACGTGAGGTCAGGAGTTCGAGACCAGCCTGACCAACATGGCGAAACCCCGTCTTTACCAAAAATACAAAAAATAGCCAGGCATAGTGGTGCACACCTGTAATCCCAGCTACTCTGGCAGCAGAGGCATGAGGATCACTTGAACATGGGAGGCAGATGTTGCAGTGAGCCGAGATCGTGTCACTGCACTCCAGCCTGTGTGACAGAGCAAGACTCCTTGTAAACAAACAAAACAAAAACCCTAAGCAGGTGGAAAAAAACCCATATCTGTGGGCTATATTTGGTGTCTGCAGCAGTGTAGGTAAGGGCAATATTCCAATGGCCCATCAGGTTACGTTGTCTTTTCATAGATGTTTTTTTATCTGTCTCTGAAATCCCAAAGTCCTTATTTTGCCTATATCTTGTGATTTATGAGGCAATCAGATGAGTTCTTATATATTAAACCTCCTTCAGTTTCCCCTCTAACAGGAATGATGGACTGACTTAAAAACCCTTAAAACAAAAAGGGGACTATTCCTCTGGATATATTTTTAACATATGCTAATGGGATTTTGGTTTAAGGAACGAATTCTGCAGTCTTGTAAAGAGAGGCTGAATGAAAATTAAATTTATTATGGAAATATCAGTGGTTATATTTACTTTCCTAACATGAATTTAAGCCTAAATTGATTTGTGTGTTATGATATCATTTATCTCTTTGAACAGAGTAAAATGGTAGTTTAAATTATAAAACTAAGAGGTGGTAGAGTAACTTTCTTCAGGATTAGAGTCTACTGCTCCTTCTTTGTGAAATGAAAGATGATGATGACAGAGAAAAGGATCAGATGCTCGCTGTACACTCCCTCCACCCCCACACACCTGTAAAATACTCATCTTTCTCCTGTTTCCTTAGTACCTTCTAAAACTACCTACAAGGTCAATAGGAAATGTATGGTGGCCTCATGGCTGTCAGCGTGGACTGGTGATTCATCCAGTTTCTGGTGCATCACTGTTTTCTTTCTTTTTTTATGAAATGGAGTTTTGCTCTGCCTCCCAGGCTGGAGTGCAGTGGCATGATCTCAGCTCACTGCAACCTCCACCTCCTGGTTTCAAGCAATTCTCCTGCCTCAGCCTCCTGAGTAGCTGGGATTACAGGCACGAGCCACCACACCACACGCCTGACTAATTTTTTGTGTGTTTTTAGTGGAGACAGGGTTTTACCATGTTGGCCAGGCTGGTCTCAAACTCCTGACCTCAAGTGATCAGCCTGCCTTGGCCTCCCAAAGTGTTGGGATTACAGGTGTGAGCCACTGCGCCTGGCCCATCTTTGATTTCTTTCAAGGGATTAACTGACTTTCAAGACTCTAAGAACTATGAATAAGGAAAATGGGTTACTGGAATTTAGCCATAGTTGCTGCCTTCACTTTTTTATGTTCTAGTCACTGGGGTGACACGCTATAATAAAAGCCGCTTCTTCGATGAGTTTCTTTTCATCAGAATCCAGAGGCTTCAAGTGTCAGTAACTTATTTCCCATACCAGTGGAGACCTTAAAACTCTGCCCTCTATTGAGCATGCAAAGATGCCCTTCTAAAGTCAACTCAGACATCCAACAATTAGAAACAGTTGTAAATTTTGAGACAAAATAGAGTTTAACAAGAGCTAATTCTTAATGATATGCTGTACTACATTTAATGTGAGGACAAACCATATATTAGAAGGTCACAAAAACTATTCTTGTGACTATATTTATTTCTTTATAGTTCTTTATGGCAATTGATTGAGGTTTAAAAGTCACAGATGGTTGGGTTGAACTTTCCTTGCATTTGTCTCTATTGGTAAAGACATTCTCATACATACTAGACTAGACTCCTATTGGCTTCCAATGAAGACTTTCTGGCTGACATCTCTTAATTCTACCATAGTTCTAGAAGCCACACGTTTTCAATTTCAGCATGTCCCAACTGTGGTATACATTGCTATAAGTATAATAAATAAAATCTTAGAGAATACATGAATAGTTTTAAAAATTTAAGTGACTATGTATTTATTTTAAAGATAGTTTTAAAAATATAACTAGCACCCAAAACCAGTGAGTTCAAAGATTTTATGTACTCCTTTTGAAATAAAGTAGATGATTTAAATCAGATTATTAGGTAAATAATAGTTCGGGTGATACATGAATATGGAAAAAATCATGCAGATGGTGGAGAAATAACTGAAACATGGGAAACTGTGAATTAATGGAGTCCATTTGAGTCTGTTGGGGTGATACTATTTCTTAACTTTATAAAATTTCAATCAGACTTGGATTAGATGGACCTGAAATGTCAACATAGATAATCCAAATTATTTTACATCTTGACGATCCTGAAGAGGATGCCAAATCAGCTGTTGATTCTAGCTTCCCTTTTGTCCTCTGCTGTACTTTAGGTTTCATTTCTACAGGGCACCTTGTTTTATGTAATAGTGTAGGCTCAGGAGTCAGACTGTCAGTGCTTGAACACTAACTCCACCACCTATTTTTTGTGTGAACTCAGAAAACTTATTTAACCTCTTCGAATCTTGTATTTCTTACATGTAAAATGGGGGAAAACAGTACTTAGCTTGTGAAGTTCTCCTTAAGATTAATACATCAAAACACATCAAGGAACTATCACCTCAGTAAGTACTGAATAAATATTAGCTATTATTATTTTATGTCTGAAAGGTTGTGTAAAGATAATGGTGTATGTCGTGGGTAAGTGGCAACTCTCTGGGCCAATGGTGTGGGTGGTGGAAGAATTTAACAAGACAGTTGCAGTTAAAGAAAGGCAGATTTATTAGAAAAAGTATGAAAATACATCCATGCATTAAAAAGGTGTTGTAGTAAAGAAAAATATGTTGCAAGAAAGCAACAGGCAAGTCAACATGAGAGGAGCTGACTGTAAGGAGACAAAGGCTTGCTGGGAATTTTATAGAATGGTGCCTGGGCCGTGTGCTGAAGAGGGCTTTGTGCACTACTGGTAACGCCAAGGTTGCAGTGAGCTAGCTTGCATTTTTGTATCAGCTGAGGATCTGGTGACAGCTAGACACAGGAAGATTGTGTCCTGGACCATGAAGAAAGGCAGACTTACAGCTTATCTGCTTTTTCTTTTTTGCTTTCCCCTGCTCCCACCAGCCTGACTCCTCTTCCCTATTTAGGACTCCACTGTTTATCCACAAAATTCCATTTATGATGCTACAAAAGAGTTTATTTAAAAGAAAAACTAGTGAGTCCCATTGTGAAGCAAATACTGGCATTATTTCACAGTAATGAATTACTATGATATGTACTGCTTTTTAAGGTCTGTGCTGTTGACTAGGCTAGGTTTAAGTTGAAGATGTTCTTAGAGACATTTAAGTCCCATAAGGTTTGAAAGGCATTTCTCTTCACGGTTTTCACCATGACTTGGCACAAAGAAAGTCCCTTTGAAACGTAATATAAATGAGCTCAACATTCTTGAAGCCAAATATTCCTAACTGTGTATGGAAGACTTTAGACTGGCCATAGGTCCAGAAAGAGAACTTTTTTGGAAATCTTTCAGAAGAACTCAAGGTTAAAGCTCTTGGAAACGAGTTTTTTGTTTTCATTCTCTTTAGCACTGCCTGAAAGAAGAACTTTCATTCTTAAAAAGGCTTGTAATTTATCGAGTCTTCTGCAATTAAGAATGTCATATATTCTCACTTGGAGAATATTTTGATTGCAGCTATTTAGGTAGGGCTGTATGTAGAATCACAGGATTCTTAAAGTTGGAAAGAACTTAAAATATTGTTGAGTTCTCATCTCTCTCCTGTTCCTTCTCTCTTAGAGCCCTAGAAATGTTTACCAATTTGTCCCAGTTTGCCCAGCGAGTTGGCATCAGTGCCCAGCTAGGAAACAAATGCAGATGACTCAGCAGGGTCCCTGACTGAATTCCTTTCATGGACAACAGTAAGCCTCTGGAGGAGGAGAACAGCATCCTGCTCACCTTTGTTGATCTTAGTTTCCCCTTTTTATCCTTGGCTGTACTTTAGGTTTCATTTTTATAGGACAAGTCATTTCATATGACAGTGTAGGCTCAGGAGTCAAGCTGCCTGTGCTTGAATCCTGGCTCTACCACCTATTTACTGTGCGAACTCAGAAAATATATTTAACCTCTTTGAGTCTCATATTTCTGGTTTTTGTTTTGTTTTGTTTTCTTTTTTGATACGGAGTCTCACTCTGTTGCTCACTGCAACTTCTGTCTCCTGGGTTCAAGCAATTCTTCTGCCTCAGCCTCCCAAATAGATGGGATTGGAGGCGCATGCCACCATGCCTGGCTAATTTTTGTATTTTTAGTAGAGATGGGGTTTCACCATGTTGGCCAGCCTGGTCTCGAACTCCTGACGTCAAGTCTCGAACTCCTGACCTCAAGTGATCAGCCTGCCTTGGCCTCCCAAAGTGCCAGGATTACAGGTGTGAGCCACCATGCCCAGCCAGAGTCTTATATTTCTTACGTGTGAAATGGAGGTGGGGGGAATAGTACCTAGCTTGTGAAGTTCTCCTTAAGATTAATAAATCAGAACCCATCAATGAACTGTCACCTCATGAGGTATTGAATAAATACAAGTTATTATTATTTTGTGTGTCTGGAAGGTTTTGCACCTTCAGCACTGTTTCTGGCACACAACAGGCCTCCACTAAGAGTTTGGTGGCTCAAAGAGATCACTCCTCTCCACCCAGGGGCCCTGGATGGAATCCTAGGGATAATTACATAAGAGTGATATCATTTCCACTTTGGAAGACTCTATTTACTAAAGCCACGTACATCTTAGTTATAAAGTGTTTTAAAAAATATTTTTAGGGAATGTTTTAATATGTCTTAAAAAATTATGACCCATGGGTTACTTACATCAGAATCTTCTAGAGTTGCTGTTCAAAATCCAATCCCAGACTCTTGGAGGTGTCTCAGGATCTGCATTTGGAGTCTCCTCACTGTCAATGCTCAGTTTCTTTATCCAGTTCACTACTGAAGGGCATCTAGATTGATTCCATGTCTTTGCTATTGTGAATAGTGCTGTGTCTTTATGGTAGAACAGTTTATATTCCTTTATATTCCTTTGGGTATATACCCAGTAATGGAATTGCTAGGTTGAATGGTAGTTCTGTTTTAAGTTCTTTGAGAAATCTCCAAATTGCTTTCCACAGTGGCTGAACTAATTTACATTTCCACCAGCAGTGTATAAGCAATCTCTTTTCTCTGTAACTTTGCCAGCATCTGTTATTTTTTGACTTTTTAATAATAGCCATTCTGACTGGTGTTGAGACAGTATCTGATTATTGTTTTGATTTGTGTTTTTCTAATGATTAGTGATGTTAACCATTTTTTTATATGCTTTGCTTGTTGGCTGTGTGTGTATGTCTTCCTTTGAGAAGTGTCTGTTCATCTCCTTTGCCTATTTTTTATTTTATTTTTATTTTTTGAGATAGTGTATCAAAAAATGGCATGGACATGGCTCACTGTAGCCTCGACCTCCTGGGCTCAAGGGATCTTCCTGTCTCAGCCTCCCGTGTAGCTGGGACTGCAGGTATGCAGCACCACGCCCAGCTAGTTTTTGATTTTTCATAGAGAGAGGGTCTTACTTTGTTGCCCAAGCTGGCCTTTAACTCCTAGGCTCCAGTAATCTTTCTGCCTCAGCCTCCCAAAGTGCTGGGATTACAAGTGTGAGCCACTGCACCTGGCTTTTTGGCCATTTTTTAATGGGATGGTTTTTTGCTTGTTAATTTAATTTCCTTATAGATTCTGGATATTAGGCCTCTGTCAGTGCATAGTTTACGAATATTTTCTCCCATTCTGTAGGTTGTCTGTTCACTTTGTTGATAGTTTCTTTTGCTGTGCAGGAGATTTAGTTAGGTCCCACTTGTCAATTTTTTGTTGTTGTTGCAATTGCTTTTGGTGTCTTTGTCATGAAATCTTTGCCAGGGCCTATGTCCAGAATGATATATCCTAGGCTTTCTTCTAGGGTTTTTATGGTTTTAGGTTTTATATTTGTCTTTAATCCACCTTGAGTTGATTTTTGTACGTGATGAGAGAAAGGGGTCTAGTTTCAATCTTCTGCATACAGCTAGCCAGTTATCTCAGCACCATTTATTGAATAGGGAGTTATTTCCCCATTGCTTGTTATTGTTGACTTTATTGAAGACCAGATGGTTGTAGGTGTGTGGCTTTATTTCTGGGTTCTCTATTCTGTTCCATTAGTTTACGTGTTTGTTTTTGTACCATGTACAGTACCATACTGTTTTGGTTACTGTAGCCCTGTAGTATGGTTTGAAGTTGTGTAGCATGATGCCTCCAGGTTTGTTCTTTTTGCTTAGGATTGCCTTGAATATTTGGGCCCTTTTTTGGTTCCATATGAATGTTAAAATAGTTTTTTCTAGTTCTGTGAAGAATGTCCTTAGTAGTTTAATAGGAATAGCACTGAATCTATAAATTACTTTGGGCAGTATGGCCATTTTCGTGATATTGATTCTTCCTATCCATGAGCGTGGAATGTTTTTCCACTTGTTTGTACATAGCAATCCTATATCACAAGTACAGATCTCAGGAAGGGGTCTGTCTTAGTCCATTTGGGCTACTATCACAAGAATACCTTAGACTGGGCAATTTATAAAAAACAAAAATTTGTTGCTCACAGTTCTGGAGGCTGGGAAGTCCAAGATCAAGGCACCAGCAGATCTGGTGTCTGGTGAGAGCCTATTCCTCATAGACATCACCTTCTATCTGTCCTCACATGGCAGAGGGGTGAATAAGCTCCCTTTGGCCTCTTTTCTAAGGACATTACTCCCATTTATGAGGAAAGAACACTCATGACCTAATTACCTTTCAAAGGCTCCACCTCTTAATACCATCACCTTGGGGGTTGGGATTTCAACATATGAATTTCGTGGGATACATTCAGATCATAGTAGGTTCTTTATTTTATTTTTATTTTTATTTATTTATTTTTAAATTTTATTGTTATTATACTTTAAAGTTTTAGGGTACATGTGCACAACATGCAGGTTTGTTACATATGTATACATGTGCCATGTTGGTGTGCTGCACCCATTAACTCGTCATTTAGCATTAGGTATATCTCCTAATGCTCTCCCTCCCCCCTCCCCCCACCCCACAACAGTCCCCGGTGTGTGATGTTCCCCTTCCTGTGTCCATGTGTTCTCATTGTTCAATTCCCACCTATGAGTGAGAACATGCGGTGTTTGGTTGTTTGTCCTTGCGATAGTTTGCTGAGAATGATGGTTTCCAGCTTCATCCGTGTCCCTACAAAGGACATGAACTCATCATTTTTTATGGCTGCATAGTATTCCATGGTGTATATATGCCACATTTTCTTAATCCAGTCTATCATTGTTGGACATTTGGCTTGGTTCCAAGTCTTTGCTATTGTGAATAGTGCCACAATAAACATACGTGTTCATGTGTCTTTATAGCAGCATGATTTATAATCCTTTGGGTATATACCCAGTAATGGGATGGCTGGGTCAAATGGTATTTCCAGTTCTAGATCCCTGAGGAATCGCCACACTGACTTCCACAATGGTTGAACTAGTTTACAGTCCCACCAACAGTGTAAAAGTGTTCCTATTTCTCCACATCCTCTCCAGCATCTGTTGTTTCCTGACTTTTTAATGATTGCCATTCTAACTGGTGTGAGATGGTATCTCATTGTGGTTTTGATTTGCATTTCTCTGATGGCCAGTGATGATGAGCATTTTTTCATGTGTTTTTTGGCTGCATAAATATCTTCTTTTGAGAAGTGTCTGTTCATGTCCTTCACCCACTTTTTGTTGGGGTTGTTTTTTTCTTGTAAATTTGTTTGAGTTCTTTGTAGATTCTGGATATTAGCCCTTTGTCAGATGAGTAGGTTGCCAAAATTTTCTCCCATTCTGTAGGTTGCCTGTTCACTTTGATGGTAGTTTCTTTTGCTGTGCAGAAGCTCTTTAGTTTATTTAGATCCCATTTGTCAACTTTGGCTTTTGTTGCCATTGCTTTTGGTGTTTTAGACATGAAGTCCTTGCCCATGCCTATGTCCTGAATGGTATTGCCTAGGTTTTCTTCTAGGGTTTTTATGGTTTTAGGTCGAACATGTAAGTCTTTAATCCATCTTGAATTAATTTTTGTATAAGGTGTCAGGAAGGGATCCAGTTTCAGCTTTCTACATATGGCTAGCCAGTTTTCCCATCACCATTTATTAAATAGGGAATCCTTTCCCCATTTCTTCTTTTTGTCAGGTTTTTCAAAGATCAGATTGTTGTAGATATGCGGCATTATTTCTGAGGGCTCTGTTTTGTTCCATTGGTCTATATCTCTGTTTTGGTACCACTACCATGCTGTTTTGGTTACTGTAGCCTTGTAGTATAATTTGAAGTCAGGTAGTGTGATGCCTCCAGCTTTGTTCTTTTGACTTAGGATTCACTTGGCAATACGGGCTCTTTTTTGGTTCCATATGAACTTTAAAGTAGTTTTTTCCAATTCTGTGAAGAAAGTCGTTAGTAGCTTGATGGGGATGGCATTGAATCTATAAATTACCTTGGGCAGTATGGCCATTTTCATGATGTTGATTCTTCCTACCCATGAGCATGGAATGTTCTTCCATTTGTTTGTGTCCTCTTTTATTTCCTTGAGCAGTGGTTTGTAGTTCTCCTTGAAGAGGTCCTTCACATCCCTTGTGAGTTGGATTCCTAGGTATTTTATTCTCTTTGAAGCAATTGTGAATGGGAGTTCACTCATGATTTGGCTCTCTGTCTGCTGTTGGTGTATAAGAATGCTTGTGATTTTTGTACATTGATTTTGTGTCCTGAGACTTTGCTGAAGTTGCTTATCAGCTTAAAGAGACTTTGGGCTGAGACATTGGGGTTTTTTAGATAAACAATCATGTTGTCTGCAAACAGGGACAATTTGACTTCCTCTTTTCCTAATTGAATACCCTTTATTTCCTTCTCCTGCCTGATTGCCCTGGCCAGAACTTCCAACACTCTGTTGAATAGGAGTGGTGAGAGAGGGCATCCCTGTCTTGTGCCAGTTTTCAAAGGGAATGCTTCCAGTTTTTGCCCATTCAGTATGATATTGGCTGTGGGTTTGTCATAGATAGCTCTTATTATTTTGAGATATGTCCCATCAATACCTAATTTATTGAGAGTTTTTAGCATGAACGTTGTTGAATTTTGTCAAAGGCCTTTTCTGCATCTATTGAGATAATCATGTGGTTTTTGTCTTTGGTTCTGTTTATATGCTGGATTGTGTTTATTGATTTTCATATGTTGAACCAGCCTTGCATCCCAGGGATGAAGCCCACTTGATCATGGTGGATGAGCTTTTTGATGTGCTGCTGGATTTGGTTTGCCAGTATTTTATTGAGGATTTTTGCATCAGTGTTCATCAAGGATATTGGTCTAAAATTCTCTTTTTTTGTTGTGCCTCTGCCTGGCTTTGGTATCAGGATGATGCTGGCCTCATAAAATGAGTTAGGGAGGATTCCCTCTTTTTCTATTGATTGGAATAGTTTCAGAAGGAATGGTACCAGCTCCTCCTTGTACCTCTGGTAGAATTCGGCTGTGAATCCATCTGGTCCTGGACTTTTTTTGGTTGGTAAGCTATTAATTATTGCCTCAATTTCAGAGCCTGTTATTGGTCTATTCAGAGATTCAACTTCTTCCTGGTTTAGTCTTGGAAGGGTGTATGTATCGAGGAATTTATCCATTTCTTCTAGATTTTCTAGTTTATTTGCGTAGAGGTGTTTATAGTATTCTCTGATGGTAGTTTGTATTTCTGTGGGATTGGTGGTGATATCCCCTTTATCATTTTTTATTGCATCTATTTGATTCTTCTCTCTTTTCTTCTTTATTAGTCTTGCTAGCAGTCTATCAATTTTGTTGATCTTTTCAAAAAACCAGCTGGAAACAAGTTCACCCAGGCTGGAGTGCAGTGGTGTGATCTCAGCTCACTGCAACCCCCACCTCCTAGGTTTGAGCCATCCTCCCACCTCAGCCTTCTGAATAGCTCAAGGGACTGCAGGCATGCACTACAACACCGTTTTTTTGTATTTTTTTTGTAGAGATGGGGATTCACCATGTTGCTCAGATGGGTCTTGAACTCCTAAGCTCAAGCAATCCACCTGTCTGAGCTTCCCAAAGTGCTAGGATTATAGGCATGAGCCACCATGCCCAGCCCTTTATTATTTTAAGTGCAAAATGGCCCAACATGTCTCCAGTAGGAATAGAAGGAATGGGGTGGGAGATTTCCTTTTCATCTTCCAAGCAGGGGCTGCTTTGAACCAAGTTGTTGGGAGCCAGGCCAGAGGCTGGTAAGTGCCTGTGGATAGGCCAAGGCATTTACAGGAGGAGTCCCAGCCTTTAAAATGGACTATATTAACATAAATACATAACTCCTTCCAGAAGTACTGTGGTCATGACCTCTCCCATGGGTTGCAGTTCCTCTTGTCCTTGTGCCGGTTGCCTTTGGATTCTGCATGATCCCAGGAATAACCCTCCCCTGCATTTTCTATCTGCAGCATAGACTCCATGACTATGTCCTTGCCTGCTTCCTGTCCTGGGCCTGGAATGTAGGGTCTCCTATAAATCTACTTTGATTTATGTTTGGTGGGTCTAGTTGCTCAGGCTTTCTTCTGATTGGATAATGACTATGACAAACATTCCTGGAGCACTAAAGGTTTCACATGCATTCATTCACTCAATCCTTACAACAGGCTTATGGATCAACTACTGACACTTTTATGCCTGTTTTGCAAATGAGGAAATTGAGGTTCAGAGAAGCTCAAGGCCCCACAGCTGGTGAGTTGCAGAGCTGGGATTGGAAGGCAGATACACCTGACTCTAAGGCTTTTCCCCTTGCTCACCTGTTAGACTATTCTAGCTGGCCAGCCTATATCATCCCTACCCAGGGCTGGGGGATTCCCTGTCTCCTTCCCTCTCAATCAAGGTTGGGTTCTGTCCATGCAGAAGTTGTCCTTCCCCTGTTTAGAAAGCAGCGTGGCTCCCTATTTTGACTGTTTGCCATCAGATGGAGGTAGCAAGGCTGGATGGGCAACTCCACCCTTGGGCTACCTGTGTGCTATGCAGCAAAGTGGAGGGGCCCAGTTTGGGCATTGGCTGGGCCTGCAGCTAGGGAGCTTGTGCCAGAGCTTCCATAGCAGCTCCAGAAAGAAGTACCAGGAAAGAGAAGAGCTGGTCTCAGCCGGGCCACCAGAGAAATGTCAGTTTTTCAGGAAGACCCAGCCTTCTTGCACAATGTGTGTACCCACCCGCTCACTGCCAAGCCTGGTGTTGGTCAGTGAGCATGCCAACATGGACCCCACACTGCTTGCCTGGGCCGTGGAGGACCAAAGCCAGTGATACATCCAACTGTGGGAAATTGTGAGGACCCAGAGTTCCAGGGTGATCTCTGGGTAGGTGGGGTATCTCATATATACACGTATATAATATATATAAAATATTATATATCTATATATTATATATACATATATACTTATTTATATATGTATATATAATATATTTTATATATAATATATATTTATATATTATATATAAATATATACATATATATATAGAAAGAGAGAGACAGGGTCTGGCTCTGTCGTCCAGGCTGGAGTGTAGTGCTGTGATTTTGGCTCACTGCCACCTCCACCTCCCAGGCTTAAGAGATCATTCCACCTCAGCCTCCTGAGTAGCTGGGACCACAAGTGCACACCACCATGCCCAGATAATTTTTTATATTTGTTGTAGAGGTGGGGTTTCACCATGATGCCCAGGCTGGTCTCGAAGTCCTGGGCTCAAGCAATCCACCTGCTTCGACCCTCTTAGAGCCTGTGGGGATGGGGGGGTGGTGAGAGTGAGGGGTGTGGCATCAGAGGCTGTGGGAGGTGTGGGGAGGAGCTTGGCATCAGAGGCTATGGGAGGGATGTGTGCAGAAGTGGGTAACATCAGAGGCTGTGTGGGAAGTGTGTGTGTGAGGAGGGGCAGGGCATCAGAAGCTGTGGGAATGGTATGTGGGAAGAGGTGTGGCATCAGAGGCTGTGGGGGGTTGTGGGGCAGGACTTGGCATCAGAGGCTACGGTAGGGATATGTACGGAGGCGGGTGTCATGAGAGGCGGTGGGGGAGGGCGTGGGGGAGGGACGTGGATCAGGCTGTCAGAGGTGAGAAGAGCAGGGTGTCATAGGCTGATGGGTCTTGTGGACAGAATTCAACATTCCCATAAAGTCTGTGCAGACCACATTTCTCTTAATTAAAGGTATAGCTGGGTGAACTGTATTGGGTCTGTATTTTCCAGCCACTGGCGGTGAGTGTAACAAATATGTTTTATGCATAAGGGCAAGAATGCTTAAAACCATGGAGACTCCCCTAGAGATGAGACCTAGACAGATGAGGATTTCAGGAATATTATTTTCCTAAGTGATGTAGGGTGATGGTGGAAAACTCTCCCAGTGAGACTTTGGGGGCAAATAATAAGTATTAGCAAAATTATCCAGACACTTCTTTTCATGAAGAAACACAAAGGCTCTAGCATGCTAAAATCCAAACTCCTGATTATTAAAGCAGTTGAATTCTACTTTGCTATTGCAAAGAAGAAAGGATAAAAATATCAGTTCTCATTACCTCTGCCCATATTTTGCCCCATTTCTCCTTTCAGCTCTTGTCTGAAGGTTTGTGGTCCCAGCAAGCTCAGTTGTTTCATGCTGACCACTTTGTTTATTTATGTTACCTCTACTCTGCATCTCTGGTCTCATCTTCTTTGATGCATCATAAATACTAATGAGCTAGTTTGCCTTTCTTACTGACAATAATGAAGAGGAGTAAGTAGTTGGGTGGTTTTCCTGTCCCTAAATGTATCCTCCCAAAGAGTCTCAATTCACCAAAGAGTTGTTTAGATTAAAACAAGCTCTTGTTCGGGCAGTTTTGAGAGAGGAAGTAGCAGCCACTCACTTATTAATGTGAAAAAATAACTTAGACGATCGTTCTTCCAACACCCAGTCGAAGGCTCCATGTAGGAATAGATCTATTTACGAGGCGGTGGGGAAGAGGAATAGCTTGGAGGGGAATTCAGCTGCTTGTGCTAATTCAGAATGCAAGAGAGCATCGCTGGTGGTGGCAGGGTGCAGGTTGCTGGAAGGTGAAAGAGAGGGCTAAGATCAACTTGGTACGTTAGTCATTTAGTCCCGAAGAGGTGGGCCTTCTCCAATGAAGAATAATTGTATGGACGTGACTATTCCTGCTCCTTCATATGTATTTATTACAAAGTCATCCTGAAATAGCTTGGTGGGGCTTTTGTCCTTTTTTCATTTCAAGAGCTGACATGTTTCTAGTGGGAGAAATATGTTGCACAGCACATTTGAGATTTTGCAGAGGGAGGCTTTTCGTTGGCCAGCTGTGCAGCTAACCTTTCACCTGATTGCTAATTGCCTGTGGATCTCAGAAGCTGAAAATAATCAGAAATCAAGCAATTAGAAATCTCAGTAAATGGGGAAATTCTGAACGTCTTTAGAAAACTTGTTTCCCTCCCAAAGCAAGGGGTGTATTTTGCTTACATATACCTCTTGCTACTAAGAAGGAAAGTAGGATCTTAATGTCCTAACATGAGTAGATCTCCAAGATATATTAAGAGAACAAAATATGTTTCAAGACTAAGCCTTAAGTATGATATATTTTATGCTGAACACACACAGTGCTATAGATCCTTGAGAAGTAAATATATGAGTATATTTATGTAAAGTAGCTGTCTTATGGGGTTGTTATGAGGATTTTAAAAAGATAAAAAGCTAGAAGGATGAGGGATGTAAAATGCTTAGAATACTGGTATTGTACCAGTGTTGGCTATTATTATGATGTAATGCATTTAGAGAGATTGGTAATGAACTTGCAGCCAAACCTATAACCGTGGAGTCGGGTAGATAGATGAGTTAGATTTTAGCCTTATCCTCAATGTTTAAATAATTTTGGAACAAAGGAATATATTTACAAATTACTTGTATAATTAAAGATTAATTTAACTGATCTGAATAAAAAGTGGATATATTCAGATAAAAAATGTAAGAGAGTTACCACAAGCACTGGTGCATTTAGACTTCAGCTCTATGCTTTAGAGAGTCTTATATGTCATAAATACACACACACACACACACACACACACACACACACACACACACACACACTGTCAAAGACCAAATGGCCAGCTCTGTCACTTAAGAACTGGTGCTCAACATAGGCTTACGTACTATGTTGACTAACACCATTGAGGTCCCAGGGAAATTCTCCTTCATACAAACTCTTGCCCTGTGTCCTTGAAACAAAGGCAACTGTAACTGAATGCCACGAATTTGAGGGTTGTGCTGCTGCCTGGGTTGGACTTGCTTGGGAGGGTAAGAATGATTTGACCAGCAGAGGTAAAGAAAAAATAATGTAATTAATTTATCTTTAATTAACTTGTAATGAATTCTTGCATAAAGAATTATTGTTTCTCAGTAGTGCCAAACGTTCATTTTCTTGTTTCTCTTGGTGCTCCAGTTCTTGGTTCCAGAGGTACTCATAAATTAGCACAGTTTTGCAATAGCTACACATGGTAGCTGAGGAATAATTTGCAATGTTAAAACAGTGCATATTATTCTTAAATTTGTATTTATGTAGGTCTAGAAGTAATACACCTGAAGTGTGTTATATATTCTTTATATAGGGGGCTAGATGGAAATTGAACACTAAAATTAGGAATAGTTTTACTTCTATAAAATATATTTAATATGCTTTGATTACATTTTCCAAAAATTAAATACAACTTCAGCTTTAAAAACTCTTGATGTAAAAATTTTATATTCCTTAATTAAAATTTGTATTTTGCATAAACATATACTTTGGAATATTTTAGAAAAATAACCTATCTTGAAAGCATGAAAATAATTTTAATTTTTAAAATCAAATAATTTATATTTTTAATGAAAATTCATTCTAATTTTATACATTTTGAAATATTACATTTTATTATTTAATAGTTTAGGGCATTGCTATCAATCTAACACAAATTCTATGAAAATTGTTATTTTTGAGACAGGGTCTTGCTCTGTGGCCCAGGTATGATCATCAGCTCACTGCAGCCTCGATCTCCTGGGCTCAGGCAATCCTCCCGTCTCAGCCTCCAGAGCAGCTGGGACTACAGGCACATGCCACCACACTTGGCTCATTTAAAAAAATTTTTTTTTATAGATACGGGATTTTGCTATGTTTTGCAGGCTGGTCTCAAACTCCTGTGCTTGAGCAATCCTCCTGCCTCGGCCTCTCAAAGTGCTGGAATTGGCATGAGCCACTGTGCATGGCCTGAAAATCTTGATTATAAAAATATAATTTTGCTAAAATGAAGTCAGGAAAAATAAAACTTATGAAATAAATATAATGTATGAATGATGTATACCTTTGTTACATGTCAAACACCACTAGCCCATTGATAGAACACTCAGACATAGGCAATACTAAATTTAGTTGTTTGATATTTTGCCAGCCTTCAGTTATATTAAAACCCAACTTTATACATATTTTAAACTTTGTCCATATGAAGGTATATGGACTAATTCTGTTTATGTGGTATATCACATTTATTGACTTGCATATGTTAAACCATCCCTGCATCCCTGGTATGAAATCCACTTGATCATGGTGGATTATCTTTTTGATATGTTGAATTTGGCTAGCTGGTATTTTGTTGAGGATTTTTGCATCTATGTTCATCAGGGATATTGGTCTGGAGTTTTCTTTTTTTGTTATGTCTTGTCCTGGTTTTGGTATTAGGATAACACTGGTTTCATAGAATGACTTACAGAGGATTCCCTCTTTCTGTATCTTTTGGAATAGTTTTAGCAAGATTGGTATCAGTTCTTCTTTGAATGCCTGATAGAATTTGGTGCTGGACTTTTTTTGTTGTTGGCAATTTTAAAATTACTGTTTCAATTCACTACTTGTTATTGGTCTGTTCAGAGTTTCTTTTTCTTTCTGCTTTAATCTAGGAGGTTTGTATATTTCCAGGAATTTACCCATCTCCTCTAGATTTTCTAGTTTGTGCATGTAAAAGTGTTCACTGTAGCCTTAAATGATCTTTCGTGTTTCTGTGATATAGTTTGTAATATCTACTGTTTTGTTTCTAATGAAGCTTATTTGGATCTTCTCTATTTCTTGGTTAATCTTGCTAATTGTCTATCAATTTTGTTTATCTTTTTGAAGAACCAGCTTTTTGTTTCAATTATCTTTTGTATTTTTTTTTTCAATTTGTTTAGTTCTGCTATTTGTTATTTCTTTTCTTCTGCTGGGTTTGAGTTTGATTTGTTCCTGTTTCTCTAGTTCCTTGAGATGTGACATCATATTGTCTATTTGTGCTCTTTCAGGCTTTTGATGTAGGCATTTAATGCTATGATCTTTCTTCTTAGCACCAATTTTGCTGTATCCCAGAGGTTTTGATAAATTGTGTCACTATTATCCAATTCAAATAATTTTTAAATTTCCATCTTGATTTCATTATTGACCCAAAGATTGTTCAGGAGCAGATTATTTAATCTGAATGTATTTGTATAGTTTTGAGGGTTCTTTTTGGAGTTAATTTCCAGTTTTATTCCACTGGTCTGAGAGGGTACTTTATATAATTTTGATTTTCTTAAATTTGCTGAGACTTGTTTTCTGGTCTATCATATAGTCTATTTTGGAGAATGTTCCATGTTCTGAAGAAAAGAATGTATATACTGCAGTTGTTGGGTAGAATGTTGTGTAAATATCTGTGAAGTCCATTTATTCTAAGGTACAGTTTAAATTCTTTGTTTTTTTGTTGACTTTCTGTCTTGATGACCTGTCTAGTGCTGTCAGTGGAGTATTGAAGTCCCTCACTATTATTGTGTTGCCATCTATCTCATTTCTTAGGTCTAGTAATAATTGTTTTATAAATATGGGAGCTCCAGTGTTAGGTGCGTATATATTTAGGATTGTGATATTTTTCTGTTAGACTGATCCTTTTTATCATTGAACAATGTCCGTCTTTGTCTTTTTGTTTTTTGTTTTTTTGAGATGGAGTCTTGCTCTGTTGCCCAGGCTGGAGTGCAGTGGCGCGATCTCGGCTCACTGCAAGCTCTGCCTCCTGGGTTCACGCCATTCTCTTGCCTCAGCCTCCCAAGTAGCTGGGACTATGGGCACGCACCACCATGCCCGGCTAATTTTTTTGTATTTTTAGTAGAGATGGGGTTTCACCGTGTTAGCCAGGATAGTCTTGATCTCCTGACCTTGTGATCCGCCCACCTTGGCCTCCCAAAGTGCTGGGATTACAGGTGTGAGCCACTGCACCCGGCCCCTCTTTGTCTTTTTAAACTGTTTTTGCTTTAAAGTTTGTTTTGTCTGATATAAGAATAGCTACTCCATCTTGCTTTTGGTTTCCATTTGCATGGAATATCTTTTTGCACCCATTTACCTTAAATTTATGTGAGTCCTTATGCATTAAGTGAGTCTCTTGAAGGCAGCAGATACTTGGTTGGTGGATTTTTATCCATTCTGCCATTCTGTATCTTTTAAGTGGGGTATTTAGGTCATTTACATTCAATGTTAGTATTGAGATGTGAGGTAATGTTTTATTCATTGTGCTAGTTGCTGCCTGAATACCTTTTTTTCATTGTGTTATTGTTTTATAGTGCCTGTGAGATTTATGCTTTAAGGAGGTTCTATTTGGTGTATTTCGAGGTTTTGTTTCAAGATTTAGAACTCCTTTTAGCATTTCTTATAATGCTGGCTTGGTAGTGGTGAATTCTCTCAGCATTTGTTTGTCTGAGAAAGGCTTTTTCTCTCCTTCATTTGTGAAGCTTAGTTTTGCTGGATACAAAATTATTGGCTGGCAATTATTTTGTTCAAGGGGGCTAAAGATAGGACCCCAATCCCTTCTGGCTTGTAGGGTTTCTGGTGAGAAATCTGCTGTTAATCTGATAGGTTTTCCTTTATAGGTTACCTGATGCTTTTGCCTCACAGCTCTTGATTCTCTTCTTCGTCTTGACTTTAGATAACCTGATGACTATGTGCCTAGGTAATTTTTGTGATGAATTTCCCAGGTGTTTTTTGAGTTTCTTGTATTGGGATGTCTAGATCTCTAGTGAGGCCAGGGAAGTATTTTTTTTTTCAATTATTCCCTCAAATATGTTTTCCAAACTTTTAGATTTCTCCTTTTCCTCAGGAACACCAGTTATTCTTAGGTTTGGTCATTTAACATAATCCCAAATTTCTTGGAGTCTTTGTTCATTTTCAAAAATTCTTTTTCTCTTTGTCTTTGTCTGATTGAGTTAATTTGAAAGCCTCATCTTTGAGCTCTGAAGTTCTTTCTTCTACTTGTTCTAGTCTATTGTTGACACTTTCCAGTGCATTTTGTATTTCTTAAGTGTGTCTTTTATTTCCAGCAGTTGTGATTGTTTTTCCTTTATGAGATCTATTTCTCTGGAGACATGGTCATCCATATCCTGTATTGTTTTTTATATTTCTTTAAGTTGGTTTTCACCTTTCTGTGGTGTCTCCTTGAGTAGCTTAATAATCAACCTTCTGAATTCTTTAACTGGCAATTCAGAGATTTTTTTCTTGGTTTGGTTCTATTTCTGGGGAGATAGTGTGGTCTTTTGGGGGTGTTATAGAACCTTGTTTTTGTCACATCACCAGAATTACTTTTCTGATTCCTTCTCATTTGAGTAGACTATTTCCATGGAAAAATCTGGAACTCAAGTGCTGCTGTTCAGATTCTTTTGTCCCACAGGGCAATCCCTTGATGTGGTGTGTTCTCCCTTTTCCTAGGGATAGGGCTTCCTAGAGAGCCAGACTGCAATGATTGTTATTGCTCTTCTAGAAACAGTACAAATTTCAAATCAAGCTGCAGTTACTTCTTGGAAACACTGAACAAGTTGTTTTCAGTTGGTTACTTTGTTAATTCCATAATAGCATTTACAACATAATTACTGTTGTTCTTCAGGGCTTGGACTGCCTTTGCTCTTGACATATTTGCTTGTGACATGACCAGTTCCATGCCCTTAACTTCCACACCTGTTTTATCAACTTCTTCCTCTTCACTCTCCTCTTGTACAGTTGGGGTCTGTGTTGTTTCTTAAATGTTTGAGATAGATTTACCTTGAACTTTGAATTTCTCAGCAGCTGCTAGCTGTGCTTGCTGAGATAAATCTTCATTTTTGGTTCCCCCCAAAACTATGTAGGTATCCAAAGCAGGGCGCTTGTAGACATCTGCTTTTGTGATGACAAAGAGGATATTCTTAGATTTCCAGATAGTGACTCTAGTAACCCCTGTAACCTGTTGAAGACCCAGTTTGGACATAGCCTTCTGTGCTTTCTTTTCACTCTGACTCTGTTTTGCTTTGCTGACTGGTTCTTTATTAATTTCAGCTGCTGCTGCCAGCTGGGCTTGTTGTGTGGTTGTCTGTGTGGAATCCTGTTCCTCAAACTCTGGTACTGATTCATCACTGTCAGATTCTGTTCCAGACCCTCTGTCAGCCTGGGGCTGCGGCAACTCCTGTTCCACAGCAGGGATGGTTTCTGTGGCTTTGCTGGACACTTTGCTCAGGGAATGCAGAACGCTTCCCCTTTTTTTTGATGGGATTATTTGTTTTTCTCCTTGCTGATTTGAGTTCCTTGTAGATTATGGATATTAGTCAAAATATTGTTGGATGCATAGTTTGCAAATATTTTCTACCATTCTGTGGGTTGTCTGTTTACTCTGCTGATTATTTATTTTGCTGTACAGAAGCTTTTTAGTTTAATCAGGTCCCATTTATTTATTTTTGCTTTCGTTGCATTTGCTTTTGGGGTCTTAGTCATAAATTCTTTGCCTAGGCCAATGTCTAGAAGAGTTTTTCCTAGGTTTTCTTCTAGGATTTTTTTTATAATTTCAGGTCTTAGATTTCAGTCTTTAATCCACTTGAGATGATTTTTGTATATGGTGAGAGATAGGAATCCAGTTTCATTCTTCTACATATGGCTATCCAGTTTCCCCAGCACCATTTACTGAACAGGGTGTCCTTTCCCTAATTTACGTTTTTGTATACTTTGTTGCAGATCAGTTGGTTGTAAGTATCTGGCTTTGTTTCTGGGTTCTCTGTACTGTTCCACTGGTCTATGTGGATACTTTTGTGCCAGTACCATGCTGTTTTGGCTACTATAGCCTTGTAGTATAATTTAAGTTGGATAATGTGATGCCTCCAGATTTGTTCTTTTTGCTTAGGATTGCTTTGGCTATTTAGGCTTTTTTTTGGTTCTATATGAATTTTAGAATTGTCTTTTTCTAATTCTGTGAACAATGATGTTGGTATTTTGATAGAAATTGCATTGAATCTTTAGATTGCTTTGGGAGGTATGGTTATTTTTATGATATTAATTCTTCCAGTCCATAAGCATGACATGTATTTCCATTTGGGTCACTGTGATTTCTTTCAGCAGTGTTTTGTAGTTCTCTTATATAGATCTTTCACCTCCTTGGTTAAGTATATTCCTAGGTATTTTATTTTATTTTATTTTTTTGCAGCTATTGTAAAGGGGATTGAGTTCTTGATTTGAGTCTCAGCTTGATTGTTGTCAGTATATAGTAGTGCTACTGATTTGTGTACATTGATTTTGTAACCTGAGACTTTACTGAATTCATTTATCAAATCTAGAAGTCTTTTGGAGGAGACTTTAGGGTTTTCTAGGTATATGATTATATCATTGGAAAACATAGATAGTTTGACTTCCTCTTTTCCAATTTGGAGGTCCTTTATTTCTTTCTCTTGCCTGATTGTGCTGGCTAGGATTTCCTTCCTCTACATCTTTGCCATCAGTTGTTATTTTCAGTCTTTTTAATTTTAGCCATTCTAGTGGGTGTGTACTGGTATTTCATTGTGATTTTTATGTGTATTTCCTTGATGACTAATGATACAGAGCATTTTTTCGTGTGCTTATTTGCCATCCATGTCTTCTTTGGCAAAATGTCTGTTCAAATATTTTGCCTATTTGTCTTATTATTGAATTGTAAGCATTTTTTATGTACTTTGGATAGACGTAAGTTTTGCAGATATTTTTGCAAAAAGGATTTTTTGAAGAGTAAAATGTTTATATTTTTGATGGAGTCCAATTTATCAAAAAAAAAAGTTCCTGCTTTTTGTGTGTCTTACTGAAGAAATCTTTGCCTAACCCAAAGTCATTAAGATTTTCTCCTGTGTATTCCAGAAATTTTATAGTATTAGCCCTCATATTTAGGTCTATAATGCATTTTGAGTTGTTCTTTTCTTTTTTGCATGTGGATGAGCAATTGCCCCAGGGCCATGTGTTAAAAAGATTTTTTTTTTAATCCATTGCCCTGGCACCTTTGTTGAAACCCAACTGATCATTTATGTGTGTCTAATTCTGGACAGTATGCTATTTCATTGATGTCTATGTTTATTGTTTCATAACTGCTACACTATTTTAAATGACTGAAGTTTAGGAAGATAAAAGAATAAAAAGCTTCAGGCAGCTCAGAAATAAAACTCTAATGAAAGGATGACCAATGGCACCCAAGTGTGTATTTTGGGGCATGCCAAATCACACTGACAATTTGCAGTGAAAAGAATTTCTATTTTGGGATTAAGCCTACAATTAAGTTTCTCTATAAGGTTGCTTCTAGAATGCTCTGTGTCACCCTAACTCAGGGGTACCTCTGTATTTAGGGATACATAAAATAAACCAAACCTTGGACACTTACTCTGATCTTGTAGATAGGAAAAGGCAGAAAGTTTGTGCATGTTGTCCATCAGAGATGGCATGCTAGGTGTTAAATTGTAATCTCTCTGCAGAACAAGTTCTTAGCAGCTAAAGATGAGATAACCCTCTTACTGATATGAAAGGTAAAAATACTTGTTGCTCTGTTAACTGGAAGTTTAGGATCCAATTTTTCTGTCTTTGATTGACAGCGTGACCTTGGCTATGAGTCCCTTACCTGAGATGCATCCCATCTCAGTAGGTAGACAACATAATTTTGTCTTTACTTGCCACCTGCCATCTATATGAGTAGGTTGAACTCACGAGTGAAGTACAAGGCTGAGTCAGGTCGGAAGGGCATCAGTGTTCATAGTCTTAATCTCTTAATATCCTCTATTCCAGGAAACAAAGACATGATTAAAAAAATTGGCTCTGCATTCCTTTGGAAACAAAGAGTGAGAGGGTAATCATAGTTGGGCACAGAGGAAAGGTGAGTGGGTCACATGATAAACTACCTGGCAAATTATCTGTGCCTAGGCTGTCCCCTTCCCCAACATCAGCATGGAAAATAGTTCACAACCTTTTTTTTTTTTTTTTTTTGAGACAGAGTTGCTCTATCACCCAGGCTGGAGGCCAGTGGCGCGATCTCAGCTCACTGCAACTTCTGCCTCCTGGGTTCAAGCGATCCTCCTGCCTCAGCCTCCCGAGTAGCTGGGATTACAAGTGCATGCCACCACACCCAGCTATTTTTTTTTTTTCGTACTTTTAGTAGAGATGAGGTTTCACCATGTTGGACAGGCTGGTCTTGAACTCCTGACATCAGGTGGTCCACCTACCTTGGCCTCCCAAAGTGCTGGGATTATAGATATGAGCCTCTGCGCCTGGCCAACAAAACCATTTTCTTATACTTATTGAAATTAAGTTGCTTATATTTCAGTTAGATTTACCGAGCCACAGCTCTCTGTGTCCTGTATGCTTAGTGGATTTTTGTTGACTAGAATTGTTCTAACCACATTTCTTTAATAATCCACTACACAAATTCTACCCTTGTCTTCAAATGGCAACATGGTAGCCCAATCAACAGGGGCCTTGTTATTTGGAGCAGAGAGCTCCTGGTGGTTGCTGTTCTCCTGACCTAGCTTGTTCAGCCTTCCCGAGGTACGTGTCTGGGAGATAAGAGCTACCATTCATGAAGAGCGTCTTGTGATGTTTATCACATCAGTTATTCTGAAGGCATCTCCCCACCCCCGCCCTTAATTGTGAAATTAAGACTAGCTATAGTAAAATTAGGAAACGTGAAAAATCTAGAAAATCATCGTTAAAAAAATCCCCAAGTACTAAATTTATGCTAGAGTATACCTCAAATAATGAATATCTCAAGTGAAAAATAATGTGCAGTATGAGTTTTTCCCCTAAATAAGAAAACTTTGTATAGGGGGTGTGTGTGTGTGTGTGTGTGTGTGTGTGTGTATGTGTGTGTGGTCAGGAGCTCTCCTCTAACACTGACGTTAACTCAAGAATAATAGGTTGATTATTAGCACTGAAATTTAATTTTACAGGTAGGGAAACTAGGGCCCAGAGAGATGAGGTGATCCTCCTAAGGCCTGGAGTGATGAGGTGATTCTCCTAAGGTCCTACAGCCTCGATGTGGCAGTGTCCAGAGAAGCTCAGGTTCAGTGGTATCAATGGTTTTAGTCTTTTTGAGGTGTATTAGGCAGTTTCTTCAGAGAAACAGAACTACTGGGAGATATATATGTATTATAGGAATTGATTCACATGATTATGGAGGCCAAGAAGTCCCATGGTCTGCCGTCTGCAAGCTGGAGAACCCGGCAATCCAGTGGTGTAATTCAGTATGAGTCCAAAGGCCTGAGAGACAGGAGAGCTGGTGGTGTAAGTCCTGGTCCAAGTCCAAAGGCCCAAGAACCGGGAGCACTGATGTCCAAGGGCAGAAGAAATTGGACATCCCAGCTTAAGCAGAGAGAGAGAAAATTCATCTTTTGACTGCCTTTTTGTTCTATTTGGGCCCTCAATGGATTGGAGGATGCCATCCACATTGGTGACGGTGGTCTTTACTGATTCTAAGGTCTCTTCTGGAAACACCTTGACAGACATACTTAGAAATAATGTTTTATCAGCTATCTGGGCATCTCTTAGTCCAGTCAAGTTGGTACATAAAATTAACCATCACAAGGGGTCACCTTATCTAGTATAAATGTGCATGGCATAGGCTTTGTTGTAAACTGTTTCTTTTCGAAAAGCTTTCCTTCTCCTATTAGAATTTTACAGGTAAGGTGACCAAGCATTCTGTCTGCCCAGGACTCACAGGATCTCTGGACTCAGCACTTTAGTGTGAAAACTAGGGAATGTCTGGAAAGGCCAGGATGAGTTGGTCACCCTAGTTTACAGGGGTTTGCAACTATTCGCCTGGGTGGTTTTGCCATACATTTCCTGGTGACCTGTGGATTCCAGCCCAGGCTACATGAAAGGAAACAAGACGACTCTATTCTACGGCAAAGAGACAAACTGTGGCTCTCTCTGGGTTATGAGCTCACCTTAACCTAATCCTGCCTGTCCTTCCAGGGCAGCCCCCCCTCACTTCCTTTACCACCCTCCTGACTACCGTGGTTGTTGTCAAACACCGCGTGGATGGATAGAACTGAATTCTGTACTTACCATTTCACTTTCTGCTATCAAGTACTGTTGACTAAAGCTTCACTTAGAAAGGTTTTATCTTGGCAGAGGTATTTTAAGACGCTTTAGGGATCTTTGTCAGATCCTTGTGTCCCAGGCAAGTTAAGATCACAGACTCTGGAACCAGATAGTCTAAGTTAGAACCCTGGTGTTCTGCCGCTGTCTTGGCCGTGTGATCTGGGCAAGTACCATAACCTCTCTGTTTCTTAGTTTGCTTCTATCAAATGGGGATAATAATAGTACCCAACCCGTAAGAGTACTGTGAGATTTAACTTAGTTGATATACATAGAGTGTCTAAGGCAGCACTTTGGCTATGATGAATGAGGTCTCAGTAGATTCTTTCTTGGCTGACTGGTTTGAATGCATATTCATGAGGCTAATTCCTTTACCTTTGCTGTCCACGTGCAAGGCGTGCATACTGAAAGTGAATATGGTTGTGGAGAAGATTCCTGGCTGCTCAAGCTGTGAAAGGATTCTGTCTGTGTGGTTCATTAGAATTCTAACTGCAGTGGGGCTTGCCTTGAAATAGAATCTTTAAGCACGAGGCCATCTAATGGTGTCCGCTTGAAGATTACTCTGTATAAGTACACTTTTTCATCTTCTAACTCTCCATTTAATATCAATATGTTAGCAATTAAAAATAGTTTAAAAGCACATTCATGATAACTAATTTCAATTCATTGGAATAGATTTTTATCATATTTGATGCATAATTTCAGTTTTATTGCTGAGATAAAAGGTCAATCTGATAGATAACTGAAATAGAATATGTGCTTCACAGGAACTTTACCTTTAAGTTGTTATGTATCTTGGTGTAATTAATAAAGCATTTCTTACAGCAGAATTGCACCACAGAGTGAATCCATGAACTTCCTGACTGTCAAACCAAATCAAGCTACTTCAATCCTTGAAGAATAAAACTGTTCAAATTGCAGTGGCTTGTAAATTCCTAGCTTTGGGTGAAGGAATCTGCACTATCTTCAGAAGAAGGAATAAACATTTCCTGCCACCCAAAACCGTATTCCTCTTTCTCCATCTCTAGGAAATCTGGCCACAGATGATGACAGTGTGAAATGACGCAGTTGCTCCTGTGCTTGCCTGACCAGCACTCTTTACCCTCTTCTTCCAGTAATAAGGCCCCTCTCCCTTTTCTGGGGTACAGCTCGTTCTTCTCCTCCAGCCATGTATTAGGGGCTGCCATTCATAGTACCCCGCCTCCCTTCCCACTGCAGTGGGCATCTGATCGACCTGCAATCCAGAGAAACAGAACCACTAGGAGATATATATGTATTATTGGAAGTTGGTTCACGTGATTATGGAGTCCAAGAAGTCCCATGCTCTACCGTTTGCAAGCTGGAGAAGCAGGAGATTCCATGGTGTAATTCAGTCTGAGTCCAAAGGCCCGAGAGACAGGGGAGCTGGTGGTGTAAGTCCTGGTCCAAGTCCAAAGGCCCAAGAACTGGGAACACTGATGTCCAAGGAGAGAAGAAATTGGACATCCCAGCTCAAGCAGAGAGAGAGAAAATTCATCTTTTGACTGCCCTTTTGTTGTATTTGGGCCCTCAGTGAATTGGAGGATGCCATACGCATTGGTGATGGTGGTCTTCTTTACTCAGTCTACTGATTCAAAGGTCTCTTCTGGAAACACCCTGACAGACACACCTAGAAATAATGTTTTATCAGCTATCTGGGCATCTCTTAGTCCAGTCAGGTTGATATATAAAATTAACCATCACAAGGGGTCACCTTATCTTGTATAAATGTGCTAGATAAGAAAAGTTTTTGAAAAACAGTTTAAAACAAAGCCTATGCCATGCACATTTATACTAGATGAGGTGTCCTGCCCTCCACCTTAGTTTCCTACAACTGCTGTAATGAAATGCCACAAACTGGGTTGCTTACCACAATAGAAATGGATTCTCTCACAGTAGTAGAGGGTAGGAGTCTTAAAGCAAAGTGATGGTAGAGGGTTGGTTCCTTCTGGAGGCTCTGAGTTAGAATCTGTTTCATTTCTCTGTCCCAGCTTCTGAGAGTTGCTGGCAACCCCTAGTATCTCTTGGTTTGTAGATGTATCACTCCAACCTGTGTTCAAACTTCTCGCTTCCTGTAAGGACACCAGTTATTGGACTAATACAATACAACCCCATCTGAACTTGATTACATCTGCAAAGACCCTATTTCCAAACAAGGTTACATTCACAGACACCAAGAGTTAGGACTTGCATATATCTTTTGGGGGAACACGGGTCAACTCCAAACACACTCTTTCTCATAGAGATTGGTCCAGTGATAAGCATATGACCCAAACTGGGCAGTGAGAGAGTTTCCCACTGGAGCTGGTGGGGGGCAGGCTTGACTCTCCACCTGAGAGTCTGCGTGACAGCCACGGGATGCTGGCCATTGTGGTTCCAGCCCCGTGGAGAAATCTGCCTGAGAGAAGGCAGCTGATGTGCAGAGAAAAGCCGAGAAGAGGAGGCAACATCCTGATGGGGTGCTTAGATCCTTACATCCAGACACCCCTTTCCTTGGTTTGCCCACACGAACCGTTAAATGTGTGCTTTTCTTTTTTGCCTTCTTAAACCATTCTGAGATAATATTTCAGTCACCTGCAACCCAAGGACACTGAATAATACCAATTGAAGACAGCATTTGAAGATATGGGCAAGGACCCTAACATGGAAATGTTATCTTCTAGAAAAGTCAGTGCTTAGCCAAGACCATTCCCACATGCCTGTACTGTACCTGGCAGGTAGTGACGCATGTACAGGGACACATCCCATGTCTCAGGCCATGTGAATGCCCAGCTGGTAATGTGGCTTTTCAGGAGGCTGCTCTGGGTCCTCACAATGGCAGACACAAGCTCTGACCTCACTTCATTTATTTATTTTTTTTCCTCTCACAAGCTTATTCTGATCATCTATCATTTTAATGAGTTTACAAAAGAGACATTTTCCTGAATTCCTAAGAACAAAAGAATAATGTAGAATAATGTGCTTTTTCTAAGATGACATAAGCAATGCTGCAAGAACACGTGTCTTTTTCAGTTGCCCTATTCATGGTAAGCATTCTAAGATGACATTGCAATGCCACCGTAAAACTGCCACTCAGTGCCATTCAGCAGGCAGGAGGCTGTCTTCCTGTGGCACCTGCAGGACAATTTAAGCTGCAAATAATGAGACCTGGCAAAAGGAGCTTAAATAATAATGAGCTTCTTATCTTATCTAACAAGAAATGCAGTCGCAGGGCTTCCACGTCATCAGTTCCTTGCTGCTTTCTCGCTTTCAGCTCTGCCATTTTCGGTGTGTGGGAAACATTCCCCCTCATAGTTGCAAAATAGCTTTGGGAGTTCCTGCCACTGAATGTGACAACATTTAGCAAAGGGGAGCAGTGTTTTCTCCTTTGTGTTTCTTTCTATTGGGAACAAAAACCTTTCTGTGAATTCTCCCACCTCTAACCCTGCCAGGCTTTCCTCCAATTCCAATGGCTCAGATTGAGTCACATGCAACGTTTGTTCCAATCACATGGGAGGGAATTGGATTCCCACAGTGGCTCAGTACTCAGCATTAACCCCTTGGGGCTGGAAACAGCCTGAGAAGCCAAGGACTCTCAACACCTGAGCAAAACTGGGAGCCAGTGAGCAACAAAGGGGGAAGGGCGCAGTGTGGGTTGTGCCACAGCACCTGGGGGGCCTTTGATGGAAACTGACGTCAGTACCCAGCAAGCTGCCCCACAACTCCTTGGGGTCAGCGGTGCATGAGGTATTGGTGAAATAGTAAATCCTGTGGAGTATTTCTTAGAAGAAGATGGATAGTGTTAAATATTAGTATAATATAACATGTTAAATATGTATGACATGAAATATAGGATATCCCATTTTATATTTATTAAGTTAATAGTATATTGAGTATTAATATTAAATATCCCATGTTATATTTAATAAATTAATATTTAATATGTTAAAAAGGCAAAAAATTAATGAACTAACAACCATCAGACTTAAGTAGAAAGAAAGTAGAATAAACCTAAATCAAATGAAAAAGTAATAGGTTAAGGACAGACATTAACAAAATAGAACACATTAGAATAACAATAGAAAAACATTTTCTGTCGAGAGGATCAATAAAGCCAATTTTATTCTTGAAAAGACTAAAACAAATGTCAAACTTTTGGTAAAAATGATCTAGAAAAGAAGAGAGAAACAAATAATATTAGAAATGAAAATATTAGGAATCAGACACTAAAATATAATATAAACCACTTTAAGCTTACAAACATTAAGTTTAGATAAAATGGACAAACTTGTCAAAAAATATAGCCTACTAAAATTAACTTAAGGAGAAATTGAATATTGAATAGTCGTATAATCTAAGAAAATTGAACCATTTGTTAAAAGTCTTTCCACAAAGGATATTCCAAATGGCTTTTACTGGCAATTTCTGTCAGACATTCCAGAAATAAATAATCCAAATTATATACAAATTACTCCAGAATATCGAAAAAGAAGGAACAATTCTCAAGTCATATTTTGAGAGTTGAATAACTTTGATTCCATAACCTGACAAGGGCTGAATGGGAAAGGAAGGTCACTTACAAACATGATTACAAAAATCCTACCGAAAATATTAGCCAGCCAAATCCTGCCTCCATTAGTTGTGTAAATCATGAACAAGCTGGGTTTGATTTAACATTATAACATCAATTGAGGTAAATTATATTAATGGGTTAAGGGAGAAAAGTCTGTGATCATCTCAACATGTGCCAAAAAAGCAGTTGATGAAATTCAACACTTGCTCATGATAGAAACTCTAAGCAAACCAAAGACTGACAGTGTGTTTGGCTGGTCCATTGGCTGAGCAGCATTTTCTCAGAATGCTCCCTTAATGCTCAATGGAAGGCAGATGCCAAACTCCCCTGTTTTTTGGGGCTGCTTTCCCAGTTTTTACCATGTGTCGTTGTGTGAATGTTTCTTGTATCTCTTTATATATAATTATCTTTTATTTATTTATTTATTTTTGAGATGGAGTATTGTTCTTGTCACCCAGGCTGGAGTGCAGTGGCGTGATCTCAGCTCATTGCAAACTCCGCCTCCTGGGTTCAAGCAATTCTCCTGCCTCAACTTCCTGAGTAGCTGGGATTACAGGCACCAGCCACCACACCTGGCTAATTTATATATTTTTAGTAGAGATAGTGTTTTGCTATGTTGGTCAGGCTGGTCTCGAACTCCTCACCTCAGGGGATCCACCTGCCTCGGCTGCCCAAAGTGTTGGGATTACAGGCATGAGCCACTGTGCCCAGCCTGATCTTTTATTTTTTTGAATAAAAAATAGGCACATATATATGCCATTCTCCTCTTTACTTTGTTTCATTTGACATACTATAGACATATTTTCTCTTTTACATATATATGTATATACCTACTTCTCTTTTTAGAGGTTACATAGAATTTCATTGTATATAAGCCATAATTCATGAACTATGTTAAGAAAAAATAATTCAGCCACCTGAAGACTGAGTGTAGCTTTTAACATGTATAGAATCATAATTGAGTTGGGAATTAAAACCATATACCATAAAAAACTGGGCACTCAGCAGATTTCTGCCTCTTACAGAAAAATCTGGGCTCCTTACAGTTGTAAAACTACCACCCTGTGAATTGAGATTTGGGTGATTGTGACCACAGCACCGTATGGAGGTCATCTTTCTGTATATAGGTATAAAAGTGAGAGAGGGCAAATCCAGCATTGCTTCTGGCGATGTGATCGGATAGTGAGAACTTGACTACAAATTCTATGAACACAAGTGCTTTCATCCTAAAAAGTCTTGTAACCACTCCCACTCCTCCCCACACTCTCAGCACCCCTGAAATTTGTTAGGCTGTTCATTTCAAGTCACACACAGAGTCTATGATTTCCAGTTTGGTGGACTGGCTGAGGGGCATGAAGGGGCCAGGCAGTCACGTTCTGGAATTGAAAGGCATCTGGGTGGAGGGAGAGAGAATCCAGTCCCCACCGCACACCACTGCAGGTTTTGGCAAGTTACTTGTGCTCCCCTGAGCCTCTCTTCCTCATCTTTAAAATGGGCAGGATGCTACACACCTTACATGGTGTTTGTGAGACCTAAAGATAAGCCTCCCTGTCCACAGAGGGGTTAGTTTAAGAATGTAGCAAATATCATTGTTTTTGGAAAACATTATTCCCGAGAATAGTTTTTACATGGAGTCAGGTGGCGTTTCTGTTTGTGCACATGCCTCACAATTAGAGTAATGGTGAGAAAGTTATTAAAAAAATAACATCTGGGCTAATCAGCTGTCAGCGTTCACCTGTCTTTTTCACTGGGCCCTTCCCTGAGCATTGAGGAACAATGGGGGCAGTCACTGGAAAATTCCTGGAAGAAACAGAGGGAGGACTTTAACCACCCTTCACCTCAATAACTGACTTAAAAATCCCAATTAGGCATTTCTCTCTGTCCCCAAAGTCCCTTGCCTTTTGCCCTTCTACTAGGGATCTCTTTGCTTCCCTGTGCAGGGCTCAGCCTAACTTGCTCAGCCAGTTGCATCAATGCAGGTAACAGATCCTGCTCTCACCTAGAAGCAGTTTAGTGACCTACAGTTTTACTGGAACATAACATTTGAGGTCTCATCATAGTTGCCCACTCTGAATTCTTAGCAAAATGTCTTTTCAACAAGATAAGATGTCATGCCAGTTGCTAAGAGAGGAAGTTTCCTCCTCCTATTTTTGTGTCAGCAACATTGGTTGTGCGCATGTGAAGCTGCCAGAAGCCTCTTCTTTCACTGTCGTAGCCCTGATTGCTGTTGCATCTGTTATCCTGGCCACCTCTGGCTCTCCTTGGTTACACACAGCTGTTCCTGGTTACACGCAGATTCCTCCTAGACACCTCCAATCCCCATGCTACTCCCCCCATGATCCCTAAGCACTTGTCCTGGCTGTAGGGAAGTCAGTGTTGTGGCTTGAGAGCCTATCTGACTGGACCGTGATTTAACCACTGCTATAGCCCTGGAGCCAAGCACAGTAGCTACCCAGGGCAGGTACCCAAAAATCTTTGTGGAGTAAATCCATGAATATCCACAGACCACCCAGTGTTGTCTATTCTCCACGTAACCTACACTCTCTGGTTGTGGAAGGAAGAATGCATCACTTTCCCTACACTTTCTGGTTGTGGAAGAATGTATCAGTTTGCTAGAGCTACTCTAACAAACAGCACACAACAGAAACTTTTTTGCCCCACATTTATGTTGATTAAAAACTGACATAAACAAAACCTGTACAAAAAATATCCCAAATCCCATATCACTTTGAAGAGTCATCTTGAGAGACGTTATGACCTATGACCCCCTCTTCCGCTGCCACAGCCACGTCCTCTTCCTCTACCGCTGCCTTGGTTTCTTCCTGCAACAGAAATTTATTATTTCCCAGTTCTGGAGAGTGGAAATTGGAGATCAAGGTGTTGGGAGGATTGATTCCTTCGAAGGGCTGTGAGGGAGAATCTATTCCAGGCCTCTCTCCTGGCTTTTAGTGGTTTGTTGGCCATCTCTGATGTTCCTCGGCATGTAGACACATGACCCTGGTCTCTGCTTTCATGCTCACATGATACTCTCCCTGTGTATTAGTCCATTCTCGCATTGCTATAAATATCTGATACTGAGTAATTTATTAAATAAAAGAGGTGTAATTGGCTCACAGTTCTGTAGGCCATACGGGAAGTATGATGCTGGCATCTGCTTGACTTCTGGGGAGTCCTCAGGAAACTTACAATTATGGTGGAAGGTGAAGGGGAAGCAGGCTCATCTTACGTGGCTGGAGCACGAGCAAGAGGGAGAGTGGGTGGGGGGGCAGGGGCTACATACTTCTAGACAACCAGATCTGGTGAGAACTCAGTGTCATGAGAACAGCACCAAGGAGTATGGTGTTAAACCATTCATGAGGAACCACACTCATGATCCAGTCACCCCCCACCAGGCCCCACCTCCAACACTGCGGAATACAGTTTGACATGAGATTTGGTGGGGACACAGAACCAAACCATATCACTCTGTGTGTGTGCCTGTGTCTAAATTTTTCCCTTTGATGTGGACACCAGTCATATTGGATTAGGGGCCCACGCTGCTTTAGTATGACCTCATCTAACTTTATATTGAGCTGCCTGTGGTCCCAGCTATTCAGGAGGCTGAGGCAGGAAGAATCACTTGAGCCCGGGAGCTCAAGACTGCAGTGAGCTATGATTGTGCCACTGCACTCCAGCCTGTGCAACAGAGCAAGACTCCATCTCTAAAATGACCCTATTTTCAAATAAGGTCCCATTCTGAGGCCCTGGGCACTAGGACTTCAATGTATGTTACCAAACAGTGTAGTTACTTCCCTTGTTCTCAATTCTCTGTTGCTGTTTCTCCATTTATATCAGAAAAGATTGAAACTTTGATAGCTTTCTGTAAAGTATGAACACTGCTGAGGGGGCACATAAGGAGATGTTCCTTATATTTACATAGTTTTTGATTTTTGTCTGAAAATGACAACTGAGGTTGAGAATCTTGGTGGTCAGATAAACAGCACTATTCCATCCAGACCTTGTGTAATTCCTGGGAGTAAATCACTGTTTTCTCTTTGGGATCAGTGACTTGCATCAGGATACCTCAGTTTTAGCTGTGTGCTTTTGTGTAGTGAAATGCAGTGAGGTCTTGTGATTCCAGGGACACGAGAAAAAAAGAGTTGTTAGAAGAAACCGGATAGGATAGAAATAGCAAACCTTTTTGATAGAGGACACTGACGCTGAACACTGGACTCATCCAATCCTCCCTACAACTCTCCGCAGCCCCCCAAGAAGCGCAAAAGAGCTGTCTGCGCCTCTTGTCACCACCCCATTTGCAGACCCTGGGTCGCTGCGCATGGAACGGCCCGCAGGTGGCACAGGAGGGACAAGGATCCCCGTCTGGCCCCGGTGCGCGGCTCGCGGCTCTTCCTGGCCCTCTCCGGAGTGACCGAAGTGAAGAGGGAGAGAATTCGGAAGGTGCAGTGTGACCCTGGCTCCTCGCTCTAGCCCGCCAGCGCCCACAGTGTCTCTGAGAGTACACAGCCCTCTGGAGGAACGCGGCTGCCTTCGTAGAGGGCCCTCGAGGAGCTCGGTGCTGGGGCTGCAGCTCTTGTGTGAGGCCGTCGTGCGTTGCAGTTAATTGTTGCACCTGTATTTCTGGTCGAGAAGCTGTACTGCTAAGATGCGTGCTCCTGCCGAGAGCGCAGCTCCGGGTGTGACAGTTCAGTGCAGCTGGGGCGTGACCCCACCGCACGCTGGCCGGGCAAGGTCACCGCTCCTTCGCCAGCGGGGCCTATTCCCTTTGGAGCTTCTCCAGCTTCGTGGCCTCCACCGGCCTGTGGCTGCTGGTCTTTGGGCAGTTGTCCATTCATTAATAGCTCCCTCAGAGGTTGGGGCACAGAAAGTAAAAGAAGCAAAAAACAAAACAAAACAAAACAAAACAAACCCAGTGTTGAATCTGGCAGAGGAGATGCTGGCAGAAACGAGATTGGAGCAAATGGCTGCAATGCCTGGAGGGAATTTGCATTCACCCTGGCATCTGCGTGGAAGTCAGCGCCCAGCACCCCGCCTGGCAGCATCTGTCACTGCTCCAGGAGCATCCAAGACAAGCCTACACTGGGTTCCGCTGGGAAGCCAGTATGAAGGCTTGGTCCCCAAATGTCACTGCTAAGAGACACACATTTTGCTTGGAGAGAGAGAGGGAGACAGGCTGGTTGTGCAGGACCTCTCTGTTCACCCGGAAGTGAGAGAAAACATGTCCCATAGGATCCCAAGCCAGGGACACACCAGGGGACTGGGATGGTTTTCAGGGCCAGGTAAACATAACATTTTGTGCACAATTCCATGGAGTTCACAAATCAGGTGGTCCCTCTCTGGTTAAGAATTTCTTATGGATCAGAACAAGGATCTCTGAAGGATATGCTCACAGAGTGGGCTGCTGGTAGGTGATTAGCCGGGATTGGAGGTTGGTGGGGGAAGAAGTAGAAAGGGGACAGGCTGGATGGAGTGCAAGATGAAGAGCCAAATCTGGCCAGCCTCACTGTCTTGCCCGGGGCTGATCTGGACATTTTACCTTAGGGCTGACTCAGTGCTGTGGTTAACAGGTCAGAGGTAACCGCCTCGCTCTTGGAGGAATGGGAAGAATGCTGGCCTGTGGGTGACCAAATACTGTATAGACATACATGCATCTCTGTTTTCTTCTCGTTAAACTGGGATGCCACCTTCCCAGAATGGCCTGTGGTTGGGAGGCTGGGTTCTGCAGCTGCAGCACTGCCTCGCTCCCCATCCAGCTCTGCTGCTTTCTTTCGATGGAAACATGAACATCTCTAAGCCTGGACAACCTCTTAATAAACAACAGAAATACATTGGAGAGAAATACAGCAGGGGTGGGAGTGAGGAGAAACCTTTAAGAGACTTACCTGTTGAAGATCAGAACCTGCATTCTCCATGCTGCGAGTTGATTTTTTTTTAAACGAAGTGCCCATGTGGATCTGACATCTGCTTTCTGAGTTTGTGTGGATGAGACACACACTCTAGAGTCTGTCAGAGAAGATTCTAGAGAATAGAACTGGTCTCACCTGGGATCATGCAAGACAAATCAATAGCAGCTGTTAAGATAATTGTATATAGGACTATAGTCTTGGGAAACCACAATATGCTAATCACTTGATTTAATTTTGTGACTATCTGCAGATGTGGATATGAATTTAAATTGCAACCTCACAATGTTGTGTCTACAGGTACAGGTTAAACTGAAGGAAGGTGGAAGGGTTTAAGAGCCTATCTGTTAAATTTCAAGTCTCAAGTAAGCCAAGTCAATGTAAGTCATTGCTGATTTGGAGCAAGTCTTTGTAAAACGTACCTGATTTGCTTTAGCATTGTGAGTTCTCTTAATTGATGCTTGCCTAATTTTGTGGGACTTGGTTTCAAATTTTACAATGGCTTTTGACTCCACTCCCCATTCTTGTACATAATAGGTACAACAAAAATTGCTTGAATAAACTAGTAGAGCGAAAGTATTTCCATAGCTCCTAAAGACCAGATTCTGAATATGGTAAATATGGCAGCAACCAAAGGGCCAAGCCAAAACTAGGTTCTGCTCAGTCATTCTACCTCTCTTGGGAGCCTTTAAAATAATGAACCTACAGCTTTTTTTGGGTTAAGAATGCCTCTGAGTCTTGATGAAATTATTGCTCCCTCTCTAGATGATGCAGGTAAACACACATTTTGTGCAAAATTCCAGGGAGTTCACAAATCAGGTGGTCCATCACTTTGGGAGGCTGAGGTGGGCAGATCACTTGAGGTCAGGAGTTCCAGACCAGCCTGACCAACATGGTGAAACCCTGTCTCTACCAAGAATATAAAAAATTAGACAGGCATGGTGGCATGTGCCTGTAATCCCAGCTACTTGGGAGGCAGAAGTTGCGGTGAGCTGAAATCACACCACTGCACTCCAGCCTGGGTGACAGAGCAAGACTGCGTCTAAAAAAAAAAAAGAAGAATTTTTTAATGCATCAGAACTAAGATCTCTGAAGTAAGAAAAAAAAGATAAAAAAAGAATTTCTTAATGCAAACCTCTGTCTGTCTGATGTTCTCTGATAGGAATAGAGATTCTGAAAGAGAGGAATGTTGTGTTTATGACTTGAGGCAAGGGGAGGTGGACTGTCAGTAGCTTATCATTTTCATCAGTTTCCCCCTATCTGAAGATGTGCAAAAAATTCTAGAGCGAAGAGAGGAAGACAAATATGATGGTATCCAGACTTTAGGGCTTGTTCTGTTTACTGTTTCTCTAATTACCAGTTTGGTGCAATAGTATTTATTTCCTTGGTTTGTTTCTTTCCTTCTTCTCAAGGAAGATAACAGTAGGAGATTTATTTGGGAATCTTGGACAGTTCCTAGTGCACGCATTGCATTGTGTTCTGGGCCTGCATCTCCTGAAATAGATCCCAAGGAAAAGCAGTCTTTAGAATAATAATATGTTTTCTTGTCAACACTGACAAATTGGACTTTTTTCCCCTACAGTATCGAGGAATTTCTGGGTGAAGATGCTGCACAAGTGTAGCTTTCAGACTTGCATTCAGTTTCTGATTCCAACTTTGCATCATTGCTTATGAGTTACTTTCTATGTACATTCAGATGTCTCTTTCCTAGTCATTGTCCTGTGCAAATGTTCAACTTGAAAAGAGTGTGTCTAAGGAACAGCAGTGTGTTCAGATGTTCTCTCCTCCTATGGCCCCATGTGGAAAGAATTGCACTAGGAATTGCATTATCTCTTCCACCCATTCAGCTTTGAACTTGCTTTAGCTAATTTCTGGTTGCAGGCAGCAGAGTTATTTTAAAGTCCTGATAAGTTATTTTAGAAGTGAAGTAGTTTTTAACTCTAGGGTATTTCTTTCTGGGAGGGAAGAGTTGAGAGTCATGGCCTGGGATTCATAATTAACGTATCTCTCTTGTACAGTACATTTCCTTAGAGTAGGGTTTTATGTGGAGATGGAGCAAATATAATAAGGCTTGAGCCAGCAAAAAGTGAACTTTCCAGTGTTCTCAGATTCCCTGATTTGTTTAAAACTCAGGTTTTTCCCTGTGCAGGGGCTGGATCCTGAGTATGGATGGAGATTCACGTCCTAGAGGAGCTTCCGAGCGCTATGGTGCATGGTGTTTCCGTGAACCTGAGGGGCCGTCTTGGGGTGGGACAGTTTGCTCTCCCACACCCAAGGTACTCAACAAAAGGCAGACATAACCATGACACAGCTTTAAAGAAAGAAGTTTGGGAGATGTTGACATTTGCATTTTTTTTTTCTTATAAGAATGGACATAGGAGATGGTAGATAGAATATTGTGGCTGGGAGGTTCCCTACTCAACTAAACCCATAGTCCTGTAATTAAATCTGTATCTCTTCAGAAGATTATGACCCATCCAAAGAATTCCACGCTTCACTTTTGAGTGATGTGGAGGGCAGCAGGCCTGCTCTCATAAATGTGTTTTTACTATAAGCATTTATTATACCATCCTCTTACTTAGTTGTTAAAATTTCCATATAGCATTTATTAAGGTAAATGCCTTGTTTTATAGAATTTAAAAAATTGAGGTGAAATTCACATAAGATAAAATTAGCAATTTTAAAGTGAAAAATTCAGAGGCATTTATACATTCACAATGTTGAAAAGTCACACCTTTATCTAATTCTAAAACATTTTCTTCACCCCAAAAGGGAACCCCCTATCCATTAAGCAGTTGCTCCCTATTCTCCTCTTTCCCTAGCTCCATGCAACCATCAATTGGCATTCTGTCTCTATGAATTCACCTATTCTGATATTTAATATAAATGGAATTATATAAGCCCAGAAATAAACCTCCACATATACAGTCAACAAATCTTTCGTAAGGGCATTAGGAACACACAGTGGGGAAAGGATAATCTCTTTAAAAAATGGTGCTGGGAAAACAATATCCATGTGAAAAAGAATGAAATTAGATTCTTACTTTACACCATATACAAAAATTAACTCAAAATGGATTAAAGACATAAATATAAGACTTAAAATCATAAAATGTCTAGAAGAAAACATAGGGAGAAAGTTCCTTGACATTCGTTGGTGATGATTTTTTGGATATGACATCAAAAGCACAGGAAACAAAAGGAAAAATAAGCAAGTGGGACTCCAGCAAACTAAAAATCTCCTGCACAGCAAAGGAAACAACCTGCAAAATGAAAAGACAACCTCCTGAAGTGGCAGATCAAAAGAGAAAAGAAAAAAAATTAAGAAAAAAGAAAAGACAACCTACAGAATGGGAAAATATATTTGCAGACCATATATCTTATAAGGGGTTAATATCCAAAATATATGAGGAACTCATACCACTCAATAGGAAAAAATCAAATACCTTGATTAAAAAATGGTTGCAAAGAACCTGAATAGACATTTTTCCAAAGAAGATACGCAAATGGCCAACAGGTATATGAAAAGATGCTTAATTTTGCTAATCATCGGGGAAATACAAATCAAAACCACAATGAGATATCACCTCACACCTGTCAGGACAGTTATTATTAAGAAAAAAAACCCAAGAGATAACAGGTGTTGGTGAGGATGTGGAGAAATTGGAACCCTCGTCCACTGGGAATGTAAATTGGTATAGCCATTGTGGGAAACAGTGTGGAGGTTCCTCAAAAAATTAAAAATAGAACTACCATACAATCAAGCAATCCACTTCTGAGTATATATCCAAAGGAAATGAAATCAGTATTTTGAAGAGATATCTGCATCTTCATGCTTATTGCAGCATTATTCACAATAGCCAAGATAGAAAGACAACCCACTGACGGATGAATGGATAAAGAAAATGGAGTACACTTCAGCCATAAAAAGAAGGAAATCCTGCCATTTGTGACAACAGGGATGAACCTGGAGGGGACATTATGCTAAGTGAAATGAGCCAGACACAGAAAGACAAATACTGTATGATCTCATTTATGTGTGGGATAAAAGAGCTGGACTCCTAGAAGCAGAGAGTAGAATGGTGGTTGCCAGGGGGCTGAGAGGTTGGGGGAAATGGGGAGATGCTGGATAAGAGTACACACTTTCAGTTATAAAATGAATAAGTTTTGTGGATATAATGTGCAGCATGGTGGCTATAGTTAATGATACTGTATGATTTATTTGAAATTTGCTAAGAGTAGATCTTTATTTATTTATTTATTTATTTTTTTAGTAGAGACAAAGTCTTACTATGTTGCCCAGGCTGGTCTTGAACTTCTGGACTCAAGCAATCTTCCCACCTCAGCCTCCTAAAGTGCTGGGATTATGAGTGTGAGCCACCACACCTAGCCAAGAGTAAATCTTAAGTGTTTTCACCACACACATGTGCACACACACATAAAATGGTGATAGTTGTGTTAATTTGATTGTGGCAATCATTACACAATTTACACATGTATGAAATCATCATGTTATACACCTTGGATATATAAAATTTTATTTGTCAACTGTACCTCAATAAAGCTGGAAAAATAAAAGAATAATGACCATTAAAGAAAAAAAAGAAATTATACAATATGTGACCTTCTGTGTCTGGGTTATTTCACTTAGCATAATGTTTTCAAGGTTCATCCACATTGTAGTATATATAAGCACTTAATTCTTTTTTTATGGGTGAGTAATATCCATTGTGTGTTATGCTGATAACATTTCGTTTCTTCATTCATGTGTTGATGAACAGTTGGGCTGTTTCTACCTTGTGACTATTGAATGCCTTGTTTGAAATCAGACACGAGAGGATAATGTGACAACTCATATGTTGGTAGCATTCTCTTTGGGAAGAGTCACTCCACAGCACGTGGCAAGGGAACAATGACAGTTCTGTCTCATCTGTAGGAGACAGAAAGAGAAGCAAGTTCCTGTTAATTCACAAGTCACTGGAACAGCTTTACTTTATTGCTCCCTTATTTCCCTCTGTTCACAAGATGAATTAGACAAGTCTTAATATACACGAATGAGCAATATTTCCAACCTGGTTGATATGGTTTGGCTGTGTCCCCACCCAAATCTCATCTGAATTGTAGCTCCCATAATGCCCACATGTCATGGGAGGGACCTGGTAAGAGGCAATTGAATCATGGGGGTGGGTTTATCCCATGCTGTTCTCATGATAGTGAATAAGTCACATGAGATCTGATGGTTTTATAAAGGGCAATTTCCCTGCACATGCCCTCTTGCCTGACACCACATATGAAGTCTTTCTGCTCTTCCTTCAGCTTCCGCCATGATTGTGAGGGCTCACTAGCCATGTCGCCCTGTGAGTCCATTAAACCTCTTTTTTTTTTTAATAAATTATCCAGTTTTGGGTATTTCTTCACAGCAGTATAAAAATGGACTAACACACCTGCTTTGCTTCACAGTTACCATTTTTACAAATCATCAGCCATTTGGTAGAACTTAAACATTTCCTTTCACTTGTGTGCTTACCTTCCACAAAACATTTATTTCAATAGATTTTTTTCACGTCCACTTTCCTCAAGCAATTCATAGTGAAATTCTACAAATAAATCCCATTTTCTGTCACTTACGGAGAAAGAAAGTCAAAAACAGGGGAAACCCTTACGCCTCAGCCTCAATTCTTCTAATGGCAACACATTTTCAGTCTGCGGTGCGTTCCAAGGCTTTACCACTGAGCCCTTTTTCTTGATAAAAAATGGGAGCTGACCTATTTTCCCCCATTAAATTTTGATATGTTCTTTTCATTAATTTAAAATATCTAGACTCAGCACTTTTAAGACTTTTCTGTTTCTGGCCCAGTGGAGAAATGTACCCCAAATGAGAAGCAGTGAAGCAGACTGCATGTTCGGACTCAGATGTGTTTTTTTCCAAATCTATGTCAGTTGATCTGAATGAAATTTTCATCGGACATTTGTTAGAGCATTGCTGTAATTTTTAGGGACATGTCCATCAGGAAGCCCAGGTGGGGTTGCATAGAACAGTGCCTATGTCTATTGCATCCAGAGGAAACCCTGAAGGAGTCTTCCTTATCCTCCAAAGTCTTGATGATTTATAGTTTGCATTCTGGTCTCAGAGAATGTGTGAGTCCTGGTGAGCAGCATTCATAGCAGGAGGTGGGAGGAGATGCAGACCTCACAAACCCCAAGGTGGTTTGTGCTGCTGCTGGTAATCTAGTTTGCAAACTTATTGCTTTCAAGAGATTCCTAAGGTGGTCTTAGATATATGGTCTTATGTCAAATTCCAGCTGAGAAGTGAGGATTAATGTACTCCAATCACTCCTAGCCTCAGGTTCCAGTTTCCAGTTTTATGACAGACAATAAGAGAATAAAGAAAGTAACACACATTCTTAGAGTAATAAAATAGTTGCTGGGAACATAATGAAATATAGTCACTTGTTTTTGGTCAAGCTTCTTATCATCCTTTTGGGTTCACATCACACCCGTTCTCAGCCCCCTCCTTTTCTTCATTTGGCTTGTGTTTGGGTGTAATTGCACCCATTGATAGGGATGATGGATGGTTTAGAATCTGATATCCTCAGTTTGGTTCTGGGCTCTACCATTTACTATCTGTAGCATATTGAGCAAGTTACTTAATCTCTCTAAGTACCAATTTCCTCATCTATAAAATGGCAACAATAATGACTATTCAGGACTATTGTAAGGATGAAGTGAGATCATATATGGAACACTTACATATAAGTAAGACCTGCTTATCTGCTTATTATTGTTATTTAAATAAACACCAAGCAAGTCATTCAGCTTCAGTCATTTGAAAAAAGCATCCTGAGATCTGAAACATGAGATAATTCCTAATTAGTGTTTTTGTCACCAGGTAACGTCAAGTCCACAATAATAAGTGTGGCCTTATGTTTCAGAACAACATAATGGTGATAAATGGAACAATCTCAAGTTCAAATGGAAAATCTGAGCGGGAGAGGGTGCCAGATGGTCTGAAGCAGGCAGAATGTGTGTGAAATAGATTGAAATCGACTCTGGAGAAATAGGATTCCATGGGCAAGGATAACTGCTCAGGAAATTAAAAAATATATGTATGGGTGGCAATGATTCATATCCATTACATTGGTCACCAGCGAGAATTCACCTTCTTGATAATTTGTGTATGTGTCCAACATTTACTGAATTCTCCCAACCAGCCATGCAAATAACTGACACTGGGGAATCAAGTTTCTGGCCTTGAGGAGCTCCTGGTTTCACTGGTGAGGAAGATGGCAAAAAGTGTTGTACAGAACACTATGGAAGAGCAGAGGTGGGGCATCTAACCCATCAGGGCCCTGAAGTCTTGCTGGGGTAGGGGATCCATGAGCTGAAGGTTAAAGAAAGAAGTAGGTGGCTCATGCCTGTAATCCCAGCACTTTGGGAGTCCGAGGTGGGTGGATCACTTGAGACCAGGAGTTCGAGACCAGCCTGGCCAACATGGTGAAACCCCATCTCTACTAAAAATACAAAAAATTAGCCAGACGTGGTGGTGTGCGCCTGTAATCCCAGCTACTCTGGCAGCTGAGGCACAAGAATCGCTTGAACCCAGGAGGCAGAGTTTGCAGTGAGCCCAGATCGTGCCACTGCACTCAGCTAGGGCGACAGAGTGAGATGCCATCTCAAAAAAAAAAAAAAAAGAAAAAGTAGGAATTAAGCAGGTGAATGAGCCAGGTGATGTGGGGGCAGGCAATGTCATTCCAATGAATTCTCTCTGCTGAAGCCAGCTCAGCTGGTTGTTGTTACTTGCAGCCAAAAGAATATTAATTAGAAGAGACATTCAATGAGGCAAAGATGATTGTTAGAGGAACATGAAGTTGTAAGAACAAAGTGATTTTTCAAAAAAGTAAGTAAACGAAATCTGTGTCAACAAGGAAGGAGATGTGCTAGAAGCTGGCCACCAGGCAGAGAGACGAAGACCAGTGTGGTGAGTAGGAGAGCCATAAGCCTTTGATGTTGCTGGTGACCAGAGGGCAGGACTGGGGCAGGGAGAGGGGAAGTGAGCAATGTGGCGTAGCCACAATGTCCAGGTCTGGGACTTGATCTGTAGGTGGCAGGAAGTCATAGAAAGGCTTCACTCACAGAAATGATGGAATCCAATTTCTGGGCTCTGTTAATTTGTTTTGTTTTAATTTTAGAAAATTGCATATTTTTCATTAGTTTCTCTCTCTCTCGTCCTTCCACATGTTCAACAAAATAATAATTGTGGGACAGAAATTAAATGATGATTTCTCTATTTTGTGCTGGTGGAGTGATTACAACTTTGCAAAGCATCTTCCCATCTCACTTCATGGGCTTTTCCTGAGAATACTGTCATTAGCTATGAAATTTTGAAGTCTGCTTTTCAGCTCTAAGTAAGGGAGGGCATCCTCTGGGGCCAGTACAGCTGATTGGGTTCATATGAACCATGGCAGAAGGTCAAATGTCACTTATTCGCTTATGGTAATGCAGTTATTCATTCCTTCCCTACCTAGCTTCAATTTTAAAGATTGGCCTCTTTCTGCATGTTCCCAAGACAGCTGTCAATCCAGTTTTCCTTTTCACAGTAACTGCTCCTTTTCTTCATCTTGACATCACTAGCACTAGGGAAGAATAATATGTCCATGGTCCCTTGCCTGACACTCATCCTCCAGCATGTTCATCTTTGGAGACATGGATTTGGTCTCCTTACTTTTTTTTAGGGGGGAAGGGAATCACTTTGCTCTTTTCATTAAGTTCCTCTAATAATAATCTTTGCCTCATTGAATGTCTCTTCTAATTAACACTCTTGGCTGCCAAGTACCAAAAATCCATTTGAGCTAGTTTCAGCAAACAGAATTCTTTGGGGTCCATGGCAGAACCCAAGATCAGGACCATGGTTGGGCCTCAGCATAAACCAGAGCCAGGATGCAGTATCTAGAAAATTGCAGCCAGCAGCTCTTGCAGCTATAGTCCTCCTTACCCTCCTGTAGGGCTGAGCTGCCTCTTCTGGTCTTCATTCCAAATTCCTGGGCTAGAGGGTGTTGGTCTGTGGTCAGGGGATGGTGGGAGTTGAGGGTTGTGCTGTGTGAATGTGGTCATTCCCACTGTAAGCCTATTGATGGAGAAAAGGGCAGCTACTCAAAAATGGTCCCAGGCAGAGACCAGTCAGGCAGTGGATTCAGCCATATGAAATTACAGTTGGGCTATGTTTTTAAGTAGAGGTTGGAAACTTTTTCCCCCCTTTTGGCTGGCATTTGAAGGGGAAAACAGATTGTCTTTTCTGAATCTCTTAAAAGGCATTTCAGTTATTTATTATTCTCTTCATTTTCTTTGCATGGATCGCCTTCCTCTTGACTTTCTGAGCAAAACATTCTACAATCCTTTCCTTTGGCTCTTTCTTTTTACCTTAGGCATAGAAGTACGTGTGTGTGTGTGTGTGTGTGTTTGCAGACTGAGTTTAACTTGGTGTTCAGACATGTCTGAGCACGTGTGACAATAGAGGGGCAGAGCGCTATTGACTGGAAGGGGAGGGAGGAGAGATTTTTGCATTGGTGCTGACGAAAAGAGCCTGGATTGAGGAGGACAACAGGGCTCATGCCTTGCACGTTTACCTTCAGTTCAGATTCAAGAACTTGATCTGAGTCCTAGAGAGAATGTGGCTGCTAGCAGACGCTGTAGGAACCAGTGAGGTTCTGGGGTCTAGGTTGCACTCAATGTGCAGCACAGCGAGGGGGCCACTGTTCCTTCTCCTGTGTGGAGCACAGTGAAGCTCAGGTGTGGTGAAGACCCCAGGGGACTTCAAGCAGTCTTGGCTCCTCAAGGGGAGCAGAATCAAGAGTATCAGGTCTCGGCATTGACAACCAGCTCTACTAATGGTGCTTAGTTGTGCCGAGAAATGGAAGAAACCCAAACCAAATTGGGTCCAGCACAAAGGAGAATTGATGCTTGTATCTGTCCAACCCAGGGACCGATCTTCAGGCCTGGATGGATGTACAGGTTCAGGTGACGGTACTTGGGCTCTCTGTCTCTCTGAGTATTGGCCTCCTGAAGAAAGGCTTTCTCCACCTAGAAGGAAAAATGGCTGACAGTGTGCTAGATTCAGGGAAACAGACTCAGTGGAAAGATACCTTTTCATCTCCCAGTATTTGTTGAGAAGAACTCTGGGTGACCAGGCTTGTGGCAGTGCTCACTCCTGGACCAACCATTGTCCTGGGGTATGGGATACTATGACCAGCTGAACCCAGGTTGAGTACTTAGACTTGTGGCTGGAGTGCTGTGATCATAGTCCTACCAGCTCCACAGGGAACAGGGAAGGGTCCTGAGCAAAGAGTACACTCATTTCCACTGAAGCATGATCCTGAAAGGCATCCTCTTGGTGGCCAGCCACAGGGAGGTGCCACCTCAAGTGACTTTTTGAGTAGCAGATGTCAAAGAGAGGAGGACAAAAGGTACAATGTTGAGAGGACCGTACATGAGCATGTGAGAGGCTCCCAGGCAGCCCCAGAAGTGCAAAAGGGGCTGAGGCCCCCACTAGCCTGTGAAATCTGAGTGATCCTTATGACTGGACCCCACTGGTGGCTGGCTACAGTCTGGAGCAACCCGGACAACCCAGGTGATGTTCATTGATGGCCTGGATTATTTCAGTTTTTGTAATCCCAGAGAGTGGGAAAGAACACGTTTTGGGGAGGCGTAGGAGGAGTGCCTGAGGGTCATTTGCACATCTGATATAAATGTGAAATGAGTCCAGTCAGCTTGGCCATGCAAGAATCTCAAGAAGAGTTTCACTATGTGTTTGGGTTAAATGGAGTTTAACCCAACTGGGGTTCTGAATAGTGAAAAAGTGTTTGGGCCAGTGGATCAGAAAACCTTTGCTAGAGTGGAAGTACTAGAGTTTGTGTCTTAGTCTATTTTTGCTGATATAATACCTGACTGTTTATTATTTATAATAAACAGAAATTTATTGACTCACAGTTCTAGAGGTTGAGAAGGTCAAGATCAAGGGACCAGCATCTGGTGAGGTCTTCTTGCCACATCAGCCACGGCAGAAGGCTGAACTCACCCTTTTATAACAGGACCAATCCCACCCATGAAGGTGGAGCTCTTTTGGCCTAAGCACCTCATAAAGGTCCCACCTCTTAATACAGCTACAATGACAACTATACTTCGACATGAATTTTGGAGGCAATGAACATTCCAACCATAGCAGTAGGTGAGTGGAAGGATAGGAAAGGATGGACAAAGATTTAGATGTTTGACTTTGAGATTGGAGGAGGCACCATTATTGATGACTCTAGTTGTGAGGCTATGGTGCAGCGAAGGAAAAGATTATTGAAACTAAGATTAAAGGAAAAGACTGAAAGGCCAGAGTTTGGGATGGGGCATCCAGTGGATGTTGAAATCATGGAGAATAATAACAGCAGTGGGAGGAGAAAGGGATTGAGACAAATGCTGCAGTCATCAGTGAATGGGGAGGAGTGACTGGGAGGTTGGTAGATAGAAACTGTATGGAACAGTGAAGACTGATGCTGGGGATGTTCTGTTCCAAGAGCTTGCACCTCCAGGCTTTGAGGGATGTGAAGTGCAGAAGGGAAAGCAACACCCCTTGAGGGACCGCAGCCCAGGCTACCTCCCAATGGTCACATCGAATGCTCACTGCACAGCATTGCCTCCCATGTGAATGGCATCCCCTGACCCTTTCCACATGGTGGCCCTGGCTTTAGGGAAGGGATATGATTAGAGATTGCAGGGGATCAGAATATGTCACCTCAAAATATGCCGCTTTGGCCCAGGAATTATTTTGAGACAGAGGCAAATGAGAGCCAACGCAGAAAGAAGGTTTCCCAGAGCTTCCCTTATCTTATTAAAAGCAGGTACTCCTGAGAAATAAGGCTGCCATAAATCCCTCTCCCAGGGAAGTTTTATGGCCATGAAGAAGAAGGAGTATCAGCACCAAGATGGGCTGCACAAACAAATCTTACTAAATTAACCTTATCTTCCATTAGTTTCCCCCATATGTTTACCTTCCTATGGTCTGCTGCCCCTAAATGCTTACATGCCTTTTCCTTTGTCTTGTCATTTTTCCAAAAATGTATTGTTCTTTATTAAGATGCTAAGCAAGCCCCAAGATCTAATGACCACGTTGAGTTTCTTATCACTGATTCTCATCTGTGTATGCATGTTGCATGTGTTACACACTCTGTTATTTTCTTGTTAATCTGTCTTTTGTCAGTTTAGTTTCCAGAACTCCAGCCAGAGACCCAGGGAAGGAAAAAAATTTTTTCCTCCCTACCAGACCATCTGATTTCCAGAGGAACAAGAAGGAAATGCTCAGAGAAGAGGGTGAGGGCTTTGAAGGGTGTCTTGGTCTGTTTTGTGTGCTATAACAGAATACTACATAGTTGGTAATTTACAAAGAAGTGGAATTTATTGGCTCACACTTCTGCAAGCTGAAGTCCAATATCAAGGGGCCAGCATCTGGTAAGAGCCTTAGAGCTGCACCATCCCATGGCGGAAGGTGGATGGACAAAGAGCACAAGACAGTGAACCCACTCCTGCAAGCCCTTTTCATAATGGTATTGACCTATTCATGAGGGCTGAGCCCTTTTGACCCAACCCTCCCATTAGGCCCCACCTTCCAACACTGTCACATTGGGGATTAAGTTACGAATTCTGGGGGATACATTCAAACCATAGGAGGGGTTGCGTTGATAACAGATGTGAATAGAAGGGCTATGGGGGTTAGTGAGGTGAGAGATGGGGTAACAGAGAGGATGCATGGAGTAGAATGTTGAAACTCACCCGGAGCACACACTAAAAAGAGAGTTGCCCATGTAGATAGCAGCTCTGTTACAGATCACCATCTTCCACTTGGAGCATCCAACCTAGTGAGTTTGCCTAGATGCTCATACTGGAAGCCACTGTGTGTTTTCTTTGTCCCTGGCATCATGGAAGACATCTTTCCTAATAGACTACCCCATAGATTTCTTGCTTGGTGTAAATCTCAGTAGTCCTGGGGCTGACCCTAGGAGCCTCAGAACTAAATCCTGGAAATCCTACACAGTCTGTATTTTAAGCCAGGCTGTCCAAATATACCCCCATATCACTGTTTTTATGTAACATGGCATCAAACTGTCAAAATCTTAACTCTGGTTGTATAGATTCCCTGCCTTATTCCAGAAAGGATTATGAGACAATAATAGATTTAGTGTAACAAGATAAAAACAGGTGAGTAAAGAAATGGAGGTCAGAGGAAAATAACTTTATAAAAAATCCAATGAAGCCCAGGGTAAGGTTAGCACATCAAGTGTGCATGATATGGTTCCAGAAGTGTGGCTATGAGCTCCTTAGCCTCCAAAGCACAGGCATAAATAAGATTCGTGGCAAGTAAAAGATTAAAAACAAGCCAGTGTTCAGAAAAGCACAGCTATTTTTGTTACACGGGAGCTGAGAGATTTCTCTTGTGGGTCTTCAAAGGAGACCCAGTGTGATGTAGCAAATAATATCCTCAAAAACATTCAGAGAGAATATGTAATCATATAGAATAATGAGTTTCCCAGGGTTGTGTCTCATAGTATCTTTCAATGTGGGTCAACGGTAGAGTGAAAAAGTATAGTTTAGTAAAAACTTTTATATGGGAACAAAAAATGGTTCAACTTTTCTCTCTAAGGGTCTAGCTGATGCAAAAAAAAGTTACATTAAAAATTAAAGAATCCAGGCGGGTTGACTCATGCCTGTAGTCTCAGTGACTACAGGAGGCTGGGGTGGGAGGATCACTTGAGCCCAGGAGTTGGAGGCTGCATTGAACTATGATATCACCACTGCACTCCAGCCTGAGTGACAGAGTGAGCCTCTGTCTCATAAATACATAAATAAATAAAGTTAAAGGAAAGAATATATGGCACATTCTCTAGGCAGCCCTTCATCATATTATTTCTGGCAACTAAGTGGGAGTTGCTAAATATGTAGCAGTGAGTTTGATGTCTGTCCTCTGACAAATAGCTACAGAGCATCAACTAAGTCACCCTGGGCTGGAGCAAGGGTAGGCATCCTTTTAAGACAATGGCAGGATCTGGCCAGGATTTGTGCCAGATTTGGCTCGCTTGCCCAGGGCTCACAGAAGTACTTGTCTGCAGGGCCAACACTTTCCTTGGAAAGCAATACTAGATCTGTTCTAACACACAGATAAGTGGGTGATTAAAGCTCTAAAGTTTTATGTGAATCTTAGGAAAATATTGAAAGCAGGTTTATTCATGGTGAGCATGAGTAGGGTCCCACATTGTACTCAGTGTTAAGAGTAGAGACAAACTCCTTGCCTTTGTGAAGCTTCCTTTCTTATGGGAGGAGGATGGAGAGTGAAGATGTAAATGAGTGAACAAATAAAAAGATAATTATGGCTGGGCATGGTGGCTCACACCTGTAATCCCAGCACTTTGGGAGGCTGAGGCGGGTGGATCATGAGGTCAGGAGATCGAGACCATCCTGGCTAACACAGTGAAACCCGTCTCTACTAAAAAGCAAAAAAAAAAAAAAAAAAAAATTAGCTGGGCATGGTGGCATGTGCTGTAGTCCCAGGTACGTGGGAGGCTGAGGCAGGAGAATTGCTTGAACCTGGGAGGCAGAGGTTGCAGTGAGCCGAGATTGCACCACTGCACTCCAGCCTGTTCAACGGAGTGAAACTCCATCTCAAAAATAAAATAAAAAGATAATTACAAGTTTTGTTCAGTGGAGGGAGGGAGATGGGATGATGAGAGAGAGGAAAGTCCTTACATGAAGTGAGGTGTCCTAGGTGGGGACACTGAGGCTGGGGCCTGCATAAGACACTGGTCTTGCAGAGCCAGGAAAGGAGCCTTCTAAGGCAAGGCAGTGACAAGCAGGCAAGGCTTAGTGTTGAAGGAACTGAGGGCAGACCTGTGTGGCCAGAGCCCAGGGAGGAATGGGAGAGGGTGTGAGACGAGGCTTGGGGGTAGAGGGAAGGGCCCATTGGAGGAGGCCTTGGGAGGCCACAAGACAACCTTGAACTTTAAGCATTATATCTTCTTTGTAGAGTTTCTAAAATAACTTGGTTCCCAAGTATACCCTTGGGGAATTCAATGAGTAAATTCACTGTCCAGATTGGTTAGTATAAAAGTTATGGTTTAAAGTGGGAGACAACATAGTGACTTTTATGGTATGTGGATTTGATCTCAATTTTGAAAACATCATAAGGGCAAGGGTCACATCTTAGTGTTCGAAGTGGCCATATATCCAGTTGGTGTTCAATAAATGACTTTGATGATTATAAAAAATAGTTGCAAGCCCTCTGGTGTGGTTTGGCTCTGTCCCCACCCAAATCTCATCTTGAATTCCCACATGTTGTGGGAGGGACCTGATAGGAGGTAATTGAATCATGGGGGCAGGTATTTCCTGTGCTGTTCTTGTGATAGTGAATAAGTCTCATGAGATCTGATGGTTCTAAAAAATGGGAGTTTCCCTACACAAGCCCTCTCTTTGCCTGCCGCCATCCATGTAAGATGTGACTTGCTCCTTCTTGCCTTCTGCCATGATTGTGAGGCCTCCCCAGCCATGTGGAACTGTGAGTTCTCCATGAAACCTCTTTCCTTTGCAAATTGCCCAGTCTCGGGTATGTCTTTATCAGTAGCATGAAAACATACTAATACATTGTATATAAAAAATAATAATTTTGACTTTGGAAGAGTTGATAGTTCTTCTGCTAATCATTATCTGGCATGGCCACTGGTCTTCTTTGACCCCTCCTTGTGTGTGACAGGATCCTGTGTGTCCAGGGAATGCGACTTTTGGTTCAGAAGTCAGGGCTGTTGTGAGGGGTTTCAGCCATTCCTCAAGAGATATGAAGTCATCAGGGACCGAGTAAAAAAATAAAAAGGGAAAGGGTGGGAGGGCAGTACCTACTAGAAAAGATCTACTTTGTTAAAGGGAAATTCTTGCAAATCCCAATGGTCGAGGTAGTGATGAAATAAATGATAAAGCATTGAGTCATGATTACCCAAAGTTGGCATTCTAGACTCTTTTAAAGGGGGTTCAATTCCCTTCTTTTAACTTGCACACATCCAGGGCTGAGTCTCTGACCTTCTAGGGCTGTTAAAGTGGTGGTGGCAGCGGGTTGAACGTGGAGTGATGGTATGAGCTGGAACTTCAGTGCGTGAGTCCTTGCTGACTGTCACCCTCTCCTGACGAGGTTTCCAAGAGAAGCACATGCCTGGAGCACATGGCTGGCCAAAACACACTCTTTGATGGTAAGGGCTTGTCCCAAACCCTGGTGAATTCTCTTTTGTATAGAGGAGACAGCCTGCTGTTAAATGGTTTTCTTTTCCTTTTCCTCCAACTGCACAAGCTCCTGTGATATCTATGGTGATTCTGTGCAAAGGAAGCAAGAAGGAGAAAAGAGACTCCCTGTAAGGTCTATGCAGCATATGCAGCACACATCTAGCCCTTCCAATGCAAGTCTTTCTTGGTGGCACACTTTCTACATGGGGGCAGCCCTTGCCTGCCCTGCCTCAACAGAGAGATTGTGGGAGGAGGTGGGAGAGGGAGGAGAGGGACAGGGAGGGAGACGGAGGAGGAGGGGAAGGGGGAAGGAGGGGGGGAGGGGAGAGGTCCTAATATTTTTCTCTTACAACTGGACCCCTACTCTTCCACATATGCAAGTGGTTTCAGGAGTCCTTATAAATAGTTTCTCCAAAATAGACAAAAGCAAGTGCTGTGCTTTCGTGTTTTGTTTTGCAGACACCTTTTTCTCAGTGAGTATAGAATAGTTCCCTCTTATCCACAGCTTTACTTAAAGTGGTTTTAGTTACCCATGGTCAACTGCAGTCTAAAAATATTGAAATATTTTAAGAGAGAGAGAGAGGCCACATTTACCTAACTTTTATTACAATATATTGTTATAGTTCTATTTTATTATTACTGTTTTTAATCCCCTGCTGTGCCTAACTGATAAGTTAGACTTTGTCATAGGTATGCATGTATAGGAAAGAACATAGTATGTATAGGGATCAGTACAATCTGCAGGTTCAGGCACCTGCTGGGGGTTTTGGGACATATTCCCCACAGATGAGGGGGACTGCTGTGATACAAAGGGAAGCTTCTGGAGGGGGCAGTTAACAATCACAAATGTGAGGGAGAGGCCGGTGGGCTGCCGATGGGCTGGGTGGGTATTTTTGATTCCAGCCCCTTCTCTACTGTGTTGAATCTCTTCTCCAGGTGACAGATAAAAGCCCCATCATTCACTTACCCAGAAGAGCTGGTGTGTGAAGCAATGTTCTTCAATTATAGGTACTTTTCTCCCTCTTCTTAGCTTACTTTATTTTTAAATTCTAGAATAGAAAACAAAAGTGGTTAGTAGTGCCATCCCTGAGAGGTGGACAAATAGATTGCTCTTCAAAAGACCTATTTTTTGTTTAAAGTAACATTATCACAAAGTACAGGCTTTGTTGTAAAATATTCTGTCAGTGCTAAGGTTGATAGAGTTCTAGAGTACAGTGTCTTACTCTCTCCACAAATTCCACTCCCTTCCCAGGGGAAAGGACTGGCAATGATTGATGATTGTGCTTTCAAACAGTTTCCTGTGCATCCACAGACACTCATATCCATATATGTACACACTTACAGAGTTTTTTTAATATTCTATGTAATTTTTTTGTATTTGTTTTTACTTACAAAAAACTTTTTATTTTGAAGTAATTATAGGTTAACAGGAAGTTGCAAGGATAGTGCTGTGAGGTCCCCTGAACCCTCCACCCAGTTTCCCCCAATATCAAAACCAGCAATGGACATTGGTACAATGTGTGTGTATTTCTCTGCCATTTGATCACATGTGTAGACTCATGTAGTCACCATGGTGATCAAGGTATAGAGTATTGTCCCATCACCACTGCTATGGCCTGGATGTTTTTGCTGTCCCCAAATTCACACATTGGAACCTAATCCCCAATGTGATAGTATGAAGAAGTAGGGCCTTTGGGAAGTGGAGCCTTTATGAGATGGATTAGTGTCCTCATGAAGAAGAGATCCCAGGGAGCCTGTTTGCCCTTCCACCCTGTGAGGACCCAGCGAGAAGGCACCATCTGTGAGGAAAAGGGCCCCCGCTAGACACTGAATCTGTCTGTGCCTTGATCTTGGACTTCCCAGCCTCCTGAGCTATGAGAAATAAATTTTTTTGTCTGTTTGTTTATAAGCTACCTAACTTACAATATTTTTGTTACAGCAGCCCAAATGGACTAAGATAATTATAATAATCTTTGTGCTACCCATTTATAGTCACACCTACTTCCCCTCTCATTCCTCAACATCCAGAACCTATCGTTACTGTGTTTTTGTTTTTTTTGAGATGGAGTCTCGCTCTGTTGCCCAGTCTGGAGTGTAATGACACAGTCTCAGCTCACTGCAACCTCTGCCTCCCAGGTTCAAGCAATTCTCCTGCCTCAGCCTCCCGAGTAGCTGGGATTACAGGCACATGCCACCATGCTCGGCTAATTTTTGCATTTTCAGTAGAGACAGGGTTTCACCATCTTGGCCAGGCTGGTCTTGAACTCCTGAACTTGTGATCTGCCTGCCTCATGAGTAAGGCCGAGGCCTTACTTTGGGATTACAGGCTTGAGCCACTGTGCCTGGCCCCTGTGTTTTTAAACACATGAATTGTTACATACTACATCTGTTGATCCACAATTTGCTTTTTTTCCCTAACAATTAGGCCTAGAGAGTTTTCCACATTAGTATTGAGATTGGTCTGGGAAGGCCTAGCCACTGCAGGTTATTCTATTTGGGTGGTATATAACCTATAACTACTGAGGCAGATATAGGTTAGGTTTTGTCCCCCATGCTTTGGTGATTATCAACAACTGCTGCATTGAATATCTTCTTGCGTGGATCTTTGTGCATTTAATCACAAGTATGTGTGAGGATCAAGTCCTATGAGTGAAATTTCTGTGTCAAAGGGTTTGTGTATTTCTTTGGGGATACTGTCACACTGGCTTCTGAAAAGGCAGCATCAGGGCATACTCTGATCTGTAGTTTTTGAGGGTGGGAAGTCCTGCTTTCTGGGGTGGTTATTAAAGGCTGGTGGCAATTTTTATTTCATATTTTTATTCTCTCCCTTTGAGTGGAATAGGATCTCAGGCAGTGTATGACTGCGCTGGGGCAGATTCTTTTTGCAGTAATGTAGGTTTTCTGTAAGTGCATTGGTTTTCTAGGGCTGCTGTAACAAAGAACCACCGACCAGCTCTTAGAACAACAGAAGTACATTGACTCACAGTTCTGGAGGTCAGAACTCTAAAATCAAGGCCGGGTGTCGTGGCTTATGCTTGTATTTCCAGTACTTTGGGAGCTGGGGAAAAACCCAGGGGCATAAACAAATCCCTTGGCTGTTATCTTTGTCTCCTTTCTGCCTGTACAGTTCGAATACAGCTGATGGATTTGAGATTTGCAGAGTGGGAAACTACTGAAACGTGATTTTACTTGATGAACAAATGATAGATTTACATCAAAAGAATGCTTTAATTTGGATGACATGTTAATCTCTGCACCTGGGTCCATTCATTCTCCCCAGTAATCCTTTATTGTCCTTCGACATGTTCCTGAACACCAGGGGTTCTCTCTAGGTCCCTTTGCCCACTGCATAGAAAGCCAATCACTGAGACAATGAGTATTGCCAGGGAAGAAGGTTCATTATTTTATGGATGATGTCAGCCAGAGAAATGGAAGCCAAACCACAAATCCATGTTGTCCCTTACTAAGTTAAGGGTTTATCTAGTTGAGAAGGAAAACAGCAGGGGCAAGGAAGAGGAGGCAATAAACAGGCAGCAGGTAGTTGAATGAGGGGTCTAGCATCTCATTTTAACGATGTGCATGCTGGAAAATAGGAATTAGGGAGGGGTAAGGAAGAGGAGTTGGTCAACAGGCAGCAGGTGTGTTTCATTGTACAAATGTAAGTTTCTCAAACTTCAGTTCTGTAGGCATACAGCTTGTTGGAAAATTGGGCTGGTTTCAAACAGAATTTTTCTTCTCTTCTCCCATAACCTGCTTTTCTAGGATGGAATATAAGCTTCTGAACCACGTTGAAGGTGGTAATGACTCTATGAGTTTCCCGTGTATACATGTTAAATAAATCTGTATGCCTTTCCTCCAATTAACCCACCTTTTGTGAGTTGATTTCTCAGTGAACCCTCATAGGGCCAAGAGGAAATCTCTCTCTTGACCCTCACAGCCCTCAGGGGCTTCAGCATTTGCTTTAGGATATGCACAAAAATGCTTGTGTCTGTCTGATCTTAGAGAATGTTGTGAGGAGGTGGCTCAGCTTTCTGAAAGCCAGTTTGCTGAAAATCTCTTCCTGGGGGGTGATCAATTAGCCAAACTCCAAATGCCCCCAGAAAACAAAGCATTATTGTATGAAAGTTGGCAATTATTGTTTTTAAAATAACTGTTTTGTTTTGGCACATGGTGGCCTGCAAGGGGCTTATCAGAGCTGAGTTTCTGGTGAGATGGTGGGAACTCAGATACTAGTGACAATGTTGCATTTTTCCTTAGCCTTGTGCTCCCAAAACGCAGAGCTGATTGGGAAATTTCCCACCCTTTTGTGTTCTGAGAAAGGGCTAACTGTAGATGACCACTCTGCTCTTGAATATTCCAACAAATCCCAAGATGAGAGCCACCTCCGCTCTTCCTTATGACCCCCATGAGAATTGAGGATGACTTCCTTGCCTACTTGCCTCTATTTAAAAAAAATTTTAAATTTATTTTATTTTTTTGAGATGGCATCTTACTCTGTTGCCCAGGCTGGAGTGCAATAGCACCATCTTGGCTCACTGCAACCTCCCCCTTCCAGGTTCAAGTGATTCTCCTGCCTCAGCCTCCCAAATAGCTGGGATTAGAGGTGCCTGCCACCACGCCCAGCTAATTTTTGTATTTTGAGTAGAGATGGGGTTTTGCCATGTTGGCCAGGCTAGTCTCAAACTTCTGACTTCAAGTGATCCACCTACCTTGGCCTCCCAAAGTGCTGGGATTATAGGTGTGAGCCACCACACCTGAGCTACTTGCCTCTAGAAAACCCCAGGACAACTTCCTTTTCTTTGGGGTGTTCCTCATTAATCAACATCTTCTTTGTAGCTGTAGGGGAGGGAAAACTTCCTCTGTACCCTGTGAAGTTTCCATGGTTGAGTCTGTGCAATAGATTGACAGTAGACAGATTAACAGGAGAAAAACCACTTTAATTATGTGCATACACATGGGAGTCCCACAAAATGTGAGATTCAAAAAAGGGTCAAATGATTGAAGTTTATAGAGCATCTGAGCTACAAAAGGAAAAGAGGCCTGGGGCTTCTGGGGGTGGTAGTGACACAAGGTATGGGAAGGTGAGGGGAGGAAATGCACGACCAACAAAGGTCATCTTGTTATGTAGATAAAAAGTCTCTCAGGAAACAAAAATTATCTCTGAACAGCCCTTAAAAGAATAGGTGATAGCCTGTGATAAAGCCTGTCTAGGCATTCAGTCTCTTCTCTTGTGATACAGTTAATCTTCCCTGGTTTTTGAGATTCTTGGGGAGGGAGCTTATGATAGTTGTATTCTTTCTGGAAAGTCTATCTTTAGGTGGATAAGGGAACTTCAGAGAGAGATCCTCCCTGTGGGAGAGTGGGGGAAAGAGGGGAGAGAGACAGAGGGAAGAAGGTCCGAGAGACCTTGTTCTGAGGCTGCTTCTGGGGCATTCCAATCTCCTATAGCTCAAAGTACTCAGCATGCCAACATGCCATACTTTAGGGTATTGCTTTCTGGGTCCCATCATAGCAGTAGCTTGAATGAAATCATCCCCTTAATTAATCCAGGTACTCTGTCTCTTACACTAGACAGGAATCAGCAGGGTCTAGCAGGGGGAGGTCAGATGGGCAGGCAGGGAGTTCAGCCTATACTTCACCAGGGGCACCCACCAGCAGGCTCCATGTGCAAGAGGAGGTCAGCCAGCAGATAGTGGGCATCCAGACCAGAGGTGGGGCATTAACTAGAAGGACTCTCATCTCTGTTTAGTCTAATAAAACCAGGTTGTGCTCTGGTTGTAGAAAAACCAAGAGCTGAGCTTTCTAACTGGCAGTACCCACAGCTGTGCATAAGCCAAATATCTGGCTAGAAAGTGATTCTAAATATGTTGGTTTGAAGTTAGATGAAGGAGGTACAGCATTGAGAAGATGCACTGAATATAACTTTTAACTTATACCTAGCGATAGGCAGATATAGACTTAACCATGTACTAATTGCATTTTTAGTTGGGAGAGAAAAAGTAGAGAGAGATGTTTTTTCCTTCTGTCTAGGACAGAATTCCCTGGGCAATTGAAATGAATTGATTTGGGCTATTGCAATTGGGATATCATTCATTAATGAGGGAATATCCCAAAGAAAAGGGAGAACATTTGGGATTTGATAAACAAGGGAGTCATTTTGGAAGGATGGAGATGGGCCTGGAAGAGCAGTGGGGATTTCTCAACTCTTGCTGCTTACAGTGGCTTTTTCTGAGCCCAGGGCCCAGGTAAAGTTTGACATTGCCACTTCCAATCTATGTCCCTTGAAAAAATGAAATTCTGGTACTTCCAGTTCCATGTGACGGACATCCTTCAGAATAGTGTAAATATTTCAATAGGGCTACTGTAATGTCTTTTTTAAAAAGTAGAACTATGTTGTTCCACAGAAGCTCAGTTATGGCACTTGTATTATCTGCCAGCAAATGAATCCTCTATCTCCAAATGTGTAGTGATTAAACCTTTTCCCCAATACATAATGATTTCTTTATAAAACTAGCTTCATAATTAGCATTTCTTAGAATGAAATGAAAGTAATTATGCTTCAATTCACAAATCTTTGCTCTGGAATGATTTTAACCAGAGTTCACATTTCTAAATTCCTAGGTGCAACACATTCAAATTCTTTGTAATTAAGAGCGTTTTAATTCTCTTTGTCTCCTGAGTCACCATCTCTTCAACTTGAACCTCTAGGGCATTCACAAAAAAGTCGAATTAGCCAAAGGTCCTGGATGACAATGACTAACACATCAATGACCTGAGAGTCAACTCTGAAAGCTCAAGTCCAGCATCTCTCTTTGATGGGGATTGTTTTAGCTGGGATAATTTACCACTTGGTTCATGCTGTGTTGAAAATCACTGTCCTCATATGGCACTGATCAAATAGCTGAATGCCTCGATGCCTCTTGTAAACCCAGTTGAAAGGAGGCCCAGGGCCAGGAGACAAGCTCCACAAAGAGTTTTAGATCTCATAAATGTCTCTGCTTCATGGTTCTCAGAGCAGCATGTGGGCATTGGAGCAAGCTTGCTGGCTGTTAGGTCCTGAGGCCTCAGCAATCCTTCAGAACTCCACTCTTGTGACCAAAGAAGATAGTGGGAATGAATAATGCCTGGCATAGGAAAACTCTGGACTTCTCAGGGGAGAGAGCAAGAGTCCAGAGAATAAAATCCCACTTATATTTAAAACAGAACAAATGTTTAACCAGCACTTTAATGCATTCATCTGCACTGGGTAAGATGCTATAGGAGAGGCGAAGAAGCCCAAATACTGGTATAAGAGAGGAAGAAATAATTTCCCCCCAACCTTCCTCTTACCTGTAACAGACCCTTATAACAAAAAACAGGTTAACAAGAGAAAAGCAGAAGTTTATTAACATGTATGCCTCATGTATTCATGGGAGATACCAGGGAAAAATGAGTAAATCTCAAAGAGGTGCCTTACAGCTCTGGCCTATACAGCATCTTCAACAAAAACAACACATTTTGGGAGAAGCGACAAGACAGAGAAAGGACCTTGATACACATTTTCCAGGAAATACTACACAGCCATAAGAAGAATGAAATCATGTCTTTTGCAATAACACGGATGCAGCTGGAAGCTGTTATCCTAAGCAAATCAATACAGGAACAGAAAACTGAACAATGTATGTTCTCACTTAGAAGTGGGAGCTAAACATTGGGTACACAGAGACAGAGGGGAGAAATAGACACCAAGGCCTACTTGAGGGTGGAAGGTGGGTGGAGGGTGAGGGTCAAAAAATGACGTATTGGGTACTACGCCTATTACCTGGTGTCAAAACCATTTATGCGCCAAACTCTAGTGACACACAATTTACCCATGTGACAAATTTGCACGTGTACCCTTTGAATCAAAAATAAAAATGGAAATTAAAAAAAAAAAGAAAGAGGATCTTGAGTCTTTATGAGCTGGAAGTTGTGGGAAGGAAAATAAATGAGAAAATGAATGATAGATAAAGGCTGGTTAGTAAAGTTTGTTGGGTAGATTCCTCTGATGTCATCTCCAAGCCGATAAGGGTCTAAAGTTGTCTTTGGTGATCAACCTTTGTCCTTCCTGGTAGAGAGGGAAGGAGGGACATCTTTATAAATTTATGTCCTGCTTTAAGGCAGAAAATGAGAGGTAAGAGAAGTCTTCCTTCATCTGTTGATTCTCAGTTGCCTTTGTCTCAAAATAATCCTTATATTAAGGTGGCATATTTTGGGGTGGCATGTTCTGGTCTCCAATACTGGCCCCAGCCTTCTTGATGCCATGCTGAAAGTGCTTGTATTAGCTTACTGCTATTTTTGCATAAACACTGTGGAGTGAGTGAGTTTTACCAATTTCATATCCGTATGAGGAAACTGAGGCTCAGAGAGGTTAGGTCACCTGCCCAAGACCATGTACTTAGTAAGGGGCATAACTGGGACTAGAACCTAGGTCCCTCTGATTCTAAATTCCATGGTAAATGGCCTGTTGACCAGTGTCTATAGTTGGGCTATAGTATCTATAGTTGTATCTATAGTCGGGCTGGGAAGATAAGGTAATATGAAAAAGTAACTAATAATTTACTGACTGTATAATAAGTACCAGGAGAGTTTAAAAGTGGGGAGATGGTCTTGACTGGGGGAGGTAGTGATATAAAGCATTCTTCAGGGTGTATCTGCACTGGGCTTAATAATATGAACAGAGTCAAATGTCCTCTGTGGGGGAAGACAGTGATTTTCATATTTAAACCTTCATTAGAATCACCTGAAGTGCTTATCAAAACACAGACTACTCTGATTTAGTAAGTCTTGGATGAAGACTTAGATTTTGCATTTCTAGTGAATTATCATGTGATGCTGGTGCTGCCTGTCCAGGGACCACACTTTGAGAATCACTGGTCTAAGCAAAGGAAAAAAAAAAAAAAGGAGAATTACAGGGTATATTTGGAAGCCAGTAATTTGGCTAGTTGGGTTCCAGAGGAGGGTTTGAGCAAGCCAGTGCATTTATGGAGATGAGGCCAAAAAAGCAGTTTAGAGCAAATACATTCTGTCACTTTTAAAGAAATAGTTTTATTATTGAAAAAAAAATCAAGGAACTGTGTTCAACTATAGAGAATTTCAGTCCATATGCCTTATGGGAAAAATGCATTTCTCCCTGTCGTAGATTGCATTATTAGCCCCTAGGTTTACCCTTCCCTATATCATGCATTCCATCCATGGCTTTGCCCCTTGACTTTGGGTTTAATCTATGTGCGTTGCTTTGGCCAACAAAATGAGGCAGAAGTGATGGTGTCAAGTCCAAACCTAAGCTAAGTGACTTTGTGGGTTTCCACCTGACTTCTTGTGCCTGGCCATCAACACAAGGAGACTATGCCTCGGTTGGTCCACTGGTCCAGTGAAGATGAGTGACACATGGAGTAGAGCCATCCCTGCTGAGCTTAGACTAGACTAGTCACCCCCTACCTCCAGGTGCATGAGAAAGAACAACTGATTGTTGTTTTAAACTACTGAGTTTTGTGATGATTTGTTTACTCAGCAATACGTTACTGATACCTCTTCTTTAAAACACTTACAATGATTTGAATGCATGTATTTTAGGCTGTCTAATCACAACACCAAATTCATTATTCATTTTTCTTTTTATAAAGAATCATAAGTGAAAGTTGCTATGCTTACAAAGCCATGATAATCTTTTGCAAAATGCCAAGTACATCACCCAGACAGTTCCTTTTTAAGAAGATCTACTGCAGCCTCTTGGTTTTTTTCATATCTTTCTCTGTGGTTTCCTCAATTTTAGGCTCAGGCAGAGCCCCTTCACTTGGCTGGGACTTATTATTCTTGAAGGATCTAATGAGCAGCCCATTATGCTGTCAGTTCATTGATTAAGAGTGTCTTCAGCATGAGAGAAGATCATTGTTATGGAAATTTCCCTGCTCTATTTTTCCTAATAAACTGGGTGCAAATGAGAACCTGAGCTTGAGGAGAGAGAAAACTGAGCTGTTAGAGCAAGCCATAAATCCAGGCCAAAGAGTGGGTTAGCATTTATAAAACATTGCACTTTAATTTTTCATAAATATTGTCCTGTTGATTTACCACTTAGATCCTTGGCTTGAACCCATTATGGTTCCTATGAGAGAAACTGGGGGGCTCCTTAGGGCTATTGGACAACATGGTACATTCTAGAAGCTAAAGGAACTTCATGCATTCTCTGTTCTTGTTAACAAGTCTCTACAACCTGACCTTTCATGAGAGTGTAGTGTCACTGGTTAGCCGCTTTACTACCTATGTGGGCCCCGAATAGCTGAGTGAAGTGGAGCCTTTGGAGCTGTGATCGTCATAGACTGCTCTTTACACCAGTGGCTGTTGTGTCCAAGTATCCAAACATACAACCAGCTCTTCTGTGGGTTCCTGTGGCGTAATAGGACATACATATTTGGCTGGGTGCGTTGGCGCATGCCTGTAATCCCAGCACTTTGGGAGGCTGAAGTGAAAGGATCACTTAGAGGTCAGGGGTTTGAGCCCAGCCTGGGCAACATGGTAAGCCCCCATCTCTACCAAAAATGCAAAAAATAGCCGGGCATGGTGGTGCACGCCTATAATCCCAGCTACTTGGGAGGCTGCAGCATGAGAATCGCTTGAACCTGGGAGGCGGAGATTGCGGTGAGCTGAGATTGCATCACTGCACTGTAGCCTGGGTGACACAGAGAGTTCCTGTTTCAAAAAAAAAAAAAAAAAAGGCATATATATTTGGTCTTTGTCCCCGGTTCCTGGCACATAGCTCCAAAAAAACTCTGGTAATCTCCAGAGTGATATGTTAAGGACATGACTGGTGGCTGGGTTCCCCTACACAGCTTCAGGATGAGGGCTGGTCACCAGAAAGACCAAGGCATGATTAGAGGACTGGAACTTTCAGTCCTACTCTCCCGACCTCTGGGGAGGGGAGGGGGGCTGCAGGTTGAGTTCAATCACTAAAGTTTAATAAATCATGCCTGTGTCATGAAACTTCCATAAAAATCTCTAAACAATAGGGTTTGGGGAGCTGGGTTGGTGACTACATGGAGGTGCTGGGAGGGTGGTGTGCCCAGAGAGTGCATGGAAACTCTGCATCCGTTTCCCATACCTTGCCCTATGCATCTCTTCCTTTTGGCTCTTCCTAAATTGTATTCTTGATAATGAACTGTTACAAGCAAGTTGTGACTTCTGAGGTCTGAGAGCTGTTCTAGCAAATTATCAAAGCTGATGAGGGGTTTGTGAGAACCCCTGATTTATAGCCAAGTTGGACAGAAATCCTGGAAACCTGGGGACCCAACACTTGTGACTGGCATCTGGAGTAAGGTCAGTCCTGTGGGACTGAGTCCTTGAACCTGTGGAGTCTGACACTATCTCTGGGTAGTTAGTTCAGAATTGAATTGTCGAATGTGATACCACACCTGGCTAATTTTTTAATTTTTTATAGACATGGGTCTCCCTATGTTGCCCAGGCTGGTCTTGGACTCCTAGGCTCAAGCGATCCTCCTGCTTTTGGCTCCCAAAGTGCTGGAATTACAGGTGTGAGCCACGACACCCGGCCTAGAATTTGTATATTTGTATTTCTTTTTTTTTCTTTCTTTCTTTTTTTTTTTTTCTTGAGACGGAGTCTCACTCTGTCGCCCAGACTAGAATGCAGTGGTGCGATTTCTGCTCACTGCAACCTCCCCCTCCCAGGTTCAAGAGATTCTCCTGCCTCAGCCTCTTGAGTAGCTGGGATTACAGGCATGTGCCACCACACCCAGCTAATTTTTGTATATATATTTTTTTTTAGTAGAGACGGGGTTTCACCCTGTTGGTCAGGCAGGTCTTGAACTCCTGACCTCGTGATCCGCCTGCCTCGGCCTCCCAAAGTGCTAGGATTACAGGCGTGAGCCACCGCTCCCGGCCTAGAATTTGTATTTCTGACAAGTTCTCAGGTCACGCTGATTCTGCTGGTCTGCTGACTTCACTTCAAAAAGCATTGTTCTACCTGCCTTTTCAATGCTTTTCCAAAATTCCTTATCGCTAAGTTCCCTGAACTGTTTTCTTCCCATTCTCCCAGGTTTTGTCCATCTCTGATGGTGGAAACCCTAATTCCACTGCCACTTTTACTTCCAACAGACTTAGTTGGCCCTCTCTCAGCAAGTGTGTATGGGGCAAGGGCCTTGACAGAAAGCATTTTTCTTCTCTGTGCAAAGCACATGCCAAATAACTGAAATACAGCAAAATTTATGGTATTTTTCTTGAAAATATAAATGATAAATTTATGGTATTTCAGGGGATTGAAAACATAAATGAGAAGACATTTGTATAGTGAAAGGTCAACCTTGACCCCAAAAAGTTTGGCCCTCGCCTAGCTCCTGGGAGGTAACCTCCAAGCCCGTGGAATATCCTGCTTGGGAAGAATGTCTTATTTACCTGGAGGCCTTGAGTCATACCAGATAGTCTGTGCTAACAGTGTGTCTTAGTCTGTTCGGGCTGCTATTATGGGCACGGCACCCAGCTGCGCCCCCTTGCAGCCTGGGGCAGGGGCTCCAGGCCCTCACTGGGCCCCGGCCGGCATCGGGGCAGGGGTGATGTTGCCGTGAGCTCCTGCTGTGGTCCCGGCCCTCAGGGGTGGTCTGGAGCTCCCCCTTGCCCATAGCACAACCCAGCCTGGCCCCATCGTGGCAGCCCCCAGGGTGGTGGGCTTGGGGTGGGAGGGGCTGTTTGCCTCCTCCCTGTGTCTTCCCTGCAGCACCCAGCATGATGGCAGTGGCTGCACGAGACGGACTGCTGCTGTTATCACTGCTACAACAAAATGTCTTAGACTGGGTAACTTACAAAGAACAGAATTAGTTGCTCACTTTCTAGAGGTTTAAGATCAAGGCACCAGCAGATCCACTGTCTGGCCAGGACTCTCTGCTTCATAAACAGCACCTTGCTGCTGTGTTCTTCCATGGCAGAAGGGGTGGAAAGGCTCCCTCAAGCCTCTTTTATGAGGGAACTAATCCCATTCATGAGGGTGGAGAGCTAATCACTTCCTAAAGGCCCTGCCTCTTAATACTATCACGTTGGGGATTAAGTTTCAACATATGCATTTTGAGGGAACAAGCCTTCAGACCAAAGCACAGCATGATTTGTGGTGGTGGCCTTGGGCTACATAGCATGGGTTTGACTTCTGGAGGGGCTGGAGCCTAAGGCCAGCCACACAGCTAGCCAACCATGTTCGCGACTGAGCCGCGGTAAAATCCTCAGATACCAAGACTCAGCTGAGAGGAGTAAGCATTGTCTGTGTGACTGTCCTGGGAGAGCACACCTGGAAGCTCATGCCTGGTCTCTGTTGGACTCTACCTCGTGCATCTTCTTTCTTTGTTGATTTTAATCTGTATCCTTTCACTTTGATAAACACTCATGAGTGTAAGGATTTTTTTGAGTTATTTGAGTCCTAGCAAAAAATTAAACCCAAGAGTGGTCTTAGTGACCCCCCAGACTGCAACAGTAAACATATGTGGTAATAAATTACCAAAGATACCATGTGCCAAGTGCTAAGAAGAGGAAGTGGTTTCACATGTGCTGTTGAAGGAAGACAATCTTTGTTGGAGGGACCAGGGGAGGCTCTTGGAGGAGAGAAGACTTGAGTTATTCTTAAAGGATGGGTAAAATTAAAACAGTAAAAAAAAAAAAAAAAAAACCCTAAAATGTTATGTTCCTAAAAAAGTTTTGATAAAAATTATGGAGAAAAAATTGGAAATCATCAATAACCCTAATTCTAAAAACCATGACCAATTTAATGTTGTTGAAGTTTCTTTTGGTCTTTTTCATATGTGCATATGTGTAAGTCCATTCTTGCAATGCTAAAAAGAAATACCTGAGACTGGGTAATTTATAAAGAAAGAGGTTTAATTGGCTCATGATCCTGCGAGCTGTACAGGAAGCAAGGTGCTGGCATCTGCTCAGCTTCTGGGAAAGTCTCAGGAAACTTATAATCATGGCGGAAGGCTAAGGGGGAGCTGGCATTCTGCGTGGCTGGAGCAGGAGGAAGAGAACGAGAGGGGAGGTACTACACACTTTTTAAACAACCAGATCTCACGAGAACTCACGTTTGCAAGGACAGTACCAAGGGGAATGATGCTAAACCATTCATGGGAAATCCACCGCCACGACCCAATCGCTTCCCACCAGACGCCGCCTCCAACATTGGGGATTGCAATTCAGCATGAGATTTGGTGGGGACAGAGATCCAAACCATATCAGCATGTAATTATTTCTAAGTTTTTAATGTGGAAAATTCCAAACATACAAAAAAGTAATGGGAAGAATATAATGAGCCTCATGTCTCCATCACCCAATAATTAACTTGCGGCCAATTTTGTTTCCTTTGTAGTCCCTTTCATTATATCCACCCCCCTGAATTATTTTGAATCAAATCCTAGACATTGTATATTTTCATTTGTAAACAGTTTGTGTAAATCTCTAAGAGATAAGGATGCTCCTTCTAAATGTCCGCCAATACCTTCATCATACCCACCTCTAAATCAGCAATAATACCTAAATCATAGACTATCCAGATTATGTTCATATTTTCCAATTTATCCTTTAAGTTCTCTTGTTTCCCTCAACTGTTTGAATTAGGATCCAAACACGACCCATAACTTTCAGCCAGTTAATATGTAGCTGAAATCTCTTAAAAAAAAAAATCAACTTTACTAAGGTATAATTTACATATAATAAAATGTAAAAAGGCTGGAGCGCAGTGGTGCATTGATTTTTGGTGTCGAGTCTATCTGCCGTTTAACCACCATCCCAATAAAGATATAGAATACTCCCATCACTCCAAAATGTCCCTCATGCTTCTTTGAAATCAATCTCCACCCTCCCTCAACAGCTCCAGGAAACCCCCATTAGCACTGTCACTGATTCAGAATGCAGTTCTTCTGTAAATCTCTCTGATCATGGCCGCCTGGACAGCCCTTGCACCTGGTGTTTCTCTGTAGAGGCTATGGAGTTCTCTGGGGCCCTTGGGGGTTAGCCTCAGTTGTCTCAGGTCTTCTGGGCTAGCATTTTCTCAGTTCTGATTTTTTATACTAATGTAACTCCATCTGGTATCTTCCCAGGATTTAAAAACATTTTATAGCCTTTTGATGGCCTTTCTTGTTTTCCTGTGCTATTATGATTTTGTTGTTAAAAATAATCTGTAACCTGTCAAACTCAGGGGGATATAAACAAAAAATAGTTTTTATTTCTTGCAGTCATTGCCTATAGCCATACTTTGTCAATTTCCTCTTTCCTGTCTCTTAATAAAATCTTGAGCAAATTCTTTAACATTTTAATTACTTTTGACTTAGTTCTATCCAGGCTGTAACTGTAATCTATAATTGGCTTAAACTCTTCCCCCAGTCCAACTTGTGACTCCAGGGACCTATACTGTGAGGGGAGAGGCTTAATATGTTCTTGAAGTTCAGTCGTGTGTAGCTTAATGATACAGATACCTTCCGGAAAATGCATCATTAGGTGATTTTGTCCTTGTGTGAGTATCACAGAGTGTATTTACATAAAACTAGACGGTTGATCCACCTAGGCTATATGGTAAGGCCTGTTGCTCCTAGCAAACCTACACAGGATGTTACTGTACTGAGTACTGTAGGCAATTGTAACACAATGGTAATAATTTATGTATATAAATATATGGAAACATATAAAAAGTACAGTAAACATGTGGTATAAAAGATACAAAATGGGCCGGGCACAGTGGCTCAGGCCTATAATCCCAGCACTTTGGGAGGCCGAGGTGGGTGGATCATGAGGTCAGGAGACCGAGACCATCCTGGCCAACATGGTGAAACCCCGTCTCTACTAAATATACAGAAAATTAGCTGGGCTTGGTGGCTTGTAATCCCAGCTACTCGAGAGGCTGAGGCAGGAGAATCTCTTGAACCTAGGAGGAGGAGGTTGCAGTAAGCTGAGATTGTGCCACTGCACTCTAGCCTGGCAACAGAGCTAGACTCTGAAAAAAAAAAAAGATACAAAAAAGATACAAAAAAAGATACAAAATGATATGCCTGTCAAGGGCACTTACGTAAATGGGCAAATCAGTGAGTGAGTGGTGAGTGAATGGGAAGGCCTAGGACATTGCTGTGCACTACTGTATACTTTATTAACACTGTATGCTTAGGCTACACTAAATTTATAAAAAAAAATTTTGCTTCCTTCAATAACACATTAACCTTAGCTTACTGTCAAGTTTTTTACTTTTTAAACTTTTTAATTTTTTAAAACTTTTGACTCTTTTGTAATAACACTTAGCTTAAAACACAAACACATTGTACAGGTGTACAAAAATATTTTCTTTCTTTATATCCCTGTTTTATAAAGTTTTTTCTATATTTTAAAATTTTTTACTTTTTAAACTTTTTTGTTAAAAACTAAGTCACAAATACATATGTTAGCCTAGGCCTACACAGGGTCAGGATCATCAGTAACACTGTCTTCCACCTCCGCAGCTTGTCCCACTGGAAGGTCTTCAGGGGCAATAACAGGTATGGAGCTGTCATCTCCTGTGACAATAATGCTGCCTTCTGGAATTCCTCCCGAAGGACCTGCTTGAGGCAGTTTTCCCTTTAACTATTTTTTCTTTCTTTCTTTCTTTCTTTGAGATGGAGTCTTGCTCTGTCGCCCAGGCTGGAGTGCAGTGGCACTATCTCGGCTCACTGCAAACTTTGCCTCCCAGGTTCAAGCGATTCTCCTGCCTCAGCCTCCTGAGTAGCTGGGATTACATGCGTGCACCACCACACCCGGCTAATTTTTTGTATTTTTAGTAGAGACAGGGTTTGTATTTTTAGTAGAGATGGGGTTTCATCATGTTGGTGAGGCTGGTCTTGAACTCCTGACCTCGTGATCCGCCTGCCTCGGCCTCCCAAAATACTGGAATTACAGGCGTGAGCCTGCACCTGGGCTACTTTTAACTATTTTTAAAAAATGTTTAAGTAGAAGGAAGTACACTCTAAAATAATAATAGTATAGTAAATTGATAAACCAGTAACATTGTCATTTATCATTATCAAATATTATGTGCTCTACACAATTGTATATGCTATACTTTTAGACAACTGTCAGCACAGGTTTGTTTACACCAACATCATCACAAGCATGTGAGTAATGTGCTATGCTGTGTCATGACAGCAGCTACGATGTCACTGAGCAATAGGACTTCTTCAGCTCCATTATAATCTTTTTTTTTTTTTTTTTGAGATGGAGTCTCGCTCTGTCACCCAGGCTGGAGTACAGTGGTGCAATCTCAGCTCACTGCAAGCTCTGCCTCCCGGGTTCACGCCATTCTCCTGCCTCAGCCTCCCAAGTAGCTAGGACTACAGGCGCCCGCCACCACACCCGGCTAATTTTTTGTATTTTTAGTAGAGACAGGGTTTCACCGTGTTAGCCAGGATGGTCTTGATCTCCTGACCTTGTGAACTGCCCGCCTCGGCCTCCCGAAGTGCTGGGATTACAGGCGTGAGCCACCACACCTGGCCTCCATTATAATCTTATGGGACCACCCTTGTATATGTGGTCCTTCATTGACTGAAACATCATTTTGCGACACATGACTATGTATCTGCTTCTTTCCCTGAAACCAGTTCTTCCAGAATTGGCAGCAGGTGGTAGGGGCAGTGGAAACCGATCTGATGCCGGCAACTGCCCATGAGTGGAGGGAAGATATCTTGACTCTGCTCTGGCTTAGAAAGCTTCCATCTGGAGAGGGAGGCCTCCTCTGACTCAGGGCCTCCCTGGAGAAGGTGCTCAGTTTTCTCAAGGGGCAGTGACTGCCTGGAGAGAACATCAGCTGTGTCTCACTTCAGCCTGTGCTGATGGTTTACCTATGTAGCTAAGTGTGTGTGTGTGTGTGTGTGTGTGTGTGTTTGTGTTTCCTAAGCCACGCTGATGGTCTAGCCATATAGCTAAGTGTGTGTGTGTGTTTGTGTTTCCTAAGCCACGCTGATGGTCTAGCCATATAGCTAAGTGTGTGTGTGTGTGTTTGAGTTTCCTAAGCCATATGGCTCAGAATTGAGAAAGTGCAGTTCCTCATTGAAAATGTGGGATTCCCCATTCTACTATAAAGACACATGCACACGTGTGTTTATTGCGGCGCTATTCACAATAGCAAAGTCTTGGAACCAACCCAAATGTCCATCAATAATACACTGGATAAGGAAAATGTGGCACATATACACCATGGAATACTATGCAGCCATAAAAAAGGATGAGTTCACGTCCTTTGCAGGGACATGGATGAAGCTGGAAACCATCATTCTCAGCAAACTATCGCAAGAACAGAAAACCAAACACCGCATGTTCTCAATCGTAAGTGGTAGTTGAACAATAAGAACACATGGACATAGGGAGGGGAACATCACACACTAGGGCTTGTTGGTGGGTGGGGGGCTAGGGGAGGGATAGCATTAGGAGAAATACCTAATGTAGGTGACGGGTTGATGGGTGCAGCAAACCACCATGGCACGTGTATACCTATGTAACAAAACTGCACATTCTGCACATGTATCCCAGAACTTAAAGTATAATACCAATAAAAAGTTGAAAATGTGGGATCCCCTTACAATGAAGGTGAGGAAAAGGAGGCTATGTGAACAGATGCCCAACACATATGCTTAAAGACCTTACCTTCTGAACAGTTACATATAGAAAAGGAGAAGCCATTTTCCCAAAAGAAAATGGAATGGTCTACATTAAAGAAAATGGTATGGACTACATTATGGCCTCTTTTACATCTTCCCTGAATATGTATTTTATTCTTTTGGAGAAATATGCTAAGCAGGAAGATTGGGATTTAAACCTTCAGGAGCTGCAGTGCTTTCTCTTTTTATGCTAACTTCCTTCCTTCCTTCCTTCCTTCCTTCCTTCCCTCCTTTTTCTTTCTTTCTTTCTTTCTTTTTCTTTTTCTTTCACAAAGGTGATGGTGAGAAAATGTTTGGATTTTTTTATTACAGCTTGATAGTAATCTCATGTTTGTATTATAGCTCATGTCTTCCTGGATTTGTCTGTCTTTCTTGAATTGACTTGTAAGTTGCTTTTAAATCTCAACTGTGTCTGAGACCAGGATAGTCTTTATCTCTCTAGTCTCTGTCTTCGAATTGTCTCAGCAGAGATACAGCAGCTTTTGTTCTGTGTTTCTCAGGCTATCATTAAATGCAAGACTGCAAGCCTGTCTGAACAGGCTTGTGAACCAGGGATGAATTTCTTTTCTTTCAAAAATGAATCATCATGAGACTCCACCCATGCTGGAAGCACATTTAATAAAGGAACAACTCCAGATGGTTGAAGGTAGATAGCTTTAAATTCAGAACATTTTTCATTATAATTGCAATACCATGCACAGATTTAAACTGACACTTTGGGGAGTTTACAGATGAGATGCACTGCAATCTACTACCAGGCATCATGGTCACTAGGTTTTATTGTTTTAGAAATGGCATAATGACTATTGAAAAGCACTAATTGCCCACAGTTTGGTGTGATGGAAGAGCACATTACATCTGTTCTACCCTGTAGACCTTTGTTTCACAAAGACAATTTAAAGTACATAAGAAAACAATCACAGATTGTTTTAATCTCCACAACATTTGCAAATTATTTTTCTTAAATCAGAGGGCATTTTAAATACATTTTTTTTTTTTTTTAGCAAATAAAATCCTTTAATGAAAGTAGTAAAGTGGAGGAGGAAGAGGATGGGCTGGATTTGGATTCTAGGTTTTATCCAGCTTCTCACAGGATTTATGAGCATAGTGATGTTGTTCAAACTCAGTGGGGTTGGTAGTTTCCTTTATAGTGAACAGGGAGCGAGACTGAATAATTTCTCAGGCCTCTTACGGCCACAAAGTTCACTGATTCTGGGTTGTATTAAAAGAATCAAGAAAACACGAAGTAAATTATTCCTATCATCCTCTTGGTTATTAAATAATAAGTCTGTTTTATTAATTTTAATTTTGGCATTAAACATTTAAAAAATATTTTGAGGTAGATCTGCTATCCCACTATGTTTTATAATTTCGTGTTGCTGATATAAATGAAAACTTTGATTTGAATATATTTAGCTTTAGCTTTTTTTTTTTTTTTTTTTTTTTTGAGATGGAGTCTTGCTCTGTCACCCAGGCTGGAGTGCGGTGGCACGATCTCGGCTCACTGCAAGCTCCACCTCCTGGGTTCAAGCCATTCTCCTGCCTCAGCCTCCCGAGTAGCTGGAACTACAGGAGCCTGCCACCACACCCGGCTAATTTTTTTGTATTTTTTTTAATAGTGATAAGGTTTTGCCGTGTTAGCCAGGATGGTCTCAATCTCCTGACCTCGTGATCCACCCACCTCGGCCTCCCTAAGTGCTGGGATTACAGGCGTGAGCCACTGCATCTGGCCTGTATATATTTAGCTTTAAACAGTTGTGTTACTGAATGTTTTTGGTTCTAATAGGTTTTTAGTTGAGGTGCATGGATTTCCTGGGAATAAAATCTATAAATAATAATTTCAGAACCTCAAGAACAACGTTGAAAAGTAGTGGTAATAACAGGCATCCTTTCCTGTTTTAACTTCAGTATCATACTTTTATGTAATGTGCTGTTTGCTGTTGATATATGTTGAATACCCTATCAAATTTAGAATTTTTTAAAATTATAATTTTACTCAGAATTTTTACATGATGCTTTTCTGACATCTATTAAAATAAGCATATGGATTTTTCATCTTTAACCTACTGATACAATGAATTGCACTAATAGATTTCCTGATGTTAAACCACTTAATAATTTTAACCCATCCTGAAATCCCTGTAATAAACCCAACTTGCTTACTGCGCTTCAAAAATATGCTTTCAAGGGAAAGCTTATACACTGCTGGTGGGAATGTAAATTAGTACAGCTTCTATGGAAAACAGTATGGAGGTTTCTTAAAGAACTAAAAGTAGATCAACCCTTAGATCCATTCTACACATTCTACCCAAAGGAAAATAAGTCGTTATATCAAAAAGCACCTGCACACTTAACATGTGTATTTATTTATTGCAGCACAATTCACAATTGCAAAGATATGGAACCAACCTAAGTGCCCATTGACCAATAAGTGGCTAAAAAAATGTGGCATGTATATATGTATATATATACACACACACCATGGAATACTACTCAGCCATAAAAAGGAAAAAATAATGTCTTTTGCAGCAATTTGGATGGAGCTGGAGGCCATTATTCTAAATGAAGTAACTCAGGAATGGAAAACCAAAATATATATTAAAAAAACAAAAACAAAAAATATACTTTCAAATTCATTTTGTTCATATATTGAGTAAGGTTTTTCATCTATATTATTAATAATGCAAGACTATAAACTTTTTTAACTTAAAAATTATATTTTGAATCAAAGTTATGTCTACTTCTCAAAATATTTTGGAAAAAATTTTCATCTTCTTTCATTTTCTGTTATGATTTGAATAGCATAGGAATTAACTATTCTTTTAAGGACAGATAGAATTTATGGACAAAAGTATTTGGGCCTGGTTCCTACTGTAGTGGTAGATGTTTGACATATTTTCCCCAAGAATTCTATCGTGATTGTTCAGTTCTATCTCTTCCTGAGTCTGTTTTGGCAATTCATTTTACTAACAGCCATCAATTTCATCTTGGTATTCAAATTTATTGGCAATAACCAGTTATTTTCATTAACTATTTTAATTGCTCTCATATTTGTAGTCTCATTTCTAATTTTTCTTACTTTCCTGCTTTCTTTTTTCCCCCATTTTTTGAATTGTTTTGAAGGGGTTAGTCCTTTTCATTCAGCTTTTCAAAGACCCCACTTTTGGCTTTCCTTATAACATGCTTAGATTTCAAACAGAAAAAGGAATTTAACTTTTGGGTTAATTATTTATTTGGTCCACTACATTGAAGATAGTCCCAAAAGTTCACTGGTTATTTTGTCTGCTCCCCGAAAACCCCCTTTACTTCATAAATAGAGTTTAGAAGAGGGCCAGGACAGGGGATTTGGGTCAGGGAAATTAACCTTGACTGCACTGTGAGCCACTGCGAACCACTTTGTGACTTTATTACTATGCAACATTGATTAATGTACACTCTAGAACTAACTGCTGGAAGGAGACACTGCTGGGCAGCTTGAAGGCTTGAGGAAGAGGAAAGGCAGAGGGAAGGAGGGGAGAGAAGGGGAAGGGAGCAGAGAGTTGGGGTTGGGGGAGAAGGAATGCTTTAGCTTTTCAAATGATAGAAACTTTTGTCCTTTGTTTTAACCTCTTCAGCTGCCCAAGCCACTCCCAGAGCTGTGATCCTTCAGTGCCTCTGGTTTCCAATAGTTTCTCAAAAGTCCCCTGTGTAGTTTAGCTCTTCACATCCTCTCCTGGCAGAACACACAATATAAATGTAAACTGTCATCATCATGGCCCGGGACCCCAGGGAAAGAGATGACATTTTCTTGTGAGACTGGGAGAAGCAGCAGGAGCAGGTGTGGGGAAGGGTTGTTTTGCAAATCAAATGTTGTGGAATGGTTTTTACAGTCTTGGGGGAGACACAGTGTTTACTAAGAGGAAGTGGATAATGGTCCTCAGGTTGTTCCGTCTACAATAGTGAAGAATAAGCAGACGGTGTGCGCCTGTGGTCCCAGCTACTTGGAAGGCTGAGGTGGGAGAGTTGCTTGAGCCCAAAAGTTTGAGGCTACAGCGCGCTATGAGTGGTACCATTGCACTCCAGCCAGGACCACAGAGTGAGATGCTGTCTCAAAAAAAAAAAAAAAAGAAATGCAGACAAGATCAGTGTATTCAGGGTACTGGTGAGTGCCTGTTGAGCCCAGGAATTTGAATCCAGTTTGGGCAACATAACGAGATCCCATCTCTCCAAGAAAGGAAGAAGCAGCAGATGTAGCTGATGATCTAGCTTAGCACTCTCAATGCCTGCTCCTGCCATGCTGATGCTGGGCTTTGCTCAGAAGTGAGGGGCATATAGGTGGCACTCCCTAAAAATAGGTGGCAATCACTTGTTCATTTTCTCAAAGTGGGTCAACATTAGTTCCCATCCAGGGTGATTTTGCCCCCCCGGAGCAAAATCATTTGGCATTTGGCAATGTCTGGAGACATTTTTGGTTGTCACAACTTGGACTACTCCAAGGAGTACCACTGTCATGTAGTGGCATGGAGGCCTGGATGCTGCTGGACGACTTACAATGCACAGGACAGCCCCACAGCAAAGAACTATTTAGCACCCAGTGTCAGTCCTGCTCAGGATGAGGGGCTCTGGGTGAGGGTGATGCCCAGCATGCAACATTCAGCCTGGGGATGTTGGTCGAATGGTCAGGAGCTTTCAGTAGGGCAGCACTGGTCAGTATGATTTCAGGGGATCCATTTTTGTAATTTTTTTGCCTAATTTTTTTAAGTCCATGAATGAGACATGATTACATTCATAGTGCAGAAGATTTAAACAATTCAGGAGTGAGGAGAACAAAGTGTGACTGTTCTGTTTGCTTTCCTTTCTTGCTTTTACCCTTTTCCTCCTCTTCTCTCCACCCTTTCCTTTCTGGGGGCCTGGTCCAGCTGTCTTCAGCTGCTCACACATTTTTTTCTTACATAAATGGCATCATTCCACACCCACTCTTATATAACTTACTCTTTTCACTTAGCATTTGAGTAAATCAACTTCCAGGCTGTTCAAAGTTTCACAATGAATAGATAGTCTCATATTGTGGAAGTAATCAAAGTAGCACTACTTTATGGCACCTGCTCTATGCCAGGCAGGATTCCAGAGTCTCTGCATGTGACTTCTTTAGTCCTCATAAAACCTTGTGGGTTAGGTGCTATTTTATGGATCAGGAAACGGAAGCACTCAGAGGCAATCTGGGTGAGTCCTCACTTTTTACCCCTGCACTGTCCAGAAAAGCTATTATCTGTGGAGCAGGGAACCTTTGGTGACATCCACAGGTATCATTGAATGCCAGTCATGTGCTCAGCACTGTGCCAGATATCCCTGCCCTCCAGGAACTCCTGGTCTTGGGGGAAATAACAGACAGACAGACAGAAAGCAGCAGCTCACAGCAGCTCAGTGTGGCAGGGGCAGCAATAGGGACAAACTTCATAGACAACAGTCACCACTTGATTTATGCCTCAACACCCAGAGGACAGTCCAGAGCCATTGTTAATTAGAAATGGCCCATCCTCATAATTCAGCCTTTGTGTCTCTGACTTTTGAAGCATGCCTCATCATAACTTGCTTCATGATCTTGTTCCCAAGTTTTGTAACAGGAGCTGTCAGTAATCAAAATAATTCTTCTGGCTTTGTAAAATGGGAGGGTTTGGAATGCTGCTGTCTTTATTCCATTTCCAGAGCAGCACTTTAGATATACTTCTCATCATTTCCCAACTTTCAAATGCATTTCATTAAATATATCACTCCTTTCCCTCCCTATTCTGTAATGTCATTTTTCTCTTTTACGAAGGATGACTTTCCAATAGTTTAAGAGAGCAAAATACTCACACGCCCACTAGAATATAATCCAGCTAAAGGAGAACTTAGTTATCTCTGGGTTGTGCCAGGCACTATAGCAGGTGCTAGGGAGGAGCTCATGGGGACATTCACAATGTCTTCTGACAATGGGATGAGTGAAATATAAAGACCACACACAGAGGGTTATAGGAATCTGGGGTAGGATGTGGTTGCAGCTATTTGTCCATGTACCAGGATGCATCACACAGGGTGACCAACCATCCCTGTTTGCTTAGGACTAAGGAATTTCCAGGATGCAAGGTGTTTGGTGCTAACATCAAGAAAGTTCCAACAAATTGCGACAATTTGGTCATCATGGTGTTAAAGAAAATAAGAAGGAGGCCATTAACACAAGGTTGTCTCTGTACCCGGAGAGCAAACCAAAATCCATTTAAATGGAAATCGTAAAACAAAACTTGAGCTTAACTAATCAGAAATCACCAACCAACCTCTAACTCAGGACTCTCCACTGGATTATACCCAAATAAGGCAAATGCCAAGCTGTAGCCAATCAAGTAATTTCTCTACTTAGCTTCTGTGGTCAGCCTGTAAAAGCTTGCTGGTCGTGCTGTGGAGCAGAGCTCTTTGGACCTCTTTTGGTTTTGAGTGATGCCCAGTTCATGAATCCTTTAATGCTCAAAGGAACGCTGTTAAATTGATTGATTGATTGACTGAGATAGGGTCTTGCTCTGTCACTCAGGCTGCAGTGCAGTGGCACAATCATGGCTCACTGCAGCTTTGGCCTCCTGGGCTCAGCCTCCCGAGTGACTGGGACTACAGGTGCACACCACCATGCCTGGCTTAATTTTAAGATTTTTTTTTTGTAGTCACAGGGTCTCACTATGTTGCCTAGGCTGATCTTGAACTCCTGGGCTCAAGCAATCCTCCCACCACTTGGATTGCAGATGTCAGCCACCACACCCAGCCTGTTAAATTTATTTTTTCTATAGTTTTTCTTTTAACAATGGATTAGCATAACTCTACACTTTCTGTGAGAACTCTGGCCAAGTTAGCCATGGATTGTAAAAAAGATAAAAAAAGGGCAGGTGACCACGAAAGTCTATGGTAATGATGAGATTGCAGGTCTGGTTATTCAGACACTTGAGGGATTGCCGGCTGCACCCCTAATGTTTGTGCTGTGGTGAGGTTCAACATCTTCTGTGCCATCTGAGCTGTTTTTATTGTTATAGGCTTGGGGGCTGACCTCTAAGAGCCTTTCCAGGAGGCCAGACTTGGGAATCTGCTGCTATCCCTGCTGGCAGACTGCAGAAGGCTGACTCCTGCTTTCTGGACAACTGCTAGTGTATTAATTTGTCATATGAAATAGGACTACCAGAGGGCTGAACATGCATGTCTTCTGACCTATGTTCCCTGTAAGGGGAAATTTACACAGTGTATTAGTCAGGGGATAAGTTCAACTGAATGAGACAGGTCCAAGATCCAAGTTTCATGGTAGCCCAAATGCCACAGAAATTTGGTTATTTGCATATAAAAGTCCAAACTCAGAAAGACCTTAGGGACCCAATTTTCTTCTATTTATGTTTTCATCATCCTAGGGTGTGGCCTCACCCATGTGATCCAAGAATGCCCCCTACCATGTCTGCTTTCCAGCCAGTGAGAAGGCAGAAGGAGAAAAAGGCTGATGCATTTCTTCTAGGAAGGAGCTTGACACAGAGGTTGCCCATAACACTTCTCATATCCTATTGGCTAGAACTAAGTCACATGGATAAGCCTGGCTGCAAGGGTATGTGGGAAATATAGTCTTTATTCTAGGTGGCCATATATTCAGCTAGATGTTCTATTAAAAAACGAAGGAGATAAGAATATGCCACCACAAAATATGCCATTTTAAAAAAGACCTACAATCTCTTTTCAATTTTCTTTTTTTCAATTTTCTTTCAATTGAGAACCAAGAGATCCAGGAAGAATTCTCTGTCCTCCTCTTATCTGCCTAAAAGCAGGGGATAAATTTCCCTATGAGAAGTACCTCGTCTGAACCAGGAGTAGTAACTCATCACCGAAGGCAGAGAGTGGATACTGAGATGAGTTTGCATAAACAGGCCTTACTAATAAAAACTAACAGCTATTAGTTTTCCTGTAACTCTCCTAGTCCCTTCCCCACAATTTATTGTCCCTTACAACCCAACCCCAAATAGGAAGAGAGGAAGTGAAACTATCCCTGTTTGCAGATGATATGATTCTATATCTAGAAAACCCCCTAGTCCTGGCCCAAAAGCTCCTTCAGCTGAAAAAACAACTAAGTTTCAGGATACGAAATCAATGTATAAAAATCACTAGCATTCCTCTACGCCAACAATAGCCAAGCCAAGAGTCAAATCAGGAACACAATCCCATTCACACTTGCCACAAGAAAACCCAAAATGCCTAGGAATACAGCTAACCAGAGAAGTGAAAGATCTCTACAATAAGAATTACAAAACACTGCTCAACGAAAAAAAAAATGACACAAACAAATGGAAAAACATTCCATGCTCATGGATAAGAAGAATCATTATCATTAAAATGGCCATACTGCTCAAAGCAATATATAGATTCAATGCAATTTCTATCAAACCACTAGTGACATTCTTCACAGGACTAGAAAAAGCTATTTTATTATGTATTTATTTATTTACTTATTTTTTGGTGTTCTGTCACCCAGGCTGAAGTGCAGTAGTGTGATCTCAGCTCACTGCAACCTCCGCCTCCTGGGTTCAAGCGACTCTTGTGCCTCAGCTTCCCAAGTAGCTGGAACTACAGGCATGTGCCACCATGCCCAGCTAATTTTTATATTTTTAGTAGATATAGGGTTTCATCACGTTGACCAGGCTAGTCTTGAACTCCTGGCCTCAAGTCATCCACTGACCTTGGCCTCCCAAAGTGCTGGGACTACAGGCAGGAGCCACCATGCTGAGCCGAAAAAGCTATTTTAAAGTTCATGTGGTACTAAAAGCAAGCCCAAATAGCCAAGGCAATCCTAAGCAAAAAGAACAAAGCTGGTGACATCACATTAACTGACTTAAACTATACTGCAGGGCTCCAGTAACCAAAATGGAATGGTACTGGTACAAAAACAGACACATAGTCCAATGGAACAGAATAGAGAGCCAGAAATAAAGCTGCACACCTACAATCCTCTGATCTTTGACAAAGGTGACAAAAACAAGCAATGGGAAAGTGTTTCCTATTCATTAAGTGATGTTGGGATAAATGGCTAGCCATATGCAGAAGATTGAAATTGGACCCCTTTCTTACACCATATACAAAAATCAACTCAAGATGGATTAAAGACTTAAATGTAAAACTTAAAACTATAAAAGCTCTGGAAGACAACCAAGGCAATACCATTCTGGACATAGGAATAGCAAAGATTTCATGATGAAGATGCCAAAAGCAATTGCAACAAAAGCAAAAATTGACAAATGGGATCTAATTAAACTAAAGAGCTTCTTCTGCACAGTGAAAGAAACTATCAACAGAGTAAACACACAACCTACAGAATGGGAGAAAATATTTACAAATGGTGCGTCTGAAATAGATCTAATGTCCAGCATCTATAAGGATCTTAGATTAAGCAAAAAACAAACAACTCCATTAAAAAGTGGGCAAAGGACATGAACAGACACTTTTCAAAGAAGACATACATGCAGCCAACAAATAAATGAAAAAAAAAAAGCTCAATATCACTGATCATTAGAGAAATGTAAATCAAAACCACAATGAGATATCATTTCACACCAGCCAGAATGGTTATTATTAAAAAGTCAAAAAATGACAGATGCCGGTAAGTTTGTGGAGAAAAGGGAATGCTTATACACCGTGAGTGGGAGTATAAATTAGTTAAACCATTGTGGAAAGCAGTTCCACAATATGGCGATTTCTCAAAGAGCTCAAAACAGAACTACCATTCAACCCAGTAATCCCATTACTGGGTATATACCCAAAGGAATAGAAATCGTTCTACCATAAATACCTGCACATGTGTGTTTATTGCAGCATTATTCACAATAGTGAAGATATGGAATCAACATAAATGCTCATCAATGATAGACTGGATAAAGAAAATGTGGTAATATATGCCATGGAATACCATTTTCACACTCATAAAAAATGAGATCATGTCCTTTGCAGGAACATTTATGGAGCTGAAGGCCATTATTCTTAGCAATCTAATGCAGGAACAGAAAACAAATACTGCATGTTCTCCCTTATAAGTTGGAGCTAAATGATGAGAACTCATGGACACATAGAGTGTCAACAGACACTGGAAACTCCCTAAGGGTGGAGGATGGGAGGAAGGAGAGGATCTGAAAAGAATAGCCACTGGGTACTAGGCTTAGTACCTGGGAGACGAAATAATCTGTAGAACAAACCCCCATGACACAAGTTTACCTATATAACAAATCTGCTGAAACCTAAATTTTCATGTATCCCTGAACCTAAAATAAAAGTTAAAAAAACAACCTCTGTCTTGCTTAAAAAACCCAATCCCTTTTTCCTTGTTAAAATGGCATATAAGCCCCAGTTCTGTCTGCTTCTTTGAGTTTCACTTCTTTTCTGTGAACTCTCATGCATGTAAATAACTAAAAATGTGTACCTCATCTCCTTTTAAATCTGCCTTTTGTTTGTTTAATTCACAGCCCTCCATGTAAACAACAAGAGGGGAGAGAAGAAGTTTATCTTCTTTGACAGAAAGAAGGGGAAAATTAGTATCAGGAAGGTAATTAAAAGCCTCTGCCTTATCTTGAAAGCCAAGTTACAATAAGGATATTGTTGGCTGAGCACAGAATTGAAGAAACGGGTGAGAGCTGGATGTTTCACTGCTGTTAGAGCCTTTACTGGCTATTTCCAGACAACTCAAGTTTGCAGACCATGTCACTGTATGCCCATTGAGGGCACTTGGGGCCCCCTGATCTCTTTCTCTGCTATTCTTTCTGTGTGTTCCAGGCTGTCCAGCTTCCTCCTTTTCAGTATAGAACCAAGAATCCTGCTCATCGTGTAGGAGTGTGGGGTTTGATTTTTTTGGTGGAATGACAAGTACTTTTTCACTAGACTTTAAGCTTCATGCAGCTAAGGAGTGCATCTCTCTTATTTACCACCATCTGGGATTGGTGCCTGGCATATCCCAATAAGGAACTCTATATATATTTGTTAAATTAGCAGCTGATCTTTCCTCTTCTGATATCTTCACTCCTTAGAGGTGTTAAACTCATTTGCTCTATAGCAGATGTTTTTCTTTTTCTTTTCTTTTTTTTTTTTTGAGACAGAGTCTCACCCTGTCACCCAGGCTGGAGTGCAGTGGCACAATCTTGGCTCACTGCAGCCTCCGCCTCCCAGGTTCAAGTGATTCTCCTGCCTCAGCCTCCCATGTAGCTGGGATTACAGGCACCCGCCACCATGCCTGGCTAATTTTTGTATTTTTAGTAGAGACGGAGTTTCGCCATTTTGGTCTCGAACTCCTGACCTCAAGTGATCCACCTGCCTCAGTCTCCCAAAGTGCTGGGATTACAAACATGAGCCACTTTGCCTGGCCAGATATTTTTCAAGTAAACACAGACTTCAAATGCACTCCTCATCCTGGCCCTGGAATATAGTCTCTCACAAAGTTAATATTGAAGTATCTGTCTCATCCTTTAGGTGGGTGGTGATTTCATGTTCAACTCTGAATGTTTGGGGGAACCTTGACATTCCCTGTTCTTATTTACTGTTCTTGAAATAATTTGCTACACCACTTGCTAGTGAATTTAACTTCTTTTAGCTTGCTGCTGATTCCCTATGTATCAGAAAGTAACTTTGCTATTTAAGAAGCCAGATTAGGCCGGGTGTGGTGGCTCACGCCTGTAATCCCAGCACTTTGGGAGGCCAAGGCAGGCGGATCACAAGATTAGGAGTTCGAGACCAGCCTGACCAACATGGTGAAACCCCGTCTCTACTAAAACTACCAATATTAGCTGGGTGTGGTGGTGCCACATGTAATCGCAGCTACTTGGGAGGCTGAGGCAGGAGAATCACTTGAACCTGGGAGGCGGAGGTTGCAATGAAACGAGATTGCGCCATTGCACTCTAGTCTGGGTGACAGAGCAAGACTCCATCTCAAAAATAAATAAATAAATAAATAAATAAACAAATAAATAAATAAATAGAAGTCAGATTAAACCACACAATGCCCTTGAGTTTTTAAAAATACAACAGACCTTTATTGAGGCAACCCAATTTTTTAACATCCTCCACAGGTCTCTGGGATTTGGGCACTTGAGCCTTTTCTAATAGTATATTTATAGGTGTAAACTGTAAAGGGTCTTGGATTTTCTTCCTCCAGGCATGTTTGGAGAAAAGACTTCTTGGTAGGAGAGCAACTTTAAAAATTATTGACTAAGCCTGGAGCTTATATGATATAAACTCTTTATGAGATTGTCAGGAAAAGATTACAATTTGGGCTTGTAGGAACAATACCTGTCATGAGGCCCACAGGCTACATCCTGATATCAGAGAGGGGGAATATATGACCAAAAATATACATACTGTTAGCACATTCCTACAGAGAAGGAACTCACATTCCAGTGTTTTCCAGATCATTCCTGTTAACAAGGAATTCTCTATTTCACACAATGAGGATCTCTCAGAGGACATGGAAACCAAATACAGTAGAGGAGTGGGATACTGGGAGTAAGTGACTAAGAGAAGAGGCTCTACAATCCAAGCTCTGAGAAATCATTGCTGGGTGTCTCTCAGGCAAGAGCTTGGAGAAGTTGGCGTTAATGAGTAAGAATGAATGACGAATTGGTTTTCCTGGTATCTACTGACTGGAAACTTACTATTTTTTTCATTTATACTCCTAATCACTGAGTGCTTATTGTGTGCAAGTTGCTAATTAAATTTTGATTAAAAAGTTGCAAGTCTTCACTTTCCAGGAGTTTACAAGGTACTTAGAAAGAGTGCAAATGACAGGTTCAGAAGACTTATTTTCTAAGAGCTTGTTGTTGACTTTGCTATGTTTTCTCTCAAAGTTCCATTTCCTTGCTTCAGATCTTGGTTTCTTTTAGGTCAAAGCTAGGTTTAGTTGAATGCAGGAAATAATGGAAGAGGCAAAGTCAGATAAGTCATTAATATTAAGACTGAAGTGGACTGTTCCAGTAAAGTGTGGATTTGTACCTCCTGGGAGCTGGTGGATAGGCTCCAAATGCCCCTGAATCTGCAGTGATTATTGCATTTATAGAACACTTCTTATGGGCTAAGTGCTTATGTGGGTCATAGAATTTCATTCCTATAACAGCTTTAGGTGGCATGTAGGTATTATTTTTGGACACATTATACAGATTGGGAAACTGAGGATCCAAGAGCAAAGTTACACAGCTAGGAAGTAGCTGAGTCAGATTTCAGACCTAGAGAGTCAGATTTCAGGGATGACTTGTGGACTGACGTTCCACACAAGTGAGTACATTTCATCCATGTCTTGAAGGGGTTCAGAACATGCAACCTCAAAATATGTCACTTTGGTAATTGATTATTTTGAGTTGAAGGCATTTAAGAAATAGCAGACATAGGGAGGGTGCTCTGACCTCCTCTTCTACCTAAAAGCAGGTTGTAAAATTTCCCACGAGAAAGGGGCCATCTGTATACCTGGAAGAGAAGAACATTCTCATCACCAGAGAGTAGGAGTTGATAATGAGATGAACCTGTACAAACACACCTGCTAACATAGCCCTTGTCTCCCACTAGTTGCTCCCATATAATTTCCTAGTCACTTTCTCACAACTTACCACCCCTAGAAGCTTGAAACCCTTTTCCTTTGTATTGACACATCTTTTCAAATTAATCATTCTTTTGTTAAAAAGGCATTTAGACGCTCGGTCCGAACCACTTCTTATGGTCTTCATCTCTCCTGTAAGGCTCCTATGTACGTGTAAAAATATCATATATAATCTGTGTGCTTTTCTCTGTTAGTCTGTCTTATTTCAACTGGATTCTCAGGCCCAGCCACAGAACCTAAGAGGCAGAGGAAAGTTGCTTCTCCCCTCCAGTCTTATTTTTTATTGAATTATCTGAATGATCCCATTCCACGCGATCACGAGTGAACAATAGCATCTTATTCGGTAATGTTAGAAACCATGGCTCTAAGGGGGAGCTAGCTCTTATTTAAAGAAAATAACCCTGTTCAGAATGAAGCTGTGGCTAGTGTTAACTCAATAAAATATAACGCTTCTTGGGAATCTGCAGGGCTGGTGGGAAAAGCCATTGAGGACCATGGAGTGAGGATAAAAGGTTTGAGGAGTCCAAGTGTTTTCAGGACAGGATTCTGTGTGGCCAGATGGTTCAAATGGATGCAAATTCCCCAAATGGCCCACAGGTACATTGGGTGTAACTCGGGGCTTAACCACATGGCTGCCTGTGGGAGGCTCAGCTGGAAGCAGAAAGTCTGACAGGTCCTTCCCTTGCCTGGCTGAAGGTTGTCTGTCCTCCCTGAGGGCAGGGACCCACACCTGCGGAGGAGAAATTAAATAGTGAAGTGAAGTTAGTGGCAACCTTGGGAAAAAGATGTGTCTTTTGGTGTCTTCAGGGTAGATTTTGTACACAGAAAAAAAGAGTTATTCTTCAACCTTTTAAGATCAATTTGTGTATTTCACTGCTTTAAGTCTAGCAAGTTCCAATAATTGCATACTTAATTCTAAGTATTCCTGAGATTAGAAGATGTGTACTCAGTAAGGAAACTAATTTGCCACCCTGCACAGTGTTGGAAGCTGCCCTCTTGGCTTGGTTGAGCCAGCACAGTGACCAGACCTTCATCTTCATCTTCATCTTCACCCCACTGGACACGGGCCAGGGCTACAGAATGCTGTGTTTATAGGAATCCTTAATCAAAGACTCCACATCTTCAAGAGGGGTGTTGTCTCCTAGCCTGTGTCCCTGGATTCAAGTTATGCATCTTCTCATTCTCCTGTCTACATACACTCCCATGCAATTTGATTGCCTGATTGGATTTTGTACTTTATTGGCTCTTAAAACACAGAAATATCTTTCCTATGTGATTCTAATGACGTTGACCTTAATGGAATGTTGTATTTTTTCTATATAATTCCTAAAATCACCCAGCTCTTGCTAAGTTTAAAATAATCTCTGATTAGTTTTGTCTATTCGGTCACCACCTCCATCCCACTGATACCAGAGAAAGGCAGGGCATAACGTGCACACTGTAGACCTGAAGGAGGAGACTTCATCAGTTTTAGGAAAACAAAGACGTAATTCCATAGTCAGAACACAGGGAAGAGATTTATCACATGGGGAAGTTTTGGGCAATGTAGCCCGACTTGGAAACCTCAAGTCAGTTTAGGGAGGGAGGAAATGGCAGCCCCGAGACGGTTGCTCTTTGCTGGTATAGGATTTGGATGAATGGTCATCTCTAAAGGAGGACAGGAAAGGCACATGATTGAGTATGGCATAGATCTGGAAAGATAGTGTTAGAAAGGCCAAGGATGAGAATGATTTGGGACTTGAAACAAAAATGCCAAGGATGGCCAGAAGGCTTTCTAGCGCTCGGCAGAGCGAGAATGACAAGGATGGCTTGGGGTCAAGCCTGTGTCAGTCATGCGCTCCTGTCTAGAGGGCCTCAAGGATTATCTCTGCTCCATGGTTAACCTGGAGTGAGCTGGAACTAAAAGGGAACCCTCGGGAGTGCACACAACACCATCATTCCAGAAGGAAGAGATTTTTATGAAGGAGTAAAGAAATTTCATGTAAAATGGATTCTGACAAATCACTTTTCTACTTTGTGAGGGATTCTCCTGTTCATTCTTCCTCTACTCTCTTTGATCTAATGCTGCTGGGTTAGTAGGGCCTGGGGATTGAAATACAAAGGCAGCCCATGCTGCCAGCTAGCCTCGACCTGGCACTGAAGGTTAAAAGTTCATGCATTGCTGTGAAGTTGGTACATTGCTCATCCAGGTCATGGGGTTGGAGGCCAGATGTGGATGTGGGGCTGCAGCCCTGATTAGTGCTAAAGAGTGTGCAATTGGCGTGTCTCTTATCTCTGAGAAGCTGGAGGTGAGTTGGGCACAGAAGGCAGCTAGAAGGACTGGATCCACCGTTTCTTTCCAAAGGAAACAGGTATCTGTTCTGGAAGATGAATCTGATGAATGTAATTGACACGGAGAAAGTAGAATGACTCTATTCTTGCTTCTGTTTTCTTTCAGAGAAGAGACTCTCAACAAGAGTAGTAGAATACATACTGATAAAAAGTGAATTGGCACTGAGCGCCTGAGCTCCTCTAAATGACTTCAAGTATCTTGAGGCAAAGGAAATATTTGCCAAGTGGATTCTCCAAGTGGGTTCAATCCAACCATTGTGGGTGGATTTGAGGAATTGTGGAGGACAGAAGGGAGTTGTGTTGGAAGTTTGGAGACCTACAACGATAGTTTTGATTTTAGAAAAGGGAAAGATGGCTTCCCCCTCCCCTAAATTATAGACTGGTGAGCTTGACAACAGAAGCCAGTCAAGATTCTAGAAGAAATTATTAAGGGAATTACTTGTGACCACTTAGAACTGGAAGTGATCAATAGAGTTAATGTGGGTTTAGTAAGAGTAAATCAAATCTGATCTTTTTTTTTTTTTTGAGATGGAGTTTCACTCTTGTCGCCCAGGCTGGAGTGCAATGGCATGACCTTGGCTCAATGCAACCTCTGCCTCCCAGGTTCAAGCGATTCTCCTGCCTCAGCCTCCAGAGTAGCTGGAATTACAGGCATGTGCCACTGTGCCCGGCTAATTTTTTTTTGCATTTTTAGTAGACATGGGGTTTCACCATGTTGGCCAGGCTAGTCTTGAACTCCTGACCTCAGGTGATCCACCCACCTCGGCCTCCCAAAGTGCTGGGATTACAGGTGTGAGCCACTTCACCCGGCTCTAAATCTGATCTTATTTCCTTTTTTCTAACATAGTTGTTAGACCCAACTGTCAATTACCTAGTTAGAGTTTAACAAAGTATCTGACAGGGACATAATAATCTCTATACAGAACAGAGTACTATAAGCAAGGGTTGATATAATTAGATAGATTCATAACAGAATCGCTACTCAAAGGATGTTGATTAATTGACTTGGTCTCCCTGTATAGGGTTTTAATGGTGGCCATAGGACATTGTCAAACATTCAAATATGCTGTCCTTGGCATTTTCCTGTCAAAGCTCAAATGCAAAAATGCACACAAAGCCAAGGAGAGAAAACAATTTGGATGAAAGCATAATTTTGAAGAGTGCATAGTAAAAGTTGTGGGCCAAGACCAAATTATTTATTGATGTATTTTATGTGTAGACAAGACAGTGGAAACAAATAGACCCAAAGTGTTATAATGGCTCCTATACAATGGAACTGTAGTGCTTCTTCACATAACAGCCTGAGGTGCTGTTCATGGCTGGCTGATGACTTCCCATGAGGACCCGGCTTCTTCCATCCTGTGGGCCTCCCATCCCCAAACACCTCATTTGCATCCACCTCCAGGTGTGCATTCTTAAGAGGAAGCATGGAGGAGGGACCTTTACTTTCTTTTAAAATAAACTTTATCTTTTTTTATGGAATATTTGAAATGTGTAAAAGAACAGAGGTCTAAAGTTCACTCCAAATGCATATCATTCAGATTCAGCAACAATCTATTTAGGACCACCCTTGTTTCATTTCTATTCCTCCCTTTCCTACCCTACTGGATTATTTTGAAGCCAATCCCAGCCATCATCTCATTTTTATAGGTAAGTTTGGATATCTGAAAGAAAAGGACTCTATTTTTTGTAAGCATGGCTATGACACCATTATCACTCCTAAGATACTGACAGTAGTTTCCTAATATTGAACACCTTATCAATGTTCAAGTTGCCCTGATTCAGATTCTCTCTCTTTCTCCCCCTCTCAACACTTTATTTGAATCATGATTCAAACAAGGATGTTCACATTGCATTGGTTGATAGGTACACATATGTGGTTTTTGGATGGTGGGGGATTAAGTCTCTCTTAATCTATACATCTCCCTCCCTCCCCACATCTGTCCTTTTAACTTATTTGTTATTGGGTCACTTGTTCTGTAGAGTCTCCCAGTTTGGATTGTGCTGGTTGCATCTCCATTATGTAAACATGTTCCTCTGAACCAATACTTAAATTTAGAGTCTTGTTGAGATACAGGTGATTTTTTTTGGACAAGTTTAGTTCATAGATGGTGTGTGTTTTTACTATTGATGATCACAGTGTACATTCATTATTTCATTAGGGGTTTGTAAAGTGGTGATATTCTAATTCTATCATTCCATCCTCATTTATTAGAGTTCTTCTATAAAGAAAAACATTTATCAGCAACTATGTGGTGTTCTGAAGTCACACTTGCTTTTTAAATACCTCGACTTCCGTTCATATTGCGTTGGCTAAGGCTAAGTCACCTGCAAGGGAGGCTGGGAAGTGGATTCTTGCTGTGTGTCTGGGAAGAAGAGGAAATGGATCTAGAGCACCAGCTGGCAGTCTCTGCCACAATGACATAGCAAAGTGAAATTTACCTGGATCTATTTAAGGTCCATGTATTAGGGTTTCCAGAAGGACAGAATGAATAGGATGTATGTATATGTGAAAGGGAGTTTATTAAGGAGAATTGACTCAACGATCACAAGATTAAGTCCCACGAAAGACAATCTACAAGCTGAGGAGCAAGGAAGCCAGTAGTGGCTCAGTTTGAGTCCTAAAGCCTCAAAAGTAGGGAAGCCCATAGTGCAACCTTCAGTCTGTGGTTGAAGGCCCGAGGGCCCTCGGGCAAACCACTGGTGTAAGTCCAAGAGTCCAAAGGTCAAAGAACTTGGAGTCTGATGTTCAAGGAAGCATCCAGCACAGGAAAAAGATGAAAGCTAGAAGACACAGCAAGCCAGTTTATCCGACCTTCTTCTGCCTGCTTTGTTCTAGCCATGCTGGCAGCCGATTGGATGGTGCCTACCCAGATTGAGGGTGGGTCTTCTTCTGCCAGTCCACTGACTCAAGTGTTAATCTCCTCTGGCAACACCCTTACAGACATACCCAGAAACAATACTTTATCAGCTATATAGGCATCCTTCAGTCCAATCAAGTTGACACCTAATATTAACCATCACAGTCCCTAAGCCCAGCTGCCCCATTTAGAATGAGAGGGATATGGCTTAGCAGTGACGTGAATGGAAAAGACTGGGAGGAGTTGGTTGACCATAAACTCAGTGAGGAAGGACTGGGCTGTAGCTGCCAAAAGAGGTAATAGAGTCCTGGGCAGCATCAACAGCAGCAGAGCTGGTGACATTGCTGACTTGTTGACAAACCATGACAGGTGCCAAGAAGGGTAGTCAGGGTCGTGGGGGATGCAAAGCCCTATCCAGGGAGGAGTGGTTGGAAGAGCTGGAGATATTGAATCTCAGGACTCTGATGGGACTTGGGAGGATTCTGAAGGGCTCTTTTCTGGAAAAGGGATTACGCTGGATCTGAGTGGACCTAGGGGTGAATCAAGAGTATTGGGGAAGAATTACATGGAGGCAGATTATGGTTGAACACAGGATTTTTTTCTCCTGTGGGTATGATTTAATGGTCTTAGCTCTGTTATGATAGAATGGGCTGCCCTGGAAAGACTGTGTTCTCCTTGCTCTTGAGGTCATGAGGAGGGATTTGGCACCATGTAACAGAAAGGGGAGTCAGAAGTAAGGGTGGATGGGTGGCTACCCTGTCCCTTGATCTCCTGTGTCCCTCCAACCCTTGAGAGGCAGAAGATCAGACAAGCTATGGGGAATCTAGTACGTGATAACTGAGCGGAATTGCATGCTATGTGTTCAGCAAATGGCCATGCAGTCTGTGGGCAAGAGTATATATATAATCATTCACTTTTAGGCAATTCTTTTCCCCTTTTTTGTAGTCATAGATTTATTGTGTATAATTAATATATAAAGCACATATTTAATGTGAATAAAGCACAGTTTGATGAGTTTGGACATATGCCAATACCGGTACCATCACCACAGTCAAGGTAATAGACATATTCGTCACCTCTCAAGGTTTCCTTGTGTTCCTCTTCCCTTTTGTTTTTTTTCTTTTTTTTACTGTGTTAGGAGCACTTAATATAAGATCTATCCTCTTAAACTTTGAAGTGCATAATGCTGTGTTGTTAACTATAGACACTGAGTTGTACAACAGACCTCTAGAGCTTATTCATCTAACATAACCAAAACTTTATAGCCATTGAACAAGTCCCCAATTCCCCTCACCCACAGCCACTAGCAATCTCTTGTATTCTCTGTGCTATGAGTTTGACTATTTTAGACACATCATATAAGTGGAATCGCCTATGTAGTATTTATCCTTCTGTGGCTGGCTTATTTCACTTGGCATAATGTCCTCCACGTTCATCCATGTTGTTCCAAATGGCAGGATTTTCTTCTTTTTTAAGGCTGGATAATATTCTTTGCATGTACACAATATGTTTTCTTTATCCATTCATCTGTTGATGGATGCTTAGGTGGTTTCCATATCTTGGTGATTGTGAAGGATGCAATAGACACAAAAGGGCAGATATCTCTTTGAGATCCTGATCTCAATTCTTTTGGAAATGTATCTAGAAGTGGGATTGCTAGATCATATTATAGTTCTATTTTTAATTTTTTGAGGAACCTCCATACTGTTTTCCGTAGCAACTACACTATTTTCCGTTCCCACCAACAGTGCAGAAGGGTTCCATTTCTTGACCTTCTTGCCAACATTCACTTTTTGTTTTTTTGATGATAGCCATCCTAACAGGTGTGAAGTGGTATCTCATTGTAATTTTGATTTGCATTTCCCTGAGATTCTTTTGTTTCTTATGGAAAGCAATTATTGTTCAACTTTTGGCTGAACTTTTAACTTACAGAGATAAAAAACATTTGGGGGGTGGTAGAAAATACACTTGACAACCAATTTTTCTTTATTGACAAAAATTTGTACATATTTATTTTGCACACATGCTGTTTTCAAATATGCATACATTGTAGAATGACTAAATCAAGCTAATTAATATCTACATTTCCTCACGTACTTACTTTTTGTGGTAAGAAATAACCAGTTATTTCTGAGTGTGATCTCAGTGGCTGTTTGCTTGTTTGTTCCCTCTCTGTGGAGCACGTCTAAGTGCCAGCCCTGCCCTATGTTCCTGGAGACATAGTCGAGCAACACGTGGGACTCTCTCTTGAAGCTTGCAGAGGGAGGTAGAGGCAGATGTGCACTGGGGTAAAGATGCTTTCATGTGGAGGACGTGTGTGTGCAGCTGGGGGAGTGAGGAGGAAGGCTGAGCAGGGTGGGCAGGGACGAGTGTGGGTGTGTGGGTTGGATATTAGGAAAAGCTCAGGGAATCATACCGGGGAGGTGCTGTAAGAAACCTTGAAGGATAAGTAGAATTAATCAGACAGGTAGGGGAAAAGGCATTCCCTGGGAGTCACTTCTATGGGGACAACTTGCACAAAGGGAGGGAAGGTATAAGCATGGCATTTTGGGACATGGTGGTACAGGAGAGCAGGCTTAGCAGGCAGGGCATGCCCTGGTGAGACTGGAGGTGAGGCTGGAGGGTTGGCAGGGTCTGGACCAGAAGGGGTGGGGATCCATCCTGCAGAGCTGAAGTTCTCCCTGAAGGCCTCTGACTTGGTCCCTTGGGTGAAGAAGTTGCTGTGGACCACTAGGCTGGGAGTGGGTGCCCCCGATTCTGGGTCCTGCTTTTCAGTCACTCACCTTTCGATACAGCCCACTTGCCTATACTCCACCTTAGTTTCCACATCTGCAGAACAGGGAGGATGAATTAGGAGAAGCACGGTGGCTAGATTGGAGTCAGATATCCTGGGTTTGAATCCTGCCTCCAACACTGATTAGCTTTTATTTAACCCATGTGCCTCTTAACTGGTAAAATAGGAATAATCATGGTACCAACCCCATGGGGTTACTATGGGGTTTAAACAAGAGGATTCTTGTAAAGTGTTTACCTATCACAGTGCTTGGATTTAATTGAGTGCTGATTGCTCAATACGTGGTGGCTGTTATTATTATACTAAGTGGTTAATACTGCTGGGTGCCATTTCAGACCACACAGTAGCGTGTGGCAGCAGCTTCTGTGACTTTGCACAGGATGTGGGTCATGCCAGCTTTGTATCCCAGGAGAGCTGTGAGGTGGACTGGCTTGGAAGGGTCATCCTTGGGGAAGCTCTTCACCTTCCCAGGATGCCTGCCGCTACACTTCTGAGGCAGGAAGCCCGGGGCCCCCTGTCTGGGAGTGGAGAACTTCCTGTGAGACATCTCGCCATCAAATCCCACTAGTTAGAGCCCCAGCTCCTGTTTGTAAATTCCTGTCTGCTTCTCTCCTCTCTCTCTACTGCTCACTCTCCTGCCTCTGACTGCCCACTTGCCAGAACATTTTTCTTTGGACATATTTCTACATCCTATAGCTATAATTGCCATGGGAAGTTTCGTATCAGCCTCCTCTTAAAGTCAATTATCAAAAGGATATTAATATCTGATAATGACTAGAGTTTTTCTTTTCTTTCTTTCTTTTTCTTTTCTTTTTTTTTTTTTTAACTCTTAAGAGGTCTGGAGATACAATCCCTTCTACCCCAACCCCAAGGAATTAATCCTAATGGTGGATTTTCAGACTCAGTCTTGGGTGGAGGCTGAGCAGCCTTTCAAATTTCAGCCTGGAGCAGCTGCAGTTTAAAAGAGTATTTGCCCTCTTTTTCCAGCGAAGCTCCCTCTCCCTCCTGCGTGTGCAGAGTTGAGACGGGTGTGTGTGTGAGATCCAGGTGTCCATGTTTACTGAAGCTGGGACAGCTCTGAGCCTGGTTTAATTAAGTCTGTGTCTGATTCTGTTTCCCAAGTTCTTAACTGTGGCAGAAAACATCAACTAATAAAATGTCAGGAGAGTACAGCTTCCCCCAGTAGACCCCAGAATCATGTTTGGTGATCATTATGGTTGTTTCTGTGGGCATGCCTTTCTTCCCAAGCACTCTGCCTTATGAGGGGGGTCCCTCAGAAGCTGGCCCTGAGTCAAGGATTCAGGTGTGAGTGATTTATGAAGGAGGAAGGCAGAAGGGAGTGGGATTCATAAAGGATGTACTCCTAGGAAAAGGGAGTTGTAGAGGCAAAGATGGGAAGAGAGAAAGGGGCCAAGCAGGGGTCTGACTGGTGAAGAACCAGCTGCAGCCTGAGCCAGAGGGGAGCTCTGGAGTGTGAGTTGCACCTCAGAGTTTGCCTACTGGAGGAAAGCGAGCCTAGCCCTGACACTGGTCAGCCAGAGGCTACCAGCCACCCCAAGGGATACAGATGTCCAGATATTTCCACTCTCCACATAGGGAGGTGGTCCCTGAAGCCCAAGGGTAATGCTCTGCTCTGCGTGGCTTGTAGTTATGAGCTGTCAGTGGGGGCTGGAGCATGGGAACACAGCACCAGGAGGGGGATCCGAGGGCATCCGGGTGGGGTCAGTGGTGTCTGCTGCAAATGTTCACCCCCTCCCTCCCCACAGGGCACCTGCAACAGGCTCATTCAATGTGGCTAAAAAACTATTAGACATAAAGTGGAAGACAAGGCTCTCCAAGCACATGTTGGGGCTCAGGACACAACACCCCAAAATGTGACAATAGGAGCTCAGAATATGCCACCCAAATATCCCTTTTTAGCATATTGATTAGTTTCAGCTGGTTATTTTGAGAAACTGCAGACCCAGGAGTAGATCTGAAAAGTTGCTCTTTTGTAAAAACAATGGACCTCTCTAAAGGGAATTTTCATTAGTCATTAGAGCTGCTCTGACAGCTTTTATTATCTGAAAGACTTTCATCTGCATAACAAAACAACCTCTATTCACCATATATTTCCTTCCCTCATCCTCTGTATTAGTCTGTTTTGCATTGCTATAAAGAAATACTGGAGCCTGGGTAATTTATAAAGAATAGAGGTTTATTGGGGTCACAGTTTTGCAGGCTGTATAAGCATGGTGCCAGCATCTGCTCAGCTTCTGGGGAGGCCTCAGGAAGCTTTCACTCATGGCAGAAGGCCATGGGGGAGCAGACATGTCACATGGTGACAGAAGGAGCAAGAGAGAGAGAGGAGGAGGTGCCAGGCTCCTTTAAACAACGAATAGAGTGAGAACTCACTCATTACCATGGGGAGAACACCAAGCCATTCATGAGGGACCCGCCTCATGACCCCACCTCCCACCAGGCCCCACCTCCAACACAGGATCACATTTCAATATGAGATTTGGAGGGGACAAACATCCAAACTATATCAACTTGTGTTGCCCCTCCTACCGCTTTCTGTAGCTTAGGATGCTGTATAAGCCTCAATCATCTGGCCACTTCCTTGAATCTCAAATGTTTGTGGGACTCCATTGCATGTGTACATATTAATATGACTTTTCTCCTGTTAATCCATCTTCTGTCAGTTTCATTCCTAGACTAGCCAAAGGCCCTAGAAGGGTAGAGGGAGGCATGTGTTTTCCTCTCCTACATACATTTCAGGAGATGTCACAGTAGGACTTCATTAAGGTAGCGAATAAGCGCTACATGTCTCCAAAACAAGGGGAAGGCTTGGCCGATTATTCTGTCGAGACTGGAAGATAGCTCAGGGAGAATTGATGCTTTCCCTGTCTGGACTGTATCCCTCCTGGGCTGTGGTTATGCATTTGAGACTGAACAGGGCTGGCCAGTGTTGTGTGAGCCCAGGTACTGGAAAGCCTCTGGAATTGAAATCAGGATTGTGTTTAATTCTTTATGGTCCTGTGCCTGTCAGCAGCTGGTTTCATTTATCTTCAATGAGAGTCTACATTCCTCAACCATCCACTTATGCCCAGTTGACTGTAAGACCAAGGGACCCATCTCAGACGTGAATCTCTGAAAGCAGACTTGTATTTTATGTAGTTCTAGCTTGTGCAGTGGTTCAGTAGAAGGAGCTTTCTTGTCCTATGTTTGCTGCATATTGTGCAAATAGAAATTTCCTGAGACATACATTAGTAGTGTGTTAGTACACACTATTGCTGGTTGGGTAACACTAATGTTTGACATTTACAAAAATTAATTCAATTTACTGTGACTTAGAACAGGGTAAACCAGAGCAGTGAGTTTTTGTGGAGTTCCCAGAATTATTCTTCAGGTCCAGCTTGTCTCCCTAAGACCCCCCTTTTATTTGTCTCCATGACTCAGTGTAATTTCCATGACAGAAGTTGTCTTTGAAGGTAAACTTTCAGATATTTTTGTCTGCAAATTAAAAAATTTCTCGAGACAAGTAACACTCTAAAAACCAAAAAAAAAAAAAAAAAAAAAATTAGGATATAGTCTAACAAGATTAAGGCATGACTAAAGCTTACTTTTCTCTCACATAACAAAGTCTGGAGGTAGGAAATTCAGGATTGGTATGGCACTTCCGTGAAATTGCCAGGGACCCAGGCTTCTCTCAGGTCTCCCCTCTGCCAATCATAGGGTGTGGCCCTCACCCTTGTGTTTATGACAGCTGCCTGAGCTCTGGTCTTCACATCTGAGTTCCAGGCGACAGGGGTGGAAAAAGAAAAGCATGCACTTCCCTTTAAGGCACCTTCTGGGAAGTCTCCCATTTATGTATCATTACTTAGAACATGGTCACATTATCACAGCTAGCTGCAAGAGAGGCTGGGAAATGTGACCTTTTAGCTTGCTAATAATTCACACAGCCCCAACCAATGAATCTAAGACAGGCAAAGGAAAAATGTATTTTCTTCTCCTCTAAAACTCATATTTGACCATAGATTATTTCCCCCAAACTCTCCACATATGGAAGTCTGAAGAGCCATATTCATACGTTTCTGCAAAAACCAAAAAACCAAAACTAAACTAAAACAAAACACAAAACAATCCCCACCATACCAAAAAACAACAACAAAAAACTCCAACAAAGCAGATAAAAATGTTATTTATATAGACTGCCAAAAGTTCCCAACTTGGCCTTGTATTCCAGTTTTACTTCCAGGATTAAAACTCCAATAAAAAGAGCTTCTGCCCAACTTCAGCAAGCCTTATTCCTAGGATGCTTTATGAGCTAACCCTGTTTAATGTTCTTCCTATTATTCATCCTGCCTTTCCCCACCTGCAGCCTTCCTCCAGGAACAGCCTTGAACCTGTGGGGCACCATGTTTATGGAGCTTCACTGCTGTTGCTCTTGTCTGGCTTTGCTGGGCATGTTCTGCTTGACTGATCCACCTTCCTTCCCTATATTCTCTTCTAACTGGCCCTTATTTGCAGTTTTCTGAGTAGGAAATATCAGTCTTCTGGGCCTCAATTTTCCCATTTATAAAAAGGAATGGTAAGCTCAAAAGTCTTTTTTAGGGATTATAATTTTGCTTCTAGTATTACCTTTTAAGCAGGAAACACACTGCCCAAAAGAAGTTGTGTACTTTCTAGAAGGGAGAGAAGTGAGGTCCAATCATAAATGAATGGCAGATGTACGAGTAACTATGATTTATTGAACACCTGAAACTACGTGAGGCATTTTACACATACCATTTCTTTTTTGAAATAACAGATTTGTTGAGATATAATTCACATATACATTTTATCCATTTACAGTATTATGATTCAATGGTTTTTAGTATATTCAGGTATGTGCAACCATCACCACAGTCAATTTTAGTGTATTTCCATTACCTCAAAAGGAAACCCTATATCCATTAGCTACATTCCCTACCCCTCATCCTTCTCAGCCACCACAATCTACTTTCTGTCTCTGTAGAATTGCCTGTTCTGGACAATTTCATATAAATGGAATCATGTATTATGTGGCTTTTTGTGTCTGACTTCATTTATCTGGTGTGATATTTTCAAGATTCATTCATGTTGCAGTATGTATCTGTACTTCGTTCTTTTTTTATCGCTGGATAATATTCCATTTTTGGGTTTGCCACATTTTGCTTATTCATTCATCAGTTGACATTTCAGTGTTTCTACTTTTTTGCTATTATGAATAATACCACTGGAAACATTCATGTACAAGTTTATGTGTGGACATGTGTTTTCATTCCCCTTGAGCAGATACCCAGGAGTGGAATTGCTGGGTCATAATGCTAACTCACATTTACATAGGTCATTTCTGATCCTCCTAAGAATCCTGTAAAACAGGAATTACTATTCCCATTTTACTGATGAGACAACTGAGGCTGGAGGAGGTTAAGTACCTTGCCAAGGAGACACAGCCAGTAAGTGGCTGAGTCTGGATTTAAACCCAAGTCTTTCTAATGCCAAAGCCACGGTTTTTCTTACTGTGCTCAACAGCCAAGGTTTAGCTCAGTTTCTGGTCTTACACGTGTTGATGTCAGAATGCTACTAAGGGCTTGCGGAGTCAGCTTCCTACATGTGGCTCTTGCTTTCAAATCACAAGAGCTATTCTGCTAGGAAGCCCCTGGAGTAAAGGTCAACATGAACTGGATCCAAATGGAATTCTCTCTTTACAGTGATGTTTAGATGTTTAAAATGTGCCAGGACCACCACCTCAAATATAAACACCTTCTTTAGGAATACTCAAGGTACAAGTTTCTGATTAGTGACTGTTAAGTGCATTGTCATCTTCTCCTTTCTTTCTCTCAACAGTTCCTATCCAACAGCTGCTACTGTAGGAATAAGCTCTGCCTGCTGCTGCCAGATTGTTGTTACAATAACATGCACCTTTGACAATTTGTGGCGGCTTTGTGTTTCTCTTGTTGTCATTCTGATTTTCAGCTCTGGGAGAGCACACAGCATATGGTGTGGAAATCGCTGACTTTGTACTGAATGGAGGTTCTGGTCATGAAAGCAAAGGTAGACAGAATGTGGAGCGTGGTTTCCAAAGTGGAAATACAGTATTTCACCGGATCGATTTTTTTATCCTGAATATTGCTATGTGTAAAGAGATGGTATGCTAAAAGAGCATCAAAAAGAAAACTGTAGTGGCAGTTTACATGTATATACCATAGAACCTGTCTCTAAAGAACCAGCTGCTTTGATAATATTTAGGACCATTAATTCTGTTGTCTGAGAAAGGGAGCAGACAGGATCATTAGGCAGCCTTATTTTCATTATAAAACTTAGATAAGAAACATTTACATAAACCTATCTCAACACAATACAATCATTTTTAGCATTTTGGTACATTTCCTTCTAGTCTGTGTTTTTTCTTTATGCATAGGATTCAAAACAAATTTGGTTTTAAGACATGTACACAATTTTACATCACCTTATTCTTTTATAACTATATGATCATAAGTATTTTAATTTTCCCCATATTATTACATCATTTTTATAATCATTTTAAGTGGCATTTAAGCATTTCATTAGATATGCCAATCTATTTTATTATTTGCCAATACTGAACATTTAGATTATTTTCTTTGCCTTGCTATTATTTGTTTGGTTGGTTTTTTAGAGACAGGATCTCACTATGTTGCCCAGGCTGGTCTCAAACTCCTGGCCTCAGATCCTCCCACCTCAGTCTCCTGAGTAGGTGGGATCACACGTGCAAGTCACTGTACCTGGCTGCCTTGCTATTCTTAATAACATCTGTATATCCACAGCTTTTGTGCATTTATTTCCTTAGAAATTCCTAGAGGAGAAATTTAGAAGGGTCTCTAATGACTGTTGTCAAATTGCTTTCCAAAACAATTGAGCTCATTTCCACTTCTCTTGGCAGCATGAGAGTGTTGGTTCCACCACATCTTCACCAGCATAGCATTGGCTGGTATTGGTAAGTTTAGGTACGAGGAATGAAGTTGAGCTCAAAGAGAAGATAAAAGCTATCCTCTGTCTCTGGGGAGAGTGTTCCAGGAGGGCAGAAAACTCATTTTGAGGAGGAAAAAATTGGGACATGTGGCAAAAGAGGGTTATGATGGGGAAGGAAGACTTCAGCAAACTTTTTAAAAAAATTTTTATTTTTTAATGTATTGTTTCTTACCTCTTGTTTTCCAGTCTAAGCCCTGGGAGCTTGTCATAAATTCTCTGCAGAGAGACCTGTGGACATGTAAAAGCAAGCGCGGCTCTTTGGGACCTACAGGACTCACAATCTTCCAGGGCTGGCCATCCAGTTGCCACTTGTGGGGAGAGCCTCCTTCCTCAGGGTCAGAAGCAGAGCAGAACCAGCAGCCATGGAGCAGAGACCAAGCCCGGCTGGAGGCTGGTGGCAGAACAGTAAGTGTCACAGTAGCGAAACGGCATTTTCAGAGGAAGTGGAGGTAGCAGCAGTGGGATGGGGGAACGAGGCAGCTTTGTGGGGATGGGCTTGCTGGGTCAGCTGGGAATGTGTGTGTGACCGTGTGTGTGCACGTGTGTTTGTGTGTGTAGAGAGAGCAGCAATGACCAGCATAGCCCCAGGGCTGAACTGGGCTAAAGAGCTGCAGAGTAATTAGAACAGCAGGCAGTACTAATTGTTATTATGTATGAAAGCACCTTTATTTGTAAAATTGTTTTATGTGCCAGGCTTGGTGCCAGCTGTTGGTTTCCTGCTTACCCTGGCTAGCGGAGGCTCATCCTGGAAAGTCTCTTGACCAGAGGACTGGTCAAGAGAGGGTCCTTACCTTCTCATGCATTCATTCATTCATTCAGTGAATGTTTACTGTGAAACAGGCCCTGGGGGTATGGCTCTGAGCAATGTGGAAGACATCCTTTACTTTTCCTCCTCAGAGCTGAGTCCAGCAGGGCTGGTTTCATGGGTGTCTGACCCATGCAGTTGCACAGGGCTGTGGTCTCAGAAGGGCTTCAAACTTGGTTTGATGCTCTGCCGTTACCATCTTGAAATTTGTAATAATTTTATCTTTGAATCTGGGCTTTGTCGGTGACGTCGGATAGGGCAGTGCAGCATCTGCGTGAGTAAAGGACGCACGCACAATGCCCGCAGCACCTGCCGTTCTCCATTTGCATGTGTATTCACGATGTCCCATGAACCTAGAATTCCCGCAGCGCCCTGTGGGAGCTCAGTGAGACATAAAGCAAGCACAAGGTAGGTGTGATATGAGTGTGTTACATTTACCACTTAGGAAGCAGGGAACCCACAGCGCCAAGAAGCTACACTGTCCGTTTGAATCAGAACTTGTTTTGAATGCAGAAAGAAGGCAATGGTGTTCTAAGAAACCTGAATACCTATTGCGCCCTATCAGATCCCTTCTTACTTGTGTCACTTCCCTGTGTTAGCCAACCACTATGCTGAAAATGATGACACAGGAGGAAGGAAAAGAGAGGGCAAGCCACAGTTCCTCCTCCTCACACATCAGAAACCTGATTGGTAAATGTGTTCTTAGAAGAGAAGGGAGTTGGTTGTGTGCAGCATTCCTGCTGCTTAGGTAAGATCAAAATACTCATGTTTGTGTGAGGTACGAAGTGCAAATTGTGTGATTTTGGTGATTCCACATGTTTGTTAAATGTTCTAATATTTGCATTTAAAATTGGTATTGTGCAATATACAGAAGAGTGGTAAAATTCACACTAATAATTTTCTATTTTATTTCTTTTTTTAAACTTAGAATGACAGTAAATATTACTGACGTTGGTGCAAAAGTAATTGTGGTTTTTGCCCTTACTTTTAATAACAAATATAATAACACCATGACATGTAGGGCAAGCAAGAGAAATTGCAGGAAAAAAGAAAACGTTTTATATTTTAGCATCTTTAATGACACTTTTTGCCTGTTTTTTTGAACAAAGTGCTCTGCATTTCATTTTTATACTGGTCCTTGCAAATTCAATGGCCAGCTCTGAGGCTGAGTTCGTGACTACAAGGAGGTCCATTCCTCTCTCTTCTTTTTTTTTTTTTTTTTTTTTTTTTTTTTTAAGATGGAGTCTCATTGAGTTGCCCTGACTGGAGTGCATTGGCACGATCTCAGCTTACTGCAGCCTCTGCCTCCCAGGTTCAAGCGATTCTCTGCCTCAGCCTCCCTAGTAGCTGGGATTACAGGTGCGCTCCACCACACCTGGCTAATTTTTGTATTTTTGGTGGCGACGGGGTTTCCCCACGTTGGTCAGGCTGGTCTTAAACTCCTGACCTGAAGTGATCCACCCACCTCGGCCTCCTAAAGTGCTGGGATTACAGGCATGAGCCACTGTACCTGGCCCCTCTCTCTTTGATTGCATCCTGGACCCTAGATACTTCCACTAGCTGATCTAGTCTGGTGGAGATGCCTTAGTAAGAGGTAGGGTTGTGAGGTACAAAGAACCCGAGACATGGATTGGTAGACTTGAGTTAGAATTCCATCTCTGGCTAAGTTGCTGTTGACATGCATGCCATCTACCTGCTCAGCACTCCTGTTTTCTCATTTTAAGAATGGACAGTGATGCCTACTTCTCAGGTAGTTGTGAGGATCATCATCATTGTTATCATCGTTACCAGCAGCAGTGTAGGACAGGCACAGGAGGGTTAGGAAGGAAAAGGTACAGGCTTGTTGGGACAGATTTGGCAAGGTAATGATTCAAAGGTGGGTAGAGAAACTCACCCACCAATACAAGGTTGTGGCTACCATTTGATTCTGTGGGCCCAAGAATTAGTCCCCCATCTGTAAAATGGGCACCTACCATTGATTCCCATTTCTGCTCCCACCACCCATTCTGGGCAATCGCAAAGGGCTGGAAGAATAGCCCAAATAGCAGCTCGCAGTCCCAGACTAAGTCACAAGGGGAAGCCCTAAGAAGGAGATCTACCATTTCCCAGTCCCAAATTATGTTCAGGTAATTATGCTGATAGGTAGAGCAGGTGAGACAATGTTGATTCATAAATACTTGGTTTACTGGTCCTGGGAGCAATTGTTTCAGTGGAAAAGTGGGTAGAGTATGTGTATTACCTACAAGTTCTGAGCACACAGGCTCAATTTAACCCCTTTATGGACAGTGCAAATTCTCCCTTTCATGAGCTTATTCTTTGTTGCACAAACACCTCCTGTATTAGTCTGTTCTCACACTGCTATGAAGAACTACCTGAGACTGGGTAATTTATGAAGAAAAGAGGTTTAATTGACTCACAGTTCCACAGGCTTAACAGGAAGCATGACTGGGAGGCCTCAGGAAACTTACAATCATGGTGGAAGGTGAAGGGAAGCAAGCACCATCTTCCCATGGCAGAGAAGGAGAGAGAGAGAAAGGGGGCAAGTGCCACACTTTTAAACCATTAGATCTCGTGAGAAGTCACGATCACGAGAACAGCATGGGGGAAATCCACCCCCATGATCCAATCACCTCCCACCAGGTCCCTTCCCTGACATGGTGGGGATTATAATTCCATGTGAGATTTGCGTTGGGACACAGAGCCAGACCATATCACCTCCCAAACTGCTTTTCAGAAAAAGGCAGAGTCACTGTGAAATGAATGAAGCTTCAATCGCTCCCAAGACTCCAGCGACGTGCTCATATTTTTTGTAAAATTTACAAGGGTAGGATTTGGGCTGTGAGTGGTTATGACTTCTGCTTCTTTCCACTCCAGCTTCTGCGTTGCCATACACTTCTCCTTGTGTGAGGTGCTGCTGGAGGTTGAGTGCATTTTGGAATCCAGATAAAGGGAGTTGAATGGGGATAATTAGTGGGAGGTATTGCTGTGGATTGTGGTTCTTTCTGCGATTTGTGGTTCTTTCTGTGTATAGATATTTCTAGTCACCTTGGCACAGGAGAAGCTTCTAGGACACTCCCGCCAACCACTCTGTGAGTCTCCCTGAGTCAGGCCTGCAGGTGTGACAACAGAGATTATGTGGCCCTGGAGAAGAAGTAAGATTTGACATAGAGAGAGCCAGATGCTAGTCTATGGAAAACACTTCCATTCATCAGATGTGTAAAGTTAGAACTAGTGGAATCATTTCTTGACACTTGCTCAAAATAGATGTTCTTTCCTGTCAAGAGTATACATTAATGCAACATGTACAATTATAAACATACCACAATAAATTGCAATGTTTTTTTTGGATGGGAGTCATGTGATATAGACTTCATCAGAATTTTTGGTTGTAGAGCACAAATGTGTGTGGCAGTGCTATAATGAATATGTTTTTACAGGAAGATGTTTGTGCATACCAAATATATTGAGCCATTAACAAATTCTGAAGCTGAAAAAATTTTTTCTGAATTTTGTTTAATAAAAAACAATTTAGATCAACTATACTAGAGAAAGACTGAATTATTTATCTATTCCCTTTGTAGAAAATGATATAAAATCATTGTCTCATAAGAAAGGCAAACAAAGTCTATGCAGCCGACAATGAAGGAAAATAAGATTATAAATGTAGGGCAGGCAGTTAACTAATAAAAATGTCATTTTATAAATGGGCTCTGAATGTTTTTTAGCTTTAAAAAATTCATAATTTATCATTTATTTTCTCATTAGAAATATCCAGTTTTGTACCTAATTTTGCATTTGCATTTTTTATTATAATAAAAAAGCACATCACCTTTAATCCCAGCACTTTGGGAGGCCGGGGGTGGGGGTGCGGATCAGCTGAGGTCAGGAGTTTGAGACCGGCCTGGCCAACATGGTGAAACCCCTTCTCTCCTAAAAATACAAAAATTAGCCAGGTATGGTGCCAGGCGCCTGTAATTCCAGCTACTCAGGAGGCAGAGGCAGGAGAATCACATGAACCCAGGGGGCGGAGGTTGCAGTGAGCCAGGATCGCACCATTGCACTCCAGCCTGGGCAATAAGAACAAAATTCCATCTCAAAATAAATAAATAAATATATATATATTTTTAAAAAGCACATCACATAAAATATACCCTCTTAAATGTTTAAGTGTACAGTGCAGTATTGTTAACTATATGCACATTGTTGTAATGTGTATTTTCATTAATGTTTTTTTCTTCAAGAATGCCCCCAAATTATATAAATTTCAGCCCTCAAACCCAAATCTGCCCTGCCCCTAGAACTTTTCTCATTGCGTCTCTTTCAAAACCACATATTTCTTCCTTTTTTTCTCTTCCTTTTTAGACAACAGCTTTATAATAGCTTTATTGAGATATAATTCACATATTACAAAATTCACTCTTTTAAAGTGTACAATCATTTTTAGTATATTCACAGAATTGTACAACTGTCACCATGATGTAATTTCGGAACATTTTCATCACCCCTAAAAAAGAAGCCCTATACCCATTAGCAATCACTCCCTGTTTTCCCTCCCCTCAGTCCCTAGACACCACGGATCTACTTCTGTCTTTATGAATGCCCTTATTTTGGACATTTCATATGAATGGGATCAAATCATATATGGTCCTTTGTGACTTTTTTTTTTTTTTTTTTTTTTTTTTTTTTTTGGAGACGGAGTCTCGCTCTGTCACCCAGGCTGGAGTGCAGTGGTGCCATCTCAGCTCACTGCAACCTTCACCTCCTGGGTTCACGCCATTCTCCCTCCTCAGCTTCCCGAGTAGCTGGGACTACAGGCGCCCGCCACCATGCCTGGGTAATTTTTTTTTGTACTTTTAGTAGAGACGGGGTTTCACTGCGACTGACTTTTTAACTTGGTATAGTGTTTGTAAGGTTCATCCATGGTGCAGCATGTATCAGTATTGAATTCTTTTTTATGATAGAATAATATTCCATTGTATGGATATGCCACCTTTTTTTCATCCATTAATGAGTTGGTGGATATTTGGGTTATTTCCACCTTTTGGCCATTATGAACAATATTGTTACGAACCTTCATATACAAGTGTTTTCATTTCTCTTGGGTAGATACCTAGGAGTAGAATTTCTGGTCATATGCTAACTATATGTTAAATCTTTTGAAGAATTGCCAGACCGTTTTTCAAAGTGGCTCTACCATTTTACAATCTCACCAGTAATGTGTAAGGGTTCCAATTTCTCCAAAGCCTCACCAACACTTAATGTGTGTCGTTTTGATTTCAGCCATCCTAGTGGGTATGAAGAATATCTTACTCCACATTTAATTAATGTCTCACTTTTTTACTTAGAGCTGTTTCATTAACACATGGAGGGACTTCCATTACACCCGGATTGTAGGGACAAGAATACAGACATTCGTAGTTGTTTAAGCAACATACTGACACATTCAAACTTGTGTATTCATTCTCTTCAAGCCCTTGACTCTATTTGCTCAAACCCTAACTGTATTCTTGTCTTATTTCATCTTTATAGTTTAAAAAATCCAGACAATGTGTAGACCCCTCTCAATATTTTACTGCAGGACAACTTTTTAAGCCAGGAATATTCTATCCACCTCGTTTTATTTTCATTGGTAGCAATCTAATAGGGCTGTTGTGATTAAATGAGGTATTGTATATCAAATGTATGGTCCATTAGTTCAATAAATATTAGCTAAAAAAAAAAAAAGATTGGATGCACTAGTCACACGGGGAGAGCGGCTTCACTTCAGGTCGAAGCCACCAGAGGAATCAACTCCTCCGACACCTTGATTTCAGCTTCCGCTTTTATGAACTGTGAGAGAATACATTTCTCTTGTGTGCGTGTGTGTGTGTGTGTGTGTGTGTGTGTGTGTGTGTGTGTGTTTGTGTCTGTGCATGTCTCTGTGCGTGTGTGTGGGTTTTTTTTTTTTTTTTTTTTTGAGCTAGGGTCTCAATTTGTCACCCAGGCTGGAGTGCAGTGGTGCCATCACGGCTCACTGCAGCTTCAACCTCCTGGGCTCAAATCATCCTCCCACCCCTCCCAAGTAGCTGGGACTACTAATTTTTTAAAAATGTTTTATAGAGACAAGTCCCACTGTGTTGCCCAGGTTAGTCTCGAACCCCTGGGCTGAAGTGATTCTCCCACTTTGGCCTCCCAAAGTTCTGGGATTACAGGCATAAGCCACCATGCCTGGCCTAGTTTCTCTTGCTTTAAGCCACCCAGTTTGTGATAATCTGTTATGGCAGCCCTAGGAAACTTAGACACCAGCTGTCAGGTAAGAAGCCTGAATACCCTGATGCCACAGTGCTCTGAAGAAGCCCAGGCTGGCTGTGTGAAGAGAGAGAGAGGTGCCCATGTAGCCCTCAGCTTTGCCAAATGAAGAAGTAATCTTGAACATCATCCCCATTGGACCCTCAACAGACTCCACCCTCAGCCAACATCCAACTGCAACTCTCTAAGAGGCCTCATGTGACATCAGCCCAGCTAAGTCCAGGCAATGGACGGAACCATGAGAGATAATAACAAAGATGGTTTGAAGCCACTGAGATCTGTTGTGGTTTGTTTTGTACTAAGGTCTTGATACAAAACCACTGACCATAGCCTTCTGAAAAATGGGGTCCAGCTCTCCTCATCTTTCTCATAAGAATCAGTTCTCATCCCTCTGCACTCTGGAATTCAGATGAACACCATTCTCTATCTTTTCATATGTATAGCAGACGGCTCCCTTCTTCAGTGGGTTTACAACCTGATGGTAGGGGTAAACCATAACTAAAAAAAACTGTTTGGAATTCTTTCTAAACATCATGATAACAAATTCAAAATTATATGTCAGGCAAGTGTGACTAAAATGGTTTGTAAAGATGACAAGATGATATGGTTTGGCTGTGTCCCCACCCAAATCTCATCTTGAGTTGTAGCTCCCATAATTCCCATGTGTTGTGGGAGGGACCCAGTGGGAGATAATTGAATCATGGGGGCAGTTTTACCTGTACTGTTATTATGGTAGTGAATAAGTCTCACGTGACCTGATGGTTTTATAAGGGATTTCCCCTTTTGCTTGGCTGTCATTCTGTCTTGTCTGCCGCCATGTAAGATGTGCCTTTTGCCTTCTGCCATGATTGTGAGGCCTCCCCAGCCACGTGGAAATGCGAGTCCATTAAACCTCTTTTTCTTTATAAATTACCTGGTCTTGGGTATGTCTGTATTAGCAGCATGAAAACAGATTAATACAGAAGAATTCCCTCTGGGAGAACTCTGAATTTTGAAGGAAGTGATGGGTATGAGTAAGGGGATGAGCTGAAAGGGCATTCAGAATGGGAATAACGTGGGTTATTATAATATTACATTCCTTTATTGGAGGAACAGACTGAAAGGAAGTTCACTGGACTCAGAGTGGCTGCCATGGCCAACCCGCCTGGAGAAGATGGGCTATAGGAAGTTCTCTGTGCACGGGTGTCCTTTTTCTGTCTTGTGACCCTATTTCCCTGGCTACTACTGATCAGACTAGACCTTCAAGCCCTGGTCAAAGGCCAGTATCTCTGACAAAGATTCAACCCCAGCTCCCTGACCCTCAGGGGTCCACGAATGGCTTTTAGCACATGTGAACAACCTAAAATTGTGTGCAAAATTTACTGTTTCCCTTCATGTACTTTTCTGGTAAGCATATCCATAACTTATTACATTATCCATAACTTTTATCACATAAAAGGGGGGTAGGGCTTGACCCTGGAAGAGAAAAACCAGAATTTAAGGAAACAGAATGAGATCAACAACATGCACATAATGTACATTTATGAAAATGCACACATAATCATGTATTCATTTTGAAAGAGTGCAAACAAGAAGGTGCACATTGAGCACTTTGGAGAGGTTGCCTATGGAGGTGGAGGGGAGGAGGGAAATGGGAGTGTGGTTTGGAACCAAAAGAAGAAAAAAGAACCAGTATGTAGGTCAGTGGTGGCCTCTCAAGTGACCGGGCTGGAGAACTCTGGTCAATAGGGCACTCCTCGTTGGAAGACGGCCAACTGACAGATGGAACCCTTTCTCTAGGGAGTTTTTGACTGGAGGCCTTGAGAGTGGTGTGAATGGAAGCAGTTGCAGGATGAGAGCTGAGCCTGGCAGAGCCCTGGGGAGGGGAGCAGATGCTTGCTTCTGCAGAGGTGACAAGATGGATGGGCTGCCACAGCTTTGCTTGGGTCACTGCAGCGGCTTGAGCTAATGCAGAGGGAGAAGCTCCCTCATTATACCTCCTTCAGTGCAGTCTTGCTGCAGACCTGGAATGCTGAGAAACGCTCCTAGGACTTGCATCCTAGGTTGCTTCAAGACAACAGCAGCATAAATAATGTTCAAATGGTGAGGACACTGTGAACCTGTGAATGCAGCAAGGGTGCCAGGGTCTCAGGAAGTCAAACATCTACGGGTGTAGACTTTTGGCCTGTTTTTGTGTCCCTGAACCTGGCTGCTTCTCCAGGTAGGCAAACCATAAGGCCTTGTTCGTGCCCATTGGGTTAATGAAGCTGATTAACATGTATCAGGCTGAATGTCTGCAGAAATAATAGCGCTGCTCTCAGGCTCTCCTAAGCAGCACATCACCTCGCTGTTGTTGGCAGGAGGTCTGGAGAGAGGCAATATTTTAAAATGGGCTCTGGGTCAAAACAAAAGTTAGATCATTAGGAGAATTGTATTTCCCTGTGGAGGAGCTGGGGTGCACAGCTGGGATACTGTGTTGGCTCTTGCCCATTTTGAGAAGGAAGGAGACACATTTATACCCACATAAATTATACGTCAGGTTAATGACAAAGTACTTATTTCCAGGCTTAATGGAACGGCATGGTTCTAGCCTGTGGCGGCCCTCTGAGGCACTAGCTGCCATTTAAGCATTCTTAATTAGTGGTGTGCTATGATGCAGTTTGTTATGAGCTATTCCCAGCTCCCCGGGGTGAGTCCATGTTCCGTAACAACTGCGATTCTCTACTTTTTTTTTTTTTTTTTTTTTTTTTTTTTTAAAGTTAAGGAGTAGTTTGATTCTTTGAAATGTTCTTTTTCAAGAGCATAAACACCACAATAGATCTCAATTTAGTAAAAAAAGTACATAATCATTAATGTCACTTATAGTGGTTGGACAATATGGTCCCATCAAGATGTAGAAGGACCTCATGGTGTGACCTCACCTCCCACTCAAGGAGAAAGGCATAAAAAGGGTAACTCATGGCCTTTGAGGTCAGTTGGACCGGGGTTTTGTTCTTGTTTTGTTTTTCAGCTGTGTGTCCTTGGAGTAGATTGTAAAAGACTATTACCCAGTACTTGGCACATATTGTAGGGTCAATACATCTTGATTGTTATTATAATTAATGTATGAAGCACTCAGTTCAGTGTCTGGTATATGGTAGGAATTCTAACAATGCTCTTACCTTCCTTCTCTTGCATCTCTGAGAGCTGACTTTTCAGCGTTTGTCTAATCTGGGGAGTCACTGACTCTGGGGGCCAAAATGAAGTCTTACCCTTCACCTGAAGTGTGAATTCTTAATCTTTAGCATCCTCGCCTTGTGATCTTATAGACCTTCTTGAATACCTAATACATGAGAAATTCACATCTCTCCGAGGCAACCTATTCCCTCCTTAAGCAGCTCTGAGAAAGGAAATTCAGCTCCATCATGAAAGCTGTCCTCTTGCTCCTGCTCTCATAAAGAATCAACATATGTTTATTGAATAATAAATATTCATTGTGTAGGAAGAACTAGTGAAGGATACAAAGGAATTTAATCTATGTTTCTTGACCTGAAAGGGGAGTAAAGAATTACACCCAGGGAAAGATAAATGAGAATGGAAGGTGGCTTTGACACAGCAGGAGCTGCGGGGACCAGTATCTGCATCCCTGAGCTTCACTGATTAGGATGGCTACAGGAAGGAGGCGAGGAATTTGGCTTTCTCGATATGACCTGCCAGCAACTCAGGCTCTAATTCAGTGCAGAGAATTATTAAGAAAGCTTTAAAAAATTTATTACTATTTTAAAAATTTACCTAAGGATTATGACTGTGGTGTGTCTTAGTCTGGGATTTGTAAAAAACAGGCTGTAAACAAAGTTTAGGTGCTAAAGCAGGGACTGGCACACTTTGGCCTGTGTCACCTATTTTTGCACAGGCTGTGAGCTAAGAAATCCCACAACTCAGTGATTTAAATCAGGGTTTGGCGGCCGGTTGGGGTGCCTCACACCTGTAATCTCAGCACTTTGGGAGGCCAAGGCGGGTGGATCACGAGGTCAGGAGATTGGGACCATCCTGGCTAACACGGTGAAACCCTGTCTCTACTAAAAATACAAAAAATTAGCCAGGTGCAGTGGCGGGCACCTGTAGTCCCGGCTACTCGGGAGGCTGAGGCAGGAGAATGGTGTGAACCCAGGAGACAGAGGTTGCAGGGAGTTGAGATCGCGCCACTGCACTCCAGCCTGGGCGACAGAGCAAGACTCTGTCTCAAAAAAAAAAAAAAAAAAAAAATCAGGGTTTGGCAAACTATGGCCTAGGGGTCAAATCTAGCCCACTGCCTGTTTTGTACTGCCCATGAACAAATAATAGTTTTTCCTTTTTTTCTTTTTTTGAGACAGAGTCTCTCTCTGTCACCCAGGCTGGAGAGCAGTGGCACGATCTTGGCTCACTGCAACTTCCATCTTAATTGTGAATTATGTTAAAACAATTCACCTGCCTCAGCCTCCCAAGTAGCTGGGACTACAGGTGCGCTCCACCATGCCCAGGTATTTTTTGTATTTTTAGTGGAGACGGGGTTTTGCCATATTGGCCAGGCTGGTCTCAAACTCCTGACCTCAGGTGATCTGCCCACCTTGGCCTCCTCAAATGTTGGGATTACAGGCGTGAGCCACCACTCCTGGCTGTGGTTTTTCCATTTTTAAATGGTTGACAAAATATTATAAGAAGACTAATACAGGCATATCTTATTTAATTGTACTTCACTTTATTGCTCTTTGCAGATATTGTGTCTTTTACGAATAGAAGGTTTGTGGTAGCTCTGCATTGAGCAAGTCCATCAGTGCCATTTTTCTAGCAGCATGTGCTCTTTTTGTGTCTCTTTCTCATTTTGGTGGTTCTTAAAATATTCCAAACTTTTCCAGTATTATTATATCTATCACAGTGTGATCAGTGATCTTTGTTATTATTGTAATTATATTTGTTTTAGGGTGCCATGGACCCTGTCCATAGAAGATGATGAGCTTAATCAATGTTGTATATGTTCCCCACTCAGGCCTTCTTATTCCTTGAGACATAACAATATTGAAATTAGAGCAATTAATAACCCTGCAATAACCTCTCTCTGTTCAAGTGAAAGGAAGAGCCACACCTCTCACTTTAAATCACACAAATGATAAGAAAGCAAAACAATCTATTGCTGATATGGGGAAAGTTTTAGTAGTCTGGATAGAATATCAAAGCAGGCATAACATTCCTTTAAGCCAAAGCCTAATCCAGAGCAAGGCCCTAATTCTCCTCAATTCTGAGAAGGCTAAGATACCTAGAAAGAAACTTCAGAAGAAAAGTTGGAAGCAAGCAGAGGTTGGTTTATGAGGTTAAAGAAAGAAACCATCTCTATAACAGAAACGTACAAAGTGAAGCAGCAAGTGCTGGTGTAGAAGCTGCAGCAAGTTATCTAGACGATCTAGCTAAGATCATCGAGAAGGTGGCTACACTGACCAACAGATTTTCAGTGTAGATGAACCAGCCTTCTATTGGAAGAAGATGTCATCTAGAATTTTCATTGCTAGAAAGAAGTCAATGCTTGGTTTCAAAGCTTCAAAGAATAGGATGACTCTCTTGTTAGGGGTTAATGCAGCTGGTGACTTTAAATTGGAGCCAGTGCTCATTTTCCACTCTAAAAATCCTGGGGCCCTTAAGAATGGTGCTAAATTGACTCTGCCCATTCTATATAAATGCAAAAACAAAGCCTGGATAACAGCGTATCTGTTTACAGCATGGTTTACTGAACATTTTAAGCCCACTTTTGAGAACTACTACTCAGAAAAGTTATTCTTTTCAAAATATTACTACTCATTGACAATACATCTGGTCACCTAAGAGCTCTCATGGAGGTGTACAGGAGATTAATGTTCTTTCCATGCCTCCTAAAATAACATTCATTCTGCAGCCCTTGGATCAAGAAGTAATTTTGACTTTTAAATCTTATTATTTAAGAAATACATTTTGTAAGGCTATAGCTGCCATAGATATTGATTCCTCTGATGGATCTGGGCAAAGTCAATTGAAAACCCTCTGGAAAGAATTCACCATTCTAGATACCATTAAGAACATTTATGATTTATGGGAGAAGGTCAAAATATTAACATTAACAGGAGTATGGAAAAGTTGGTTCCAATCCTCATGGATGATTTTGAGAGGGGTTCAAGATTTCACTGGGGAGAGTAACCACAGATATGATGAAAACAGCAAAAGAACTAGAATTAAAAATGGAGCCTGAGGATGTGGCTGAATTTCTGCAATCTCGTGAAAAAACTTAAACGGATGAAGAGTTGCCTCCTTTTTTTGAGATGGAGTCTTGCTCTGTCACTCAGGCTGGAGTGCAGTGACACAATCTCGGCTCATTGCAACCTCTGCCTCCTGGGTTCAAGCAATTCTCCTGCCTCAGCCTCCCAAGTAGCTGGGATTACAGGCCACCATGCCCGGCTAATTTTTGTATTTTTAGTAGAGATGGGGTTTCACCAGGTTGGCCAGGCTGGTCTCAAACTCCCAATCTCAAGTGATCCACCCACCTTGGCCTCCCAAAGTGCTGGGATTACAGGTGTGAACCACTGCACCCGGTGAGGAGTTGCCCCTTATGGATGAGCAAAGAAAGTGGTTTCTTGAGATGGAATCTGCTCCTGGTGAAGACGCTGGGAATGTTGTTGAAATGACAACAAAGAATTTAGGATATTAAATTAACTTAGTTGATAAAGCAGTGGCAAAATTTGAGAGGATTGACTCCAATTTTCAAAGAAGTTCTACTGTTGGTAAAATGCTGTCAATCAGCATCACATCTTATGGAGAAATCTTTCATGAAAGGAAGAGTCAATTGCTGCATCAGACTTCAGTGTTGTCTTATTTTAAGAAATTGCCATAGTCACCACAACCTTCAGCAACCATCACCCTGGTCAGTCAGCAGCCATCAACATTGAGGCAAGATCCTCCACCAACAAAAAGATTATAATTCACTGAAGGCTCAGGTGATTGTTAACAGTTTTTAACATAAAGCATTTTAAAATTAAGGTATGTATGTACACACACACACACACACATATATATGTATTTAGACATAATGTGATTGCACACTTAATAGACTACAGTATAGTTTAAACATAATGTTTATTTGCATGGGGAAACCAAAAAATTTGTGTGGCTCACTCTACTGTGATATTTGCTTTATTGTGGTTGTCTAGCACTGAGCATGCAGTATTTCTGAGATATGCCCATATTGTGTGACATGTGACTATTTTATGAAATTCAAATGTCTATGCTCATAAATAAAGTTTTATTGGAATACAACCATGCCCACTTGCTTACAAATTGTCAGTGGCTGCTTTGGTGCGGGCAATGGTAAAGTTTAGTAGTTGCAGCACTGACTGTCTAGCCTGCAAAGCTGGAAATATTTAGCATCTGGCCATTTACAGAGAAAGCTTGCCCTGCTCTGTACTCAAGCTTTATTGAGGGTGAGACCCCAAAGGGCAAATGTGGGAGGAAGCAAGGAAAGGAAAGACAAGGTCGTGGGTTACAGAGTGCACCAGAGTTGGTAAGAAAACAGCATGTGGGTCAGTCACTGGACCACAGGTGAGGAATCCCACTGGGGGTTCCATCCAAAGTGGGGAGGGATGGTGAGAGTCTCACCAGCTTGCTCTTTCCTGTCTCTTGGCTTCATCAGCCAAAGTTCATGCTGTAGGCTGTTAGCACATCTGGGTTGTTTCCTGCTCCCTCCAGGGAGCTGCTGGGGAAGACTAGGCTGCCATGGGTCCTGTCTGGCCAGTGTGCAGCTGGGTGGACTTTGCCAGTTGATGCCACATGTAGGACACCTTAACTGGTGCCAGCAAAGGTGGTGGTGGCAGAAGCCGGGGCTCTGCAACCAAGAGACTGGCATGAGCCCTTCTAGGATGGCTCTAGGAAGCAAGAAGGGAGGAAGTGGATGGGCAGGGAGGTTGGAAGGCCTGGGGAGGTTCATAAACTGGGTTCAGCACATGATGACCCCAAAGAGCTGTAATCAGTTACAGTACTCACCCTCTTGTCAGTTGCAAGAAAAAAATCACATGATGCTTGCTAGAATGAACACTACATGAAATTTGGGCACAGAGTGATATTTGAGGTGTTGGGTGGAGTTGAGGTGGTAGAGGTCTTGGTGAGTCTGGGTTTAGGGAATGAGAAAACCTTTGTAGCTGGAACTCTCCAGTATCTCATGCCCCAGTTATGTCAGAAGAAAAAGGCAAACATTTCCTAAATGGATTTTATTTTTATAGAGCCATCAATTCAAGTTGCAGTGAAGGGCTGGCTGAGAAGAAGAGATTGGTTTCTCAGGGGCAAGCTCTGGAAATTTGGAAGCTATAGAAGGACGAAAGTTGACTTTTCCCCCCAGGTACCACTGGGCAGTGCTGGATTGGTCAATAGTGAGCAGAAAGACATAGTAATAAAAGGGTACAGTCATTGTTAGGTAACTTCCTCTTCAAAGGCTCAGTTTCCCTTATATTAAGTGTGGGATTGAATAGGGTCATCTTTATGTTTGTTTCAAACTCTCACATTTTACACATCCAGAATTCCCAGGTCAAAGCTGTGACCCAGGCTGACCCAGCATTCACTCTTTGGCAGTGGGTAAGGTTGATGATGGGACAAAGCATTTTTAGTGCAAGTCAAATTACTTGGGTGATGGTTGCCATTTCCTGAATTTGATGAGGGAGCCCTAATGCCTAGAGGACTATGTGCTGGCAGCTTCATTTCTTTAGTGAGAAAGTTTTTTGTTAATAAAAGCCAAATCAAACAAAAAACAAGTAAAGTTTAAGTACAAAAGCCAATGTGTGTGTGTATTTTTTTTAGATGTTACATAATCCACAGCAATCTGAATGGATTGAAAAGACTTCATGGAGATGGTTTATAGTTTTTGCGGTCACCCCTGTTGCCAACACTTGTAAAGTTATAAAATTTAGCAAGGAAAGGCATAGGTTTGCCTGTGTGGCCGATAATAAATAAAAAATCTCCCAAACTGAGCTGACAACTAAGAAAGAGATAGGACAAGCAACACAGAGAAAGAAAACAAAGGATAATGAAAACGGCTCGGGGCAAACAGGCAACAGTGAAGAGAAAAATTTCCTGCAAAAGACCAAGACCAGGAGCCCTTGTCCTTAAATAAGAGGTAAGCATGGGGGTGGGTGGCAAGAACCGTTAATCCTGGTGATGGAGGAGGCACTCGTCCCATCCCATTTATAGAAGATGACAGTGATAATAACGATGGCCAATGCTCTTGTGCACTTGTTCTGGGCCAGGTGTTGGGCCAGGAGCTTCCCAATGCATCCTTGAAATTTCTACCTGATTTTCCTCATCTCTGATACCCAGTGTCATTGGTCTGGATCATGGAACTTAGCATCTCTGCCTTGTTCTCCTGCTCTTTCACCTGGGCCAGGTTTGTTTCCTCGGTGTCCCTGTGGGCGACCTGATGGGATAATGTGTCTTTCTCATGTGTACTGTCCTTCACCCTAGCACAGGGTTAGGCCCAAAATGCATGCTCAAAATGGACTTGATGGAATAGTTAGCAGACTATTTAGCTCATAATGATTCTTGACATTAACAGAGGGCTGTGTGCTGAACTCTGTGCTCAGTACTTTATAAGCATAACCTCATTTCATTCTCACAACAGTTTTAGCAGGTATGTTAAAAAGTTTTTAAATTGTAGTAAAAACCACTTACCATAAAATTTACCATTTTAACTATTTTTAGGTGTATAGTTCAGTCATGTTTTAAGTATATTCACATTGTCATGCAACAGATCTGCCAAAGTTTTCCATCTTGCAAATATGAAACCTTAGACCCATTAAACAAAACTCCCCATTCCCTTCCCTCCCTATCCCTGGTAACCACCACCCTACTTTCTCTTTCTATGAATTTGACTACTTTAGGTACTTCGTATAAGTGGGCTCCTGCAGTATTTGTCTTTTTCTGACAGGCTTATTTCACTTAGCATAATGTCCTCAAGCATCATCCATGTTGTAGAATGTATCAGGATTTTCTTTCTTTTTAAGGCTGAATAATATTCCATTGTATGTTGTATTAGCCCATTTTCACATGGCTGATAAAGACGTACTCAAGACTGGGTAATTTATAAAAGAAAGAAGCTTAATGGACTCAGAGTTCCACATGGCTGGGGAGGCCTCACAATCATGGTGGAAGGCAAAGATGGAGCAAAGGCACGTCTTACGTGGCAGCCAGCAAAGAGAGAATGAGAACGAAGTGAAAGGGGTTTCCCCTTATAAAACCATCAGATTTTGTGAGACTTATTCACTACCATGAGAACAGTATGGGGAAACCACCTCTCTGATTCAATTATCTCCTGCTGGGTCCCTCCCACAACACATGGGAATTATGGGAGCTACAATTCACGATGAGATTTGGGTGGGGACACAGCCAAACCATATCATATGTGTATACCACATTTTGTTTATCCATTCAGCTGTTGATGGACATTTGGGTTGCTTCCAAGTTTTAGCTATTGTGAATAATGATGCTATGAACATGGATGTGCAAATTGGAGGTGGGTAATTTTATCTCCTCTTTCCATGTATGGGGCTGAGGATCAGGGAGGTTATGCTACTTGCCCGAGGTCACAGGCAGGATGTGGTCAACGTGGGTTTTGAACCTGGGTTGACCTGACTCTGCAAATTTTGCTTGTCACTACTCCTATGCACACTTTTGCTCAGGGCAGCCCCCAAAGGAGGACTGGAGAGCTCTTTTGCAGTTAATGAAGGGCTAAGGTTTATTTGTGGGAATTTTTCTCAGGCCCTGGAACTCTCCTGTGCTTTTGCAGAAAACCTATCACCAGAGGCAGTTTAGGAATGAATTGAAGTGGAAATGACACCAATTGCTGTTTAGGTGGAAGAACAAAGCAACAGAGAAACAGAATTCAAAGGAAGTTGCAGAGGTGATTTAGCACTCCCTTCACTTATTTTTTTAAACATATTATATAAAAGCATTTCAAAGAGTTCACATAAATGTGTAAACATGTGCAGGCACACACACATTCAGAAAACAAGACTGTGACTTCTGTAAATAATCCAAGTGATAAATGACCTTGGTCTGCGTATATCATAAACCATGACGACAAATTATTGGGACAAGTTTGCTAACAGGTGTGATCTATTTAGCTAAACAGATATTAATTTTCCAGCTCTTTGACCTGCTGATAAATTACATCCTGTTGGAGATACATCATGACAAGTTACAATAAAAGCTGATGTTGCATGTGATTGTCAAGACACAATTCAAATGAGATGATTCTTGCCACATATGTTGTGGTTTGGTTTAGAAACTATCCACAATGTAGGTTTTAAAAAAATGATTTTTGATTTACATGGTAAAGGCATTTTATTAATATACTTAAAAATCAACGTATTAGTCCAAATGAGTTGCTCAATATTTGCGGCCATTTACATTTCTGGGCCAGGTTTTGGAATTGTGTCCTGTTTTTTGGAATGATGCTTTCCTCTGGCACTTCCTGCAGAATCTTTTGACACCACATACCTGCCTTGAAATGTTGCTAGGCTACAAAATCAAGTCCCTCGGGATGGTCTAAAATACATGTCCCTTTTGTGTGATATATGATCATGATTTGGAGTTTCCAGTGATTGAAAAGCTGCTGTCAATGTGAGCTTATGCTTTTTTCATCTATGAAAAGCAGGTTTCTCAGCCTGGAAGGTGTTGAGACTTTAGCCCATGTAATTTCTTGCTGTGTGCACCCTTCCTGTGCATTGTAGGGTGTTTCACATCATCCCTGGCCTTTACCCACTAGATGCCAATAGCACTCCCCAGTTGTGACAATCAAAAATATCTCCAAACATCACCAAATGTCCCCTGGGGGCAAAAATTGACCCCTTGATGTCTGCAAACCCCTGCATGTTGCCCTGGTTTTATGGATAGTTGCAGAGTTATTTCACATGCATTTTCTCTTTGTGGTAGCTATTAACATAAATATTCTTATTTGTAATTCTGGCAACAGCCTGGCAGGGAATATTAATGGAGAAGAAAAAAAGCAAAAAAATCCTCCTGTGATATTGCAGTCCACTGAATTACATGCTATTGAGGGGCTAATAAAAGAGATGATGATAAACAGAATAACCTTCAGTTAAATACCGTGTTCCCTGTGGATACCTGCTTCCTGTTTTATAGCGTCCCTCAACTATAGCTTATCGTCATAGATCAGTTAATGGTATGTTTCTTTTTAAACTTCATTGATATCACCCAGTGTTTATTCCCTAGTATTTCATTTTTTATTCTCTTAATCAATAAAGCTTTGCTACCCATTTGTCATTAAAAGTGTCAGTTTGTTTTTCATTCCATATATCTGGCTGACTTCCTGCTTGGATGAATGGAGAAATCTATTTGACTTTGATGGAACTAAGATTATATTGCTAGTAATCAGTGTCTTTTGCATGACAAATCTTGTTCAAATAAAAGTGGTAGAATTTCAGCCTGTGCCGGTGAGCAATAATACTAAGGACAAACACAATATTCTATTAACAGGCTGAGAATAATCTCTTACACTAGGCCCCAGAATATATCATTTGGTTTACACGATAATATAATTTGGACTGTGAATATAAGAATTTTATATTTCTAAAAAAATTACTTGACCATCCTTACATTGTAAATTAAAACATTAAGGTCAGACAAGAACATTTCTCACTGCTGCCAAGTCCACTGTGGGTTCATCCAAGCCACTCTCCAAGGAAACTTTGCTCACCTGCAAAGGGATAGACCTACCGTACTCTTTGCAGGATGTTGTGAGGGATTTCACGTAAGTTTTGATGGAGCTTCCAGAATCTTTGTGGACGCGTGGGACTGTAACCCGCAAGGCAGACGGCATGGAACATTCTGGGGCCTAGGCCAGGATGGGATGCACAATAGCCTAGCAGAGCCACAGAGCCTGGGTCACAGTTGGGAAGAGCCTAGGCTACTTCCAGGAAAAGCTAAGCAGACGTTCCAGAACTCAGAGGCCGAGAAAGTGATGAGGCCGTGAAGGAAGTGTGAGGAGAGTCAGGGGACCCCTGTGGGCACATGGCAGGTCATGGTGGGCAGAGGAGAGGCCTAGTACAGGGCCTTGGGGTGGAAGAGGTCTGGGTTTGAATCATGGTTTTGCCCTTATTACTTGCTGTGTAACCATGGGCAACTTATTTAACCTCTCTGAGCCTTAGTCTCCTTGTCTGAAATAGGGCTAACAAGAGTACCCATCTTGTAGGATTGTTGTGAAGAAAAAATGAGAGAATATCTATAAACTACACATGGTAAGTACTTAATTATTAGGGGCCATTTTTACTTTATTATTGGGGTTAATCTACAAATTCAGGGCCAGGTGAGGTGGCTCACGCCTGTAATCCTAGCACTTTGGGAGGCCCAGGCGGGCCAATCATTTGAGGTCAGGAGTTCGAAACCAGCCTGGTCAACATGGTGAAACCCTGTATCTACTAAAAATACAAAAAAATTTAGCGGGGCATGATGGCAGGCACCTGTAATCCCAGCTACTTGGGAGGCTGAGGCAGGACAATTGCTTGAGCCTGGGAGGTGGAGGTTGCAGTGAGCTAAGATCACACCACTTGACTCCAGCCTGGGCACAGAGCGAGACTCCATTAAAAAAAAAAATCTACAAATTCAGGAGATGTGTCAGTATGCCCAATTCAAGTGGTATCCACCTAGTACATATCCATCTGGCACACGCAGCAGCTAATTTTTTTTGTTTGTTTGTTTGAGATGGAGTCTGTGTTGCCCAGGCTGGAGTGCGGTGGTGCGATCTTGGCTCACTGCAACTGCTGCCTCCTGGGTTCAAGCAATTCTCCTGCCTCAGCCTGCTGGGTAGCTGGGATTACAGACGCCCAGCACCAAGCCCAGCTAATTTTTGTATTTTCGGTAGAGATGGGGTTTCACCATGTTGGGCAGGTTGGTCTTGAATGGCTGACCTCAGGTGACCTGCCTGTCTCAGCCTCCCAAAGTGCCGGGATTACAGGCATAAGCCACCGCACCCGGCCAAGTTTTCTTAAAAGGAACATTCTAGGTCGGGGAGGTAGGGTGGGCAACTGACCTTGCTTGGCTAACATGATGGTCAGCTTGCTTGGCCAGTATTTACACCTTAGGGGAATAATATTTAGGAAATAGACTGAACTTGCTGTCATAATAAGTTCTGGGTCTGTTGATACTAAACAGAATGTGACCTGTGGGGGCTATGAAAACCAGACAACCTAATTTGATCCTGCCTGAATTCTCTGAAAAAGAAATGTGGTTGCTCATGATCTCCTAAATCTCCTAGCTCAGAGGAATTCAGTGTGCACTTGAAGTCTCTTAGTGGCTTTAATGTTTTTACTTCTTTTGGTGGAGGCAGAGGGGGAAGAATAAAAACTTTAAAATTTATTCTCTTTTAATTGCACAAAGGTAAGAATCATGCACAGATTAAACTATGTGGCAATTTGCATTTTTACTTGGGCAATGTTAGCAATATGGGGACCATGAGAAAGAACAGTTTGATTTTATGCATGATACACATGTTCCAACCGAATGCCTCTGGTCCCTTTTAATCGTTAAATGCCTCTGGGGTTTTAGCTTATTGGAAGGATCAGGAAGCAAAATTCTAAGTGGGCCAAGTTCCAGAAAGGGAGGGTGAGAGCAGGAAGGTTTTTTCCCCCTTGCATTTCCCTGGCAAGTGTGATTTGAGATGCACATAGATAAAATGCCTGGCTTGGATCTAAGCAAGGACTAGCAGATGAACTGACTAGACCCTGCTGGGAAGGCAGAACAGAGGCTCTGGGTGAAGGCTCTGAGATGGTTCTTAACAGCTACTAGAGGGCATTTGGGGATCCCCTTTCAGGTTTACAATTACATTTTGGGCAGCAAAGTCATACCACTTGATTAACCCATTTATGCCAGAGGTTGCAATTTTTTGAATTTTTGCAATCAGATCTTGGTGATGACCTTGAGCAGTAGGATATAAATAACTCCCACATGCTTAGCATTCCAGTAATGGAACACTAGGCATAAATGGGTCTTAAAGATGTTGCAGATAAAGCATGCTTGGAGCCAAGAGTTAGTGTGTCATGTCATTAGAAGAAAAGATAACTTTTCATACCAAGAAAAAGATGTCCTATGAATTAATTTCCCAAGTATTCATTCTTGCTATGGGCATTGCCCAGTGCCTGAGAACCAGGGTATAAAACTCGAAGAACTGAAATGATGAAACAAACTCTTCGTGATTTTTAAGGTAATACGATGGGCTCGTATTCACTTTGGAAGTCTTTGAATCTCGCAGCATTTCTCTCCATTGCTAAGTTGATAATGCAGTCAGAGTAGTTTCTAAAATACTTTCATGCTTAAAACATAAAGGCTGATGTGGCCCTGGTTGTGTATTGAATTCACAAGCAGAACTCCTGCTGTTAGCCTGAAAGGAAACTATCACCTAGGAATTCAGATAACTGTTTTAAAGTATATTCCAAAAAAGGAAGCAATATTATGAAACAAAAACGCCTCAAATTTGGAGATGTGGCTTCTAAGGGCAACTTTTATTTTTGTCCCTTTTGCTATACTTCTCTTCTGCTTCTTTTTATGTCTTTTCCATTGTTTGGGGATTTGTGATCCTTTTGAAATAATTTTCTAATTTAGTCTAAGTTTTAGATAAAATTACTTTGCTTGGAAGACCCCCAAGAATGATCTTGGGGTACAACTTCCGTTTGTTCTGGTTTCAGAAAATTCAAAAGATATTGCAGCACTGCTGTGAAGCCTAATTAATGTGATTAAGTTGCTTTTAAGTTCCAAGATAAAAGCAGCTAGATAGGTATGAAAGAGAGAGCCCCGTTCTTGTCCCTTGTCATTGAATGGAAATGTGTGCACGGTGGGTGGAAATGAAAACTGGTTGACTTGCAAACTGCCTGGTTTCTCTTCTACCTGCACCCAAGGCATTAAAGTATGTGTGTGTCCACATGTGTGCACCCATGTACACGCATGTGTGCTTGCATATTTTAAAGCAAAGTTTTGTTAAGACAGACGTTCTTTGAATCTCTTTGGTCCCAAGTATTGCAGTTATGGTTGTAACGGGCATTATCCTTGGTTTCCACATTCTATACATAAGATCACAGGAAACAAATTCAAAGTAGGAAAAGCCAAAGCAATTTGCAATTCTGTGTTCAATTAATCTGCTTTTTGGAGTTGGAATGTGGTCCTAAGGGAAGAGGAATAGGGTTTGTAGTTTGTGTAGCTTTGAGACCCAAACTGCAAGCCAGTGTGTGCCAAATGGCGTTCAGGCGAAGGCCTTGGGGAGCCAGGACCCTTATCTTCCTGGCTCAAGACTGGCTTCCCAGAGTTTCTCAAGAACCCAGGGGCTGGAGGCAGGTTAGCATTTGGAAGAAAACCAGCGCACGCACTGCAGACATATGAACAGTTTAAAGTCTGTGACTGATAGGTTAATTAAGAGGCTTTTAGGTGTAAAACGGTAAGTCTAAAAATAAATGTGCAGATATATTTGGATTTCTAAATGTATGAGAGACATGGAAGATTATGAATGCCTGCTTTTCTAAGCACAGTGAGTACAGTACAACACAGTCGATCAGCACTCAGCTCTTTCTTTGGATGGCATATGACCTGCCTTTGACGATCCCATAACTAACCATTGGTGAAGGGTTTCTTCCCTAGATGGTGGCTTTTGATGGAGTTAGGAAAACTGCCTGCCAGCCCAGGTCTCATTGCAGAAGTGCCATTTATCATAAAAAAAATAGCAGGTTTCCAGTATTTTCAGTGCTGACATCATTGGTTTGTTTGATTTTGTGGCTGTGTTTTGTTCTTCTGTCTCCTGAGCCTATTCTTAGGTGATCTACTCATTTTAAAACTTGAAATGAACTGAAGCTACATTTTGTGTGGCTAGGGATGACACCCCTATATATTATTTAAAATGTTCTAGAGCATCACAAACCCAGGGGTAGGATCCCTGAATTATGGAAGAGAAAAATAAACCAGGCTTTTATTTATTTTATTTATCCTTGTGATTCTTTTTTCTCTAAGAATGAATTTTTCCAAATAAAACTTTTTTTCTTCTTTAAATAATTTTACCTTCCAGACATTTTTTATTTAAGAATTGTTATAGTCTTCATGATTCTACTCACATTAGAATTTACTGTTCTTGGGGGGCAGAGACAGTGTCCTGAAGTCTTTCTGCAGGTAAGGTCACAGGTCCTGTGGTGGGGAATATATATATTTTTTCTTTTTTTTTTTCCCTCAGACTTCTCATAGATGAAGGGAATATTTTTAATGTACACCCCATAGCACTTGGCACAGTTCTGGCTTCATGACCAATATTCAGGATGTGAGACTTAACACCATATCTATAATCTGTGTGTGTTTACTTGTTTCATTTTATTTACAGTCAATGATCCTGGAATCGAGAGGTTTCCTTGGAGAACTGAAATCAGATGAATTTTAAATCCACACAGGGTCTCACTATGTTGCCCTGGCTGGTCTCGAAATTTGGCCTCAAGTGACCCTTCCACTTTGGCCTCCCAAAGTGCTGAGACTACAGGTGTGAGCCACTGTGTCCTGCCAAGAAATATGTTTAATGTTTGTTTCCCCAGTGTTTCACATAAACTTAATAGAGGAGTGTATTAACATACAGTAGGTCTAGTGCTCATCATGTCTGCTTGGAATCTGGGTAGCTTTGTTCCTTGGCAGGAGAGGTGTTTTGCAGCTCTGAGTAAGCCCGTATACCACGGGCAGCCCTCCTGGCTTAACTGCTTGGCTGGCCTTCTCATCTTAAATGCAGCCTCTCACGGATGGCTCAGTGAGAATGGCAGGAAGACCAGCTAAGGAAAAGTAGACCAGGCTAGGGCTCACAATAGCCTGAACCAGGGCCGTGGCAATGGGAATAGTGGGGAGTGAACAGCTGTGACAAGGGTCCTGGAAAAGTGGCCTCAGGGGAGAAAGCAAACCCAAGTGGGCTGTTGGGTTTTGTGGCTGGATGCCTGGGATGATGGGCGAGCAGAGATCGGGAAGCCTGGAGGTGTCATCTGGAGGAAAGATGATGAGCTGGGCCTGCACAGATCCAGTTTAAGGGCTGGGGGGCCTTTGGGGACAACTGTCATCGGGGTTTTAGGAAAGAGTTGAGGCTGTGTGTGCAAACTAGGGAGTGAATGAAGAGAGAATCCAGAGAGAGGATGGTGGAGGATCATGGTCAAAGCCATGGTGGGAGCATCTTCCTTTAGAAAGCAGGCAGGGAAAACAAATTAATAGCATGAAGGAGTGAAGGAGTGCAAAGAGGTGGAAATCCAGCCAGCGAGAAGCAATATCTTGAAAGCTGGAGGGGAAGACCATGTCCATAAGTGGGAGTTGGGAGGTGGCAGAGGAGAGGAGGGCGAGGGAGGGGAGGGGGATTCTCTCAAATGTGCTGAGAGGCTCAGGAGGGTGAGTGGTGGTGGAGACGGGGGTTCTGGACTAAAGTTCGGGAGGTTTCAGGGTGCTAACCTTGGAGAGCAGTTTTAGGAGGGTGGTAGAGGGAGAAGCTGAATTGAGGAGGTGATGGAGAGGGTTGAAAATGCTCTTTGGGGAAGTATTTTTGATCCTTCCCTTTAAAAATACCTTTTATTTTCACAATGTCATTAAAAAATCTGGCTGGCATACGGCAATGACAAAAACAGGCAATATAGTATTTTATGAATAAGCTTACTTTAATAGATCCAGGGGACTGTTTAATGCACTGAAGAATTATTTTTCAGGCATTCTGTGATGTCCAAATTAGGTTAATATACCTCTGAGAAGTGAATCAGTTACTCCTCGTTGGATAGTAAGGTCAGAACAACTGTTCCTGAAACCTTAGTACACACTAGCTGATAAGACACTGTTGCCCATAATGTCTATTTATTGGATCAGCAATTTATAAGTCCCACATTCTCATGCCACATAGCTCTACACAGCTGCAAAAATATACCATAGCTTGCAGGTGATCATTGGTTTGATAAAAGATAGTCGCTCATGTTGTGAAAGTGATCTTTGATATAAGAGGAGCATCAGCGGGGAAGCTCACATGTCCCGTGGCTCACACACCAGAAGGTATTTGTGTCTTGTCATTGTCTGTCTGGCAGTCCATGGCAATGGCTTTTTCAGAGAGGCCTGTTTTGTGGTTAACTGTGTGTACCTTTCTTTCCAGGCCATGGCAAAAAAAATCCAATTATGTCCTTCTTGAGTCTGTGGTCTTAAAAAAAAAAAAGAAAAAAAAGATAATTACTTAAACAGACTTTTTTTTTTCCTTATTCTAATTTTGTCCTGATCTCTACATAAGGTAGGTTTTGAGGTTTTATGAACATGGTCTGTATATTAATATTAAAGCTCTAATGTATGAAAGTAGCCTTCATATCTGGTCCCTCTTTCCTCCATCCCTTTCCCAATTTTAAACCTGTTACAATTTTAGCTCAGAAATGCAGAGAAGAAAATTGAAAGCGTCAAAGGGAAGGTATAAAAACATGAAACTGTGATGGTGTCTACATCCCACCCTTTGGACCTCATGGGGCTGGCAGCACGGGGTGAAGAATGGAATGTTTGTCTATTATTCTTCATGCCCTTTCCAGGGGAACCCTCTGAGAATAGGAAGCTAAGAACTTCTTTCAGCATCCAAAGAAGGCCCAACAGTAAAAGTCAAATCTAGAAAGGCAACTTTGTCAGTGGAGAGTCAGGGAATCATGTCTATGAGACAGATTAATTTAATTACCTGGTGCTACTGCTTCATTTGCAATGATTATTTATTCACTGAGCTGGCTAAATTATACCCTTATCATTCACCACCTCATTTCACTATCCTGGAGATCAGAGCTGTAGATCTCTTGCGTGTTCCTAGGAATGAATTAAACCACCCCTTTAATCCAACGCTAGGCTTTGTGCAGCAAAACGTTTGTTCAGCCGCCCCAGGAGGCGTTCTGGGAGGAGAGCAGGCACTTACCTTGCTTCTTATGTAGTATTTCCTTTGTGAGCTGAAGATTAATGCATGGATTCACCTCCTTCAGCACATTTCATTTCAATTGTGAAGAAAAGATTCCAGGCACTGAATGTAAAATTGAACATGACATTTTGACATTCCTTCTTCTGAGAGCTGGGTTGGTCTTAGTTGCTGTGAGGCTCTAGACACCGACCATACAGGGCGTGGGGCTGCTCCTGGACATGAACATCCTCCGAAGTTCTCCCCAGTCCACTTTACCCCCTCTGGGCTCACCTCTGAATGTGTCTCTTTGTCCACACAGGCAGAGATTCGCTACATCTGGAACTTGGCTCCTCCCAGCTTGAAGTAGCATGAAGATGTGGTTGGGGTGGGGTGGGAAGCGCCATGTTAAACAAACTTGGTAAGGAAAGAGAGCTTTACATTTCCCAACCCAATCTCCCACCCACGGGAGCAATCCCTGCATTCCTGGCTCCCGACTCTCACCAAGGGGTAGCTAAGCCCATGCCAGACAACAGACTTGGCATCACTTAATGCTGTTGACAGTATGACCTCACCAGCCCTACCTAGTTGCCCTGAGTAGCTTGTTCAAATTCCTTTCTGTTCCTGTGGCTTTTCAGTACAACCCTCATCTTCTCTTTGCTGTTTCTCTTAGAATCGGCCAGAAGCAACTTTTATTTGCATCTCATTCTGTGTGCTCTGTGAGCCTGTGAGTAAGGTCCCAGGGGGTTGCTTCTACCCCTTGAATTGAACTACTCTCAACCCCTCTAGAACTTTACATTTACTCCGATTATGGCTCTTATGCAGTGTGATTTCCCCCGCCACCCCAGGGATAGAGACATTTTTGGTTGTCACAACTCAGGAGCTACTATTGGTATTCAGTGTGCAGAGGCCAGGGCTTCTCCTGAACCCCATACAGTACACAGGAAGCCCCCTGCTCCAGAGATCTCTCTGGCCCAGAGTGTCAGGAGTGCTGAGGTTGAGAAGCTCTGCTCTAATGCTATATCATAAACCATAGTTTAGCATGTTCATGAACATACTGCAACAGGGCCGGCGGTAAGCACATGGTATCTCCCGTGTCCAGCACAGAGCTGAGCCCATGGTTGGCTCTCAGGGATGCTCACACCAGAGGAGACACACGATCATACTGTCTGCTATCCCACAGCCTAGGTGTGACTCCATCTGTTTCACTGAGCACTCACTGCTGAGTGCTGAGCAATGTTTTGGAGCTGGTGCTTTCCCCAAATTTTTCAACTTTTTTGATTCCTCTCCCAACGTCTATGGAGAAAAAAATAAGCGATTTTTTTCCCCTTCAAAAATGGAGGGAAACCACATAAAATAGTTTTTTTTTCCTCTTAGTACTAAAGACAATGACTTTCTGCAGGTTAGTAAGCCTGAATGGTCTTGTTGCAGATATCTGTATCTCCATTGTGCAACCACTTTGGGCTATAAGAGGACAGCCAGAAGCTATAGTTTCATCAGAGGAGAACGTGCTGCTGTTTGCTTTTTGACCCAAAAATACTCTTTGAAAGTGCAGAGTGCTTGCAACACTGCCAGGGCCTTGTCCTCTCAGGGACAGATGAGGGTGGTTCATGTCTGTAGATTGAGGGTCAGGAATTAAGAAAAAGAAAAAAGGGGATGAAGCGAAGCCATGATTCTGGATTGTTTGGAACTCAGCTAGACATTTATAAATGTTATGGGGGAATGGAAGAACTCAGAGAATTTCAAAATCTAGCAGAGGTTTAAACTTAAGAATCACTCTGCCTGCTTTTAAAATAACAGATGTGTTGGTTTTATTTTACTTCTTTTGAAAACAGCTGGCAATGTGACAGTTAACAACATTTTATCGGTTGGTCTCCAAGTGGGTTGGAAATCAAATCAAAATTTCTGCTGCCAAAAATGATAACTCTTTCCCTGACCAGGGAAATCTTGATTCCTCAGAGTGATAATACTTGCACTTATATTCTGTATTTTCTTCTGCAATAGTCAGGTACTAATATATCATCCTTCTCTTTGAGAGGTTAGTCCAGCTCCCGCCCTGCAGATGAAGAGAAGGAGGATGTTGAAAATGACTCCCCTGAGACAGTGGGCCCCATTTGTGGTTGTCTGATGCTTTATGAGGATTTCTTTAGAAAAAAGGAGAATAATTGAAGAAATGTGTTATTAGCATTTCTATTAGTTATTTTTCCTGGAAAAGGCAATTTGATGGGAAGTGAGGCATAAAGAAGGCAGAATGATGATGTTGCTGTGATGATGAAGTCAGATTTATTTTTATAATAGCTTTATTGCGATGTAATTTTCATACTTTACAATTCACCCATTTTAAAATATGTAATTTAATGATTCTTAGTGTGTTCACAGAGGTGTGCAACCATTACCATAATCAATTTTAGGACATTTTCATCAGCACCCCCCAAAAACTTTATCATCTTTAACTATTACTTCCCATCCCCTCACTCTCCCCAACCCCCAAATCGCCCAGCCCCTGGCAACCACTTACCTGCTTTCCATTTTTATGGGTTTGCTTATTCTGGACAATTCACTGAAATGGAGTCATACAATGTGTGGCCTTTTATGTTCACTGCTTTCACTTAGCATAATGTTTTCAAGCCTCATCCATGTGGTAACATGTATCAGCACTTCATTCTTTTTATGGCCAAGGAATATTCCATTGTATGGATAGACCACATTCTGTTTATCCAGTTCATCATTTGTGTACACATCACTCAGCAAAATCCCCAGGTGCCTGTTGAGTGCTCAACCAATAAAAGGATAAATCCAGTAGTTTGGCACATATTTGCTGGTGCCCTATATGATGTGTCAGATGCTGTTCTAGGAGTTGGAGATTTTCCTGTGAATACAAGAAAGCTTCTGCTCTTCTGGAGCTTACAGCATGCTGGGAAAGACAGGCAGGGGACAAAGGAACTGGTAACATGTTGGGTGATGGTAAGAGCTATTTTCACACATGTCTGTGTGAAGAGACCAGCAAACAGGCTTTGTGTGAGCAACAAGGCTGTTTATTTCACCTGGGTGCAGGTGGGCTGAGTCCGAAAAGAGAGTCAGCAAAGTGTGGTGGGATTATCATTAGTTCTTATAGGTTTGGGATAGGCATAGAAAGTACATTCTTAAGGGCAGGGAAGAATATTACAAAGTACCTTCTTAAGGGTGGGGGGAGAATATATGTATCATTTAGGGTGGGACAGGAACAAATCACAATGGTGGAATGTCATCATTAGAGATGATTCTCAGTTCTCCTCCCTAAAGGCAGTCCCATTAAGGCTATTTTCACTTCTTTTGTGGATCTTCAATTGCTTCAGGCCATCTGGATGTATACGTGCAGGTCACAGGGGATATGATGGCTTAGCTTGGGCTCAGAGGCCTGACAGCTATGAAAACCACACGGCAGGGTGGGGAAGATGGAGAACATAGGAGGGTCATGATTTTACATATCATGACCTGTTCCTTTCTACTGCATAATCCCAGTACTTCCCAGGGAAGTGGGAGCAGAGCAAGCAAGAAACCAGTGTGAAAATAAGTAATTATAAAACTAAGCTGTTGGAACTCTGAAGTATTTTGAACCTTAAAGGAATGTGATTATGGGGCCTGAGTCATGTGACAGACAACTGTAATGTAGGCAGCTGTAACCTTTGTTTCTCTGATTATAGATTAGTCTTCTTCCCTAACTGCACTGTTTTGTAAAATGTTATAAATGACTAAAGAGTGACAGGGAAGACCCTTTCCTTCTTTGCTATTGATCTTCATTTTAGATTACCTTCCCTTTGCCTTTCTTATGGAAAGACTTTATGGCTATCACGTTGTCTGAAGATGGGTTATTAAATATACTCTTCATCACAGCACTATTCAGAAGAGCAAAGACATGGCATCAACCTAGATGCCCATCAGTGGTGGACTAGATAATGTGGTACATATACACCATGGAATACTACACAGCAATAACAAGAATGAAATCATGTCCTTTGCAGCAACATGGATGCAGTTGGAGGCCATTATCCTAAGCAAATTAATGCAAGAATAGAAAAGCAAATATGGCATGTTCTCATTTAGAAGTGAGAGGTAAACATTGGGTACACATGGACATAAAGATGGGAACAACAGACACTGGAGACTATTGGAGGGTGACAGAGGAAGAGGGGCAAGAGCTGAAAAACTGTTGGGTATTATGCTCACTACCTGGGTGATGGGAATGTTTATACTCTAAACCTCAGTGTCACACAATATACTCAGGTAACAAACCTGCACATACCCACTGAATCTCAAATAAAAGTTGGGATTATTTTAAAAAATAAATTGGAGAGGAGATGAAAACAAGTTGTACAGAAAGGAAAACAGACTGTAAGTAATTAAATTGTTGTCATTCATAAACTAGCCTTGTATAGAAAAATGTTACCCTGTCAGATTTATTTGTTTTCTGCCTGTATAAGCAAGAATTTAACTTTAAACTTTGGAACACTGATCCCATTTCTCTGGAGTCTGTCTCTCAAATCGCAGTTTTTCCCTTGAATAATCTTTTTATAACTGGATTCTGATCTCTTCGATTATTTCAGGCTGGCGCCATGTCTCTTATTTCCCAAATGGTGCCACTGACATCATAAGATGAGCCTGGATGGTAATGCAGGGCACTCTGGTCCATATTTCTCTGCTTTTTTGCACAATTTCAGTTGTCCAGTTGTTCCTACAGAAAGTGCTAACCTTCCTTTCTCTTTCCTGCATCCTCTGTACTCTGAGCTATAAATAATATACATGAGAAGCTCACTGTCATTTTGCCATTTGACACTTTTGCAGTCACTGACTATTCACCTTTTTATCAATTGCATTCAGTTTTTACCAGTTAATAGTGGAAGGAGCTTGCTTGTGGTGCTTCATCTGAGGCCAGCCTTTGTAAGCGCCTGGAGGCTTCCTGGTGCTGGAGAACGAACTTGTGCAGGGACAGGAACTGCTGATTTTGTGCGGTGCATGACACCTCTCATGGACTGCTTCAAATCACATAATAGCTGAATGCCTCAAAGAATGCTTATTTTCCTTGACCTACCTTCTCTTGCAGTGCTGACAATCTGGTTTTTGAGAATGATAGTGAGAATTTGCAAAAATTGTGAAGAATAGGTCCCAAGCAGAGAGTTTTTTTTAAAAAAACTATAATTTCTTCTCTTTGTGCAGATTTGTGTATCTGAGAGAATGAGGAACCATGGGTTGAAGTCCACTTAGGAGAAAATAACTTTGCTACCATAGGATTTTCATGAAAATATCTTTTCATCTTTAAAAATTTAGAGCTGAATCCATTGAGTCTTAGTCTTTGTGTCTCGGCCTTTAGGACTGGGAGGAACAGGACATCTGACATAGAGTTGGAACCACTAATGAGACTCCATGGAGTCAGTAGGGTCAGATCAAAGGTTCTTCCCAATGGGTCCAGGACTTGTGAGGAGGCTTTCTGCTTTGCCTCCCAGGCAGTCTGGGGAACAGAATGCTCCCTAGGATAAGTTATTCATCCAAGTAAAAGCTGCTTACTGCCTCCGGGAGAAACACAGGCAGTGGAGCTCACAGAAAACCCGGCATCTGAGGCATGGGGGAATTTTCTCCTTAATTGGGCAGGGTTCTTGCACAGAAAAGTGAGACAGTGTTTATGTATTCATTTTTGACTTTTATTTCAGGTTCAGGGGTACATGTGCAGGTTTGTTATTTAGGGAAACCGCGTGTAAAACAAATATCACACGTTCTCACTTATAAATAAGAGCTAAACCATGAGAACACATGGACACAAAGAGGGGAACGACAGACACTGGGGATTACTTGAGGGTGGAGGGTGGGAGGAGGGAGAGGATAAAAAACTACCTCTCAGGTACTATGCTTAGTACCTGGGTGACAAAACAATCTGTATGCCAAACCCCTGAGATGTGTAGTTTGCCCATATAGCAAGACTGTGTTTTTTGTTTTTTGTTTTCTATTATACTTTAAGTTTTAGGGTACATGTGCACAACATGCAGGTTTGTTACGTATGTATACATGTGTCATGTTGGTGTGCTGCACCCATTAACTTGTCATTTACATTAGGTATATCTCCTAATGCTATCCCTCCCCCCTCCCCCACCCCACGACAGGCCCCAGTGTGTGATGTTCCCCTTCCTGTGTCCAAGTGTTCTCGTTGTTCAATTCCCACCTATGAGTGAGAACATGCAGTGTTTGGTTTTCTGTCCTTGAGATAGTTTGCTGAGAATGATGGTTTCCAGCTTCATCTGTGTCCCTACAAAGGACATGAACTCATCCTTTTTTATGGCTGCATAGTATTCCATGGTGTATATGTGCCACATTTTCTTAACCCAGTCTATCATTGATGGACATTTGGGTTGGTTCCAAGTCTTTGCTATTGTGACTAGTGCCGGTCTGTAAGTAACCGGGGACAATGCTGTGAGGAGAGACTCTACCCCCAACAAAAAGAAACATCATCAACATGTTTATAATAGTGTTGTTGCCACTCTTACTGACAAAGCACTAATGTTGATAAAAGTCTACTTACCAAAATTGCAAATTACACCAATCTTTACTTGGGATTTAGTTTTATTTCAATTTAAAAAGTTGCTTAGGTTACATGTGTTGCTAAAATAAAAAGATCCAAACAGTAGAGATGACAAATAAGCTGTGAAGAATAATTATCTCTCTCACCTCTGATTCTCAATTCTCCTCCCTAAAGGCAAATAGTGCTCCATGCACAGCGTTCCAAAGATATTTGATGCATTGTCAATGTTGCAACAATTGCTAAATGATTGCATGTAAATGGCATGCAGATACCTGGGCCAGGACTTGTGTCCTGCTCTTACCACCTCACTCCAAGGAGCCTCTGTCTTTACTTCTCTCATAAGACTGTTAGCATCAAATGATTCTTATAAATCTCAGGCCCTGGTCATAATTAGTGCTGAGTAAGTGATTGCTGTGTGAACAACAATTTATGAATTATCTACTAAGTCAGAGAGTTGCCCGATAAAATGCAGGACACCCAGTTAAAAGTTCAGATAAACAATGAATGATATTTTTAGAATTAGTATGTCCCAAGTATTGCATAGGATATACTTATACCAAAAAATTATTCACTGTTTATCTGAGACTAACTTACCTGGGCATTCTGCATCTGTATTTGCTAAATCTGGCAACCCTACCCTGAATGTCAAACTTCAAGCAAGTCCATGTGAAAGGCAGTATCCTAGAATGTTGAAATTTCAGTGCTAGAGGGGGACTGAGAGATGATCTGTGAGGGTCTAGCACTCTCAGTTTTCAGGCATTAAGGCCCCCTGTTAGCCTCTGAGTTCCTATCACCCCAGCCAGTTTCTTTTTCTTTTCTTTTTTTTTTATTATACTTTAAGTTTTAGGGTACATGTGCACAATGTGCAGGTTTGTTGCATATGTATACATGTGCCATGCTGGTGTGCTGCACCCATTAACTCGTCATTTAACATTGGGTATATCTCCTACTGCTATCCCTCCCCGCTCCCCCCACCCCACAACAGGCCCCGGTGTGTGATGTTCCCCTTCCTGTGTCCATGTGTTCTCATTGTTCAATTCCCACCTATGAGTGAGAACATGCGGTGTTTGGTTTTTTGTCCTTGCGATAGCTTGCTGAGAATGATGGTTTCCAGCTTCATCCTTGTCCCTACAAAGGACATGAACTCATCATTTTTTATGGCTGCCACCCCAGCCAGTTTCTGGACCGCAAAAGCAGCGAGAAGGTAGATGATTCTGTTCCAGGCTCTAACCTCAGGCTCAGCCTATTGCTGCACCCATTCACTGTCTCCTTCTCCCTGTCCCTCCTTGCCCCTCATCCTTTCTTGAAAGTCTGGAACCACAGATCTTCAGTGATGGTTGTGGGATTACTACAGTGAGGGGAGGGGAGGGAATGCTTGAGGAAGACTATTTACCATGCCCTGGGGCAAACGGATGGGTCTTAAAATGAGTGGGTGTGCAGTTGGGAGGGTCGGACACAGTGACAAAGATCTGGACATACAGGGACATTTTTGGCCAGTCTTTCAGGGTTTATGAAACTCAGGACCAGTTTTAGACTGTTAATGTGTGAGGTCCTCTCCTTCTCTTTCTCTAAACAAAGCAAACAAACAAAAAGAAACATGCCATGCTGTTGGTGAATGTTGGGTGTTGAAAGAGGGAGGAAGAACTGTTCGATGCTTGGTAGCTGATGGCTCAGTTCAGCTGTCTCTTAAAAGCATGTTGTGATTACGTTTTTCATGAATAATACGGACAGTAAGTAAACATGTTTCAATGGAAAAATGTAAACACCCCTTCCCCATTCCCAATAAAATACCACTCTATAATTTAGATGGCAAAAAATGTTTTTGGTCTGATTTTAATGAGCAGAACTTTTCTTTTCTTGTGCTGTCTGGCTTTCTCTGTCTTGGTCTCTGTCTCCTTCCTCTCTGTAAACCATTCCTTCCATCTCCCCCACTGCCATCCCAAGCCATTTCTAGAGCACTTCTGAGATTCCTGTCAGTTCCAGTTTTCACGAAGCCCACGAGAAATTCCTTTCATTGCATGGGATATAGGATATTCTTGTGGAGTGGCAGCCCAGGAAGGCAGGCAGTAGGGAAAGAAAATGTTTGGAGACTTGCCTTTCCTGTTTGCTGCCACCATAGAGAGGATGCCAGTGGCCACCCAGTGGAAACCCTCCAGAGCTGAATGCTTTCTAAGCGAATGGCTGTCCTGACATTCTGGGGGAGTGCATTGACGAGGCAAAATGAGAAGAGAGGAGTGATTTGGGAGATGAAATAGAAAGCAACAGTAAAAGACATTTTATGACACTCACAAGTCTGGGAATGGTTGGCAAAATTATTTTGATCTTGTATATTTTTTTGTACAAGAATATACAAGAATATATATTCTTGTCTATTTGAAGAGCTTATTTTTTGAGATACTTTGTTTTCTTTGCATCCTTCTGAATGCAGTTGTCAACTTCTTGGGGAAATTGTTTCAATATGGCAATTACTAAAATACTAAGATTAGTTTGGTCGCTTAAAAAGGTTTTGCATTTTGGGGTGTGTGTTTATTTCATACTTTTCATCATATTTGCTTTAGGGTGAATACTAAACAGGTCCTTTCAGGAATGGTACATGCAAAGATGACGTGCACGGTGAAATGTAACCCATCTTTGTGAATTCTGGAAGGAAAATCTGACTGATCAGCATGGGGCTGACATGTTATAAAACTTCCCAAGGCCTTTAGGCAAAGAAGGCATTAGAATCACAGGCCTGGAATATTACCATCAGTAAGTTTGGAATTTAATGAAGTAAAACATAGGCTTCACTTAATGGTGCCAATTAATTAATCTTTGGTATGCTCAGTGAATTTAATTATTGCAAAGTCATGATTTTCTTTTGTAAAAACCAGGACAATGGTTTACCATCTTGCCCTCTAATTTATCTAAAAGTAAAATAAAGTGGAAAACATTTTTTACATATTAGTCATTAATGAAGTAGAGGATGAACTTGCATATAATAATAAAGCCACTCATTTAAGAGTTGGTTTGACAAACTAGGATGACTATGTGACTGCAAAGTGTCAGTTAAAGAATTGGTGCATTTATGATGTATTTTATGTGAAAAGAAATGAGACATCAATTCCTTACAAATGAAGGTAAGTTATAATAAATAAGAAAGATGTACAGAGATTACATGTTTGGCATATGTTTGGTAGCTTAGATATAGAGATGTTTCTAATGTTTTTACTTTGAGATTAATAAAAGTTTCTAATTTATGTTCCAAGATAATTTAGTTCTAGCACACACAATTTTCTTTGGCTTGTTAGAAAAGTTTGCTTTTTAAAACGATTCTTTACATATGTAAAATAAAGAAGCTAACCTAAGTTAATGAGAAAAAAACTAATAACACAAGATGAAAACCTTGAAAGTGTATTTTCTCTGTTTTGACTGACTGGTCTCGTCGTGGTCTTTATTTCCATAAATATGCTGAAATTCTCTGTTTAACATGTCTATATTTCCACCAGTTTTTTAGCGTCTATATTATTATTATTGTTATTTATTTTATTTTTAATTTTTGTGGGTACGTAGTAGGTATATATATTTATGGGGTACATGAGATATTTTGATACAGGCCTGTAATACATAATATTTCCATGTGATGGAAAATTAATAGAAAATGGGGCATCCATCCTCTCAAGCACTTATCCCTTACTTTACAAACAATCCAATTATACCCTTTTGGTTATTTTTAAATGTACAGTTAAATTATTATTGGCAATTGTCCCCCTGTTGTGCTGTAACATACTAAGTCTCATTCATTCTTTCTATTTTTGTACCTATTAACCATCACTATTCCTCCCAGCCTCACATTACACTTCCCAACCTCTGGTAACCATCCTTCTATTCTCTATCTCCATGAGTTCAATTGTTTTGACTTTTAGATCCCAGAATTGAGAACATGTGATGTTTGTCTCTCTGTATTTCACTTAACATAAATGACCTCCAGTCCATCCATGGTGTTCCAAATGACATAATCTCTTTTTTATGGCTGAATGGTACTCCATTGTGTATAGGTACCACATTTTCTTTATCCATTCATCTGTTGATAGATCCTTTGGTTACTTCCAAATCTTGGCTACTGTGAGTCATGCTGCAACAAACACAAGAGTGCAGGTATCTTTTCGATATATCATAGTTATTTTAAAGTTCATGTCTGATAATTTCAAATGCTGGGCCATCTTTGTGTCTGCTTCTGTTGACTATTTTTTGTCCATGGATCATATTTTTTCTTTTGCTTCTTTGTGTGCCTTATAATTTTTGATGTATGCTGGATATTTTGTATAAAAGAACAATAGAGACTGAAGTAAAGAAAATTTACTTCCAGAAATGGGCATGTTCTTTCTTATTTCAGGCTGATAGAGTGAGGCGGTGAATCAGTCCTATCTGTAGTTTAGCTAGGACTGGCCATTGTTGCAGCTTTGATTCAGTTCACCATTTGCTTCTAATATTTTAGGAGCAGGCACAGGGCATTCTTTTCTGTAGGGCATTCAGATTCTGTAGAATCTGACCACGGTCGAGATCAGAAGAGCTCTTTGTTTATTATAGCTGAATTGCCAGTTTTCCTAATGGATCTCTCTGGTTTTTTACAATCCACTTCCAGATTTTTGGTTGCCCAGATACCTCACTTTCCCCCACAATCCTGCCCTAGACATTTTGTACCTAGGGAGATTTCTCTCTACTTTCCTGGGTGCTATAGGGAGATTTTTCTGAGCTCTCTGTGGCTGAGAGTGTTTAGCGCCTTGGATTGCTATCCTGCTCTTCCCCTACCTCCCGGAGACTTGTAGGGGTTCCTCCCTGTGTGCCTCAGGGAAAATCTCTCCAGTTCTGCCTCCAGCTTTTAATGTACTGCACAAAGCACTCAGTGAAGACCTGTGCACAGACTGGGCAGGCAGGTGCAAGACCTGCTCTGGGGCTGGGACTCCTGGAATTCTAATCTGTCATTCCAGTTCACTGTAATCTTTAAATGTTTATTCAAGTTTTGACTGGTTCCTCTTTAACCCCACATTTGGAGCATTAATCCTGTTGTTGCTCAGCCAGAGAGGAGAGCAGCCGCAAGTCTCTTCTCTTCTATGAATGGCTATTCATTTCCTAGAGTGAAGGTTTAGTTCATACGCATGTATAGCTTATTCACATTGTTTGGTTGTTAGATAAACGGTAATGGTCTCTTGCAACTCTCTACTTAGTAACTAGAAGCAGAACTCTTCTTCATTATCTTTAAATACATAAAATAAATCCCCACCTTGACTTAAAATGTTTTGTCATCCATGTTTTATGCTTCCTTTTCTTGGCCTATTGAAATAGAAATGGTATTTTACAGCCAGATTAAGTTTCATCTCCTCCGTGAAGCCTGCCTAATCACTCAGTGTTGCTCTCACTTCTGAATTCTTTTAGTACTTAATATCTCTATAACTCCCTTGGTATTGATAACATAGCTGTGCATTTTTGGGTATTTTTGCCTGGATACATCCTGTCTCCCATCCAGCAAGTCCAAGTTTTGAAAAGTTGGGCATATTTACATCAACAGAATTTGTTGACTTATATATTCATTCATTTGGCCCCAAATGCAGAGGCACAGACCACAACTAAGAAGAAGCCAAGAAGAGCAGCTGAAGTTTAAGAGGACCAAAAAAGTTAGAAACTTTTCCTTTAAAAAAGGAAAATGAAAAATACCTATTTTATCATCAGTTGTTCCTGAGACCATAGCAAAAAGCAGAAAGGATTTATTAGTCAATCCTCAGTCACCTGGAGAGCGCAGAAAGCAATAAAGCAAGCAGCATGGTTCTGTGGAAAGCAAGCCCAGCCAAGTCTATTTCATTTTCTTGCTAGACAGTGGCTAGTCACAGAGGCACGGGATGAGATGGGCGTGATCTACCTGGAGTTGACAATGCTGTTTCCCTTTAATTCTTCGTGAGTCTAAATCAAGTGGTTCTGGCAGAGACCGAGAAGGAAAAGTCCCCACACTCTCAAGAAAATACTGCCAATTTTATAGCCATGGTAAGCAGTAAAAACCAGAAACGGCTGTAAATCAGTCAACAACAACTTGCTTCATTGAGCATATCTCCAAAAGCCAACCAATCAGTGCCAACCTTACGCTTTGAAAGTCAGTTAATTGGTGATGTACTTACTCCAGTGAGCACACTTCTAAGCTGATGCCAATCTGCTCCAGTGTCTGCAACCAGCACAAAAGGCACTTCTGAGGCTGACATTTTCCCACTCTTGCCCCTTCTCCCAAACTCTGTAGCAAATCTGCTCAAAGGGGTTTGTCTCAATGATCTCTTTGCTCACTTAAGTCTCGTATGACCAGCATGGCTCTCCCTTACTTAAGTAGGTAATAAATTCAATCTTTTAGTTTCAGCTTCTGAGTGATGGTCTCATTCATTGAGAATGATTTTGGTGGAATTCACAGATTAAAAATCATTTGAAGACCCTTGCTTGGTAGTATTCTATGGGTTCTTTGGGCTAACAGACATGTTTATTAGACCACCTGTGCCCCCATTTTATTTGTCCTTCTTTTGTGTTGCTGCCAGGTATGTCTGTCTCAACAAAGATTTGAGCTTCAACTTATTTCATGAGCTCTTATTGATGAGTTTATTTTGTTACCTTTTGTAACCAATCAATCTCTGACTTATTTTAGTAAACTTTGGTTGTTGAATTTATTTTGATATTCTGATTTGTGTCTTAGGATATATTTAAGGTCATTAGACCTATAATAACATATAAAGTAATTAAACCTTTTAGTTTATGGACACATAATTTGTTTTAAAAAGTGAGACTTAAGTATATATATAAAATCATTAGAGGCTTTGGTTTGTAGTTGCACTATTTGGTAAATTTTTTTGCCATTTACCTGCCTATCCTTCTTGTCTGTTGAACACATAAGGAGGTGCTCCTGAGAGAATAAGGTAGGTGCAGGCTGAATAAGCCTATCATCCATTCCAAAACAACTTCGAAGACTAGTGGTTGGAGGTCTGTTAGACTGTTGGCCAATTAATGTAAAGGTGATGGATCAAACTCTGTATTGGATCCCCTTTGAAATCTCCATAAAGACACTCTGTCAAGACTGTTGGAGATTGTTTTTGTTGAGTTCATCTTCTGGAGTCAACAGTTACCTGCATGATCCCTTCTTAGGTCTTTTCTCATTTGTCTATGTCAAAATTTCACTCTCCTCAAGAATAACTGTTTTCTATATGAAGTTGCACTGTAACCTTAACTTGGTAAATGATAAACATATTTTTGATTTAGAATAACAATGCCCATTGTGGGAAACTTCTGATATGTCAAAATGAATACATTTAAGAAGAACTCCAGGAAAATTAGGAAATAATAACATTCAAAACTTCAGTGGTTAACTTCTTTAAAATTGATAAGCCAAGGGGCCAGCAAAACAAAATGCTGACTTCAAGGTTATTTTCTTTCCAAAAAGTTCTAATTCACTAGTGTTCACACTATCCGAACTCACCTGCTTTGTACCTCCTTCTCTCTGAATTGTCTTCCCCATCCACTTTATTTTTTATTTTATGTTTATGTAAATTATATATATACACACACACATATATTTATTTCAATAGCTTTTGGGGTACAAGTGAGTTTTGGTTACATGGATGGACTGTGTAGTGGTGATGTCAGATTTTAGTGCACCCCTCACCCAAGTGGTGTACATTGTACCCATCCACTTTACATTCCTTCTCTTTCTTCTGTTCCTTCCCCTGACCTCCAAAATGGATAATTCTTTCTTCAGAGTTTTCTCAGGAAAAGAACTATCACTTTATAAAATTGTTTGACCAAAAGACTGATATATGAAAATTGAATTTAAATCATTGTCTATAGCAGAGTTAAGCAGAGTGCAGCTATAATTAAAAAATTTTCCTCTTTCTTTGTAGAGACAGGTCTCACTATGTTGCCCAGGCTGGTCTTAAATTCCTGGCCTCAAGTGATTCTCCCGTCTTGACCTCCCAAAGTGCTGGGATTACAGGCATGAGCTACCACGCCTGGCCTAATTAAAGCTTTTTAAGCCTCAGAGAAACAGACAGAAATTTACTATAGAGTTCGACATTGTATTAGATACTTGTTGTTCTGGATGTTCAAATTTGTACCAACTAGTTTATTGGATTGACAACCCCCTCAGATGGGGAACATGGTTAAAAACCATGGGAAAGATGAAGAGAGAATGTAAATAACCCAGCTCTGTATAATTTAATGATCTCCTTGAGAGGATAAGCAAAACATGCAGTGCATTAAAAATTAACTCAAGATGGATTAAAGACTTAAATGTAAAACCTAAAATCATAAAAACCCTAGAAGAAAGCCTAGGCAATACCATTCGGGACATAGGCATGGACAAAGACTTCATGACTAAAACACCAAAAGCAATGTCAACAAAAGTCAAAACTGACAAGTGGGATCTAATTAAACTAAAGAGCTCCTGCACAGCAAAAGAAACTATCATCAGACTGAACAGGCAACCTACAGAATGGGAGAAAATTTTTGCAATCTACCTATCTGACAAAGGTCTAATATCCAGAATTTACAAGGAACTTAAACATATTTACAAGTAAAAAACAAACAACCCCATCAAAAAGTGGGCAAAGGATATAAACAGACACTTTTCAAAGAAGACATTTACATAGCCAACAAACATATGAAAAAAAGCTCAACATCACTGATCATCAGAGAAATACAAATCAAAACCACATTGATATACCATCTCATGCCAGTCAGAATGGCGATTATTCAAAATTCAGGAAACATTAGATGCTGGTGAGGCTGTGGAGAAACAGGAACGCTTTTACACTGTTGGTGGGAATGGAAATTAGTTCCACCATTGTGGAAGAGAATATGGCGATTCCTCAAGGATCTAAAACCAGAAATACCATTTGACTCAGCAGTCCCATTACTGTGCATATGCCCGAAGGAATATAAATCATTCTGCTATAAAGATACATACACGTGTATATTTATTGCAGCACTAGTTACCATAGCAAAGAAATGGACCAACCCAAATGCCCATCAATGATAGACTGGATAAAGAAAATGTGGTACATATACACAATGGAATACTATGCAGCCATAAAAAGGAATGAGATCATGTCCTTTGCAGGGATATGGATGAAGCTGGAAGCCATCATCCTCAGCAAACTAACACAGGAACAGAAAACCAAACACTGCATGTTTTCACTCATAAGTGAGGGCTGAACATTGAGAACACATGGACACAGATAGGGAGCAACAGACACTGGGGCCTTTTTGGGGTTGGGGGGTAAGGAGAGGAAACCTAGGGGACGGGTCAGTAGGAGTAGCAAACTACCATGGCACACATATACCTATATGACAAACCTGCACGTTCAGCCCACGTATCCTGTTTTTTTTTTTTTTTTTGAAGATATAAAGGAAGAAAACAAACACAGAAAAACAGGCAGTGTATTACTTTAGGCCATTGCAGAAATCTTTCCCATAGAGGATATGGGAGAAAGATTTAAAATGGTAAAGAAAATAAAGAATCAAGAGGAGACTTCAAACACAGACTCCAGGAAGCTTTCAGGCAGTATTCAAGCTAGATCTAGGAGCCCAAATAAAGAGAACCTTGTCCTCTCTTTTTGTAAATGTAAGGTTTAGACTTGATATAGAGGATTTGGTCATAAGTAAATAAATTGGAATGGAAAATTGCCAATCTAAAAGATCTCCTGCACATGGCAGGCTATCTTAGAAAATAAATAAGCTAGAAATGAAAATAAACTTCTGGATCTCTAGATATAAAAACTGACCCTTGAAATAAAAAAGGACAAAAACAAGAACCAAAAGTCTATGAATAAAGATACTTGTAGATATTTGCAAGCATCGGGGCCATGAGAGAACCAAGTTTCCATAACAGCAAAGTGTGCAATAACATTGTGTCTAAAAAACAATGTGCATACACTAATCAAAACATACTTTATTGCTTAAAAATGCAGACTCAGAGACACGAAGTGAGCATGTACTCTTGGAAAAATGGTGTGGATAAAGTTCCTCAACACAGTATTGCCACAAACCTTCAATGTGTAAAAACCACCATTGAGTGAAGTGTAATAAGACAAGGCATGCCTGGATACATCCAGTACCTGGGGAGCGGCTGGGGTATGAGTGCAAATAATGTGTATCACTCTCAGGCCTGGCCTATAAAATCTCATACTCAGGAACCTTCATGCTCACTCTCCTTTCTTGGTTTGATGAAGGTGAACACAGTGACCTTAGAAGACAAAAACCCAACATATGGTAGACCCATAAGATGAAAGAAGCCAAGGTCTTGTGCCAGTTTTGCTCCTTTGGGAAGCATATGCCAAGAAGGAGTTAGAAGTTCAGGGGATTTATGGGGGAAATGCCTCTGAAAGATCTAAGGGAAGGGGAAGATGAACAGGCATGGAGAGCCTTCAGGTGGGGCTGCAGGTCTGACACCTGTGAAAGAGAGGGTTCTGGAAGAAGATTGGGCAAGAAGTCTTATCTTCTAGTTTAGCACCCCATTTGGCAAGGAAGACGCAAACCCAAGAGGGATGTGGGGCACAGATAATCCTGGGCATAATGTGGCAGCTGAATTTCTGAAGATACCATCAGTGGTAACCCGGGAAAATGTCCTAGTGGAATGAACCAGTCCTCAAACCCCATATAATGGTTCTTTCTTGAGCCAATCCTAATACCCCTGTGTCAGTTCAGGTCTTCCAGGAGGCAGATGCCATGACAGAGTTAGAAGTGCAGGAGATTTATTGAGGGAAGTTCTTGGGAAGGGGAAAGTGTAGAGTGGGTAGGGGGACGCAAGGGGAACCTTCAGACAATGGTTCTTGGTTTCCTGAGGAAGGGAAGAGGGAAGGAAGGTGGGTTTGGTAGGAAGAGTCTCTGACTACAGTGCAGCTCTGAGAAAAATCTCAATGAGGGAAGCCCTTGGGCAAAGATCATGTCCCGGGCACAAGAGTCTGGTTCCAGAAGCTCTGCTGGGCTCAGTGATGGGCTGGGAGCCTCTTGGGGTAGTGTGGACTTGGTGTGAAAGCTGTGGTAGATTCCAGATGTGCAGCAAATAAAGGCTGTTAGCCCAGCACACTCCTCATGGCAGGTTTCCTCTTGTGGGGGATCTGAGTGGTGGCACCTCTGTGGCACCCCCAGTTTCTGAATTATAAGTTGGAGGATAGTTACCTACTGACCAGCAACACCCATTTTTAACTTAGGTAAGTAAGAGAGAGACTATTTCAAGGGACTGAGATTTGCTATATAGCAGTTAGTGCTGTCTAATCAATAGGAGATATTGCATTAGGCAGCCTCTACTATGGCTCCTGATGGCCTCTGCCTTCTGGTGTCCTGCCTTAGTGTGTGGGCTGGATCTAGACTCACTTATAATGAATAAAATATGGTAAAAGTGATGATATGTTACTTCTGAGATGAGGTTATATAAAGACTGTGATAGGCTGGGAGTGGTGGCTCATGCCTGTAATCCCAGCACTTTGGGAGGCTAAGGCGGGAGGAGAGCTTAAGTTTAGGAGTTTGAGACCAGCCTGGGTAACATAATGAGATCTCCCTCTCCACAAAACAAAACAAAAAATTAGCGAGGCATGGTGGTGCATGCTTGTCATCCAACCTACTTTGGAGGCTGAGGCAGGAGGATTGCTTGAACCTGGGAGGTCAAGGCTGCAGTGAGCCATGATTGTGCCACTGCACTTCAGCCTGGATGATACAGTGAGACCCTGTCTCAAACAAACAAAAACAAAAAGCTTGTAATGTTCTCTCTGTCTTCAATTCCTCCCACTAGGGGAGCAAGCAGCTGTGTTATGAACAGCCTTCTGGAGGGGCCCACATGGCAAGAAACTGTGATCTCCTGCCAACAGCCAATGAAGACCTTGGTCTGTCCAAAGCTGAGGGAGCACAGAAGTGGCTCTTCTGAGACCTACCAATAGCGATGTGAGTGATCATGGAATGCAATGCAATTAATGAATCAATATTGAATCTCTCTCCCTTGACCCTTGAGATGGCTTCAGTTCTGGCCAGCATTGTAGTTACATCATGAGAGACCTGAGGCCATCAGCCAGCTAAGCCCAGGTTCCTTACCCACAGAACCTATGAGATGATAAATGCATGTTGCTTTAAGATTCTAAGTTTTGGGGAAATTTATTATGTGGCAACAGATACAAATACAAGTATATAAATGTTATTCTGGTGAAACAGGTTCCTACTAAACCAATGTTCAGGAAAGTTAAGACAGAATCTGAGAACTGGATGAAGCCTCAGGAGCCATCTAAAGAGCCATCAGCTCCAGTGGTTCTCTTCTTGACCACACATTAGAATAACTCATGGAATTAAAACCGGTACTTGGGATCCACTCCAGACTATTAAACCAAAATCTCTGGAGAAGAGGCATGGTCATCAGTATTTCCAAAAACTTCTTAGGTGATTGAAATCAGGAGCCAGAAATTAGAACCATCAGGATCAAGCTAACTCTCAAGCTTTAGTAAAGAGTATATTTATCTGGGGAGTGGTTCATTTAAAACGTGGATTTCCAAGCCGGGTGCAGCGACTCACACCTGTAGTCCCAGCTACTTGGGAGGCGGAGGTGGGAGGATCATTTGGGTCCATGAGTTCATGTCTAGCCTGGGCAACATAGTGAGACCTCACCTCTAAAAACACAAGCAAGTCCCCAGAGATTCAGATTCAATAGTTCTGGGAGGAGCCAGGGAGTCTTCACATTCAGCCTTCTCTCCAGTGATTCTGGTCAAGGTGGCCTGTGAACTGCACTGAATGGTTCTGGGCTGGCTGCGAGGAGAGATACTGTGATGTAACCCAAGTTTGTGACAGAGTGTTGGCATTAAAATGGAAAGAAAGGCTCTGATTCAAGAAACAATGAAAAGGAGATGTCGACAGGGTTTGGCAATTGCCTGAGATGAGGGAAAGGAAGGAATCATTGGTGATTCTGCAAGTGTAAGCCCAGTGACTGGAGAGTGATGGAAAATGGCATTCTTCACAATATTAAGAGCACAGAAAAGACAATGCAGCAAAAAGACAATTACTCGCATGCTAGACATTGAGTCTGAGAGTGAAGGGCAAGCAAATAAGATGATCTGTTTTGTCTCTGGTACTAAGTGATGTAGGAACCAAAACTAGGATTGGAAAGCTGGGAAGCAGGGAAAATAAAATTAAAAATGACTTTTTAAAAAGGAGAAAGAATATCATCACCAATGTAGCTTGAAATTTGCTAAGGAGAACCTGGGGTTTGTGTAGAGTCAGATAAGTAAAACAAATGCACATTAGGGAAAGAGAGCTGGGAATGAAATAGGAAAGAAACCTCTGGAAATCTGGAAATAATCATAGTTACCCATAAAGCTTATATAAATAAAGGCATACTGTTATAGGAAGGACAAACTCTCTAAAATTGTTAGAAGGAGCCTCTAGAATGTAATTGCATTTTCTTACATTTTTACTTTAATTTTTTTGTTTGTTTGTTTGTTTTTTTTTTTTTGAGACAAAATCTCAATCTGCTGCCCAGGCTGGAGTGAAGTGGCCCAATCTTGGCTGACCGCAACCTCCACCTCCCAGGTTCAAGCGATTCTCCTGCCTCAGCCTCCCGAGTAGCTGGGACTACAGGTGCCTGCCCCCACGCCCAGCTAATTTTTGTATTTTCTGTAGAGATGGGGTTTCGCCAGGTTGGTCAGGCTGGTCTTGAGCTCCTGACCTCAGGTGATCCACCTGCCTCGGCCTCCCAAAGTGCTAGGGTTACAGACATGGGCCTGTGCCCAGGCTACTTTAATTTTTAAAATACATTTTTTTATTTTAGAATTTTTAGATTCACAGTAATATTGTGAAGAGCTATGGAGCGTTTCCACATGCTCGACACCCAGTTTCCTCTATTATTGACATCTTACTCTGGTACGATATGTTCTTTACAATTAATGAACCAATATTGATACACTGTTATTAGCTAACATCTATACTTTATTATTAGGTTGATGCAAAAGTAATTGCAGTTTTTGCCATTAAAAGTAATGCAAAAAACTGCAATTACTTTTGCTCCAACCTATAGATATCCTTAGTTTTTACTAACATCTTTTTCTGTTCCAGTATGGCATCCACATTCCATTTACTTGTTCTGACTCCACAGATTCTGCTTGGCTATGGCAGATTCTCAGACTCTTGATGTTTTTTTAATTGACCTTGGCAGTTTTGAAGAGTACCGGTCAGGTATTTTGTAGAATATCCCTCAATTGAGATTCGTCTGTTGTTTTTCCCATCACTAGACTGGGGTTATTGAGTTCTTTTTTTTTTGAGGTAGGGAGGACAATCACAGACGTGCCATTTTCAGCACGTCATATCCAAGGTACAAACTATCACGACATCACTGTTGATATTAACATTTGTTACTTGGTGCAGGTAGTGTTTGAGGTCTTCATTGTAAAGTTACTTTCTTTTTCTCTTTCCATACTATACTCTTTGGAAGCAAGTTGCTATAAGCAGTTCAAACTTAAGGAGAAGGGAGTTATGATTCACCGCTTGAGGGGAGTGTATCTATGTCAATTATGTAGAATTCTGCAGGGAGATTTGCCTCTTTGCTCTCATTTATTTATTTATATCAGTATGGACTCATGGATATTTATTTTAGCCTTTGATTATGATCCAATACTTTATTTATGTTGCTGATGTTGTTCCAGCTCTGGCCCATTGGGAGCTCCTTTACTTGGCTTCTGTGTCCCTTTGACATAACCTCATCATTGTGGTTTATTAAAAACAATTTTTTGTTAGCACTCCCTTACTTTATTACACTCAAGATGCTCCAAGCTCATCTTGTATATTTCCTACCCCAGTCCTAGCATCAGCCATTTATCCAAGGATCCCTGGATCCTTTTATTGGAGAATTGCATTAGAAACAAAGGTTCAGGAGCTAGGTATGCTCATTGCTGCTGGAGTGTAATTGCTTCCAGTCCCTCTCAGCTGACAGAGCTGCTTTAGCTGTGTCCCAGAGATTCTGGTACGTTGCCTCTTTGTTGTCATTGGTTTCAAAGAACTTCTTGATTTCTGCCTTAATTTAATTATTTACCCAGGAGTCATTCAGGAGCAGGTTGTTCAATTACTATGAGATTGTGTGGTTTTGAGTGAGTTTTTAAATCCTGAGTTCTAATTTGATTGCACTATGATCTGAGAGACTGTTTGTTATGATTTCAGTTCTTTCGCATTTGCTGAGGAGTGTTTTACTTCCAATTATTTCGTTGATTTTAGAATAAGTGCCATGTGGCACTGAGAAAAATGTATATACTGTTGATTTGGGGTAGAGAGTTCTGTAGACGTCTTCTAGGTCTGCTTGATCCAGAGCTGAGTTCAAGTCCTGAATATTCCTGTTAATTTTCTGTCTCATTGATTTGTCTAATACTGACAGTGGGGTGTTAAAGTCTCCCATTATTATTGTGTGGGAGTCTAGGTCTGTTTGTAGGTCTCTAAGAACTTGTTTTATGAACCTGGGAGCTCCTGTATTGGGTGCATATATATTTAGAAGTTAGCTCTTCTTGTTGAATTGTTCCCTTTACCATTATGTAGTAATGCCCTTCTTTGTCTTTTTTGATCTTTGTTGGTTTAAAGTCCATTTTCTCAGAGAGTAGGATTGCAACCCCTGCTTTTTTTTGCTTTCCATTTGCTTGGTAAATTTTCCTCCATCCTTTTATTTTGAGCATGTGTGTGTCTTTTCATGTAAGATGGGTCTCCTGAATATAGCACACCAATGGGTCTTGACTCCTTATCCAATTTGCCAGTCTGTGTCTTTTAATTGGGACATTTAGCCCACTTACATTGAAGGTTAGTATTGTTATGTGTGAATTTGGTCCTGTCATCATGCTGCTATTTGGTTATTTTGCACACTAGTTGATGCAGTTTCTTCATAGTGTCATTGGTCTTTATATTTTGGTGTGTTTTTGCAGTGGCTGGTACAGGTTTTTCCTTTCCATATTTAGTGCTTCTTTCAGGAGCTCTTGCAGGGCAGGCCTGGTGGTAACAAAATCCCTCAGCATTTACTTGCCTGGAAAGGATTTTATTTCTCCTTCGCTTGTGAAGCTCAGTTTGGCTGGATATGAAATTCTGAGTTGGAAATTCTTTTCTTTAAGAATGTTGAATATTGGCCCCCAATCTCTTCTCACTTGTAGAGTTTCTGCTGAGAGGTCCATTGTTAGTCTGATGGGCTTCCCTTTGTAGGTGACTTGGCCTTTCTCTCTGGCTGTCCTTAACATTTTTTCCTTCATTTCAACTTTGGAGAATCTGATGATTATGTGTCTTGGGGTTGATCTTCTTGTGGTGTACCTTAATGGTGTTTTCTGTATTTCCTGAATTTGCATATTGGCCTGTCTTGCTAGGTTGGGGAAGTTCTCCTGAATAATATCCTGCAGTGTGTTTTCCAGCTTGTCTCCATTCTCCTGTCTCCTTTGGTACTCCAATCAATTGTAGGTTCAATCTTTTTATGAAGCCCCATATTTCTTAGAGGCTTTGTCCATTCCTTTTCATCCTTTTCTCTCTATTCATGTCTGCATGTCTTATATCAGTAAGGTGGTCTTCAAACTCTGATATACTTTCTTCCGCTTGGTTGATTCGTCTGTTGATACTTGTGTATGCTTCACGAAGTTCTCGTGCTGTGTTTTTCAGCACCATCAGGTCATTTATGTTCCTCTCTAAGTGGGTTATTCTAGTTAGCAATTCCTCTAACCCTTTATCAAGGTTCTTAGCTTCTTTGCATTGGGTTAGAACATGCTCTTTTAGCTCATTGTAGTTTTTTATTGCCCATCTCCTGAAGACTACTTCTGTCAATTTGTCCATCTGATCCTCCACCCAGTTCTGTGCCCTTAATGGAGAGAAGTTGTGATCATTTGGAGGAGAAGAGGCACTCTGGCCTTTTGGGTTTTCAGCATTTTTTTGTTGATTCTTTCTCATCTTCATGAGTTTGTTGAGTTCCGGTCTTTGAGGCTACTGACCCTTGGATGACGTTTTTGTTGGGGGCCTTTTTTGTTGTTGTGGTTGATGCTGTTGTTGCTTTGTTTGTTTTTTTTCTTTCAATAGTCAGGTCCCTCTTCTGTAGGGCTGCTGCAGTTTGCAGGGGGTTCACTTCAGGCCCTATTCATCTGATTTGCTCCTGTGCCTGGAGATGTCACTCAAGGAGGCTAGAGAGCAGCAAAGATGGGTGCTTGCTCCCACTTGTGGGACTTCTGACCTCGAGGGGCACCAACCTGATGCCAGTAGGATTGCTCCTGTATAGGGTGTCTGACAACCCCTGTTGGAGGGTCTCACCCAGCTGGGTGGCACTGGGGGCAAGACCTGTTTAATGAAGCACTTTGTCCCTTGGTTGAGAGGGTGTGTTTTGCTGGGGGGAAATCTACTCATCTGGGCTGCCTGGATTCCTCAGAACTACCAGGAGGAAAGGCAAAGTCTGCTGGTCTGCGGAGACTGCGGCCACCCCTCCCGCTAGGGGCTCAGGCCTAGGGAGATCCAAATTTTGTCCTTGAGCCTCTGGCTGGAGTTATTGGAGTTCCTGCAAGGAAGCCATCCACTGAGGAAGGATGAGTCAGGGTTGGGCCTGAAGAGGCACTCTGGCCGCAGACTGCCACAGCTGGTGTGTTGGGCTAGGGGGGCAAGTCTTGGGACCAAGCTGTCCAGCCTCCCTGGCTCCAGCAGGGGAAAAATGCAGCCCGGAGCTACAGAAATAGGTGCCGCCCTTCCCCCGCTCAGGGAGCTTAGAGTGTTAGGCAGTTGCGAGTCTCAGTGCTGGCTGCTACCCCTCCGCCAAGGAGCTCAAAAGGCTTAGACAGCAGGCAGCTGTAGCGGGTGCTTGTTGCCCCTCCCCCGGGGAGTTTGGTAGGCTTAAGCAGATTCCATCTGAGAGGCTGTAAGAATCTGCGTGTTCCGGGGTTGGGACGCTAGGCCCCAGTGGCATGGGTTTGTGAGTGGGATCTTCCGATCCGCGGGTTGCACGGTTCCATGGAAAAAGCACAGATTCCCCGGCTGGGTAGCGCGCTCACTCACTGCCTCCCTTGGCTTGGGGGAGGTTCCCCTTCCCCATTTGGCTCTAACGAGGGCTGCTGCACCACACTGCTCTTCCTTCTCTCCCTGGGTCACGCCAGCCTTCTAGTCAATTTTGATGAGAGAACCTGGATACCTTGGTCGCATGCCTATTATGGTTTTTTTCTGATGGGAGCCTCTATAGTTGCTGCTTCTAGGCGGCCACCTTGGCCCCGCCCTTCCTGTGTATTTTGCGATTTTTACAAGTCTTTCAAAATAGGCTGAGTAGGGATTGATGTTTCTTCTCATATTACAGACAAAAAACAAAACAGGCCGGGCGCGCTGGCTTACGCCTGTAATCCCAGCACTGTGGGAGGCCTAGAAGGGCGGATCACGAGGTCAGGAGATCAAGACCATCCTGGCTAACATGGTGAAACCCAGTCTCTACTAAAAATACAAAAAATCAGCCGGGTGTGGTGGCGGGCGCCTGTAGTCCCAACCACTCAGGAGGCTGAGGCAGGAGAATGGCGTGAACCCGGGAGGCAGAGCTTGCAGTGAGCCGAGGTGGCGCCACTGCACTCCAGCCTGGGCGACAGAGCGAGACTCTGTCTCAAAAAAAAAAAAAAAAAAAAGAAAAAAACTAAAGAAAATAGCTACTTAGAAGAAGTCTTGTAGCATTTGGAGTATATCAATCTTTTTTTCTGGAAAAAACAAATACACCAGTTTTTTTTTTTTTTTTTTTTTTAAAGAGATGTAATAATTAACTCTTTCACTTAAAAATTTTGGATTTATTCTATTATTTCCCTTACATTTCATTGTTTACATCATATTTTTTCTTACACATATTTTATCTCCTCTTTCTTAGCCAGTTATTTCTTGCAATTAACTTTGCAATTTGGCCTCTTTTTACACACAGAAATCAATATTCTTCTATTTTTGTAGTTCTAATTTTGTGGGTTTTATTTATTATCTTTGCTTTATAACTCTTGTCATTGCCTTTGGCCAAAGGCAATAGCACTTTATAAATCTGAACAAATAAGACATTAATTACTAAAATGATCAATTGAATGTAATCTCAGGATATTTTTTAGAAAGCAAAATCAAGGTCTATAAGAGAAGAAGCAAGGAGCACATTCTTTATATTAAAGAAGCCATAACATTTTGTTCCCAGATGTGCCTTATGAATATACCATTTATGAATAGAAAGTAGAAAAATACCAAGGGTGGCCATTTTTGTTTGAGATTTGATACTGTTTGGAGCATCCAATGCAATCCTATTAGAGTTTAAGGATTATGCACTTTTACTATACAATAGAACTAGAGGAAAAATTATGATAAAGTCAATTAAGATATGAAAAGCTGTTTACTAAGCTCAATATTTTGGATAACTATAACTTTGTTACAGGTAATTTTAGAAAACAAGATGAAAGGCAACATAAGATTCCTGGACATTTTATGAAGCACAGTAAATTTTAACTTTTGGAAGCATATAATTTTGATTGTAACACACGGAAACCACCCAACGGTCTTGCCTAAGACCTAGGCCGTGCTTATGAGTTAATGTAAAACTTAATTACTAAAATTTCATGGGTCAATTGGATGTAATCTCAGGATGTTCTTTAGAAAGCGAATCAAGCTCTGTAAGAGAACAAGGAAGGAACACATTCTTTGTATTAAAGAAGCCATAACATTTTGATCCCAGATGTGCCTTAAGAACATAAGAACAGGATGAAGAAAAATAGCAATAGCAGCCAATTTTGTTTAAGTTCATGTAAAACTCAAAATTGCAGCCTACGTCTTAGGCAAGACTGTTGCCTAAGACTGTTGAATGGTTTCCAAGTGTTACAATCCTCTTTCTCTGGCTGAGACCCTAAAGGTCATGGTACTCTTTGTCTCTGTGATTGATTCAAGTGTCCATCTACAGATTTTCAGCTCAATGCCTTCTGGATTCTTGGTGGAAGATGCTGATTCATTCTCCTGAGTAATGAGTATATGAAAAGTATAAACAATTCCACATTCTCCAATGGAAAATGATCCCCCATATCCTTTAATGATGACAAATGCTGGGATAGTAGAGATGTCTAGACTATAATCTGTTCTAGGTATACCCAGTAGCTGTTACCTTTCAATGGCCATCCAGCAATAATGGTTATTTATTAATAATGGGATGCCTGTTCACATTCTATACCCCTGATATAACTCCAGTTAGAGCCATTTACATAAGGTCCCCTTTAAAGCATGGGATCAATATGGTTCCTATTCAGGAAGGCTTTGATTCCTGTTTCTTGGAGGTTCAGCATCAGGTCATCCTGCTCAGGGTTGAGGACTCTTGTCTTCCCCTGTGTGACTCCTGCTGGTATATTCAGGTCCAGTAACTTGGTTCTTGTCTTGCCTCATTATGTTTAGGTCTTTGACTTTGTTTCATGCCTGGTAGTTCTTTACAGCAGTGTTGTGTGCAACAGGATATAAAGTGCTTTTATATGCAGTGCATAATTTCATTAACTTATTATCCATCTAATTTTGAGTTTCAGGCACTATGTTAAGGAGGAGGAGTAAGGATATAAGTACAACAATCTCTTCTCTTAAGGAGTCGAGTTTGGGAGACAGACATCTAAACAGATGACTACACCATAATTCAGAAAGTATAGAACTTTAGTAGTAGCAATGAAAAATAATTCAGGCATATATCTTGATTATAATCATTATTACTAACATCCTCAATTTGCAGGTGAGAGAATTGAGACAGATTGAATACTTAAGGTTAAGTAGCTTATAAATATGAGAGCAGGAACTTGAACCCAGGGACTCTGACTTCAAAATCCCATTTCCTCTAAGATTGAGGTCCTACTCTTTTGATCTTCCCTCTCAGGGACAAAAACTCTCAATTCCAGTTTCTGGGGATGCTGAGGTTTCTGCTTCTAGACTGATGCTAACTAGGAACTTCTGCTTACTGCCAGGGTCTTTTGCCGCTGGGCTCCACCTCACTTACAAGACACCCCTACCTGCCCCTGGGATCTGATCAATGGATTGGCTTGGTTCTTCATTCTCCTGAAACCACAGAGATAATTGCCGGGCTTCTTGTGGGGTCCAGGGCGGCTCCCCAGTTTCCGCTCCCTTAGGGCCTCCCCTCTCTTATTCTAGAGCTCAGCTGCAGGCTTCCTAATAGTTGCTTTTTCAGCACTAGGTCCAGGGGACAGCTCCAAGCAGTTCCCCACTGAGATCCATTAGCATTAGCTTGGTGTTGAACACAGACCCAGCTAGAATCAGATAGATCTTCAAGGGCCTCTTGAATTGTACCAGGAAGTATCACTCTGTGTTTCATCTGAAACAGCTCTTTCAGGGTCCAGCCTGCACTACAATAGTCAATTTCACATTTTTTGGTTGTAAGAAACAAAAGTCAAGTTACTTAAGCACAAAGGACATACATTAGCTCACATAGCTTGTGAGTCTGGGAGTGCATCTGCCTTCAAGTCTGCTTGGCTCCAGAGGCTTCAATAATGCTACCAGAATTTATTCTTCTGCACCTTGGATGAGCTCTTCCACATGATGAATGAGGTGACTACCTACAACCCCGGACTCAGGCCCTGTTAGCTTAGAAAATCCCCAAAAGACACAATCTTTCCTGATAACACCAGCAGCAGTCCCAGGGAAGTCTTAGAAAAATCCAATTGCCCCAACTAAAGTCTATGTTCACCCTTGTGCTGAGGGTGGGTTGGAGGGGCTGTGTCAGAGTGGGATCCACACAGAAAGGAGGTACTTTAGATCATAAGAAGGAGGCAGTGGTCCTAGAGACAAAAATAGCAGGGGTACCCTGTAGTGGAATGCTTGCAATCCATAAGTGATCTGAGGACTATTCTGAGGTAGAACCATCATAACCCCCTCGTAGTTCCTGAAATCAGCTTTCCAGAAGACTCAACAAAGCTCCAGATTACAGATTACCCATTTCTTCACTGTCCCTCTTCCCCAGCAAATAGGTCCCAGGGATAGAATAGCCTGGGGTACCTAACCCCTCCCCCCAGGATTAATATGCAAATAAAATCATAGCATATAACCCCAGGATACATATATTTTTATTTTTATTTTTAAAATTTTTGTAGATGGGGTCTCACTCTGTCAACCAGGCTAGAATGCAGTGGTGCAATTGTAGCTCACTGCAGCCTCAAATTCCTGGGCTCAAGCTATCCTCCTGCCTTGGCCTCTCAAAGTGTTGGGATTATAGGTGTGAGAAACTGTGCCTGGCCCAGGTTACATTTGTAATCTCATCTCTAATATGCTTATAGTGTAGTCTATTCTATAATGGCTTCAGAGATTGTGACGTGAATGAATATTTTTTGAAGAAATAGCCCAAATGTGATAAAATGGGCACTTCACTTATTTTGCAAGAAAATACAATCCTGTCATTTACTTGATTTGTCTGTGAGGAATGACTTTGTGTTTCATTGTGCAAGACACTAATTTCACTTGGATTTTAAAATTCATGTGCTTTCCAACATTCATTTTGGAGAAGAACAAGTTTGCACTCTCTGCCAGCACTTTCTTTTCTCCATTGTTTATTATTAACTTGATGCTTTTATTTAAAGGAGACTCTGCCCAAACTGCTTCTCTGATTTAATTCAACATTGACAAATAAGAGTGAAGAGCACAGCAAGGGCCTAATGGTTCCTACCTGGTCAAGACCCATACTGGGAAAATGCAGCGGCTGGCAGATGTTTCTTTAGATTAATTAACCCCATTGCATAATATTAAAAACAGAATTATTAAGTCTCACATCTAGGGCCAATGTGGTTTGGCATGTGGCTGCTGGAGTCCCACAGAAGAAGCAAGTGCAGCCCCGTTTTGTGATGAAGAGGAGTCTTGGTGACCTCTTCCTGTCCGCTGTGGTGTTGTTACTTCTTATCAGGGTATGCCAGGATCTGATTACACAAATTTGCCTCAAACTCTTCAATTAGGGGCTGTAAGATTTCTCAAGGGTTCTAAGAAGTGAGGGAATTGGAAACTGTCGTCTGAAGTGGACCTACAGCATTATTGGGAATGGCGTGACCCCATGAAGAAAGTGCTAATTATGTCTTGGATGTAAGCTACTTGATTGGTGGATCAAACTTTAGGACATTCTCCGGGTAAGGAGAACTTGCTGTCATCTGAATTCTTGTTCTTATGCTGGCCTTTCTGCACCAGCACCAGCAGCAACAACAAAGACCCTTTTTGGAGGTCCCTCCATGCCAGGCACTCTCCTGGGCATGCTTCCCTCTTTGAGTTAATTATTTTCCAGCCTTGTTTTGAGTAGCAGTAGCAGGATGTGTCTCTTCACTTCTGCCTGGCTCAAAATGTCTGCAAAAAGCAGAAAAGGACATGTTAACATCAAACATCTGCCAGTGATCCTGCCTGGGAAAAAGGGAAGCAAACTTTTACCAAGTAGCCACACTCTATCTGGCACATGCTGAGTGTTGCCACGTGTCACCCATCCAATCCCCACAACAGCCTGAGAGCAGATGTTATTATTATCCTCATCTTACAGGAGAAGAAATCGAAGCTCAAGCAGGTGGAGTAATTTGCCCAAGATCAAACAACTTTCAAGCTCAATGTTCAAACCCAAGCCTGTCAAATGCATAGCTTGCCTTCTTTCTGCTATTGCATGTCTGCTAGGCATTCATGGGAATGGAGGGTCCAGCACTACTGTGTCTATGGACTAATCATAGTATTTTTATCAGGACAGTTTATTTATTTATTTTTGAGACAGGGCCTTGCCCCATTGCCCAGACCGGAGTGCAGTGGCAGTCATAGTTCACTGCAGCCTTCAACTTTTGGGCCCAAGTGATCTTCCCACCTCAGCCTCACAAGTAGTTGGGACTACAGGTGCGTGCCACAATGCTTGGCAAATTTTTAAGATTTTTTGTAGAGATGGAGTCTTGCTATGTTGCCCAGGCTGGTCTTGAACTCCTGACCTCAAGCAATCCCCTCTCTTCAGCCTCCCAAAATGTAGGGATTATGGGCATGAGCTACGATGCCCAGTCCAGGACAGTACTCATACATGTATGAAGACATTTCTTTAAGATCTTAAATGAAGAGCAAATGGCTTTCTACTAGTCATTCTTCCCATTATTCTGGGGAAAATGTTTTGATGGTCAAGGAGCAGGGGTGACTCAGGCATCTTTCTACTTCTCTCTGCAATAATTCTTCTTCCTATTCTAACCCCACTAACAAGGACCCTGAACATGCAGCAGGGGCATGGGGTGGAGTTGTGGAGCTTTAGAACTGAAGAGGTTAGAATTCAAGACATTTGGATCAGAGCTGACCCAATCAGGTTATCATCAAAAGGGAGCAAAATGGCACCCAGAGTGGCTGCCCAGGGAGAGGTGGTTTCTCCTTCCAAGTCGCCCTCCCTTTTGAGGCTTCTCCGAATGCCTGGGTAAGCCTTGCCTTCTGTGTTGCCTTCCATCCTTGCCTTTCATCTCCTGCAGAGCCACCTCTGATAATCGATTTGAACTGAGGTCTGTTCCTCACTCTTCCATCCTGAAGTGGCAGCCACTCTCCTGTTTTCTGCCAGCCCTTTCCTGATACCTCATTTCCACTCCCACTACCTCATTTCCATCCCAAGTGAGGGTTGGGATGACCTCAATTCTCCATTTCTAGACAGCCTCCTCTTACCTATTTTCAAGCACAAGGCACCTTTGCACAGTCCCTCATGAATCCCAAGTAAAGGGGCTTGTGGGCTCCTCTGCTTAGAATCTTTTCCTGCCTGCCACCTAACTTGGAATCAGATCTGAACTTCTTACCAGGGCCCCTCTCAGACCTCATCCTATTCTCCCTACACTCTGGGCACTCTGGCCTTCTTATAAATGCTCCCATCTTGTTCCCATCTTGGAGCCTTGAACTTGCTCTTTTGTTCCTGGCTTCTCTCCTCTGATACTCACTTTTCCTTACATTTCACCTCTCGCTGGCTGTTCCATCACCATGTCTTATTTATTTGCAATATGTATCAATATATAAATTTATCCTATTCAAGTATTTGCCTCACCCCCATGACAGCAGCACTCTATTGCCAGGGCCAAGCACAATGTCTGGAAAATAATAAACCCTCAATAAATATTCATTGAATGAATAATTAAAGAACGATGCCTGGAGAATATTAGGTTTTCAATATATATTGTTGGATGGATGACTGTATTTCATTCTAAAGTGATAGCCCTAGATTCCTAGAGGGTCAGGGATTCATCAACAAAATAGAGCAAAATAATTTCACTTTTGATCAAAATAGAGCAAAATAATTTCACTGTTGATCAAAATAGATCAAAATAATTTCATTTAACAAACTATCTGTTCAGTGCAGGAGCTTAAATTCATAAATCTTTCCTTTTTCTTGAATATGACATTTCCTTTGAAACTTATGTTCTCCCTTTGAAGTACTTTTTCTAAGTCAGTGTGTTTTGATGGCACTGTCATGTGATTATGCTGGTTAGCTGTTTCTTATCAGTAGTTCACGTGGGAATTTTTTGGAACATAAGTTCTTATTAATTACTTGTGTAAATGAAGGACATTTTCTAAAAGAACCCAAAGGAACAAAATACAAAAGCTTGCATTTGAGGGTAAAACTTTTATTCTTGTTAAATTCAAGGCCACTGAGAATAGTTTGCAAGATGATCAATGCCAGACTGATACCTTTCCCTTAGAATTTTATGGTTCTGTTTGTTAAAAAAAACCCCTATTGGAAAACCAGTGCATGGCCTATTATGGTCTCCAGTTATCATAGAAACCCAATTATTCCAACAAGATTCACATGCTCAGTCTGCCTCACTGACCCTTGGGAGCTGATTTGAAAATGATGATGCTGGGGAAAGAACAGAACACTAGGTGACATCAGGGAGTTGTGCAGAGGCTGTAGGCTTAGATTTATTTTCATTTGTGAAATTGAAATAAGTCTCATGAGGACAGGCTGAGATGACATATTTAAATGCACACTGATACAAGTGAAACATGCTGAATACATAATTAATAACTTAAACAAAATATTTATAATTCATCCATAGAATAATCACTCTATCGAAGCAGGGCAACCTTTATAATAAACAGAAAGGAAAAAGTCTGATGTAGAAAAAAGGAAAGCCACCCCATTCTATATACAATGTATTTGGTTCTGGACTTGCATCAGCCGATTATAAGGACTGAACTTTGCTTCCAAGAGCAAGGGCTGGAGCCAAGGGAGAGCATTACAACAGGATATAGAGAAAAGAGCACCAAAAAAGAGGAACGCTTGATTTCATTCTCACAAATCCACATAGACTTTACCGGGGACCTTACTGGGTAAGCAATGTGGCCTTTGTGTAAAATGTTATAAATATGTGAGGCAGTGTTCTCCACTCCTGAGCTCAAAGACAATGCTGGCAAGGACCCACAGAATCTGTGTACCTTTGCAAAGGTCACAGAGAATCAGTGTTGTCCCAGACATGTCATCCATTTCCATAGTTTAAACCATCACCTCCACATGCGGACCTCTCCCAGGGACATCCCTTGAACTCTCCCTGCATTTCCAGCTCTGTACTGGATATATCTACCCAGGGGCAATACTGGGATCTTGCACACAGCAGAACTAAACCAAAAATAACTATGTATCTGTCACCTACTTGCCATAACTGGCTTTTTTCCCCTTTGCCTTATTTCTATCCATGGCATAACCAGCTCCCTACTCAGTCAGCCACTGTCTTCAAGACCCCTCTTCGACCTCGACCATTGTTTTCCATGCCTTTTTCTTTCATTTGGCCGTTCAGTGATTCTTCTTTAGCAAAGTTCCCATTTTCTTCTCTTTCCATTTCTTCTACCATCACCTTAGATCTCTTTCCCCAGATGTTGACAAGTAAACTCCAACTTGAACATCTTCATCTCTTGCAGAACAAAATCAGTGAGCCTGGCATTCTAGATCCTATTAATCAGGCTTTCTCATCTCTTTAATCCAACCTTCCATGGCTTCTCGTTCAAGTTCTCAACTCTAACTTTCCAAACCAGCTCCCTTACCATTCACCAACCACACTGAGTGCTTTTTTTTTTCACCTCCAAGATTTGTTTCCTGCTGTCCGTTTCCATAGAATAATACCCCATTCCCCATTCCCAGCTCTGCGTCTCAAGATCCCATCTATTCTTCAAGGCCCAACTCAAACATAACCAGCCAGGAAGTCTTCCTTGATATCCCTGCTGGAAGTGCCGTCTTGCTCACGTGGGGAAGGTGGTGCACATTCTGGAATCAGACAGACCCGAGTCTGAATCCTGCCTCTGCCATGACCAGCTGTGGGACTTTAAGCCTCAGTTTCCTCACTTCTAATGTAAGGGTAATACTACCTATGTAGGATTCTAATGAGATGGTGTTCACAGAATTTCTAACAGTGCGTAGCATACAGATGGAGCCTGACAAATGATCATTTCATTAATTTCCTCCAAACTCTGTGTATTCTGTCTTCCTTGTTGCCTCTGCGTTGGTATGTATCCGTGGGGCTTTAGTTGATGGTCGTTTTGGAGAGGTGCTATCAAGAGGCATTCAAATTCTGGTTCTGTTGTTTCTGAGCTGTGTGATCTGAGGCAGGTCACTTTACCTCTCTGTGCTTCAGGTTTCTGATATGTAAAACCAAGATTGTAAGCATACCAACCTCAGAGCATTGTTCAATGAGCTAATACATGAGTTTGGCAAACTTATTTTCCCATAAAGGCCAGATAGTGAATATTTGAGGCTTATGGGCCATATGATCTCCGTCACAACTACTCAGCTCTGCTGTTGTAACATAAAAGCAGCCATAGACAATACCTAGCAAATGAGCATGGCTGTGTTCCAATAAAACTTTATTCACAAACATGGGTGATGGGTAGTAGCTGCCAACCCCTGAATTAATATATAAAATGCTCAGAACAGAGCCTGACAATTAGTAAGCACTCAGTTACTATTAGTGGCTGTTATTATTGTGTAATGAATCATATTTTGTTTACTTGACTCTAAGAATCATGAGAGCAAGATTTATGGTTCATTCAATTTAATTCTTGTGATTGTCAGAATAATCTTTCCTCCACACCCACAAAGAGATCCATGTCCTAATTTCTGAACCTTTGAATACGCTAGCCTACATAGTAAAAAGGAATTAAGGTTGCAGATGAAATTAATGCTGCTAATCAGTGGATCTTAAAATAGGGAGGTTATCCTGGGTTGTATGGGCGAGCCCTGTGTAATCACAGGGTCTTTCAATATGGAAGAGGGAAGCAGAAAAACACCAGAGAGATGGCAGAGTGAGAATGACTTTGCTGTTATTGGCTTTGAAGAGGGAGGAAGGGGCCGTGATCCAAGGAATGCAGGCAGCCTCTATCAGCAGGAAAAAGCAAGGAAATGGCATCTCCCTTGCATCCTCCAGACAGGAATGCAACTTGCTGGCAATTTGATCTTAGCTCTGGGACACCTATCTTAGCCCTGGGAGACCTGTGTGAGACTTTTTAATAGGACTGTAGTATAATGAATCTGCATTGTTGTAAGTCATTACATTTATGGTGATTTGTTGCAGCAGGAAAAAAAAAACCGAATACAATTTTCCACGTGCTTAATGCAGAAAGCACAAACTAATCATTGATGGAATGGATATGTTTCTTATTCCTATTTCATGTCTGTGTTAGAAAATGATCTGACAACATATGTTGCTATTACAAACATTGATATGCTTGCAAGGCTTTTATCATCAGCTATTTATCTTCATACAATTGCTGACCTGTCAATAATTACTGACTCCTTCAATGCGTCCAGACAGCTCTGCAGACACAGTGTTTGCTTTTGGGCATTCCTTTCCTTTTCTCTCTCCTCAATTTTTATTTCATGAATTATTTGCACCAGCCTCTTCCCAGGACACCATTTGAAATGTTCTTGTGTAATACTTCATCTTCTCCCAGACCCAGTGACTTACAAGAAAATGGCTTTTCCCTCTCCCTTCTGTTTCTACTCTGATTTTTAACTCTGTAAGATACAGCTTCTTGGTTTTTGAAGTTGTCTTTTATATTTTAAATCTGTTTGTCTCTGCTCTTCCCTGTTGCCAAATGGGAGCGTTTAAAAGTTTTCTGGACTTCTTTTCCCGCCTAGCAGAAAATCATTAGCATTATCCCTATGTATTTTTAGAGAGTGTCTGTAAAAATGTTTCTTAATTTTGCTTTGGCTTAAGAAAGACACATGTTCCCCATGAGGCAGAGTGTGGCCTTACTTGCAGCTCTCTGGATGTTAATGGTTCCTCTTGTTTCCCACTGAATTGGCTTTTATAGCAGCAGAAGACAGGTTGGAACAACATCTTCTGTGCAGTTACTGGAGTGTAGATGAAAGGGCATATACTCCCGGGACTGCTCCGTCAGCCTTTCCATGAATACTTAACTTAGCCTCACTGGTAGGCACTGTGAGAGGTTATGAAGACAAAAGAGCTACTCTACCAGCCTTCAAAATGCCCTGATGTTAGTGAGAAATAGATGTGTATGTAACAGGCCATAATATAGCTTAGGTTTCTCCTCTTGTGCTCACGGCAGGTAGCTATACCACATTCTCCAACCTCCCTGGAAGGTAGGAGTGACCACGTGGCTGAATGCTAGCTAGGAAATTTGAGTTGTCAACCAAGGCAACAAGCAGAGAGAGGCTCTCTGAAAGAAAATATGTTTATTTGGGAATAGGGCATTGCAATGGTAATGCCATAGTAAACTATGTGCATATTCAGGGAAGTAAAGGAAGACAGAGGTTTTTTTAGGAAAAAATAAGGAGAATTATATAATTGTTTTGAAATAACTATCCTTGGCTACAAAGATCAATAACAAGAGTGATGCCAGTCCAAGGTTGGACAGGCAGTTGCTGGGCAGATGTCCTTCTAGAAGTATGTTTTGTGTAAGATTGCAGTGCCCTTTATGCAAGGTTCTGTTTTTTTGTACAGTCTGGTTTGTTATCAGGCCTGATACATACAAGTGAGAACCCTCTCTGCATGATCTTCCCCAGCTCTGTTTTGTTGAAGTTTTCTTAACATTAGTGACTCCATTTTGATTCTGAATATTTTCACAGAGTAAACACAGTGGGTGCCCCTTCAAGGCCTGGGCATGACAATCCCTGGCATCCTTTGCCACGATTTTTTTTTTTCTCCTCCAGGTTGGTCAAATGGACATGGCCCCCAGGGTGGCTGAGGCAGCAGTGTGCTAAAGCGATATATGAGGCCAGGCTGTGTGGAGGAAGTCAGTTTGTCCTATTGATCCATTCACCTGCCCTGGACTGTCATATGGGCAAGAAATAAATACAGGCAGTGTTGAGATGTTATTACCTGTAGTTTATTTATTTGAATAGTTAGCATTGCCTTAATAAATAGATGAGACAATTTGGGATAGGCATAAATGACATTTTAAAATTTTAATAGTTTATTTTTGTTTCAATGTTTAACAAGAAAATTAACACAAAAAACCATGACTTCATGCATGCATGTAGGGCTTGGCTAAAGTAGGTATTTCAGTTTAAAAGGTGATAGCTTGAAAAAAAAGAGAAGGTAAATCATGGTACTAGGTGTATGGCCAAAAATTGATGGCCAAGTGGTGATGTGGGGAACCAGGGGTGGGCATGGTTGTCTGTGTCTATAATTTGGGGGATTCATACCCAATTGTTTCTTCAGTTCTGTGACCTAAAGTTAATATATCTGGGCCCTTTCAGAGGCTCAGGTACCGCATAGTTCTTGACATTTAGTCTCTTTGCAATGACTTTCATTTACACATAAGAATGAAACATAGCAGAAACAAACCCCTTCCTTGTTATTTTTTTCTCCTGCTAGGGTGTTGCAGGGGTAGAAATTCCTGATTGCCGGTTTGGTTTTTTTCTCCCTTCTCTTTCTGGACCCCAGGTGCAGCTTTGAGTTATATTATTTTATTGTCACTGTTGTAGGACTTTGTCATTGTCAGTTTGGGCAAGGCCTGCATGCTTTGTTTTATTTTTCCTTTTCATATCCACTCTCTTCTCTTCCCTCCTCTATAGGCAATGACTGCAATGGATTTATATATGTCCTTACATTTGTATGTATCCTTTGAAATATTTAATATTGTTTGTTTTATATGCATTTTGATTTACCTAAATGGTATGGTGCCATAAATCCTGTTGTGGTTCTTACATTTTACATTTTTCTTCAATGCTGTTTATTGATTTATGTTACAGTCTTTTCTGGTGCTGGATGCACATGTAATTTGTTGCTTCTTTCTGCAGTGTAGCATGCCATAGCATTTTCTTTCTATATTTTTCTTATCTATCTCCCTAAGTAATAGACTTTGCAAAATTGTGTGTCCTTTTGTTTTATGATATAGGACAAATAGAGCCTGGTCTGTGTCTTAAAGAGAAGCCCAGCTCTTACTGAGAAATATTTTATATATTTATATATAAAATGAGTTATGAGATAATTTATAATATGAGATTAATAGCTATTGCTATTGGATTATTTATATATAATCCTATATATAGTATATATATAGAATTATATTACATATATTATATATATAATCAAATAGCAATAGCACGTGATGAAGGTTACTTCTTAATTATAGAACCATGGAACTAAAAATGGCACTAAAGATAATAATGTGCAGGGTTTTAAAAAAATTCCAAGGTGGGTTAAGCAAGTGTTTGAATATCATTTTGAAAAGTATAATTTAATCTATTTCCAAATGGCATGAATGAAATAGCATGCACATTTAAATGTGATACATATCAAAGATTAACATGCAGCTTTCAAACTGATATTTCAACAGGAGCCAGGCAGATAACACCGAGGGAAGTGGTTGGTGTGTTTCCCTAGGGAGGGGTGGTAGGGACTGAGGCAAACCAGCGGGTACCTGGCTGCTTCAGAGGAGCAGCCACTGTTTGGTCCTGGCCAATGCCTGCCAGGTGGGAGTGTGGGTCCAGGGTGGTCAGATCTTTTGATTTTTCAGGAGAAACAGACAATTCCTATTTTCATGAGAAATCTCATTTTATAACAATCTGTCAGCCAAACAAACAAACAAAACAAAACAAAAAGCCCAAACACCAAAAAAAAAAAAAAAAACCCTATAAAACAAACTGTGTTTGTGGAACATATACAGTCTATGGGACACCTGCTTATGCCCTGAGCGGGGGGAGAGAATTTCTACTTGAGACTAAACTAGGACCCTAAGGACTTCGGGATATGGTTTTGTTGCCTGGTTAATGTGGGTGTTCTTAGGAGGACAAAGAATTCCTCTGTGAGGAGGTCTCGTGAGTTTGCATGCAGATGTGGCCTTTTCAGAGTGAAGGGGACAGCATCATGGCCCTAGTGAGGCTGTTCATGGCTGTCACAGCCTTCTACTCAGAAGGCTGAGCCTCCACAATGTCTGATCCCTTTTCTGCAGTCAGGTTTTGTTGCTGTCAGATTGGACATGTGAACAGTTAAATCTTGTGCCATTGCCTGCTGGGTGCAGATTAAATGCCCAAGAATACAGACTCCGTGGGTGTTTGAGGCGTGCCCCCTCTGGAGTCTCTCTGGCACCACTGGTCTCTCTGCACCTGCATCAGGGTTAACCCTCTCCTGTGGTTAATTCTGCTTGGTAGTGTCCTCTGGAGCTCTGAGTTACACCAGGGGTGTACTTAGGTACTCCCCAGGTCTTTGTGGAAACTCCAAAGAAAACAAATCCACCTTGAGCAAGGCCCTGCTTCTCCCTGCCTTCCCTTACTGATTGTACAGCTGAAATTACAAACTGTTCTAATTGGGGTTCTTCCAAAAGCCTACCCTGAGACAAGCATTTGAGTGCAGGTTGGTTTATTTGGGAGTTAATATCAGGAGTCACTAGTGAGGAAGCAGGGAAGATGAGACAGGGAAGGGAGATGAGCCCACAGAGTGTGTTAATGAGTGGGCATCCCTGTGCAACAGGGCTCAGTCCCAGGAACTCTCTGCAGAACCTCTGAAAGAACATGCCGGCAGAGAATGGGGAGGCTGGGCCATTTGTCCTCCAGTTCTACCTTCCTTTGATTGAGGGCTGTTCTGGGGAGGGGTGGTAGTGACATTAGGCACTTCACTCTTCTGGGTTGTGCCTGCTTGCACTGGAGCCAGCTCCTGTGGGTGCTTGCAGTGGTGAGCTGTCTGCATGCTAGAAAGTCCCGCAGCTACAGGTGAGCTCAGGTGGGCCAGGGAGATGCAGGGTCAAGATGAACATCTATCTGTCTTCTCTACAGCCTGTGTCTGAGAGTCACAAGGGATAGATAAAACAAGGTCATCTGGGAACAAATGATAGCTGGAGCTCTGATTTGCTACATGTGATATGATTCTGCCTCCCCTGTAGGTTTTCATCTTTGACTTTTGGCTTTCTTTCTTTCCTTTCTTTTTCTTTTTTGAGACGGTGTCTCACTCTGTCTCCCAGGCTGGAGTGCAGTGGCGCGATCTCGGCTCACTGCAACCTCCGCCTCCCAGGTTCACGCCATTCTCCTGCCTCAGCCTCCCCAGTAGCTGGGACTACAGGCGCCTGCCACCACGCCCGGCTAATTTTTTGTATTTTTTTAGTAGAGACGGGGTTTCACTGTATTAGCCAGGATGGTCTTGATCACCTGACCTCATGATCCGCCCGCCTCTGCCTCCCAAAGTGCTGGGATTACAGGCGTGAGCCACCGCGCCCGGCCGACTTTTGGTTTTAACTCTGTATTCCCCATGGATGACCCTGGCCTCTCTGGGGTGTTCATATGGAGGTCTGCACTCATTTCAATGGGCCGCCAGCGGGCACAAGACTATCCTGAATCTTTGGCCAAGACCAAAGGAGGATTTGGACTACCCTATAAAGCTCATTTGTAGAGGAGAAACCTCAACATAGACACAAACTTGGCATATGCAGTGAAAACACAGTTAACCATTCAAGAATTGCCTCTAGCTGCCATAACATGAAGGAGTTTTTTTTTTTTTTTTTTTGCTTTTTTTTGTTGTTGTTGAGATGGGGATCTCATTATGCTGCCCAGGCTGGGGTATAAACCCTCTGTAAATTCAGAGATTACTTGGCTCTGTACTGGATCTGAAGACAGACACCCCTCAGCAAAGTGGCAGAAATGAAACCATCAAAGATATTAAAATAGTTTAAATAGAAATGACCACAATTCTGGCATGTGTTTGGGATACTTTCCCATGGAATACTTATGCTCTGGGTCTCACAGATGGAATCTCTTGCTTCAGTAACAGGCTTAAGCCAATGGGAGATTGAAAGCCAAGGTCAATTGTATGGAGAAGCCAAGAGTGCTGATTTGACATTACAGGCTGTAGAAGTCAGTGCAGTGTTTTGCCTGGGGAATGCGGTAAACTTCGGAACATAAGGTTTCACGTTGACACAGTCGTTTTGGAATCAGAAGTCTCCAGGGTCAGGGATTATGGCCTCTTGGGTTTAGATTGCAAAGTGTCAGGGGTGATGGGCAGAGTCTGCCAGAGGTGGGGTGTCCCCATCCCACAGGGTCCCCAGGGCTCCTGCCTACAGTAAACACACTTACGATGACAACTATTTCTATTAATTGAGTGGCTTATTTATGTATTATTCAACAGCGAGTTTACTGAGTCCTTTTGAAATGTGCTAAATGTTGGGAATTCATTAGGGAATAAGACAAATGCAGGCTGGGTGTGGTGGCTTACACCTGAGTTCGAGACCAGCCTGGACAACATACAAAAATGAGCTGGGTGTGGTGGTGGACGCCTGTAATCCCAGCCGCTCAGGAGACTGCAGCATGAGAATTGCTTGAACCATGGAGGTGGAGGTTGCAGTGAGCCAAGATCGCGCCAGTGCACTCCAGCCTGGGTGACAGAGTGAGACTCTGTCTCAAAGAAAACAACAACAAAAAACAAACAAACAAAAAACAGATGCATGACCTGCCATCCTGGAGATTACCATTTAATAGAGAAACCAGACAAGAAAACCCCCAAAACACCCCCTGTTCCCACAAAAAAGAAAAGAAACAAATTACTAGACCATTTTCAACTGTGATGGATATGATGACCTGGGTGGGAGTGTGTGGGGGAGGGGGACTAAGAGAAACCGCCCAGCAGAAGCCGCCCAGGAGACAAGGTTGTAGCAGAGAGGCGATATGATATGAAGCAGCTGGCAGGGAAGAGCAGGGAGCTGGGGGAAAACCACATGTAAAGTCTGCAAATCAATGATAAGAAAAGCTGTGCATTTGAGCAACTTGTAGATAAATATTGTGTTTGTAGCTGTTTTTGGAGATAGACTGACCTGAGCCACTAACCCATCTTAGCCACTTCTTAGGGACGAGATCTTGGAAAAAGATAGCCTGGCACAGCCTTGTTTTTCTCATCCGTAATCACATAGGGTGTGAAGGGAGGAGAGAGGATGGGAAGAGCTTGATCTGCTCCTGGTGCTGTGGCTTTCAGCTTTGGATGCTGCTTAGAACACAGGAAGCATCTGAAAATACCAACACCCAGGCTGTTCACAGGCCAACGGCCCCAGAGGCTTCAGGGATGGGGTTGTGGCAACAGGTTTTTGTTTTTGTATTTTTTTTAAAGCTCCCAGGTGATTCCAATGAGTGCCGGGTTGAGAACATCTACTTGAGCATGATGTGTTCAGCTCCACAGCTTGGAAGCATCTATACCTATTATTTGAAAATACAGAAATGATCGAATCTCCCCAAAGCCTACGTACTGCTTTGTTTTTCAGTCCTTCTGGACTTCCGGTCAGTTGATCCACCATGGCTGTTGTTTCAAGTTCAGCATTCATGTTGGGAATTTTGGAAAAACATTTTTATTGAAGTGCACTATACACACATATCCTAAGTGTACAGTTTGAAGAATTGTCATAAGGTGAACACACCTGTTTAACCAGCATGAAGGTTGAGAATTAGGTCTTTATTCTCCCAAGAGCCCTTGAATGCCCGTAGCAGTTACTACCCCCATCCCATCCCCATAGGTCATCCCTAGCCTGACTCCTAACAGCTGCATTGGGATTGAACTCCAGGTTGGCCTCATTATCCAGAGATGCAGATAGCCAGGCATGGTGACTCATGCCTGCAGTCCAGCTACTTTGGAGGCTGAGGCAGGAGGATCACTTGAGCCCAGGAGTTCAAGTCCAGCCTTGGTAACATAGTGAGACTTTGTGTCAAAAAAATGTATACACATATGTGTGTGTGTGTGTGTGTGTGTGTATTTTTATATATATATATATATACATACATACATATGAAATATATAAAATTATATATTTTATACATATTATATATATATGTATATATATCTTGCTTTTGTGAGCCAGAAATCAGCAAGAGGCACACCCAGAAACCACAGGGCACCTACCTGTCAATTAGGAGTTCATAGTGCTGCAAAATCACAGAAATACTTTTGGGCAGGAACCAAGAACCCTGCTGGCTGAGGAAGTGGTGCAGTGATTGTGTGCTGGGCTCTGGAGTCAGACAGATCCCCTAGATTTGGGACTGCTTCTACCATTCCCTAGCTAGGTGACTTTGGGCAGCCTTTGGGCAGTTGAGTAACCTCTCAAAGACTCAGCTCACCATCTGTAAAATGGACACCAAAGTATCCAGTTTTCCATCTGCTAGATTATGGCAAGGATGACATCAAATGTGGCCCATGAACAATTCAGTTCAGTGCCTGTCACACAGTAAATGCTGAATAAATGTTAGCTCTTCGCTTGACACAAATAGTTATGAAATTCCCATGGAGAATATGTGGCTCAATTTACGAAATATACATTTGAAATCTTTTCTTGCTTCTCTCCATTGTATTAGTTCAAACCACTATAGAGTTTGTGTTGGTTTCTTTTAAGCAATTTCTTTGATAAAATACACACAACAGATTTACTATCTTAACCACTTCCAAGTGTACAATTCAGTAGTGTTAAGTATATTCGCCTTGTTGTGTAACCATCACCACCATCCATTTTCAAAACTCTTCTCATCCCGCAAAACTGAAACTGTATACTCATTATACATCTTTCCAATCCCCTCTCCCCACAGTAGATTCATTCTACTTTACGAATCTGACTACTATAGGTATCTCATATAAGTGGAATCATTCGGTGTTTGTCTTTTTGTGACTGAATTATTTCACGTAGCAGAATGCCCTCCGGTTTCATCCATGTTGTAGCAGGTGTCCAAATTTCCTTTCATTTTAAGGCTGAATAATATTCCATTGACCATATAGACAATATTTGGTCTATCCATTTATCCAAGAGATGTTTGGATTGCTTCTACCTGTTAGCAATTGTGAATAATGCTGCTATGAAAATGGATATACAAATATATCTTTGAGACTTTGCTTCCAATTCTTTCAGATGCATATCCAGAAGTGGAATTGTTGGATCATATGGTAATTCTATTTTTAATTATTTGAGGAGCTGCTATATTGTTGTCAACAATGGCAGCATCATTTTATTTTAATTAATTAATTAATTAATTAATTAACTTATGAGATGGAGTTTTGCTCCTGTTGCTCAGGCTGGAGTGCAATGGCATGATCTTAACTCACTGCAACCTCCACCTTCCGGGTTCAAGTGATTCTCCTGCCTCAGCCTCACAAGTAGCTGGGATTATGGGTATGTGCCACCATGCCCAGCTAATTTTGTATTTTTTGTAGAGATGGGGTTTCATCATGTTGACCAGGCTGGTCTTGAACTCCTGACCTCAAGTGATCTGCCCCCTTGGCCTCCCAAAGTGCTGGGATTACAGGCGTGAGCCACTGTGTCTGGCCAGTGGCACCATTTTATATTCCCACCAGAGATGCATAGGGTTCTAACTTCCCCACATCCTCACCAACATTTGTTAGTTTCTGTTTGTTTTGCTTTTATAATAACCATCCCAGTGGGTGTGATGCATTGGTTTCTTGGAAAAGCATGCATTTGCCACCTGCTCCTGAAGCCCCAGGCCTCACTTAGGTGCCACCTGTGTTGGCTGGAAGCACAGCCGATGACCACTGTTGAGTTTTCCAGGGTGAATGGATGCTGGTAGAGCTCAAGTTCTGCCCATGGAGGGTTTTAAAGGGTGACAGAGTGCACAGAAAGCTGTATAAGTTGTTTGGAATTCACTTATTTACATGTTTGAACTCAATTTTTACAAAATCTGCCACAGGAGAATACTGTCAAGCAGAAACAAAAATCATGTAGCCTAGAGGCTGTTAGCTTCTGTACAGGCATCACTTTACAAGACTTAATGATATTTTTCATTTCATTTTGTTTTTTAATTTAATTTTTTTTTTTTTTTGAGACAAGAGTCTTGCCCTGTCACCCAGGCTGGAGTGCTGTGGCACTATCTTGGCTCACTGCAAAGTCCACCCCCCAGGTTCAAGTGATTCTCATGTCTCAGCCTCACCAGTAGCTGGGATTGCAGGCACCAACCACCACGCCTGGATAATTTTTGTGTTTTTAGTAGAGATAGGGTTTCACCACGTTGGTCAGGCTGGTTTTGAACTCCTGATCTCAAGTGATCCACCTGCCTCGGCCTCCCAAAGCACTGGGATTACAAGTGTGAGCCACCTTGCCTGGCCAATATTTTTCAAATAGTTCATTGGTATCACATGTTTACTAAATACACAACAAGAGCTGCAGACTGGTCTGTACTGAGTATGTCTGCCAGAGCCCTGAAAGTGGGAGTGTATTTATGAAATACATGTCTTTTTCTCCCTGCTTACAGAATTAATAAGGATTTTTCATGAAGAATCCAAACATTGGAGAAAGAATGTCAAATGTGAAAGCCCCTAGAATTCCATCCTCCATGTAAAACCACTGCTAAGAGTTGGTGTATGGTCCTTCAAATACACAAAAACATATGTGTCTAGGGTAATGCACCTGACAGCAATAACTGAAGCATACCCTTAGAATGATGGTGTATGGCAGACACACCTGAATGTGTTCTGAGATAGGGAATCCAGGCGTGGCCAACCCAGAGTCCCATTCCTTGTCTATGTTAAACATCTGAGCCCCTGGCCCATTCGGTGGAACACCGGCTGTATGGGGGATTGAGGCCCTGAGTTTTTGGATAAATGAAGGTTGTCAAATGGAGGTCATTAAAGGGAGAGTGTTAAGTGAAAATGCTGTATGCTATAGAAACTGCATGATGTTCACAAGTAGTTGCAGGTTTTCCTGTCTAGCCTGCTGCCATTGGAGTGTATGTAAGGTGGATATGTTGTCCAGGACACTGCCACTGGACTCTCTCCACTGTATGTGGCTCCTAATAAGACCCCATGTCTTGTTTGCTGGCTCTGGGTCCTTCATCAGCCTCTTGAACCCGGTGGCTTCCCTACTGAGGTTAACAGGGGTTCAGCACAACAGTGTGTACGCACATTTTCTTTTCGGAAGCATGTACTTCAGTGCAGAGCATCAATATGTATTTTTACAACCTCACTTTTTACTGTGACTTCCCAGGGAGTGGGCTTCTCCATCTGGTTGTTTTTGGTTTTTTTTGGAATGCATTTTTTTTTATACTTTAAGTTCTGGGATACATGTGCAGAACGTGCAGGATTGTTACATAAGTATACATGTGCCATGGTGGTTTGCTACACCCAACAACCCATCATCTACATTAGGTATTTCTCCTAATGCCATCCCTCCTCTTGCACCCCACCCCCTGACAGGCCCCAGTGTGTGATATTCCCCTCCCTGTGCCCATGTGTCCTCATTGTTCAGCTCCCACTTATGAAAGAAAACATGCAGTGTTTAGTTTTCTGTTCCTGTGTTAGTTTGCTGAGAATTATGGTTTCCAGCTTCATCCATGTCTCTGCAAAGAACATGAACTCATTCTTCTTTATGGCTGCATAGTATTCCATGGTGTACATGAGCCACATTTTCTTTATCCAGTCTAACATTGATGGGCATTTGGGTTGGTTCCAAGTCTTTGCTATTGTGAAGAGTGCTGCAATAAATATACGTGTACATGTGTCTTTATAGTAGAATGATTTATAATCCTTTGGGTGTATACCCAGTAATGGGATTGCTGGGTCAAACGGTATTTCTAGTTCTAGATCCTGGAGGAATTGCCACACTGTCTTCCATAATGGTTGAACTAATTTACACTCCCACCAACAGTGTAAAAGCATTCCTATTTCTCCAAATCCTCTCCAGCATCTGTTGTTTCTTGACTTTTTAATGATCGTCATTCTAACTGGAGTGAGATGGTATCTCAATTGTGGTTTTGATTTGCATTTCTCTAATGACCAGTGATGATGAACTTTTTTTCATATGTTTGTTGGCAGCATAAATGTCTTCTTTTGAGAAGTGTCTGTTCATATCTTTTGCCCACTTTCTGATGGGTTTTTTTTTTCTTGTAAATTTGTTTAAGTTCCTTGTAGATTCTGGATATTAGACCTTTGTCAGATGGGTAGATTGCAAAAATTTTCCCCCATTCTGTAGTTTGCCTGTTCACTCTGATGATAGTTTCTTTTGCTGTGCAGGAGCTCTTTAGTTTAATTAGATCCCATTTGTCAATTTTGGCTTTTGTTGCCATTGCTTTTTGTGTGTTAGTCATGAAGTCTTTGCCCATGCCTACGTCCTGAATGGTATTGCCTAAGTTTTCTTCTAAGGTTTTTATGGTTTTAAGTCTTACATTTAAATCTTTAATTCATCTTGAGTTAATTTTTGTATAAAGTGTAAGGAAGGGGTCCAGTTTCAGTTTTCTGCATACGGCTATCCAGTTTTCCCATCACCATTTATTAAATAGGGAATCCTTTCCCCATTGCTTGTTTTTGTCAGGTTTGTCAAAGATCAGATGGTTGTAGATGTGTGGTGTTATTTCTTAGGCCTCTGTTCTGTTCCATTGGTCTATATCTCTGTTTTGGTACCAGTACCATGCTATTTTGGTTACTGTAGACTTGTAGTATAGTTTCAAGTCAGGTAGCATGATGCCTCCAGCTTTGTTCTTTTTGCTTAGGATTGTCTTGGGTATACGGGCTGTTTTTTGGTTCCACATGAAATTTAAAGTAGTTTTTTCTAATTCTGTGAAGAAAGTCAGTGGTAGCTTGATGGGGATGGCATTGAATCTATAAATTACTTTGAGCAGTATGGCCATTTTCATGATATTGGTTCTTCCTACCCATGAGCATGGAATGTTTTTCCATTTGTTTGTGTCCTCTGTTATTTCCTTGAGAAGTGGTTTGTAGTTCTTCTTGAAGAGATCCTTCACATCCCTTGTAAGTTGTATTCCTAGCTATTTTATTCTCTTTGTAGCAATTGTGAATGCGAGTTTGCTCATGATTTGGCTCTCTGTTTGTCTATTATTGGTGTATAGGAATGCTTGTGAGTTTTGTATATTGATTTTGTATCCTGAGACTTTGCTGAAGTTGCTTATCAGCTTAAGGAGTTTTTGGGCTGAGACAATAGGGTTTTCTAAATATAAAATTATGTCAATTATGTCATCTGCAAACAGAGATAATTTGACTTCCTCTCTTCCTATTTGAATATGCTTTATTTCTTTCTCTTGCCTGATTTCCCTGGCCAGAACATCCAATACTATGTTGAATAGGAGTAGTGAGAGAGGGCATCCTTGTCTTGTGCTGATTTTCAAAGGGAATACTTCCAGCTTTTGCCCATTCAGTATGATATTGGCTGTGGGTTTGTCATAAATAGCTCTTATTATTTTGAGATATGTTCCATTAATACCTAGTTTATTGAGTGTTTTCAGCATGAAGGGGTATTGAATTTTATCGAAGGCCTTTTCTGCATCTATTGAGATAATCTTGTGGTTTTGTCATTGGTTCTGTTTATGTGATGCATTATGTTTATCAATTTGCATATGTTGAACCAGCCTTGCATCCCAGGGATGAAGCTGACTTGATCATGGCGGATAAGCTTTTTAATGTGCTGCTGGATTCAGTTTGCCAGTATTTTATTGAGGATTTTCGCATCATTGTTCATCAGGGATATTGGCCTGCAATTTTCTTTTTTTTGTTGTGTCTCTGCCAGGTTTTGGTATCAGGATAATGCTGGCCTTAGTAAATGAGTTAAAGAGGAGTCCCTCTTTTTCTATTGTTTGGAATAGTTTCAGAAGGAATGGTACCAGCTCCTCTTTGTACCTCTAGTAGAATTCGGCTGTGAATCCATCTGGTCCTGGGTTTTTTTTGTTTGGTAGGCTATTAATTACTGCCTCAACTTCAGAACTTTTTATTTGTCTATTTAGGGATTCGACTTCTTCTTGGTTTAGTCTTGGGAAGGTGTATGTGTCCAGGAATTTATGTATTTTTTCTAGATTTTCTAGTTTTTTTTTTTTTTGCATAGAGGTGTTTATAGTATTCTTTGATAGTAGTTTGTATTTCTGTGGGGTCATTGGTTATCTCCCCTTTATAATTTTTTATCGTGTCTATTTGATTCTTCTCTCTTTTCTTCTTTATTAGTCTGGCTAGTGGTGTATCTATTTTATTAATCTTTTCAAGAAACCAGCTCCTGGATTCATTGATTTTTTGAAGGGTTTTTCATGTCTCTATCTCTTTCAGTTCTGCTCTGATCTTAGTTATTTCTTGTCTTCTGCCAGCTTTTGAATTTGTTTGCTCTTGCTTCTGTAGTTCTTTCAATTGTGATGTTAGGGTGTTGATTTTAGAGCTTTCCCGCTTTCTCCTGTGGGCATTTAGTGCTATAAATTTCCCTCTAAACACTGCTTTAGCTGTGTTCCAGAGATTCTGGTACATTGTGTCTTTTTCTCATTCATTTCAAAGAACTTATTTATTTCTGCCTTAATTTTGTTATTTACCCAGTAGTCATTCAGAAGCAGGTTGTTCAGTGTCCATGCAGTTGTGTGGTTTTGAGTAAGTTTCTTTTTTTTTCTTTTTTTTTTTTTGAGACAGAGTCTCATGCTGTCACCCAGGCTGGAGTGCAGTGGCATGATCTCAGCTCACAGCAACCTTCGCCTCCTGGGTTCAAGCAATTCTCCTGCCTCAGCCTCCCAAGTAGCTGGGACTACAGGTGCCCACCACCACACCCAGATAGTTTTTTGCATTTTTAGTAGAGATGGGGTTTCACTATGTTGGCCAGACTGGTCTTGAACTCCTGACCTCATGATCCACCTGCCTTGGCCTCCCATTGAATGAGTTTCTTAATCCTGAGTTCTAATTTGATTGCACTGTGGTCTGAGAGAGTGTTATGATTTCCGTTCTCTTGCATTTGCTGAGGAGTGTTTTACTTCCAATTATGTGGTCAATTTTAGAATAAGTGCTATGCGGTGCTGAGAAGAATATATATTCTGTTGATTTAGGGTGGAGAACTCTGTAGATGTCTATTAGGTCTGCTTGGTTTAGAGCTGAGTTCAAGTCGTGAATATCCTTAATTTTCTGTCTCGTTGATCTGTCTAACATTGATAGTGGGGTGTTAGTCTCCCACTATTATTGTGTGGGAGCCTAAGTCTCTCTGTAGGTCTCTAAGAACTTGCTTTATGAATCTTGGTGCTGCTGTATTGGGTGCATATATATTTAGGATAGTTAGCTTTTCTTGTTGCATTGATCCCTCTACCATTATGTAATGACCTTCTTTGTCTTTTTTGGTCTTCGTTGGTTTAAAGCCTATTTTATCAGAGACTAGGATTGCAACCCATGCTTTTTTTTGCTTTCCATTTGCTTGGTAAATCTTTCTCCACCCTTGTATTTTGAGCCTATGTGTTTTTTGCATGTGAGATGGGTCTCCTGAATACAGCACACTGATGGGTCTTGACTCTTTATCCAATTTGTCAGTCTGTGCCTTTTAATTGGGGCATTTAGCCTGTTTACATTTAAGGTTGATATTGTTATGTGTGAATTTGATCCTGTCATTGTGATGCTAGCTGGTTATTTTGCCCATGAGTTGATGCAGTTTCTTCATAGTGTCAATGGTCTTTACATTTTGGTTTGTTTTTGCAGTGGCTGGTAGCAGTTTTTCCTTTCTATATTTGGTGCTTCCTTCAGGAGCTCTTGTAAGGCAAGCCTGGTGGTGACAAAATCCCTCAGCATTTGCTTGTCTGTAAAGGATTTTATTTCTCCTTCATTTATGAAGCTTAGTTTGGCTGGATATGAAATTCTGGGTTGAAAATTCTTTTCTTTAAGAGTGTTTAATATTGGCCTCCACTCTCTTCCGGCTTGTAGGGTTTCTGCAGAGAGATCTGCTGTTAAGTCTAATGGGCTTCCCTTTGTGGGTGACCTGACCTTTCTCTCTGGCTGCCCTTAACATTTTTTCTTTCATTCCCACTTTAGTGGAGGCAAAAAGGATCTCAGATGTAAGTTAAGAAGGGCTGCCCTCTTCTTTAGAAATGAGGAGAAAAGGCCTAGAATAGAGATGGCTTTTGCCCATCATCACACAGCTGATCGGGGGCAGAGAAGTCTACACTCCCTGTTCCCCACCTGGCTCTGAATCCAGTGCTCTTCCTGCCTCACTTGCTGTCCTTTCAGGGGTCACGCCATCCCCTGCCCCATCCCCAAGCCAGAGACACAAAGGCAACACTCACTGTTTGCAGATTCCATATTAACAAATTTGCTTTTAAAAATTTAAAACATATTTGTAACCCCAGAAATCAGTATGCAGGCACTTTCATGGGCATTCACAGACATGCACAGAGCAGCAAAACAATTGAGTCACCCAACATGCACGTTCCCAGCTGAAATGGAACAAGACTATGTTCTGCCTTCTTGTTTCAGCTCTCATACTATAAACAATGTCCTTTTAATGGTTTATTTAATGCCACTTTTTTTTGCATTGTTGTGCTTTTTGCTGGTGATTTCACTGTTTAAAATGACATACCACTGAAGCACCATCTGTTGTTTCTAAGGGTAAGAAGGTTGTGATATATATTACAGAGAAAATACATGTATTATAGAAGCTCCATTCAGGCATGAGTTACAGTGCTGTTTGCATTGAGTTCAATGTTAATGAATCAACAACATCTATTAAGTAAGGTGCCTTTACACAAAAACACACATTTACAGGTTACATATTAATTGGCTGATGAAAAGCTTGTGACCAGAGGCTCATGGGAATCTAACCCTGTATTTCCCCTAGAAACAATGGTTAAGTATTGCTAATTAAGTGTTCAAGGTGACTTTATAAAATATGACTACTGTGAATAGTGAGAATCACCTGCATATTCGAATAGGCCATCAACACAGATCACAAAGCAAAAACATACAAGTCATATAGGAAAGGTAGATGATCAGAACCAGGCCCTAGGCAGATGCATCCAAGAAGTGAGGCAGAAGGTCAAAGTCCCTGCAGGTATTCATCCCAGAGAGAGAGTCTTAGTTTCTAAGTGTTAATTGGGAAGAACCAAGTCCCTCAATTGAGCATTTCTGAAAGTTCATCAAATGTCTACTGAGCATGTGACCAGCATTTGAAAACGTGTCATTCTCAGATCCATGATGATTTTTGAAAGCAAACAGAGCAGGAAGCCCAGAAATTTTGAAAGAGAAGAATCACAGCAAATGTATGCATTAGCCTCTCTGCCTCAAATTCTCCCTCCAGTGAACTCTGCTGTCTTTGGAGTCAGATGGAGCTTTCTTTTGGCTGAACCTCCTGCAACCCTGGCTCTGGCACTAGTCTTTGATTCTTGCAAAAACAAAACAAAACACACACAAAAAAACAGACTGAGGATTCCTGGGCAAGATGGCCAAATAGGAACAGCTCTGGTCTGCAGCTCCCAGTGCGACCAATGCAGAAGGCTGGTGATTTCTGCATTTCCAACTGAGGTACTTGGTTCATCTCATTGGGACTGGTTAGACAGTGGGTGCAGCCCACAGAGGATGAGCAGAAGCAGGGTGGGGTGTCGCCCCACCTGGGAAGTGCAAGGGATCAGGAAACTCCCTCCCCTAGCCAAGGGAAGCCCTGAGGGACTGTGCTCCCTCTTTGCGTTTAAGAGATAATCACCTTTCTCTTCAAGTCAGTCCTATGGCCCTGTGTTTTCTCATGTCAAGATCTTGAGCCTTAAAATAAAGTACAAAAATCTGTTCATACCTTGACTTGCAAAGAAACATCCTGGCTTGCAATTGTGGAAAGATCAAGGTGACTAATGAGAGTATCATTATATAAAGAACATGCAATTCTAGAGCCAGGGTTGTCTTTTCCAAGCGAAGGGCAATTGAAGGTGTTGGTAGCATGGCTCTGGGTTAATATATTGATAGAAGTGAGTGGTATGGTTAATGCTTCATAGTGCAATTTCTGTGTAACTTTGCTCAGCAGGTGAAATGGCAAGAATAACCTGGCAAAATTTTCAGAGGGAAAATATCCGAGAGAAGACTGCAATGACATGTTTATTATGAAGTGAAATTATTTGTTCTAGGAATTAAGGCGCACCCACCATGTGGATGTACTCAGCCAATCATTTTTAATTAGAATGAGAAATGATCTAATAAACTTGTGTTATGATAATAGCAGTTAATTAAATAAAAGAGTATGCAGTAGGAATTCCCCATTTTTCTTTCTCACAACTAGGAGAGAAGGCACCAAGGATGGGCTGGAGAGGAAGGTGACCTTTCCAGGCAGGCAGGTGAGAAAGCCACTAAAGAACATCCTGATTCATGCTTTCTATCACGTTTCTAATGAACGTGGCCCAGTTCCCACTGGAAGGTGGAGAAAATCCATAATGTGCTAGAGTGCTTTATTTTTCCTCTCAAATCAGAACTCAATTTGTCACTGCCACGTAAGAAGTGAAAAGGTCATCTTCTCACTTTGAAGTTTCTGAATCATTTAATAGCTAATTTGGACTGCTAATTACTACCTTTCACTTCTGTAATTATTTTGAATTATTGTTCTCCTGCTACTATTAATGGGCTAGGCAGGGACAATAAAACCTGGCTCTAAGTTCCAATTGGTTAGCCTGGCAAATTGAGCTACTTTGAAGTGGCAGAGGGGGCTTTGCTATTTCACTCAGCTTTGCTGGGCCATTGACAAAAAAGAAAAAGAAAAAAAAATCAGCAGCTGAAACATTATTTGCATTTTCCCAATCTGGAACTGCTTTTCATTAATATTTTGCATGGCGACCTTCTTTCTGGCTGAGCCCCAGCGATAATGAAGTTAAGCATACTTCCTCCACTGTTCTAATTGCTTTTGTGGTCCCCAGATAGACCCAAAACACCTGTAGGCTTAATTATCTATCCACAGACCTTCTTGGAGTCAGCCATGTGGCCAGAGAGGTTAGGAGAAATCTTGGTCAAACACTGAGAACGAATTAGACAACATCTTGGGAATGTTTTTAATGTTATGATTCTGGAATGCAATTTCTGTGAACGTAGTCATGTTGATCCTTTTTTTTTTTTTTTGAGACAGAGTCTCGCTCTTTCACCCAGGCTGGACTGCAGTGGCGCTATCTCAGCTCACTGCAAGCTTCGCCTCCCGGGTTCATGCCATTCTCCTGCCTCAGCCTCCCGAGTAGCTGGGACTACAGGCGCCCGCCACCACGCCCAGCTAATTTTTTGTATTTTTAGTAGACAGGGTTTCACCATGTTAGCCAAGATGGTCTCGATCTCCTGACCTCGTGGTCTGCCCGCCTCGGCCTCCCAAAGTGCTGGGATTACAGGCGTGAGCCACCGTGCCCAGCCATGTTGGTCCTTTTTAAAGTCATTTTGGTAAAATATTTCAGGTTGACTTTAGACAGATGATCAATCATGTTGGTGGTAATGAAAGAGTATCAAAAAGAATTTGCTGACTTCTCCCAAGCAGTAGCCAGAGAGTCTATATTCATTCCTTAAAATCCAAGTCTATATTCATTCCTTAAGTTCTTAAGAATGCCCTAATATCTTCAGGAAGCCCAGCATCTTAACCACTCATCAACTATCTTGCCAGAGGATCTAGCTGTGGTTATAACTCTGGTGAGGGTGGGGAGGGCCCTGAAAGACAGAAAAAGTTGAGAACAAACTTTGTCTGCTCTGCCAGGCTTGGTGGCTCATGCCTATAATCCCAGCACTTTGGGAAGCTGAAGTGGGTAGATCACTTGAGGTCAGGAGTTCGAGACCAGTTTGGCCAACGTGGTGAAACCCTGTCTCTACTAAAAATACAAAAATTAACTGAGCATGGTGGTGTGAACCTGTAATTCCAGCTACTTGGGAGGCTGAAGCAGGAGAATCACTTAACCCTGGGAGATGAAGGTTGCTGGGAGCTGAGATCACGCCACTGCACTCCAGCCTGGACAACAGAGTGAGACTCCATCTCAAAGAAAAAAATAAAACAAACAAGCAAACAAACAAAAAAACCTTTCCCTCCCCTGTAATTTTAACCAGGGCATGCCCTTCTCATAATGTTTGATGAAGTTACTGTAATGACTTTTGTTGATGTACTTTATACATTATACAAATTCATTTATTTTATTCAAATGGTTGAGTTGGCTATTACTAGGTATACGTGGAAAGAGAAATTTGGTGTAGATATGCCAGGTAAATGTTTCAAAGTGACAGAATTTGAGAAGTACAGTTTGGGGTACCTTGGAAGTGATAGGGCTGAAGGGTTAACATTGTATGTCATTCATTCACCATGGGATAAGAGTGACAGCATCAGAGAATGTATTCTCTTTGATTTTTTCCCAGCATTAATCATGACCATCTGTCAGCTGCAAGAGAGGCCTCACGACATTATGGAATAAGAATAGGATTTGGAATAATAAATATAATAGCTACAATTTATTAGGCTATTGCTTCCAAGCTGTGGCTGTACTCAGTTCTTTACATGTATATTTCAATTCCCTCCTCTGATGGAGGCATCATAATCAATCATTCTTATAGATTAGTTAGGTAGGCAAATCACACATGGCCACACAGCCAGGAGATGGCAGAGTTACTGGATGTGGGCTCACGTTTCTCTGTCTCCAGGGCCCATACTCCCGTACTGTCATTTTGGGGGTCCAGAAAGTTCGTTCTCTGAGTAATAGGAAAATTAATAATCATATTGTCAATAATCAAAACAAGGCTTGTGTGGATTAGTAAAGACCAAAATATGTTGAGGAATAAAGGGTTTGCATTTGTTGCCACTGTGACTACAGGTCTTCCATGCATCTTACTGTGGTTTTCTTGGTGCTTCTTACCCTAGCATTAGTAACCATATCATTCTCTATCCTGCTAACCCATGGGATTCAGTCCCACTCAACTCCAGATAGACCCCTCCCAGGAGGGTTTAGATACTGATATAAGAGGACACCCAAACATAAAGCCCTTCAACCTGGTCTTCTAATAAGTTTCTCCAACACCATAATCTAGTCACAGCTGTGTATGTTGTATACCTGGAAGAGTCTAGCACCATGGGCGAGGGCCTTTGGAGACTAAACTGCTCTGGTCCCACTTAAAAAAATAAATTAGCGGACTTTATTTTTAAAAGTAGTTTTAGGTTTGCGAAGAATTGAGTAAAGGATATGGAGAGTTCCCATATTACACCCCCAGTTTCCCCTGTTACTATCTACTTGAATTAGCATGCTACATTTGTTACAATTGATGAACCAACAATGGTATATTATTATTAACTAAAGCCTATAGTTTACATTAGGGCTCATTATTTGTTTTGTACAGTTCAATGGATTTTAGTAAATATATAATGACAAGTGTTCACCATTAGAGTATCATACGGAATAGTGAAACTAAAAATCCCCTGTGCTCCACCTTTTCATCTCCCTGGCAACCCCTGATCTTTTTACTGTTTCCATAGTTTTGTCTCTTCCAGAATGTCATATAGTTGGAATTACACAGACTACCTTTCAGACTAGCTTCTTTGATTTAGAAATATGCATTTAGGGTTGCTCTATGTCTTTTCATGGCTTTTTATCACTGAATAATATTCCATTTTCTGAATGTACCACAGTTTATCCATTCATCCTCTGAAGGACATCTTACTTGATCTAATTTTTGGCAATTATGAATAAACTTGCTATAAACATTTGTGTGTAGGTTTGTGTGTGGACATAAGTTTTCAAATCATTTGAGTAAATACCAAGGAGCACAACTGCTGGATCATATGAGAAGAGCATGTTTAGTTTTGTAAGAAACTGCTAAACTGTCTTCCAAAGTGGCTGTACCATTTTGCATTCCCACCAGCAATGAATGAGCATTCCTGTTGCTCCACACCCTCACCAGCATTTGGCATTGTCAGTGTTCTGGATTTAGGTCATTCTGAGAGACCTGTAGTGGTACCTTTTTGTTTTAATTTGCATATCCCTGATGACATATGATGTGGAGTGTCTTTTCGTATGCTTATTTACCATCTGAATATTTTCTTTGGTGAGGTGTCTGTTAGATTATTTGCCTATTTTAAAAACTGTTTTTTTCCCTTAAGTTGTAAGAATTATTTTTCTATTTTGGATACCAGTTCTTTAAGATATGTATTTTGCAAGTATTTTCTTCAATCTCTGGATTGTCTTTTTACTCTCTTAATGGCCCCACCTTTTAAAGATACATAGATTTATCTCCCTGGGCAAAGTATCTAGTTATTGCTTTCAAGACCTTAACATTATTTTCCCTACAATCTCCTTGGCAGAGCTGTGTCTGCTTTGAGTTTTCTAGTAGGCTGTTCATGCTGTATTTTATAGAGAATGATGTGATCAGTTTCTCTTATGGAGGTGGGTTTAAAAGTCAAAATTAATGTATCAAGTATTTAGGGAACATCTGCTATGTGCGCTGCATCCAGGAAGGTGCTGGGTGATGATGGTGAGCGAGGCCGTCTGAGTCCCTGTCCTCGGGGAACTTACAGTCTAGTGGGAGCGACATCATGAACCAAGTGCAGCCCAGTGTGGAAAGGAAAATGGAAGCAGATTCTGGGGTGGGTGTGGGGGGTCAGACCTGGACCCCAGCTCAGCCCAGAGGGTCAGGAAATGCTTTGCATAAGAAGTGAGAGGATGCTTGAGACCTGAAGGGTGAGCCGGAGTTAGGCAGTGAGAGAGGCAGTGGGTGTATGATGAGGAGACAGTACCAGCTGAGCAAACGGCAGGTGCCTCTGGATTATTTTAGATACCTCATGCTATAGATATGATTGGGTTTTTGGAAACCAAGGAAGGTGGTGAAATTTGCTTAAATTTCCCTTAAGTTTCTTTAAAAATGAACATTTAAGATCCTTTAGGCACCATCTTAAATCAGTGGTTCTCAAGTCAGGCAACATTTTAGAATCCTCTGGATGCTCTTAAAAAAAATTACCCATGCTGGGCCTCCAGCCAGACCATCTGAATCAGTCTCAGGGGGCAGAGCCTGAGCCCTGGCACTTGTTCAAGGCCCGCAGGAGAGTTTCACACATACAGGGTGGAGAATCACTGTCATGAAGGGAGGGGGTTTTGCAGGACAATCCACTTCTGTTTTTGTGATGACATTCTGCTTTTAAATACAGGCAAGCTCTGTGCATGTATGTGCTTTTTGGTGGGCAGGTTTATGCAAACCTACCCCCAAGAGTCAGAGGAAACTGAGAGGCCCAAGAAAGAGACTGAAAGATGCAGTTGCTCAGAAAGAAACATTGAAGAGGGACTTATGAACAGAAGCCATGTCTGAGTCTCAGGCGGTGGTGAGACAAGATGAGACGGTGGCTCTCCGTACCATATTATCCCACATATTCAGGGCAGGAGTGACTCAGAAGGGATGTATAAGACAATTGAAATATGGTAGCATCAAGGTTGTTTTGACCTAAGGGCAGGATTTATGGTAAGTATGAGCTCTTACAGTTTTCAAGTAAGTCTATATGTTTTTATATTGTCTTATATTGATATTTAGTTAATAAATAGAAAGCCAGTAAACTGATCAGTCAGAATTAACATAGAATAGGTGCTGTTTGTTGTTATGTCTGGAATATTTATATTGGAGGTTTGAATCTCTGGGTGGGATTGATCCACATGTTATTGAACCTGTAATGATTAAACTTTGATATTTGTTGCCTTGGGTATTGCTGATGGAGTAATACTGGGCAACACCATGGTTTCCATGTTGCCAACCAATAGCGGAGTGTGTTTTGAGGGAAGATATCTATATGTGTATATTTACATATATTTTGTCTGTATATCTATTTTATAGCTGAGATATATTAATATACATATTATAATTTATTATATTATACTTACAATATTACCTGTATATTACGTTACTTATTTTATCTTATAAAATTATTATGAATTATGTATAATTATGAATTATATAAAATTACATGTATATTTAAAAAATATAACGATACACAATAATTACAGTTTATTTTATATATTATATACTATGTATTAATTATATATAACACTGGGGTTCTCTGGAGGGCAAGGCCTGTGTGGGCTGAGGGTGTGGTATTGGGCAGAAGAGCTGAACTGACCACTAGTTGCAAACTGGAGCCACTTCAGGTGAAGAAGAACGCTGGGATGGTTAGAGGTTTGGTCATGGCAGCCACCTGGGCATTTACAGGATTCTTTTCTTTGTCATGCCCTGCAGACCACTTGGGGAGACCAGTCCCAGTACTTCTGCCATGCGTGACATGGATCTGGGCCACTTTTATTTCTGTATTTGATGCTGGCTGGAGACCTTTTTCTTGTCCTCTCTTCTTCTCTCAAGAGTATTGTGTTCAACCTGGGTCATGGTGACCATTTTTTTTTCCAGTTCTCGTTGGGTAATAATTTCGATAAATCAAGCATGGGTCAAGCCACACTGCCAGGGTTGGGAGGGCCCACAGTGCTTCTCTCAGTGGTTCTTAATCTCAGCCAACTGGCAGAACCACCGAGGTGCTTTTAGAAGTCTCTGTCTGAGTGTTCTGGGTGCAGAAGCTCAGAGCCAGAGGTGACCCTGAGAATTTAATCCCCCAATTCACACCACTGTGGAAATTTGCAGAGCTCTTAGGCTGCCCATATCTTTAGACTTCCTGTAATCCGTAGGATGGATCTGAAGGGGTAGAAAAATCCCAGCTTGCCTCTGGGTCCAATTTCCTAATTTTACACATGGGGAAATGGAGGCCCACAGAACAAGGTCACACCTTTGGACACATAGCACAGTGTGGACGAAGAACCACGTCTTTAGCTCCAATCTGCCTCCGATAGTTGGCTCAGAGTTTATGAAGCTTGAGGTGAGAGCTGCCGAGGAATAAAGGCACTGCTCAGGTCTCAGCTTAATTTATCCTGGTCTGTCTGACAGAATATATTCTCCATTTGCATCTGGAAAAAGGGGAAACCCTAAATTCCTTCTAATTCTAACTTAGGTGTCGCATGCAGCTGAGCCTGCCTCTCTCCGTAGCCAAGCACACCGTGGAATGCAGGGAAAAGACCACAGAGCATAAAATGGGCAGAAATGGGTTTGAAATGGTCCCTGTTGAATCCTTCCTACCTTTTAAAATTTATGTTGTTGCTGTCGGATAATTCTCCTTTCTAGCAACCTTTCAGGTTTTGTTTCCAAGCAAAGCAGCATCTTTTGGAAAAGTGAAAAAAAAAATACCTTTGAATTAAACCCTTTGAATATATGTATATGCTTTTCAAAAATGACAGTAGTTCACTGGCTAATGATATGTATTTGATGAGTGAATTTTGCACTGTTAATGAGGTGGGTCAGAAGAGCTTTTTTTTTTTTTTTTAAAGGCCTCAGTTATGAATATGAAATGCATGGTTTTGGAGATAAAAGGGCTTTATTTTGATACAAAATTGAAATGTGGAGACTTGGAAGAAACATTGATAACCCCAAGAACCCCTGGTGTGATATAAATGTTACTGCTGGTGACAGAAAGTTAAATGAATTTGAAATAAAAATAATTAATTTCATTGCTTCCTGGTTAAAGGGACCAGGGGCGCAGAAGCTCCATGGAACACTGTGAGATTTGTGATTTAGTTGTAACAGATTTCCATAAATGAGATTTAGAACTGGATTTCATCCATTAAAAATTGATTGCTCTGGATAAAGAACAGTTCTAATTTCAATTACTTGGCCCTCATGGTCCAATGTGGTAAATATTTCATGGCTTGGTGTACAGGGCTGTTTTCCAGGTGTCATATATTCACTTAACTTGCCTGGCTGTGTCCCTTGGGTGTCTTTTTCTTCCTATTGAAAATCTTGTTTAGAGCACAGACTCTCCTGTTGTCCCCAAAGTCTGGTTTTCCTGGTCACTGAGACTGGCATTTCGCATGAATTGGTTACGGCAAAGACGTTTCTTGCCTGCGTGAAGAGATGTGGTGCTTCTGGGTATTGGTGTTTCAAATTAAATAGTGGACTGTTGACTGCTCTGAGCGTAATTCTTCCAGGAATGTGTATGCTACTGGGCATTGTTCATCTTTTTCTGTTGCTGTCTCTTCTCTTTCGTTAGACTGCAAGCTTTAAAAAATAAATCCCAGTGCAAATAGCTTTAGAATTTTTCTGATTATAAAAATAATGTTTTTATGGTTTTGAGGTTTACATTTAAGTCTTTGATAGGTGCAGTAAACCACCATGGCACATGTATACCTATGTAACAAACCTGCACGTTCTACACATGTATCCCAGAATTTAAAGTAAAATAAAAAAAAGTTAATTGCAAATAATTTAGAAACTACGGAAATATATGTTTAAAAAAGAACCCATAGACTCTCTACCCAGAAATAGCTTCTGATAATACTTTAATGTATGGTCGTCCAAGATTCTTTTTTGATGCATTCAGGTATCTATGTTTATCTACCTATTTTAACAAAAACATGCTGCCATCCAATATATGCAGTTTTGAAACCTGTTCTTTTTATTTACCAATGTGTTGTGGACATATTTCGTGAATATTGTGATTTTTTAAAGAGCTCTGTTGTGTTTTATTGTATAGATGTTTTGTAATTTATTGAATCCATGTCTTATTAATGGATGTTTGGGTTATTTTTAGTTTTTCGTTATTAAAAATAAGGCTGCAATATATATCCTTTAACTGCATCCTTACAGACTTCCTTAGGACAAATTCTTAAGAGAGTAATTTCTGAGAAATAAATAAATAGTCTTTAAAACTTCTAAAGCATATTGCTAATCTGCCCTCTACTTAATCTTTTAAATCATTGCCGAGGGAAGTGGGAACTCATTGTTTTTTTAATTCGTATTTTCTTGACTAAGTTTTTTTTTTTTATTTCTACCCCCTAGTTGTTTTAATACTGTATTTACTGAAAAGCCAATTCCATGCAGGCTGAGATTTTCATCTGTTTTGTTTCTTCTCTATCTCCTATTCCAAGAAGAGTGGTTTTGACATATAGAAGGAGCTCAAATGTTTATTGAATGTTGAATGAATTACCTTTCCTGTCTTTTGCTCATTTTTTCCATAAAGAGTGCCTGCTTTTTAATCACTGATTTTAAAAAACTTTTTATATACTAAAGATATTAGTTCTTTGCCATGGAGTGCAAATATTTTTCCCAGTTTGCCTTTCATGTTTTAAGTTTGAGGATTTTTATTTTTGCATATAGAAATATTTATTTTTTAACGGGGTCAATTGTATTAACATTTTCTTTAGTTTTATCTTTCCTGTTGAGCTTGAAGAAAAGACTTTCTTATTCTAGAATTAGACAACTGCAACCTTGATTTTTTTCTAATTACTTTTGATGGTTTCACTTTCAACCTTTAAGTTATTAATCTCCATGAAAGTGTTTTGGTGAAACGTAGGGATTTACATTGAATTCTTTCCTTCCATATGGTTTGCCAGTCATCACAACACACTCTCTTTTTCCCCTGGTTGTAACCTTTGAAGGCAGGGAGCTGGAGGGTGAGAACTAACATTTACTGGGGGACTGTTTCTAAGACATATGAAACTTGCCCTATTTATTGCACTTATCCCTCCTAATGTAGCCCTGCAAGGTAAAGGATCCCAGACTAGCAGACTGAGGCTTAGAGAGGTAAGAAGTATGTCCAGAGTCACTGAGTAACCTGGGATCCAGGGATCTCAAGCCCCTGCTCCTTCCACTGATTCCTCAGTCCCAGCATCCGGGTACTTAGGGCTGGCGGACTGCCCTGCCCAGTAGTGCAGCTATCAGCATTGGATGTGCTAACAGCAGACTTTCTACAGCCATTAAAAAATGAAATTCTTGAGTTAAGATGTTTAAAGGAAAGTATTATTTTGGAGGAAGCGCAGATGTATTTAGAGCCTCCCTTTCTAGTCCTAATGTCTGGTAGAGTACCCAAAACATATTTTTCTTGGCTCCTGGACTTGACGTCAAAGAGAAGTACAGAGGTTAGAGGCAGAGAGTATGAATTTTAAACACTCAACATGGAATGAAAGTTAACGTGTGGAAAATAGGGATAATGATTATTATTTAAGATGTGTGAAATGCATTTAAAATCATGTTTGGCAATTCTAGGATGGCAAACATTATTATTTTATTGTTAAACACAATTTGCTCCATTGAGCTGATGCCCAGTGCTTTAAGTGATGTCATTAAGGAATGATGTTTTTGTGCAGTAGTTGTAGTTTAATTGTGTATAGTTTATATGCAACAGAAGTATTTTACCTTAATGCTTTTTCCAAATATTCACATCAACTACATGTAATTACTTGACTGTACTTTTAATGATGCTAAAAATTTAAATTCTGTGGCAACGTAAATCTCTGACAAGACAGTATATTTACTAACACTGAAGGAATGTAAGACCATTGTGCATTTTTAGAGGCTTGTATTTATGCATATGGCACAAACATTTGCATTTTTACATTCATTTATCTTAATTATTGGACACAGTTAATTTAAAACACTAACTTGGACAAAACTAATTGTTCTGTATTATATCAGAATAAATAACATATCTATTTTATAATATATAATATATGCCAAACTATTTGCCATATCTTTATAATAATAAATAACATTTAATAAATAATAAAAGTAAAATAATAATTATACATTAGGTAATATAAACAAATACTACATAAATATATATTTATATTGGGCATATTATGCAATAATTATGATTATATAAATATATTATCAATAATATTTACATTTTAAAATTAAAAGATGATATTGTATCATTATTTGCAAATACTTCCTCCTGGTATTGCTTGCTTTTCATTTTCTTAATGGCGTCTTTGAAGAACACACACTATTAATGTTGATGAAGTCCAGTTTATTAATTTTTTTTCTTTTTAGTTAGTGCTTTTTGTGTTCTAAGGATTGGTCGATAACAACAAGATTGTGAAGGTTTCTCCTATATTTTCTTCCAGAAGCATTTTGGTTTAGCTTTTACTGCTAGGCCTGGGATCCATTTCAAATTACTTTATGTGTATGGTATAAGGTATGGGTTAAATTCATTTTTTTCCATATGGGTGTCAAGTTTTCCAGTAACATTTGTTGAAAAAATTCTATTTTCTCATTGAACTACCTTGGTGCCTTTATCAAAAGTCAGTTATGTGTATACACAGGTCTGTTTTTGGGTACTGCATTCTGTTACATTGCTCTGTGTGTATATCTTACACTAAAACTACAATATCTTTATTACTGTAGCTTCATAAGTTTTGAAATCAGGTAGTGTAAATCATCCAACTTTGTTCTTTCTAAAGTGTTTTGGCTATTTTTGGTGTCTTCATATACAGTTGAAATAGCTTGTTAATTGGTACAAAAGTAAAGTATATGCTGGGATTTTGACTGGGATTATGTTGACCCTGTAGATCAATTTGAGATAATTGACATATTAATAGAATTGAGATATTAAATCCATGAAAATGATACATTTCTCCATTTATATATGCCTTATTTAATTTCTCTCAGCAATGTTTTTGGTGTCTTGGTGTACAGGTTATATACATCTTTCACTGAATTTCTTCCTAAGCACCTCATATATTTTGATGCTGGTGCAAGTGATACTTAAAAAATTCCAATAGTTTTTTGCTTATATATATAAATATACAAGATTGTTTTGTATATAAATCATATTCTGGAACATTTTTAGATTATTAACTTTATGATATTTTAAATATATTCTTTAGTATTTTTCTATATAGATAATTAGGCTGTCTACAAATAAGGATTTACTTCTCCCTTCCCAACCCTCTTGCCTTTTATTTTTTTCTTGTCTCATTGCATGGCTAGAACTTTCAGTGCAATAGTTGAATAGAAGTGGTGAGAGCAAACATCCTTACTTTGTTCCTGTTCTAGGAGAAAAACATTTATTATTTCACCACAAAGTATGATGTTAGCTGTAGGTTTTAGTAGCTGCTCTTTATCAAATTGAGAAAGTCATATGAATAGCATGCTGAGAATTTTTATCATGAATGGTTATTTCATTTTGTCTAATTTCTTTGCTGTATGTATTCAAATGATCGTATAATTTTTGCCTTTATTATGTAAATATGGTAAACTACCTTGATTGATTTTCAGATATTGACTCAATGTTGCATTGCTGGGATAAGCTCCACCTTGTTATGATATATTGTCACTTTTATTTATTACTAAATTTGTTTTTTAAAAACATTTTGTTGAGGGCTTTTGCACTTTTGTTCATGAGAGATTTGGCCTGTAGCTTTTTTTCTTCTAAAGTGTCAGGTTTTGGTATTTGTTTTATGTTGGCTTCATAAAATGAATTGGAAAGCATGTTCGCTACCTCTATTTTCTGAATTTGTGTAATGATGACATTATTTCTTTAGTAAAGTTGGCTTATGTCAGAGGAGAACCTCTAGGTCAATGGCAAGAAGTAAAACTGCCAAAACGTCGTAGATGCTGAAAGTGGGCGATGAGACCTAATGGATTAGAGTAACGCAGTTTATTACTCACAGCAATGTGAACAGCAGGAGCAGTTCCTGCTGCAAGACCCGCAGGGTGTTGTGATGGGATCAGATGGTGACTATGCATGCAATAGTTTGTGCTGTAGCTGAGAAACCCAGGGCCAAGAACTCAGCATCCTTTTTAGCAAGCAGGCAGCAGGCCAGTCTCCCTACCCTAAGGAGTAAGTAGGGCCATGGTGGTTACTAGTGGTTGCTTTGACCCACTTAACTGCCCGTATGACTGGCTATATAAACTGCTCAGTATTAAGGGGATGGTCGAGTCTTGTAGTTTGGCATACTCAGCCAGAACATGCAGGAATGCTCAGGGTACATGACAGACTTGCCTCTCCCAGGGAAATCACCTGGGCATGAGGTTTTCTTTGTGAGAAGGTTTTTGATTTACAGATTCAATTTCTCTAAGTTATTCTGATTTTCTGTTTCTTCTTGATTCCACCTTGGTAATTAATGTCATTCAAGGCATTTATCTAAGTTGTCAAACTGATTGGCAATAAAGTCTTCATATTATTCTCTTATAATTCTTTAAACATCTGTTGGATATATTTATATTCCTATTATTAGTAATTTGTGCTTTCTCAATTTTTTTATGTATTAGTCTTGCCAAGGGGTTTATCAATTTTGTTGATGTTTTTCCCAAGAACCAACTTTCGACTTTGTTAAATTTCCATATTTATTTAGTCTATTTTCTATTTCATTGATTTCTGTTTTTACCTTTATATCTTAGTTGATATCCAGTTAGTTCTTTTTCGTCTAGCTTCATAAGGGGAAACTTTGGTCAATGATTTTAAATCTTTTTTCTTTTTCTATTGTAGACATTTAAAATAATAACTTTCTCCCTGAGCTAGCTTTAACTGTATCCCGCATGTTTTGGTATGTTGTGTTTTCATTATTATTCAGTTGAAACATTTTCTAATTTCCTTGTGACTTCTTTGATCCATGGATTATATGTAAGTATGTTATTTTATTTCCAACTATCTGTGTTTTTTCCTAGATATATTATTTTTAATTTCTAATTTAATTTTATTATGCATGGCAAACTTACTCTGTAAGGTTTTAATCTTTTGAAACTTATTGAACTCATTTCATGACCGAGCATATAACCTATCTTGGTGATTTTGTGTGCACTTGTAAAGCACACGTGTTTTGAAGTTGTTGATTTTCATGTTCCAAAAATATTAATTTAGTCAAGTTGGTTTATAGTGTCGTTCAGATTTTCTTTATTCTTAATCAATGTTTTGTTTATTTGTTCTATTGATTACTGGGAAGCAGAAAGCAAAACCTCCAACTATGAAAGTGGATTTGTCTTTTCTCTCCTTAGTTCTGTCAATTTTTGCTTTACATATTTGACACTCTGTTATTTGGTGCATACATATTTCAAATTGTTAGGTCTTCATTATACAATAATTATTTTATCATCATGAAATATCCCTTTTTATCTATGATAATATTTTACTTCTTGATATTTGTACTGTTTGACGATAATACAGGCACCTCAGCTTTTTTATGATTATTGTTTGCATGGTATTTTTTTCCATCTTTATTTATTTTTTTTTTTATCTATTTTTGAGACAGAGTTTCATTCTTGTTGCCCAGGCTGGAGTGCAGTGGTGCAATCTCAGGTCACTGCAACCTCTGCCTGCTGGGTTCAAGCAATTCTCCTGCCTCAGTCTCCGAGTAGTTGGGATTACAGACATGCACCACCACGCCCAGGTAATTTTTTTTATTTTTGGTCAAGACAGGGTTTCGCCATGTTGGCCAGGCTGGTCTTGAACTCCTGACCTCAGGTGATCTGCCAGCCTCGGCCTCCCAAAGCGCTGGGATTACAGGCGTGAACCACCGCACCTGGCCTTTCATCTTTATACTATAAACTTATGCCTTTATCCTTAAATTAATAACAACCAACAATATTAAAGTTTGTCATGTTGCTATTTGTTTATTATTTTTCCTTTCTGTTTTATGTTCCTCAGTTACTCCTTTCCTGCTTTTTTGTTTTGGATTAATCAAATATTATTTGGCATTCTATTTTATTTCCTTTATTGACTCCTTAGCTACATCTTTTATTATTATTTCTCTAGTGTTGCTCTAAGGCCATTAATATACATCCTTAATCTATCAAAGTCTTAGAGTAAATAAAGTTCCACTTCACACTTCCATTTTCACATTTTACCCATGACACTTTCCACTTCCTACTTTACCCTTTCCACCTAGCAAACAGTTTAATTCCACTTACCCGTACCCTTCTCTTTGTGTTACTGTTGTCGTATATTTTATTCCTTCATAATTATAACTCACAACTTACAATGTTATTTTTGTTTTAAACTATCCTTTTAAGACTTTTGTAGTTTGGCATACTTAGCCAGGGCAAGCAGGAATGCTCAGGGTACATGACAGACTTGCCTCTCCCAGGTAAATCACTTGGGCATGAGAAGAAAAAAAAAATCAAGAGAAGAAAATACAGTCTCTTATGTGTGCTTACATCTTTATGTTTGCTGCTGTGCTTCATTTCTTCTGCACATTGACATTCATTTCTTTTCATTCTGAAGAACATCTGCTGGCCATTGGACTTTCAAATTAAAATCTTTAAAAAATTTTTAGGATTTAAAAATATTAGTGTTGGCCAGGTGTGGTGGCTCACGCCTGTAATCCCAGCACTTTTGGCGGCCGAGGCAGGTGGATCATGAGGTCAGGAGTTTGAGACCAGCCTGGCCATGCTGGTGAAACCCCATCTCTACTAAAAATACAAAAATTAGCTGGGTGTGGTGGCATGTGCCTGTAGTCCCAGCTGCCTGGGAGGCTGAGGCAGGAGAATCACTTGAACCCAGGAGGCGGAGTTTGCAGTGACCCGAGATCATGCCACTGCACTCCGCCTGGGTGACAGAGCAAGACTCCATCTCAAAAAAAAAAAAAAAAAAAAAGAAAAAAAGAAAAAAAATAGTGTTATTTTAAATCTGTAATATTTTTAGTAATTTTTTTCCATTCAAATCTTCTTGCTCTTTTTTTTGGCAGGAGTGGGTAGCTTTATTGGTTGATGCATATTTTGAATCTTTGTCCTTTTTATCCTTTTCTCTCTAATAGCATTTATCTCTTTGTTCCTCTTTAAAAAATGGAATTCTGAAGAGGTCTCTATATCTCTATATTCTCAGTCACACTTAATCCACTTTTTGCGGCTTCTAATAGGTCTCTGTGAAGATCTTTTTCATTTCTTTTCTGACCTTCACTGCCAGCTTGCACTTTCTTTTCTCCGGTTGTCTATATCTTCTTTGTTTTTCTTTTTTGTGTGTCTTATTGAGCTCTTTTCAGAATAATTAAACTGTCTGAATTTATGTAGAATGATTTGTCTAAACACTTCTGTTTTCCAGGTGAATTCCCTTCATCAACTCTTGTGTTCTTCTTTCACTCCGTAACTCTTCACCCTTCTTACTTTTTGTTGTTCTCTGTTGATTTCTTACTGGTTACCACTCATTTTTAAATGTGAACATCTCTTTCTTTGCCATATGTGTGCTGAAGAATAGTAAGGTATGGGGGGGACAGTGAGCTAGGGCTATTCATAACTTATTTTAAGACTGTTTTCTTATATGGACACCACATTCTGTTAGATTTTCTGTCCAAGTGTCATGTTTGTCTTCTATTTTTGGCACTGAGTGGGGAGTTTACTCATGGTGGAGCCCCTCAGGCCACAGGCCTTTTGAGTGGTGATATGGAAATAAGTCCCTAAAGTCCCTTTTTCCTTCCCCAGCCCTTCAAGAACCCGTGGCCAGAAGGCTGGAACATGATCAAGTGGCACGTCACATGGTTCCTCCTTCAGCTCCCCTCCCCTGCCATTCTGCACTGACTCACTGAGAAGCTATTGGAATGTTATTCTGTTCTCACAAGGCTTGCCAGACCCCTGCCTCCCATCTTGATGTCTAATAGGTCAATCTTTCAAGAACACTTGTGGGGAGACCTGTGTCCTGGTCTGGATCAGAGATGTGATGTATTAACTTTCAGAGTCCTCCTTCACCCCGGCCTATGTTTTACGGTATTTGGTAGCTGTTCTTCTAATTTTGCATTTTGGGATTATGACCATTACTTTGCTTCACTGACAATGGAGACTTTGTAAGATCTCTTTTTTGTTCTTTTTTAAAAATAATTTTCCTGTAGGTTTCAAGGTAAGGAGTACCTTTTCTTTTGCCATATCTAACTGGGAGTTCATACATTAGGTATCAATTGACTTTGGTCAAATTAGTTTCTGCAGATGACCCTAAAAAATAAGATGCTGGGAAAAAGGGTAAATACTGTAGTTGCTTCTGAACAAAGTGTTTAACTGTATATAGTTTTGTTATTTAATCAGAACTATATGTTTCTTACTCTAAAATTTGCATTGTGGCAATTCTAACACCATCAGCTGCCAAGAAGATGCATGCCACCCATGTACCACCTTATTTATTTAAAATATATTTATTGAGTATGAACTGTATGCTATATGCATTGTGTTCATTACTGCTTCAAAAGGGCAGCATCATTATGGAGAATGTTTTGATAATCTTTTCAGGTGAAACATAACAACTCACAGTAAACATCTGTCGTACCTTGTATAGAGCTGAACTCCAGCACACATTGATTGGTTACTGTGTATATTTTAGTGATTAGTTTTGGAACTTAAAGAATGACACTTTTTCTCAGTTGTCCTTGGGGTCCTCACTCACTATTCATAGTTCATTGTTAGGACTTTATTTTTATTTAGTCATATATAAGATAACGCCTACATTTTGGGCCCCTTTATTATTTTAGGGTAATAATCACATTACCCTAAAATCTCTAAAATAATTGAGAGACTTCTATAAACTCAGGAGAATTCAACACATTTTTGAGATCAAAGACAATAGTGTTATGGACCTGGGACAGAAAGACTTCTAATGGACACTAAATAACTTATGTAAATAAACGTTTACAAGAACTTCACATTTGTGCGTTTGTGAGAGAGGCAGAATAGGAAACTGTTTTCTCAGCCTTTTGGTCTCAGTTCGTTTATCCTTTTGCAAGTCTTGTTTTTGCATCCTTTTGTAAGTTTTGTTTTTGCATCCTTTTGTTTATTTTCATTACTTTCTTCTGGATGTTCTTCATATCTTTTAAGCATCCTGTCCCAACCTTTCTTGGTATTCCATTGATGATACTATGAATTCAGTCAGAACCCAAGAGAGATATTTACCTCATTCAAAGAGAAAAAATCAGTTTCTTGGGATGTAATTGGCTCCTAAGTAAAAAATACTGAATTAATTCCCCAAAAGGATGAAGGTAAATAAGTTACTTAAGGCCTTTAAATGGATAGCTCAGCTTGCTATTAAGCAAGCTGTGCACGTGAAATGGGGAATAAGAATACCTGGAGTGGTAAACCTTGAGATGTGTCACTGATTTGAGTTAAATGGAGTGGAGAGAGGCTGTTTATCCTCACAATGAAGTAGGCGGCACAGTGAATACAGGACTGTTCAGAGCTCTTGAGCGGTTTATGAGTTTTTCTATGCTAGGAGGTAAGGCAGGTGCTTAAAATTACTGAGGTATATCCTAACTAATTACAGAATCCTAAAGTGAGAAGTGCTGATCAGTTGCGTTTGGAAGAGGAGCTGACAATTAAACCTTCAGGCAAATGACAGACTAAAACTTGGAGCTGCGTCAGTCAAAAATATATTTATGCCAATCAAAATTGAAATAAGATTGCCATTCCTAAAATATCCAAACATATAATATCTCTCAGCACAGAGAAGAGACCCAATAGGATCTCTTCCTTAGAGTGCTAATGAGTATTTTAAAAACTATAGCAGGACCATGGAGTACACTCAGCAGTGATTTGAGCATGGGTTGCAATATGAAAAGAAGAGAAAACAGACTTTTGGATGCTCACATAAGCCAAATGTTAAAGAGAAGCAGCAGTTACTAACAGGGCCAGAGATGCTTTCTTGAAATGTAACAGTCCTGGGGCTCTTTTCCAAGCCACTTATGCAAGACTTCATCCAGAATTTTGGGAAGTCCTTTCTAACTGGATTTTACAATTCCATGAGGAACAGGTTGACGAACCTTCTCTAAATGCATGCTTTTTTTTTTTTTTTTTTTCTTTTGGCCTTCTAGAGCTGCCAGACTTGATTTTCATGTTTGTGGTTTGGACATTTTGGGTGACTACATTGAAAACCCCCTTGAATTACAATGGCAAAGACATTCAAATCATGAACAAACGTCACTTGAGCATGTGGGGCAGGTCTTCCATGGATTATTTATAATAACAAATTTCAGAGTGACTGCTGCAAGCTAAAGGAGATTTATACTGCACTTGACCTCTGGAGAGCTCTCATTTTATGAGGTCTCCAGGTCCCTGAGATGCCTGAAGATAGTACAATTTTCATAGTTATAGGAAAATAGGTTTACAACTAAGCCTGGAGTAATTTGAAGCTTTGGATTTCAGAGCTAAAAGGGACTCTCACCATCCTTATTTTCTTCACTCCCAGCAAAGACCCTTGGAGACCTATGCATTCTTTGGGTAGGACTTGCTGCACTAGGAAATTGAAGATGGCTGTGAATTTTACTGGCCCTAGTCTTATGTTTTCCCAGTGATTATCATGGATATTGGGGGCCTGTGGCCGAAGTGTTAGATGTTGGAGCTGAAAGGAAAGTCGGAGACAAACAAACACACTCTGAAAAAGTGCACAGGAAACAAGCATTTTGCTTCATAGTGTTTAGGATTTCATACTGTGTTAAGCTTGGAATTACATCTGTGGCTTGGCATTAGCTCAGAGAATTATTGTCACCTTGCAATTGACTAATTTTTTTTTTTTTATAAATTCCTCTAATGCATCTCTTAGCAGGTACTACAGCAATGAAAATCTTATTTGAAAGATAATCTCCATACAATCTAGGGCTTAATGTGTATTAGAATTTTCTACTGATTTCACTATACACGGATCATATTTTCCCTACCTTTTATAATAAAACTAAATGCAATTGTTTAGTTAAAAGTACTCTCCCTCCACATTAGGTATACATGTTTTTTTTAAAGATGCCTAATATTTGCATCTATAAAATCACTAATTTTCATAATTTCTTCAGTTTGCCTTGCTGCTGAAAATCCATCTCTGTGTCAGCACATTCATGCGGCACTTGACCTCTGGAGAGCTCTCATTTTATGAGGTCTCGAGGTCCCTGAGATGCCTGAAGATGGTACAGTTTTCATAGTTACAGAATAATAGGTTTATAACTAAGCCTGGAGTAGGTTGAAGTTTTGGATCCGAGAGCTCAAAAGGACTCTCCCCATCCTTGAAGGCTTTTAGGCCTGGTGTCCAATTAGAGGTTGACAAGGAATGGTGACTTTGGCAGCTACAATGGAATAGACATATGGAAAATTCTGGGTACTGTAATAGGCTGGACCCATTTCATTTTTATTCCAGTGGCTACATTTATATGTCAGTGACTAAACTTGTTTATCTTACAATGAAGTTATTCCCACAGAAATCCTTAGAATATTGAATATACACACCGCATTGGCAATAAATTGACTAAAAAATGTGAAGACAGGCAGAATTTGCATAATTTTGATGGTCTAAAGTAATGTTTTGATTTCACTAATTTATTTCGTAAAGAATTTCTTTTTCTTTTATAACCCACAGTCAACTGCTGTTAGTGTTAAATTTCCATGATGTGGTAATTGGCAAACTCTTGCTAGTTATTTCGGATGGCTCACAATGGGAACTTTCTTCATCTCAGGTTCAAAGTTGTTTCTAGACTGTGTGCACTCGGCATATAGAGAAACGAAGTGCTGAATAGCTATCCAGTTGATTAGGTCATTGTAGGCAGCCAATGTGGGCAATCTGATCCGGTGCTGAGGAACAGTGGGGAAAGAATAATACGAGAAAGAGGCAGGAACCGCAAAGTAACCGAAAGGCCAGGCTTTGAATCTCCTGTATTCCTCCCCTTGGCAGGCTTATTTGCCTGCACATCAAGATCAGTCAACTGTAAGCAATAAAAGAAGTTTTTAGACCAGGCTGGGTTCCCTTAGAAGAGTCAGCCTCCTTGGTGCTGGTGGCTCATATTTGTTCTCTGAGTACCTGGCACTGGCCCCCTAGCCTGCGAGAGATTTAAACTGACCCCTTGTACCCATTCTAATCTCCTGTGGTTTTTCTATTTCAAAACCACTGCTCTGGGTGGGAGCCACCTCCCACTTGGATTCTGGCTTACTCCTCCAGGAAGATCTTTGATTATCAAGTAAGTGTGTGTGTGTGTGTGTGTGTGTGTGTGTGTGTGTGTGTTTGTGTATACATGTGTTCATGCATGCCCATTATGGCTACTTATCAACTGTTGACCTACCAACTTAGCCCAAACACTCGATTTTTCATATTTTCTGGTTTCATGGTTTTGTGCCTTCAAGGAACCCCAAATTCCCACCCAGCCAATGGAAATGGCAAGCAGTTGTACTTTCACCATTTGCAAGGCAACTATCTGAAACATCCTTCTCTCCTCTAATTGGATCTGTTTCCTTCTCTGTCTCCAGGACTTATGTCTTAACTCATAACCCCTGAACATCTGAATGGAGTGAGACACTCCAAGCCAAGTGTAAGTTTTAACATAGCAAACACCATCCCTCGATTTCCAGAGAGGAGCCCCTGAGTGCCCCTCCTGTTTGATGAGAAGCAGGTGCAGAATAGGCTGCTTTAATCAGTGCTAAACGCACACGTCTTACTGAAACCTGAATGTGCTGTGCTTCACAATACCGTGGTTTGATGGCAAATGCAGATGATGAAGAGAACACTACGCACTCCATTAACAAGTGTGTTGTAGCTCAGTCATAACTAATGATAATGAAGCGCTGACTGAACGCTCAGTGCTAATACTCGATTGAACTGGAGAGCCTCCAGCTGTCAATGTGATATTCTGGATGCAATAAAAAATAGATTAGATTCTCACCAGGCCGTGCTAGGGCTCCATCCTAAGAACCCTCTGTTGAGACGTATGCAAGAATATCCCTAAAATGGCATGAATAACATCTTGGCTTGAAATGTTAATATTGAAAATGTGCCTGACTGTTAATTTTGATAATGTTTTCTGAGGTCTGAATGTTATGGGGATTTCCCATTTTTCCTATAAAACCATTCCTTGGCGACTTTTTGTGATTATTCCGAAAATGATTAGAGAAGCAGTAGAGATCAGAGGTCGAGATCAAAGTTATAGAAATCAGGATTACCTGGTTTTCAATCGAAGTCCTATCATTTTTTTTGGTTGTGTGATCTTGGGCCTTAGTTTCCACTTTTGTAAAATTGGGAAAACAACAGAACTTTCCTCCTCCAGCTGTTGTGAGGATTTGACAATGCTCTGTTCCTGTAATGACGGAAATTGCCAGATGAATTGCACCTCCAGAGTTGGAGTATTCTGGTCTATTTAAATATGGCTTTAGAAAAATAATCCAGAAACTTCTGCATAGGACATTTAAATCTGGGATGAGTTTGCAAATGGTGTCAGTGTCCCAAATGAAGTTAAGTCCAGGTCAAGGCAATCATAATACTTCAAATTCAACAAGTTCTCTAGGCTGCAGACACCACTATTTTTTTGTGCAAGTTTACATTATTAGGACTTAACACAGTACTTGGCATATAGTAGGCATAAAAGAACAATAAAAATGACCCAACAACTGGTCTCCCTGCCTCCAGTTTTGCCTTCTTCCTAGTCTTGTTTTACTGCCAATGTTTTCTTTCTAAATGCAAATCTAAACCTGTTTCCAGCTTGCTTACCGCAATCAAGAAAGAGGTGCTCTTTGTTTACCAGGAGCACCAGCTGTCTGAATGATCTAAGTCTAGAACCTCCAGGCTCTACCCACTGGTGGAGCTGGTGTCAAGGGAGGGCCATTAGCCGGCTCCCAGTGGGAAGTGGATGGCATACTCAATGTGGGTCACTTAAGCATCATAAATAGATTATTTGCCAAGATATAGGAAAGGATTTAGAGACACCAATAAGGGATAATCCAGTACCTTGGCTGCTCTTACCTCCCTAGGCCTGCCGGAGCAAGGAGGGGGCAGTTACTGGAACCTAGGAGGCTTCCTGACAGGAGCTGTGGCCTTCGGCAGTGGAAGAGAAGGAGGTGGGAAATAAACCCTAAACCTCACTTTCCTCCTGTCTTTGGTTCTCCTACTGGTGACTCCCATTGGACAATCCTAGCTGGAAACCAGAATGCCGAGGAGCTGTGAACACAGGCCAGACTGTGGGTTCCAGGCATCAGAGCAGGGTGAGGAAGGGTGATGATTGGGTTTGGAGGGCCAAACATAGATAGCCTCAAAGGTTCACCTCACTTGAACCCCATGGAAGGAGCTCCTTTTAAGGAGAAAGGGTGAGAAAGGCATGCTGGGCAAACACACATTATGGAGATCTCTCATCTACATGGAGAAGCTACTGGAATCAGCATCTCTTGATGTTGAGTCCAATGTTCTTCAACTACACAGTTGCCTGATGTTCAGAACTTGTCCTGTGACTACTGATGTCATATCTTATGAGACTCCTTGGAAATTGCACCTGAAATTTTATTTATGCCTGGCTTTTAAATACCTATAATTTAACTTCTTTAATTTGGACCTTCCTTATAAACCTCAGAGTATATTTTTAGTTGCTTTTCACATGTCTTCCATCTCCCATAGGTAATTTATACTACTTAGTATTTAGAAGTTACCTATTGGATAGCATGGTTCTTAGATCAATCTTAGACAATTCTCTGGGTGGAATCTGACATATCTGGTGGTAGATTTATACTTTTCCCATTGGATCCTTGTGTGCCCTCTTCTATAAAGTTTTCAGGTCACAATTGATGGGCTTTTTTTTTGAATAGATATCTAATTCACTCAATCAGTTTCACCTTATGTAGAGAGAATCAATCTGCTGAGTTTTCTAGACATTAGCAATACATAAAAATCCTATAATAAAGTATGCTATCATCTCTTTTTGAAAATGAGAAATGAGGCATGACAATTTCTTTCTAAAGCAATAATCAAGAAAGAGAGCCCTGCGTTTAATTCATTATGTGAGTCCACAGAAAGAGCAAGGGAAAAATAAATAATTTCACCCATCTGAGTCAACTTCAAGCCTAAAATTATAGGTTCTTGCAACTTTGACTTAATTGCTATCACAAAGAAGCACAAGTTGCTGTGATCAGATATCTCACAGAATACAAAAGCACTAATCCTTGACATTTCAGAAAGTCATATCATTATATTTGCCCCAACCTGTACTGATTTTCTTTTACAGTGAATTTATATATATATGTATATATACACATATATATACACATACATATATATATATACACATATATATACATATATGTATATATCAGAATTGAAGAAAAAGCCAAAACTTGGGATATTTAAATGAAAGTCCTGTTACCAAAACACAGCCTGTAACAGATGATAAGAACTCAGCTCATGGCATTTCCCAGTATCTACATTTACAATGAATAATGAATATTCTTATTAACATCAGGGCTTGGCTAATTTGAAAGCTACACACTTTCTTAATACCAAAAATCTTAGCCTCAGTCTTTATGGCCTGTCATCAAAGTCAGTATGGTGGTTGGAATGTGGGCTGGGAACTCAGGGCAGGAGAAAGGTCCCTCCCACGGTCATGAACACCAGAGGGAATAACTGTGGTGAGTGGGCACTGGGCACTGGGATGGGGAGGTGACACCTGTACTGCCGTCCTTCAGGCCTGTGACCCACGGAATTGCTTCCTCATCTTGGAGTCCTGTTCCAACTCTGTCCTTATTTTTAATGCCACAGTTTCACTCATTTTCACCTTTTATTCACTTTATAAAAATTGTGAAATATTTCAAGCAAGCATGCAGTTCAAACAATAACATTCATATATCCGTCTCACAGCTTTCTCAAATATTATATTTTTATCATGGTTGCTTCAGATTTTGTTCTTTTTTGTAAGAAAGAAACCTCAAAAAAAAAAAACAAAAAAAAACAAAAGAGAGAGAGAGAGAAAGAAGAGTATTTCTGGAGACGAGCAGGACAGGACCTCAAGTCCCTACTCCAGCCTTTGGTTCATTCTCTGAGGTTATTTATAACCATGTGAGGGGCTTTCTCTTGCCCAGTCTACTATTATTATTATTGTTGTTGTAACTATCTCCAGGGCCCAGCCAGCCCATATTCCCAACCATCCCATACCCCTTGGATGCCATTTGCAGATCCCTCATTATTAGTGGGATTGGGCATCATTTCATATTGTTTTTGGCAGTTCAGTCTTTCTTTTCTGGGCTGTCCTCTTTTGTTATTGATTTGTAAGGATAAAGAATCCTTTATCCTTTTATGTGGTATGTAATAGATATTGATCCATTGTCAGTGAAGTAAGTTGCAAATATCTTCAGCTGTGGCTTGCTTTCTATATTTATAGTATCCTTTATAAAATAAAGACCTTTAAAGTGGAAAGTCTCTAGCTATATCAATCAAACCTTTTGTGGTTTATCGTCTCTGTGTTGCTTTAATTACAGGCTAGTGAGGGAAGTCTTTCCTGCCAGGAGATGTTCATTGAAGTGCAGACTGCTCGGAGCCACACCGCAGGCTGGCAGAGGAAGTGTCTCGGTGTTGCCTTGGCCCGTTCACCCCCTGCCAGGCCAGTAGAGGAGCTGAAGAGTCTTCGCCATGGTTTGAGAAAAAGGTCTGGAGCCCCATGCTGTTCTCAGATCACCAGGACACCTGGAGATGGCAGAGTCTCAGCATTCTAACCACAGCACAGCCCCCACCGAATGAGGGGCCTGGTCTACAGAGCTCCTCAAACTCCACTTTCTCCGTCTCCCTGTTGCCTTCCCTCTCCCATGTCCCCAGTGTCACACAGTTGGCAAGTGCCAGACCCATGCCTGAGACTAGCCTGGCAACCCCAATCTGTTTCAGCACAAGAAAGCAGGCAAGGTGTGGGGAACAAATGTGCCATTTGGAGGTGCCTATGGTTTTCAACCCATGAAAGAAAAGGCAGACATCACTTTGTAAAAGCAATGAGGAAGACAGATCTAAATGTCCTTGGGAAAAAGCCTTTCTAAAAAGCAACCAAAGACTCTATACTGACAATACACATTTCCAAGGCGATCCTAAGAAATCCATTTGTGTAATCAGCTGATAATTTCTTTCTTTCTCCAAAGTGGCTCTGAGCTCAATTCAGACTGAAAAACTCAATAGAGAGTCCTAGAGCCTGTAATCAATGCTTTTTGCTGGGGGACCCTGGGCACTCTTTCTGTCATTCAGAAGCATTCATTTAACCTTGATATCATGGGAGGTGGGGTGACAGGAAGGGCTTCTCTCTACTTTCTCCCTGCTTGGTAGCAAATCTGTGTGAAGACACATTTCATTTCATATCAGCTGGCCTGTCCTAACAGGCCCCGCATAGGCAGGGACGGAAGTGTCACAGCTTGGCAGCCCTTCTCAGAGCGTGGACTCGCCTCTAATCAAGCTCTCCATTGCATTTAAAAGAATGAGAAGCTCATCCTTCCTGTCAATAATGTGTGGCTGTGGTCTGGAATCTTACTGGCCTTAGGTCTTCGTGGGCATTCTGATCTGTGTCTGAGAGTTGCCCTGGAGTGCCACCGAATGAGATTGTCAGCTGGTTTGGGCACTGGGGTGTGGAATGATGTATATAGTGACATCTTGTAATTTGATTTTGCTTTCAAAAGGTAAAAGAAACCTATCATTTATTGGGAGCCTCTGTATGTCACTTTCCATATAGCATCATGTTGAGCCCTCTAACAATCCTGGGAAGGAGGAGAGTGTGTCTCCATTTTTTTACATAGACTTTTAAATTGAGAGCAATTTTAGGTTTGTAGAAAAATTGCAAAGATAGTACAGAGAGTTGCCATCTACCCCATAGCCAGATGGCCCTCTAGTTAACATCTTACATGAGTATGGTATATTTGTACAAAGAATAAATCAATATTGACATAATATTATTGACCAAAGTCCACACTGTATTCAAAACTTCTTTAGTTTTTAGCCTAATAGTCTTATTTTCCGTTCCAGGATCCTATTCAGGATCCCACATTCCATTTGGCTGACATGTCTCTTTAGGTGCCTCTCAGCTATGATGGTTTCTTGTACTTTCCTTGTCTTTGATGACTTTGACAGCTTTGAGGAGTACTGTTCAAGTATCTGTAGATTGTCCCTTAATTGGAGATATTGTTTGACATCTTCCTCATGATTAGACTTGGGTGATGGGTTTTTGAGAGAAAGACACAGAGATAAAGTACCATTCTCATCACATCATATCAAGTATATGCCATTTTTGCTGATGAGGAAACTGAGTCTCAGAGGACAGTGACCTGCCCAGCTCTCCAGGAAGCTCCGGTACCAATTTGAATCCAGCTCTGCCTGGTCTTCAAGTCCATGCTCCCTTCATTCCATGATATCACCCTTTCTCAGGTGATGAGGGAAAACCAGGCTTGAGAGAGACAACCAGGTTGCAGAAAGGTGGACCCCTCCTTCAAACAGCCATCTCTTCCTGTGCTATGCCCCTTCTCCGTCTATCTTACTGGTATAGTTGTTTGGAGTTTTAGGGGTCAAGTAAGAGGGTGGAGAGTTGTGTCGAAAGTGGCGGTGGGGTGTCCAAGCCAACTGGAAAAGGCCAGATGTTCCTTCTGCCCTCAATTAAATGCCCACTCCCATTTGAGGTTAAAATGCCTATTTCCTTCAAGTTCCATTTAACTTGCCATACTTGAAAGTGATAGTTCTGGCAGGCTTATTAGCCCAGGCAATGTTCTCTTAGGCTCTAGTCACCTGAACACCACCTCTACAATTTTTGTTGTATTTCCAAACTACATGAGCTATTATTTACTTAATTAAAAATGTAATGTCATCCCAAGCAATACCACACAATGAAAGATTTTATGTGCCAGTTATGTTTTTTCCCAACTCACATTAAAATAGGTACTCAACTATTGTTATTATTAATAAATCCTCGTCCTTTGCTCCTACCATGTACGTGGCAATCACTAGTAGTGTCTGTATCCCACTCCAGAACTGCTGAGTCACCCAACAGTGGAGGTTGGGAGGAGTAATGGTCTCTTTTTATTTCTTTATAAAATAACTTTTACAAATCAAGGCACATAATTTTTAAAACTCCAATAGCAAGGTCAGGAAAATGAGCAGTCTTCCCTGGAGCCGCTCAGTTCTACCCCCAGGGATAGTGACTTTTACCTCTCTGAGCTGCTGCTTCCACTTTTTCCTTCCTCTTGCCCAACGCTGTGCGGTGGCAGGTGCTGCTGGTGCCCTGCCTGTGTCCCTGGGGCTTGCCACTCTAGTGCCGAAGGCCTGTCTTCTCACTGCCAGGGCCTGGGTTCTTGGTATTGGCACCTTCTCTTGCCCCTGGAGCGCGCTCTTCCTCCCCTACAGTAGGCAGAGAATGTGGGGAAATGGATGCCCCTTGGGAGCTACCCTCACCCAGCCACAGAGAAGCATTTATGCAGCCAGGCCCTGGCTCCATTGCCTCTTGGCAGGGGACCTCTGATGTGTGAGTGTTATACTGGCTCCCCAAGCCTCCCCTGCAGCATTAAGCTCCAGTCGCCCACAGGGGAGGCAGGAATATTGTACTTTTGTTAGCTGTCTTCCTAGTGGTCAACTCTGCTTCTCACCTTGCACCTCATTTCACTGTGTGCAAGTCTGGATTTCTTCCCAGGCTGGAAACTTGTTCAGTGCAGGGATTATGTTTTTCCCTTTAGGCCCGGTGCAATGCCTGTCATATAAGAGCTACTCAATCAATGCTTGTTGGATGAAGAGCAGGCTACATGAACAAGGATGAAGAGATTTCCTGGGCTGGTTTGTACCTGGTGATGCATGATGCTGTAACAGGGTAGCCGTGTCTGCAGCTTTCCTACATAATTGTATTTTACTTAAGTTCCTTTGATTGAAAACCATAGGAACTGACTCTGGGTAACTTAAGAGAAGGGAATATACTGGAAGGCTACTGTGAAAGCTCATGGAATTGAGGGAGGAGCTGGAGCCAGGTCAGCTCTAGGATGGAACAAGGACAACAATTACAGTAATAGCAGCTAACATTTACTGAACACTTCTACATGTCAGGCTCTGGGCCAAAAATGTCATCTGATCTACTTTCACAGCAACCCCATGAAGTCATTATCGTTTTTATCATCCCCATTTTGCCATTGAGCTACTTGGGGCAGAGAGGTTAGAACCCAGGCAGGCTGACTTCAGAGCTTCTATTTTGAACACACATGGATGCCTCTGCAGCAGGCCTTCTGGATCAACTTTCTAGGTTGCCACCTTTGAGAGTCAGCTACGATGGCATCCAGTCTGTCTCTCTCCTTTCTAAGTTTCAAATTCTTGGGAAAAACCATTAAGTTGGCTCGACCTCAATCAGTGCTGAACAAGAGGCAGAGTCAAGTGGTATAAATACGACCCCTGGGGGCCCACTCTGTGTACTGAACCATTTCCAGGGGAGGAAGAATAGGATCTGGGGAGTGTCCCCCTCTTTCCTGCTCTTGAAGCTTTTGTCTTCTACGTCTATGTTTCCAATGTACAAATTATAGTTCTCAAAGTGTGACCCCTGGACCAGCTGCATCAGCATCGCCTGAAACCTGATAGAAATACTAATTCATTTGCTCCATCCTGGACCTGTGGAACCTTAACCTCTTGGGGTGAGGTTAGGATCCAGAGGTCTTAGTGATTAGGGCGTGTTTGACTTTTTGTGTTTTCTGTGCCCGGGTATTGGGAATGGAGGTTCCGTTAAGGCATCTTCAGAGCACTTTCGCCAACAGTTGTACTGTTAGGGTGTACTCAGTTGGCAGGAGGCTGGCCTTGCTCTCTGCTGTTTCTTCCTATTCCTTCCTGGCAGCTGGCTGAATATTTTTCACTCTTTGAAAAGTACACAACCTAAATTAGAGCCCAAGGGTCTACTTGAATCCTACCAAGAAAGGTAGATAGGTCAGAACTTTCTCAGTTACAAGAGACGGAAACATGACTTATACTTTCTTAAGCCCCCAAAGTTTTTTTTCTCTTAAATATCTGAAAATTCCAGGAATTGGTTCCAGTTTCAGGTATAGGTGGATCTAGGTGCTCAAATGACATCACAAATGTTCTCTTTCTTTTCTCTAGTTTCTTCTTTGTTGGTTTCTGACATGCTTCCTCTACATGAAGATCTCCAGCAACTCCAGGGTAACATGAACCTTTCAGCTTATGATCTCAAAGGGAGAAGGAGTTTTCCTCTAGCAGCATCCATATTTGTCCCCTTTCCGAAGATCTCTGATTAGCCCTGTTTGGATCACATGATCTTTCCTGGACCAATCACTGTTTCCAGGAGCTATATCCCCTATGGTAGAAGAGACAGGGGAAGCTTCTTGACAACTCTATGGAATCCTGACCATTAAGGATGGGTTAGACCCACAGGTGTGCTCAGAAATGTTAACAACCTATTCTGCTGAAGGGGGATGGGGGCCTGTGATTTGTGTTATCTTCTGATTTTTACGGTGCAGCCACTCCCAGTATGGGTGATATGTCAAGCTGCCAACATGACAGTACTGAAGATGAGGTTGGGAAGAGATGCTTGGTAGTGCACCATTATATATTAATGGTATTTTCTCCAATGAGATATAGCAGATGCAAGTAACCTCGAGTATAGACAATTACAAAGGGAAATAAAATACTTAGAAAGTGATGAGTTTTCAATAATTATTATCTTTTTTCTATAATTTATTTCAATTTATTTCATTGTAAGTTTATGTAACTTAGTTTTTAATAATGGCTTTGTTTAACAACTGGCTCACAAAGTTCCTGAAAATTTAAGTCACCTCTCTCAAGCTGGTACAAGCTAGGTCCAGCACACCAGAGGTTAGAATCTGACAGGGCTGGAAGAGAGTAGTATGTTCACTGTAGCTGCCATTTCGCCTCCCACTTCTGGTGGAGACAATATCAAATTCACTCCTGAGTGGTGCTTCAAGTGGCTTTTCAAGGTTGAAGGATATTAATAGCTTAAGAGTAGGTCCTTATAGACATCCTGGCCTGCAGCTACTTGCTTTTGAAGCATTGTCAAGTAGGGCTCAGATGTGGGAATAGAGCACTTTTAGCCTGTAGGCATAAAAGTACAGTTCACTGTCAGTTTCTCAGTAAAGAAAGATAGCATTACTTTATGTCAGTCCTAAATGCATTTCACAAAATTTAAACTAAAAAGAAACATAACCTCTTGCTGGTGCCCACTTTGTCAGAATGAAAGCTTGCTTGTTGACAATTGTTCACTCTAAAGGTTCACGAGGAGGAAGGAATATTGAACATGTCCCTAGTCATCCTTTCTCTATTGTTTGCAGAATCTCACTTGTTTTGAACTTACTGGGAAGGAGTAACACTTTGCACTCACCTTTTTCCCTACCCTTGAACCTTCTTTCAGCTTATAGAGGCCTGAGGCTGGAGGCAGGGGGATCAGTGAGGAGGCTGCAGCATCAGTCCAGGTGAGAGATGATGGAGGCCTGAGTGTAAGCATGGAGGTGGGGGTGACATGATGGAGGCCTGAGTGTGAGCATGGAGGTGGGGGTGAGATGATGGAGGCCTGAGTGTGAGCATGGAGGTAGGGGTGACATGATGGAGGCCTGAGTGTGAGCATGGAAGTGGGGTTGAGATGATGGAGGCCTGAGTGTGAGCATGGAGGTGGGGGTGAGAGATGATGGAGGCCTGAGTGTGAGCATGGAAGTGGGGTTGAGATGATGGAGGCCTGAGTGTGAGCATGGAGGTGGGGTTGGAGAGGTGCCTGATGGCAGACTTCGGCCAGAGCAATGGCCCAGAGACCTCACTTTTAGCTAAAAGAGCATAGGCCAGTGATATGCATGCTTAAAAAATGGAAACCATGAGGGAATAAATGTACTCTATAGTCTAGTGAACTTCATATATTTCTTGGGAAAAGCTACTTAACAACAAGAACTGAAGAAACTGTTTCATAACAAAAGTCGGATCCACTCCACCCGCCAACATGCAGCAAAAAAAGTCATTTGTACTTGGGGATGTAAAAAAGAATGAAGCATTACTTTACTGGGGATATTTTCAGTAGGTAAAGATAATTCAGTAGGTAAAGAATTAATGCATACACAGAATGTGGTATATCTCACTAAATATGGGTGTTCGGGGATGATTTATTATCTACAAAATATCTAGTAAAGGCCAACACTCAGACATTAATTCCATTTTAGAGTCTGCAAAGAAAACTCCTACGGCAGCTTGCTTAAAAAAGAGTAAGCTACGTTGCTTTCCTCTTGCATGGGCTGAAACCATCAAACCATTTCTTCTATGGAAATTGAGTCACCTTTTCATCTAGAGAACAAAGTGGCCAGGCAGGGACCAACCTAAGGTATAAACGCAAAAAGGTCACTCAGTGTTTCTGCCAGAAGCAACACGGCTCCAGCTAAATAATGTTCACCTGATCTGTATTAAAGAGAAGTTGAAGGACAAAAGAATCATCATTTAGTGCCTATGAGAAGCTGTTGGAAGTCTTTCTAATGTCAATCTAAAGCACTACAAGGTACATCACTGTGCGCCATCAGCAAATACCCTTCGGATGCACCCTAGAACTACCTTTACAAAGTGAAACTTTTTGGGAGTATTGGAAATATGCAAATGTACCAGTAACATTTAACAGACCAATGACTGAATTTTTAAAAAGTGGCAGGTGTCTATTTCCATAGATCTTATTTACCTCCAACAAATTAATGAATTAGTATCAATTTTCTATTTTCAGATTTGGGTTTGGGACATGGTTGGATATTAGCACTACCGTATATTTTGCTACAACTGACTGAGCTGGGGCAAGGCCAATTGAGGCCTCAGTATTCTTTATACCAGGCAATGTCTTAGGACTTTACAAATACTTTCCCTGGAAGATACATGATCTATTTCACAGATAAGATTACTGAATCTTAGGGAAGTTAGGTAACCTTCAATGTTAGGAAGGGTGTTGAACCACATGCCCCACACTAGAATTTATGTTCTCAATTTCTACCTTCTATTGGTTGCCCTGTTAAGTAATAATGCTACTCAATATACACGGCATACTTTACAGTTTGTAAGGTGCTTTGCCAAACGTTATCTAATTTGAGCATAATTCCCCAAATGCAGTAATTTAGAATTGTCCTTAGTCCCTGCAGTACTCACTTTAATTATTGACCTCCTTTATTCATAGAGGAAAACCAAAATGATTGAGGCCCAGAGTGAAGGCCACATCCACAATCGCCCTGAGATAAGGTAGTTTTTACAGGGCTCTCTTTATCTCCTTCTCTGATCTCTGTAAAACTGTCTGCCTCATGAGCCGAGATTGTGCCACTGCACTCCAGCCTGGGCGACAGAGACTCTGTCTCCAAAAAAAGAAAAAGAAAAAAAAAAAAAAAAAGAAACTGTCTGCCTCATTTGGTATCACACCCAGCTATTAGGCTCCACTAATTGCCAGCTGATTGCTATATTATTTCAACAATGCCCTGGAGCATAGATTACTCTGTGGTTTAATCCAAGAGGTAGTTTTTGAGGTCAGTGTTTGAGGTTTCTTCTGACTCCAGTAGGGCTCTTCTTAGCTGTCTCTTTCCCTGGTTCTCCCTGGTGAACTAGCTGGCCTATGGTTTAGATGACTGCTATTAATTGAGAAGAGCTATCAGCCTCCTCTTATTTTTTTGGCACCAAAATCTCCATTGTTTCTGAAAGTGCCCTTAGGCCTGAACTTTCTCTCTGTTTTAAATTAAGTCATTTCCTTTGGGGGTCTGCTTCTCACCCTGGGCAAAATCCCTGAGCCACCACTCAAGGCAGTGGGTGAGGCACTAGTCTTTGGTCTTCTTGGTTTGCCTCTATCGGTGTGAAACTTCTGCCTTCTGACTGAGCCGGGGCAAGGGCAATTGAGGCCTCAGTATTCTTGGCCTGATGAGCATGGGGGTAGAGCTCTGTGCTATGAATGGAGGTTGGATGGAAGAAGGGAGCCCCTGATTTCTTAACTTCACTCACCAGGAATTTAACCTCTTCAGTTGGAGATGGCAGCCTGCTTCTCCTGGTGAGTTACACCCTTTGTTTAGGACCTGAGAGGAGAGGGACCCCCATCTTCTTGGCCACAGCTGCCCAGGGTGGATGAGAGGGATGGGAGCTGAGCTGGATGGGAGACAGAGGGTGGGTTGTGGTTCAAGTCACAGACTCTTGCAGTTCTTACTGAGTTTTAGTAGATTTCCTTGAATAAATTGCTTCTTCATTTGCTATATGCCCTTAGGACAGTTTTCAGAGACTTTAAATGGTTGTTTGTTTTTTTAACAGTTTTACCAGGTATACTTGTTTCACCGGGGAATAGGTCTGTAGAACTCACACTGCCATCCAGGAAGTGAAACTCCCCGGTACAGGCATACCATGGACATATTTCGGGTTCAGCTCCAGACCACCACAGTGAAGTGAATATTGCAACTAAGCAAGTCACGCATGTTTTTTCTTTGTTTCTCAGTGAATATAAGGTATGTTTATATTATACTGTAGTCTGTTAAGCATATAATAGCATTATGTATACATATACATATGTTTATTAAAAATACTTTATTGCTAAAAATGCTAACAATCACCTGAGTCTTCAGTGAGTAGTAATCTTTCTGCTGGTGGAGTGTCTTGCTTTGATGTTGATGGCTGCTGAGTGATAAGGGTGGTGGTTGCTGAAGACTGGAGTCGCTGAGGCAATTTCTTTAAATCAGACAACAATTAAGTCTGCCACATTGATTGACTCTTTCTTTCATGAACAATTTCTCTATAGCATGCAATGCTGTTTGATACCATTTTACCCACAGCATAACTTTTTGTTAAAAAAAATTGGAGTCAATTTTTTCAAATCCTGCTGCTGCTTTATCAACTAAATTGATGTAAAATTCTAAATTTTTTATTGTCATTTCAACAACATTCACAGCAACTTCATCAGGAGTAGATGGCATCTGAAACAACCACTCTCCTTACTTATCTATAAGAAGCAACTGCTCAGCTGTTAAAGTTTTATTATGAAATTACGGTAATTCAGTCACATCTTCAAGCTCCACTTCTAATTCTACTTCTTTTTGCTAATTCCACCACATCCGCAGTTACTTTCCCCAGTGAAGTCTTCAACCCCTTCAAGTCATCCATGAAAGTTGGAATCAACTTCTTCCAAACTCATGTTAATGTTGATATTTTGACCTCCTCCCATGAATCATGCTTGTTCTTAATGACATCTAGAATGGTGAACCCTTTCCAGAAGATTTTTAATGTATTTTCCCCAGAACCATCAGAAGAATAACTGTCTATGGTATCTATAGCCTTATGAAATGTATTTCTTTAATAATAAGATTTGGAAATTGAAATTTCTTCTTGATCCATGGGATGTAGAATGAATGTTGTGTTAGGAGGCATGAAAATGGCTTTCATCTCCTTTTACATGTCCATCAGAGCTCTTGGGTGACTAGGTGCACTGTCAATGAGCAGTAGTATTTTGAAAAATTTTTTTACTGAGCAGTAGGTCTTAGCAGTGAGCTTCACATAGTCAGTAAACCATGCTGTTTAACAGACATGCTTTCATCTAGGCTTTGTTATTCCATTTATAGAGCACAGGCAGAGTAGATTTAGCATGATTCTTAAGAGCCCTAGGATTTTCAGAATGGCCAATGAGCTTTGGCTTCAACTTAAAGTTATGAGCTGCATTAGCCCCCAACAAGAGAATCAGCATGTTCTTTGAAACTTTGAAGACAGGGACTGACTTCTCTCTAGTTATGAAACTCCTAGATTGCATCCCCTTCCAACAGAAGGTTTGTATTAGTCCATTCTCATGCTGCTAATAAAGGCATACCCAAGACTGGGTAATTTATAAAGGAAAAAGGTTTAATTGACTCACAGTTTAGCATGGCTGGGGAGGCCTCAGGAAACTTACAATCATGGCAGAAGGGGAAGCAAACACATCCTTCTTCACATGGCAGCAGCAAGGAGAAGTGCAGAGCAAAAGGGTGAAAAGCCCCTTATAAAACCATCAGATCTCGTGAGAACTCACTATCACGAGAACATCATGGGGGTAACCACCCCCATGATTCAATTACCTCCCACTGGGTTTCTCCCATGACATGTGGGGATTATGGGAACTACCAGTTAAAGGTAAGATTTGGGTGGGGACACAGCCAAACCACACCAAGGTTGTTTCATCTACAATTAAAATCTGTTGTTTAGTGTAGCCACCTTTACAATGATCTTAGCTAGATCTTCTGAGTAACTTATTGAAGCTTCTGTATCAGTACCTGCTGCTTCAGCTTGCACTTTTATGCTATAGAGAGGGCTTTTTTCCTTAAACCTCTTGAACCAACCTCTGCTGGCTTCCAGATTTTCTTCTGCTGTTTCCTTACCTCTCTCAGCCTTCATAGAATTAAAGTCAGGACCTTCCTCTAGATTAGGCTTTGGCTTAAGAGAATGTGGTGGCTGGTTTGATCTATCCAGACCACTAAAACTTTTTTCACATCAACAATAAGGCTGCTTTGCTTTCTTATCATTTGTGAGTTCACTGGAGTGGCACTTTTCATTTCCTGCAGGAACTTTTCATTTGGATTCACCGCTTGAATTAGCTATCTGGGGGCAATCCAGGCCTAGCTATCAGCTTATCTGGTATTTTGACAGGCCTTCCTCACTAAGCTTAATTATTTCTAGCTTTTGTATTTATTTTTTGATACATAATGTTTGTACATACTTATGGGGTACATGTGATATTTTGATACGTGCACAGAATGTGTAATGATCAAGTCAGTTCACTTAGGATATCCATCACCTCAAGCATTTATCATTTCTTTGTGTTAGGAACATTTCAAATACTTTCTCCTAGCTATTTTGAAATACCCAATGCATTGTTATTAACTATAGTCACCTAATGTGCCATCAAACATTAGGACTTATTTCTTCTATATTTCTTGTTTTAATGTTTGTACCTATTAATCTACCTCTCTTTAACCACCCGTACATTCTTCCCAGCCTCTGTGAACTATCTTTCTACTCTTTGCTTCCATAAGATCAACTTTTTTAGTTTCCACATATGAATGAGAACACACAGTGTTTGTCTTTCTGTCCCTGGCTTATTTCACGTAACATAATGGCCTCCAATTTCATCATGTTTTTGTAAATGACAGGATTTCATTTCCTTTAATAGCTGAATAATATTCCATTGCATATATATACCACATTCTCTTTATTCATTCATCTGTTGATGGACACTTAGGTTGATTCCATATCTTTGCTATTGTGAATAGTGCTGCAAAAAACGTGGGAGTCTTTGATATACCAATTTCCTTTCCTTTGGATAAATAGTCATGGTATCATTGGATCATATGGTAGTTCTATCTGTAATTTATTTTTTTTTATAAATCTCCATGCTGTTTTCAATAATGGATGTGCTAATTTACATTTCCATCAACAGTTGTATAAGAGTTCCCTTTTTTCTGCACCCACATCAGCATCTGTTTTTTTTTTTTTTTTTGCCTTTTTGGTAATAGCTATTTCCAACTGGGGTAAGATGATATTTTATTGCTGTTTTAATTTACATTTCCCTGATTAGTGATTTTTTTCATATATCCGTTGGCTGTTTGTGTATCTTTTTTGATAAATGTCTATTCAGAACCTTTGCCCACTTTTTAAATGGGGTTGTTTTTATGCTGTAGAATTGTTTGAGTTTTTAAAAATATATTCTGAATATTGGTCTCTTGTTGGATGAATAGTTTGCAAATATTTTCTGTCATTCAACAGATTGTCTCTTCTCTCTGTTGATTGTTTACTTTGCTGTGGGGAAGCGTTTTAGTTTAACGTAGTCCCATTTGTCTATTGTTGTTTTTATTGCCTGTGCTTTTGAAGTCTCAGCCATAAAATCTTTGCCTAGACCAGGGTGTTCCCCTTATGTTTTCTTCAAGTAGCTTTATAACTTAGGTTTTTACTTTTAAGTCTTTTATCCATTTTGGGTTAATTTTTACATATGGTGAGACACAGAGGTCTAGTTTCATTCTCTGCATATGGATATCCAGTTTTCCCAGTACCACTCATTCTAGGGGTGTTCTTTCCTCAGTGTATGTTCTTGGCATCTTTGTTGAAAATCAGTTGGCTGTGTTTTGTAGTTTTCCATTTAGAGGTCTTTCACCTCTCTGGTTAAATTTAGTCCTAGGTGTTTTATTTGTTTTTATGCTATTGTAAATGGGATTACCTTTTGTTTGTTTCTTTTTCTTTTAAGCTTGTATTCTATATATATATTTTTTATACTTAAATTCTGGGGTATATGTGCAGAATGTGCAGGTTTGTATCATAGGTATACATATGCCATGGTGGTTTGCTGCACCCATCAACCCGTCATCTACATTAGGTATTTCTCCTAATTCTATCCCTCCCCCTGTCCCCCATCCCCCAACAGGCCCCAGTGTGTAGTGTTCCTCTTCCTGTGTCCATGTGTTCTCATTGTTGAACTCCCACTTATGAGTGAGAACATGCGGTGTTTTGTTTTCTGTTCTTGTGTTAGTTCATTGTTTGTATATAGAAATGCAACTGGCTGGGCATGGTGGCTCATGCCTGTAATCCCAGCACGTTGGGAGGCCGAGGCGGGCAGATCACTATGTCAGGAGTTCGAGACCAGTCTGGCCAACATGGCGAAACCCCGTCACTACTAAAAATACAAAAATTAGCTGGGCGTAGTGGTGGGTGCCTGTAATCCCAGCTACTTGGGAGGCCGAGGCAGGAGAATTGTTTGAACCTGAGAGGCGGAGTTTGCAGTGAGCCGAGATCATGCCATTGTACCCAAGCCTGGGTGACAGGGCGAGACTCCATCTCAAAAAAAAAAAAAAAAAAAAAAAAAGAAAAAAAAAGGAAAAAAGAGAAAGGCAACTGACTTTTGTATGTTTATTTATTTATTTTTTTATGGAGTCTTCAGGTTTTTTTAAATATAAGATCATGTCATCTACAAAGAGGGAAAATTTGACTTCTTTTCTAATTTGTTTGCTATTTCTTTCTTTCTGTTGCCTAATTACTCTGGCTAGGATGTCCAGTACTATGTCGAATAGGAGTGGTAAAAATGGGCATCCTTATCTTATTCTAATTCTAGAGGAAAGGCTTTCAGCTTTTCCCCATTCAGTATTATGTCAGCTGTGGGTTTTTCATATATTACCTTTATTATGTTGAGGTATGTTCCTTCTGTTCCTAATTGGTTGCAAGTTTTCACCATGAATGAATGTTGAATTTTATGAAATGCTTTTTGTGCATCTATTGAGATGATTACATGGTTTTCGTCCTTCGTTCTGTTGATGTAATGTATCCTGCTTATTGATTTGCATACGTTGAACCATTCTTTCATGCCTGGAATAAGTCTCACTTGATCATGATGTATTATCTTTTTAAAGTCTTGCTGAATTTGGCTTGCTAGCATTTTGTTGAGGATATTTGCATTTGTGTTCATCAGAGATGTTGGTCTGTAGTTTTCTTTTTTTGTTTTGTCCTTGTCTGGTTTTGGTATCAGGGTAATGTTGGGCTTATAGAATGAGTAGAGAATAATTCCCTACTCTTCCATTTTCTGGAATAATTTGAGAAGAATTAATGTTAGTTCTTCTTTTTAAGTTTGGTGGAACTTGGCAGTAGTCATCTGTTCCTGGACTTCATTTTGTTGGGAGAATTTTTATGACATTCAGGTTTTCCATTTCTTTCTGGTTCAATCTTTGTAGGCCTGCAGGAGGAGTACACAGGTGCCATCAGTGGTGGATGAGGCAGGGTAATCTCCAGAGCCCCAGATGATGCACTTGGACACTGGGGGAGGGTGGCATTAGGTGGTGTGGGCCTATCCTCAGGCCCCCTGATGGTGCATATAGGCACAAGCCATGATGTGCAGTGTGAGTCAATCCCTAGGCCTCTAATTAATATGCTTGGGCAATGACAACAGGCGTTTTGGACCTGTCAGGCCTCCTGATGGTGTATGCACATGCCCAGCATGACAAATGGGGTTAGGTGATCTCTAGATGCTTGGGTGGTGTGCTTGAGCACTGGGAGGGATGATGCTAGGCAGGATGGGTCTGTCCTCAGGCCCCTCAATGGTGTGTCCAGGTTGGGCTGTAGTGGGCAGGGCAGGATGATCCCCAGGCCTCTGGATGGCATGTTTGTGTGCAGGCAGCAGGAGTTCTGGGTTCATTGTTAGGCCCCCTGATTGTGTGTGCACACATCCAAGGTGAATGATGGGTGAGGCTATTCCCAGTCCCCAGATGATATGCTCAAGCAATGGGGGAGGTGGCTGGGTGGGACAGGCCTGTCCTCAGGTCCCCCAGTGGTGCCCATGGGCCTAGGCTGTGGTGATCCCTAGGCCCCCAGACAGCATGCTCAGGAGCCAATCGCAGATGGGCTGAGTCTTTTGTCAGACCTGATAATGTGTGTGTGTGCACAGGGTGATGATGGAATGAGATGAGGTGATCCCCAGGTGGCATGCTTGAGCTGTGGAAGAGGTGGTGGTAGGCAGAGAAGGCCTGTCCTTAGGTCTATCTGATTGCATACATTGGCACAGGCTGTGGTGGGTAGGGATAGGCAATCCCCAGGCCTCTGTGCGGAATGCTTGGGTAGTGGTGACAGCAGCAGCAGCAGGTGGGAAAAGCCTGTACTCAGGGCACATGCAAGTACATGGCAGCACTGCTGCTGAGGCAGTGGGGTTGCTGTTAGTGGTAGTGGCCTGCAGGCTGGTAGTTCTCAGGCTCTGGAGAACACTTGCTTTGACTGCCTTTGTCCTCATGGCAGCCTCCCTGGTACACTGCACCACTCTTTCCCCAAGGTGTAGGACATTGTATGGGCTAGCATGCCAGAGACCCAACTGCACTGCTGGGTCCTGTAGCTCTCTGGGTGAACATGGGGGTATATCAGTGGAGATGCAGGGGCTATTGGGCCTGAGGGCAGAATACAGTCTGGTGGGAGGTGGGCTCTCAAAATGACATCATGCTGCAGCTGCTTTATTCTTGGGAGTTATGTGGGACCTAGGGTGAGCTCCCTCTCTGGAGCAATGCCATCCTGTAGACTCCAGGTAGTTTCCTATGCTAGTCTCAGGGCTGGCCTGTGAGGATTGAGGGGCTCTCCTGTCACGAAGATTGCAAGAGTTGGCTGTGGGAATATGGACCAGTGGGGATCTCTCATTCATCATTTTCCCACATTGGAGAAAATCTCTGGGCTTCCAGCCAATCCCAGCTGAGCCAGCTGCCTCACTTTTCTCTCCTTGTGTGCCTCAGGTATTTCCTATCACTTCTCTGCTGAATTCCAGTGTTCTTTTAGATGCTCCATTCAAAGAGTGATGATCTACTCACTGTTTCTGTTTTTCTTTGTGGAGGAAGTCAGTGCCTGGTGCCTCCAGTCAACCATCTTTAAGTGCTAGCCTCACAGTGATTGTTTTGAGTGGGGACTTTTCTAGCTTTTGATTTAAAGTGAGAGATGTGTGACTCTTCCTTTCATTTGAACACTTAGAGGCCATTGGAGGGTTATTTATTGACCTAATTTCAATATTGTTGTGTCTCAGGGAATAGGTAGGCCCAGGGAAGGGGAGAGAGATGGGGGAATGAATGGTTTGTGGATCAGTCAGAACATATACAACATTTTTGGGCTATTCCTTTTCTCTTTTTTTGTTTTGGAGATGGGGGTCTCACACTTATCATCCAGCCTGGAGTGCAGTGGCATGATCATGGCTCACTGCAGCCTCGACTTTCTGGGCTCCTGTAATCTTCCTATCTCAGCCCCCCAAGTAGCTGGGACTATAGGTGCACGCTACCATGCCTTGCCAACTTTTTTGTATTTTAAGTAGAGACAGGGTTTCACCATGTTGCCCATGCTGGTCTTGAATTCCTGGGCTTGAGGGATCCACCTGCCTTGGCCTTCCAAAGTGCTGAGATTATAGGCATGAGCCACTGTGCTCAGCCTAGGCCTTTATCTCTAAATTGATTTAATTGTTTTCAAGAAAGCCCTCTCAGATAGCTGTCAGTACCATCATAAAAATGGAATTTGTAAATAGATTACATGCTCAACAGATTTCTGGATTTTATATCTCCTTTTTTTTTTGTAAAGATAATTTCAACTTTTATTTTATATCCAGAGGGAACATGTGCAGATTTGTTACCTGCGTGTATTGCATGATGCTGAGGTTTGGGGCACGACTGATCCTGTCATCCAGGTACTGAGCATAGGACCCAGTAGTTTTTCAACCCTTGCCCCACTCCTTCCTTATCCCCTCTAGTAGTCCCCAATTTCTATTATTGTCATTTTTATGTCCATAAGTACTCATTGTTTAGCACCCACTTGTAAGTCAGAGCATGTGGTATTTGGTTTTCTGTTGCCATGTTAATTTTCTTAGGATAATGGCCTCTAGATGCATCCATATTGCTGCAAAGAACATGATACCCTTCTTTTTTATGGCTGTGTAGTATTCCATGGTGTATATATATCATATTTTCTTTATTCAGTTCATTGGTGAAGGGCATTGAGGTTAATTCCATGTCTTGCTATTGTGAATAGTGCTGAAATGAACATATAAGTGCATGTGCCTTTTTGGTGTGACGATTTATTTTCTTTTGGATACAGAGTCAGTAATGGAATTGCTGGGTTGAACGGTAGTTCTGTTTTAAGTAATCTGAGAAGTCTCCAAGTTGCTTTCCACAGTGGCTGAACTAATTTACATTCCCATCAAAAGTGTATAAGCATTCCCTTTTCTCTACAGCCTTGCCAGTGTCTGTTGTTTTTTGACTTTCTAATAATAGCCATTCTGACTGGCATGAAATGGCATCTCATTGTGGTTTTGATTTGCTTTTCTCTGATGATTAGTGATGTGGGGCATTTTGTTGTATGTTCATTGGCCACTTCTATGTCTTGAGAAGTGCCTGTTCATGTCTTCTGCCCATTTTTTAATGGGGTTATTTGGTTGTTGCTTGTTAAATTAAGTTCCATATAGATTCTGGATGTTAGACCTTTGTCAGATGCAAATATTTTCTCCCATTCTATAGATTGTCTGTTACTCTTGATAGTTTCTTTTTCTCTACAGAAGTTCTTTAGCTTGATTAGGTCCCACTTGTCAATTTTTGCCATTGTTGCAATTGCTTTTGAGGACTTAGTTGTAAGTTCTTTCCCAAGGCCAATGTACAGAATAGTGTTTCCTAGGTTTTCTTCTAGGATTCTTACAGTTTGAAGTCTTACATTAAATCTTTAATCCTGAGTTAATTTTTATATACGGTGAAAGGTAGGTTTCCAGTTTCATTCTTCTGCATGTGGATAGCCAACTATCTCAGCACCATTTACTGAATAGTCTTTTCCCCCACTTGCTTATTTTTGTCCACTTTGTCAAATATCAGATGGCTGTAGGTTTGTGGTTTATTTTGGGGTTCTCTATTCTGTTCCATTGGTCTATGTGCCTTTTTTTGTGCCAGTACCTTGCCATTTTGGTTACTGTAGCCTTATAGTATAGTTTGAAATTAGGTAATGTGATGCCTCCAGCTTTGTTCTTTTTACTTAGGATTGCTTTGGCTATTCTGGTTTGTTTTTAGTTCCATGTAAATTTTAGAATAACTTTTTTTTTTAGTTCTGTGAAAAATAATATTGGTAGTTTGATAGGAATAACATTGAATCTATAGATTGCTTTGGGCAATATGGCCATTTTAATGATATTAATTCTTCCTGTCATAAGCATGGAATTTTTTTCGATTTGTTTGTATTGTCTGCTCTGCCCTTTCCTTTCCTTCCTTTCCTTTCCTTTCCTTCCTGTCCTGTCCTGTCCTGTCCTGTCCTGTCCTTTTTTTGTCTTTTCTTTTCTTTTTTTGATAGAATCTCACTCTATTGCCCAGGCTGGAGTACAGTGGCACAATCTTGGCTCACTGCAACATCTGCCTCTGGGGTTCAAATGTTTCTCCTGCCTCAGTGTCCCTCAGTGTAGCTGGGACTACAGTTGTGCACCACTGCACCCAGCTAGTTTTTGTATTTTTTGCTAGAGACAGGTTTTTGTTGTGTTGGTCAGGCTGGTCTAGAATTCCTGGCCTTAAGTGATCCATCCGCCTTGGCCTTCCAAAATGCTAGGATTATAGTCATGAGCCACCATGCCTGGTCGTCTATGCTTTCTTTTTATCAGTGTCTTATGGTTCTCCTTTCGGAAATCTTTTATCTCTCTGGTTAGATGTATTTCCAGGTATTTTTTTGGTAACTATTATAAATGAGATTACATTCTTTATTTGGCTGTCAGTTTGAATGTTATTGGTGTATAGAGTTGTTACTGATTTTTGTACATTGATTTTTGTATCCCGAAACTTTACTGAAGTTGTTTATCAGTTCTGGGAGCCATTTGGTGGAGTCTTTAGGGTTTTCTTCATATGGAATCATATCATCAGTGAAGAGAGATAGCATGACTTCTTCTTTTCCTCTTTGGATGCTTTTATTTCTTTCTTTTGCCTGATTGCCCTGGTGAGGAATTCCAGTACTGTGTTGAATAGGAGTGGCGAGAGTGGGCATCCTTGTATTGTTTTCGTTCTCAAGGGGAATGCTTCCGCTTTTTGCCCATTCAGTATGATGTTGGCTATGGGTTTGTCATAGATGGTTCTTACTATTTTGTGGTATGTTTCTTCCTATTTTGTGGTATGTTTCTTCAATGCCTACTTTCTGGAAGGTTTTTTCATGAAGGAATGTTGGATTTTGTCAAAAGCTTTTTCTGTCTATTGAGATGAGCATATGTTTTAATAAACAATAATTAATAATAGTTTTAATTCTGTTTATATGGTGAATCACATTTATTGATTTGAATATGTTGAACCAACCTTGCATCCCGGGAATGAAGCCTCTTTGACCAAAGACCAAAAGCCTCTTTGACTTTTTGATGTACTGTTGGATGCTGTCTACTTGTATTTTGTTGAGGATTTTTGCATCTATGTTTATCAGGGATATTGGCCTGTAATTTTCTTTTTTCATTATGTCTTTGCCAGGTTTTGGTATCAGGATTATGCTGGCTTCATAGAATGAGTTAGGGAGGACTCCCTCCTCTTTGAGGTTATGGAATAGTTTCAGTAGGATTTGGTACCAGCTTTTCTTTGCACATCTGGTAGAATTTGGCTATGAATACATCTTGTCTAGGGCTTCTTTTCTGGTTGGTAGGTTTTCTTAAATTGTAGATCCAATTTCAAAACTAAATATCAGTCTGTTCAGGGTTGCAATTTCTTCCTAATTCAATCTTGGGAGATTTTGTGTTTCTAAGAATTTATCTATTTCCTCTAGATTTTCTAGTTTGTGTGCATAGAGGTGTTCATAATAGTCTCTGAGGACCTTTTGTATTTCTGTGGGATTGGTTGTAATATCACTGTTGTCATTTCTGGTTGTGCTTATTGGCATCTTGTCTTTTTTCTTTGTTAATCTAGCTAGGGCTGATATGGTTTGGCTGTGTCCCCACCCAAATCTTACCTTGACTTGTAGCTCACATAATCCCCATGTGTTGTGGGAGGTTCCTGGTGGGAGGTAATTTAATCATGGGTGCAGTTACCCTCACGCTGTTCTCGTGATAGCAAATAAGTCTTATGAGATCTGACGGTTTTATAAGGAGGTTTCCTCCTTTTGCTGGGCACTTCTCTGTTCTGCCGCCCCGTGAAGAAGGACATAGTTTCTTCCCCTTCCACCATGATTGTAAGTTTCCTGAGGCCTCCTCAGCCATGCTAAACTGTGAGTCAATTAAACCTTTTTCCTTTATAAATTACCCAGTCTTGGGTGTGTCTTTATTAGCAGCATGAGAATGAACTAATACAAGGGCCTATTAATCTTGTTCATCCTTTCAAAAAACCAACTTTTGGTATAGTTGATTATTTGTATGGATTTTTGGATCTCAATTTCATTCAGTTCAGCTCTGATTTTAGTTATTTTTTTTCCTTCTGCCTGCTTTGGGGTTAGTTTGTTCTTGTTTTTCTAGTTCCTATAGTGTGATGTTAGATAATTAATTTTCAATCTTTCTAAGTTTTTGAGGTAGGTGTTTAGCACTATAAACTTTCCTCTGAACACTGCTTTTGTTGCATCCCAAAGATTTTTAGTATGTTTTTCCTGTTTTAATTTATATTAAATAATTTTTGATTTCTCTTCTAATTTCATTGCTTACCCAAAAGTCATTCAGGAGATAGTTTGTAATTTCCATATAATTGTGTGGTTTTGAGAGATCTTCTTGATATTGATTTCTATTTTTGTTCCATTGTTGTCCAAGGGTATGGTTGGTGTGACTTGATTTTTTTTTAAATTAATTGAAACTTGCTTTATGGCCAAACAATGGGGTCAATCTTGGAGTGTGTTGTATGTGAAGGTGAGAAGAATGTGTGTTCCGTGGTTGATGGGTGAAGTAGTCTACAGATGTCTATCAGGTCCAATTGGTCAAATGTTGAATTTAAGTCCAGAATTTCTTTGTTAGTTTCCTGCCTTGATGATCTCATACTATCAGTGGGGTGTTGAAGTTCCCCACTATTATTGTGTGGCTGTGTAAGTCATTTTGTAGGTGTAGACACACTTATTTTATGAATCTGGGTGCTCCAATGTTGGGTGTGTATACATTTAGTACAGTTAAGTCTTGTCGAATTGAATCCTTTATTGTTACGTAATACCCTTCTTTGTCCTTTTTTTTTTTAACTGTTTTTTACTTTTTTTACTGGTGTTGGTTTAAAGTTCGTTTTATCTAATTTAAGAATATGTAAGACCCTTGCTTTTTTTGTTTTTTTCCATTTGCATGGTAGATTTTTCTGCAACCCTTTACTTTGAGCCTATGGGTGTTTTTACATGATGAGTCTTTTGAAGACAGTAGATGGATGGGTCTTTTTAAAAAAATCCAACTTAACCCCTCTGTTCCTTTTATGTGGAACATATAGACTATTTACATTCATTACATCCAATACTAATTCACGTTAATATTTATGTGTGAGGCTTTGATCCTATTGTGACATTTTTTGCTGGTTGCTTTGTAGTTTCTATCATGTAGTTCCTCCATAGAGTCTGTGGGCTATGTACTTAAGTATGTTTTTGTGGTAGTAATATTGTTCTGTTTTTTTCATTTTTAGAGCCCCCTTAAGGATCTCTTGTAAGGCTTATCCTGTGGTAACTAATTTCCTTAGTGTTTGCTTATCTAGAAAACATTTTATTTCTCCTTCACTTATGAAGTTTAATTTGGCAGTTTATGAAACTCTTGGTTGGAATTTCTTTTCTTTTAGAATGCTGAAAATAGGCTCCCAATCTCTCCTGGCTCATAAGGTTTCTGCTGAGAAGTCTTCCGTTAACCAGATGCATTCCCTTTGTACATGACCTGACCTTTTTCTCTAGGTGCCTTTAAAATTTTTTGTTTATTGTTGACCCTGGACAGTCTGGTGACTGACTATATGCTTTCGTGTTACTCATTTTGTATAGTATCTCTCAGGTGTTCTCTGGATTTTTTGTATTGGATGTCTACCTCTCTAGCAAGATTAGGGAAATTTTCATGAATTAGTCCCTCAAATATGTTTTCCAGGTTGTTTTCTTTTCCTTTGTCTCTCTCAGGAACGCCAATAATTTGTAGGTTTGGTTGATTTACATAATCCCATATTTCTCAAAGACTTTGTTCATTTTTTAAAGTTCCCTTTTCTTTATTTTTGTTTGACTAGGTTAGTTTGAAAGACTGGTCTTCAGGTTCTGAAATTCTTTCTTCTGCTTGGTCCAGTGTATTGATACTGTTTTAATTGTATTTTGAAATTCCTTACGTGAGTTTTTCAATTCCAGAAGCTCCGATTGATTTCTTTTTAAGGTGTTTATTTCTTCCTTCATTTCCTGGATTGCTTTAGAAGTTTCTTTGTGTCAACTTTGTCTTGCATCTTGTTGGGCTTCCTTGCAATCCATGCTTTGAATTCTTCATCTGTCATTTTTGCATTTCCATTTTAGTTAGGGATCACTGTTGGAGAGCTGGCATGGTACTTTTGTGTTGTCACTATATTCAGATTATTCATGGTGCCAGAATTATTGTGCTGGTTCCCTTTCATCCAGAGACACTTACACTTTATATTTTTGTAATTATTTTCTTTTGGGTAGATTTTTTTTTTTGTTTCTCTTTCTTATATTATCATCGAGGTTTTTCCCTTACTCTTTGCCCTCCTCCCTAGGGGTTGTTACAGTAGAAAATGCTGGGTAGGATCTTTCTGGTTTGTTTCTATATTCCTATGCATTTCTGTTGATAGGGTTTTTAATAGGCTGTGTCGTTCTACCTGCAAGCCGGTAGATTGTGCTTATAGGTAAGAGGCAACTGTGGGCAACATAGCTGAGTGTATATTTGATATTTGCTTACTGGGAAAAGCTCTCTGTTGCTTCAGGCAATGGCCTGATGTGTGGAGTACACAAGAGGTCTGAGCTCCCTGCTTATCCCCCAGGGTTGCGGGAGGGGAGTGCAAGATAGGTGGAGCTGGACTTAGCACGTCTGCTTATAAGTCCACTAATGACAGGCACAAGCACCAGCACCGAGGGAGAATCCAGTTGGGTGGCCACCAAGTGACCAGAGGTGTGTCTAGGCCTGGAGCTAGGAAACATTCTTGGTCCCAAGTTCTCTGGACGGGAATGTGGTGGCCTAAACTCCTAATCCAAGAAAGTGGGTGCTCCAGATGCCTGCAGATCTTCCCAGATGTGGAGCAGAGAGGGCCACTCTGCACTAGGATCTCTGCACAGAAAGGGTGGGGCAGCTCAGGCTGCTATTCTAGGTGAACAGGTGCTCTGAATGCCTCCGGAGATCTGCCTGGATGTGGAGCGGAAAGGGCCCCATTGCACCATGATCTGTGTCCATGAAGGGTGGGGCATGTCAGGATTCTGGTCCTAGTGAGCGGGTTCTCTGAATACCTGGATTTATGCCGGGGGGCAGGGGGTGGAGCAGAGAGGGTCCCACTGTACCACAATCTCAGGAGAGCAGCAGGCTGGGACACCCTGGCACATGCAGATTGTTTCTAGGTCGCCAAGGCTGCAAGTCTTGTCACCTAGGAAAACCTGCAGCTGTAGCAGCTCTCCAATTGCCCCAGGCCTGTGATGGGGGACAGCACAATTCTGGTACCTACTTCTGAGGAGCTTTCTATAGTTCTGGCTGTAGAGGCCCTTACCCCCCTCCAGAGCAAGTACTTCAATCCCTGGCCCTAGACTAAAATGCCTGCATGGCCACACGGCTGGGTCACCAAAGAATGGTTGACTTTGTATTTGTCTGGATTTAAAAGAGTATCCTCCTCTGAGTCCCAGGTCTGGGGAAATGATTGCAGCTTTTCCTGGTGTCTTTCTTTCACAGCATCTCCAAGCCTCTCTCCAAGTTCGCTCCAGGGCTTGCGAGAAACAAAGTGCTCTCCCTCAGCCCCAGCTCCTCGCACACCCAGTGGAAAGGTGAGTCACAGAGGGAGGTTCTTTGCTTCGCTCATGTACCGGGGCTTCACTTACTTTTATCAGCTGGATGCCATCACAGGGGCTGTTTATGAGTTCTCCTCCCTGGGATTTGGGGTGTCCTTCACGGTTCTGGTGGATTCCCATTTTCCTTCTTGAATTAAAGCTCACAGAGTTGACCTTTATGCACTATCTTGCTATGGTTGTGGTTTGTGGTACTCCCAAACAATTACAATAGTAACATCAAAGACCGCTGATCACACTAGCAGACATAATAATAAAGTTTGAAATATTGTGAGAAGCACCAAAATGTGGCACAGAGACATGAAGTGAACACATGCTGTTTGAAAAAAATGGCACTGATAGAATTGCTTGGTACAGGGTAGCCTCAAATCTTCAATTTGTAAAAAAAAATGTAACATCTGTGAAGTATAATAAAGTGAAGCACAACAAAATGAGGCATGCCTGTACTAGTGTTAGCATCTCCGTTTTATAGATGAGACATCTGAGGAACAGATAAATCTGACTTTCCTGAGGTTTCCTAGTAAAAGGTACAGCTGGAATACAAAGCCAGGCAGTTTTGGCCCTTGAGTTTGCACCAGGCCAAAAGGAAGGAAACTTGCAAGAAATGGCACATAGAAATCTTCAGGTGGAGAAGAGATCCAGAGCAAATAATTCTTAGGAACTGTAATAAAAGCTTTGCTGCTCACCTGGACACTTCTGCATGCTGAGGCCTGTGCCAAGTCACGCTGACTTCTTTGATCAGGCCTGAGGCATCCTGCAGGGAACCTGGGCATGTATCTTTGGGCATGCCAAAAGGTGGATATGGATTCTGTCTAAGCCAGTATTCTGTCCCTCTGTTGGTTGACAATCACCTCACAGAAATCTCTGTGCTTCTCTTTAATTGAGGACTTTGTTTCTGCAGTCAGGGATTTGGGTTTAGCAAAGGTGATTTGGTTCAGATCTTTCATGCAGGCCCTAATTGACAGTGTCCTCCTGAGATGCCTCCCTGCTCAGGCCCCACCTCCCAGGACCTGCCCTAGGCTTGTCTTTCATCATCAACAGTGCCCCTGCCCCTTCCCGTGTCTCTCTCTTCCCTCCAGGTTCCCAACCTCCTAATGAGAGCACTTGCAGATCCAATCAACTGAGCAGTTGTGTCATGTGAGTGTGCAACACTTTGCTGGCCACTCAGTAGCATCCTTCTGGAGCCTGAAAACCTTAATCCAAACAAATGAAGTCAGTGACAAAAATTGGCTGAAATTTTTTTTTGGCATGAGCATAACCTGTGGCACCTACTTGCCTCCCAAATAATATGCAATCGACCCTCCATATCCATAGGTTCAGCATCAGTGGTTGCAACCAACCAAGGATTGAAAATATTTTTTTAAAAAAGGATGTTTATGTCTGTACTGAACATGTACAGTCTTTTTCTTGTCATTGTTTCCTAAACAATACAGTACAACAACAATTTACATAGCATTGACATTGTATTAGGTATTATAAGTAATCTAGAGATGATTTAAAGTAAATGGGAGGACGTATGTAGTTTATACGTAAATACTATGCCATTTGGTATAAAGGACTTGAGCATCTGTGGATTTTGGTGTCCGCGGGGTGTCCTGGAACCAATCCCCAGCAGATACTAAGAGATGACTGTATCTGCCTACTTTATAGCACTGCCTGGATATTGAATAGCCATCTTGGCAGTGCATGTCCAAGGCTGAACTCTTAATCTTCAGCCCCACATCTGCTCTCCCAAAAGTCTTTCCTTCTTACTCTTATCATCTTTCCTTTCTTCACAACCTGCATCTCATCTGCAAACAAGTCTCCTCCACAACTGTGTTTCAAATCTCCTCCTTCCCTCCAGCTCCACTGCTACCATCATCTCAGGCCACCACCACCTTGCATCTGGACCGCTGCAGTGACCCACTTAATTGGCCCCCACCAGGCCCCATCTATTATCTCCTCAGCAGCTAATCATTAAAAAATGTGAATCGGATAATATTTCTCCTGTGTACCAGCTTTTCACAGCTTCCCATAGCACTTAGGACAAAAGCTCACTTTGTGTCACAACCTGCAAGGCCTCCTTGGAGCAGCCAGCCCTTGCCACCTCTTCAGCTTGGCCCTGCCTGGCTCTTTCCTTGCCCTCCCATCTAGCCACACTAGCCTTATTTCCATTCTATGCCAAGGCCTTTGCACTTGCGGTTTCCTCAGGGCCCCCAGGAATGTCCATGCCCTAATCCCCATAACCTGTGACATCTAATGTGGCATAGCAGAAGGGACTTTGCAGATGTCATTAATGCTACAGACTTTAATCTAGAGAAGCCTCTCTTATCCAGATGGGTCCACTTAATCACATGAACCCTTAATAGCAGAGAAGTTTCTCCAGCTGGAGGCAGAGTAGAAAGAAGTCAATGAGATTAGGAGCCTGAGAAGGACTCAGGCACGATAGCTGGTTCGAGATAGAGGGGACACCTGGTGAGGGGTACAGGCAGCCTCGGGAGTGGAGAGTCCCTCACAACCAGTGAGGAAACCAGACTCAGCTCTGCGGCCACAAGCAATCCTTCCCCCCTTCCCCTTCCCCTTCCCTTTCCCCTTCCTGTCTGGGCTGAAGTGCAGAGGCGCAATCTTGGCTCACTGCAGCGTCGACCTCCTTGGCTCAGGTGATCCGCCCACCTCAGCCTCCAGAGTAGCTGGTACCACAGGCGTGTGCCACTACACCCAGCTAATTTTTATACTTTTTTGTAGAGATGGGGTTTTGCCATGTTGCCCAGGCTAGTCTCGAACTCCTGCACTCATGTGATCTGCCTGCTTTAGCCTCCCAAAATGCTGGGATTACAGGCATGAGCCACCGCACCTGGCACAATTCTGAATAAGCTTGGTAGCTGATTCTTCCCAGAGGCTTCAGATAAGAGGCTGGCCAGTTTGGCACTTTGATTTTGGCCTTCTAAGACCTACAACAGAAAAACCAAGGGAGCTTCCCTGGAGTCTGACCTGTAGAACTACAAGATAACATATTTATGTTGTTTTGAGCTGCTAAGGTTATGGTAATTTGCACCACAGCAATAGAAAATGGATCCAGCCTGGAATATTATTCTTTTTCCACTACTAGTTTCCCGATGGCACAGTCTCCTGCTCAAGCTCAGCTGTCTCTGATTAGCCCATCTAAAGTAGGTCCACCTGCTATTCTCTCTCAGGCCATCTTCTTTTTCTTCCTAGCATCAGCCACAATTTGCCATGTATACTTTTTGAGAGGCAGTACAGCATGGGGGAGCTGGTGCAATACTCACATACGCAGACTCTGGAGCTGCTGGGTTCAAAATCTGGCGCATCCTATTTGCTGCTTGTGTGACCTTGGCTAAGTTATTAACCTTTCTGTGCTTTAGTTTTTTCATCTGTAAAGTGGGCATACTACTACTAGCTCAGAGGGGTTTAGTGAGGATAAAGTGAGTAAACATCTGTAAAGCATTTAGAACAGTATTTGACACAGAGCAGGCTCCTGTAACTGTAGTTATTTACTATGTATGTATTTAGTGGCTTTCTAGACTTGGGGTCAGCAAACTACTGTCTGTGGGTCAAATTCAGCCACCACCTGCTTTGGTAAACAAAGTTTTATTAGAACATAGTCACGCCTAGTCATTTATGTACTGTTGATTGTACTTCCATGCTACCATAGCAGAGTTGAGTAGTTACGACCACATGGCTTGCAAAGCCTCAATTATTTATTCTCTGGTCTTCTACAGAAAACACTTGCTGTAATTGGAAAGCCCCGAGAAGGTTGAGAGCACTTTTGTTTTCTTCATCTCTGCGTCCTTATTTCTTGGAACACTACCTGGCAAACCATGGGTGCACCATGCAGCAAGTTAAGGTCGCCGAAGTAGAATTGCGTATTAAGCCAGTGTCTCCATCCAGGTAAGAAAGAAAGTGGGTTCCATCCTTGCTTCCCCTGAGTAGCATGAGACCAGTCTCTAGCATGGTGTAAAGTCCCACAGCACTAGGACCAGCGATTCCACTCCATCAGCATTCAATTCATCTCTTCACCAGCTTCATTAATGCTCCCCTGCTAGGGTGTCTTGGGCTTTAACATTAAGTGCCATTTTTACTTTCTAAATTAAAGCTGCTTTGTAGCTGTAGTTAATAAGCTCAATCTTCTTTGGCCGTTTGTCTCCCAGGTTGGTACCTGAGTTGTACTGTCTAGGGTGTCTCAGATGTCACAGTGTCCAACTGCCAAGTCATAAATTGGTAGGAGCTACAGAACACATGGTGTTTTAATGACACTCTATTATGAGCTTTAAATTGCCTCCTTACAGAAAAGCCCAAAGATGGTGTTAGCCTTTGACCTGTGTTGCTGGGAAGTTTTAAAATGTCTGAAGTTTTCGTTAATTACTTCCACGCCTTTCCTGCAGCTGTGTTTTACAGGGCTGGTTTGCTGCCATCTATCACGATATTTTCACATTTCTAGTCGCATACTCTTTAATTATTCCACGGGGGCTTTCAGAGCGTTTTTCATTATCCAATATATTACACTTGCAGGGAAATCAGGTTGCCTTTTCATGAGGTGAAAAGACAGAGCTGATTGCTAATTGAGCAGTTTGCCACCAGGATCAGCTGTATCAGCATCTACCAAGTTGGCTTAGGGGGTGGAGGCTGGCAAGTCCTTCTTAAATATTCCCCTACTGAGGCTTCAAAGCTTACCCTAGGTGAATTATTTTCTTGCATTGTGCACTGTCTGCTCCAGAGCCATTCTTTGTTTAATCTCCTGCTGATAATTCATTGAGTGATAATAAAGTTTCAAAATCCCATGCTTCCTTCTTGAGTGATTTGGGCAGGTGAAAGCAAAACTGAGTGTTGGGGGTCCTTGAGACTCCGGTTGGGAAATCGGGGAGGGGGACAGAAAAGTGGTAGGGGCTTTGCCTCACCAGGTCAGCCTGGTTGTGAAATCATGGCAGGTTGGTGTTATTTTTAGGAGGTGAGAACTCAGATAGTAGGTAATGCCAACCTACTCCGGAAGGTGAGGCATCTTCAGCCTGGACATGGCTTTGGTGTCTCTCACTCTCCTTTCACCCAGCAGTCCAGGGTGAGCAGTGGAATTTCCACCTGTAGCTCCCCAGGTCACCAGACAAGAGGCCTCATCACCTGAAAACCTTCACTGAATGAGCTCAGAGCATGTCAAATCTCTGCAGTTACAATGCAGCTACTGCCTAGTTACTTCATATAGGTGAACGTTGCCCTCCAGCATAGATAAATCCACTCAAACCTTAATTGCATCGGTTTATCTTTAAAATGGCCACTAAAGTACCTTCATAATGGGATTGTGTAAATTAAATAACTTAATACACAGAAAGGGCTTAGAATAGTTTTTGGCCCATAGTAGTATTCAACAAATGTTAATAGTTACTACTACTGTTTTCTTCCTATGGCGACTATTACACAATTTGATATCATGCTTTTTCATTTTGTTATGAACATTTCCTCATGTTTTAAAATTTTTGATGGTTGTTATTATTTGTGTTAACTATTTTACTAAGTAATATTTTGATGAAAATTATTTTAATATAAATCATTTTAGGGATTTAAAAGGTAATAAAATGGATTTTTAGAGGTCAAATTACTGGGTGAAAGAACACAACATTTTTGTCAACCTGTCCTTCTAAATGTAATGTATGAGTATGACCATCTGACCATCCTTGCTAATGCCATCACTGACAAAGAGTTGCCAATTTGGGTGATAAAAATAGTTCTCTTGTAGTTTTACTATGCATTTACTTTATTACAACTGAAGTATGACATTATTTTAAAAGTTTATTTGAATTTTATTTCTTTCTCTGAGTTTTCTTTATATATTCTCTGCTTATTTTTCTATAGTTTATGTTTTTCTTGATTTAAAGGAATGCTTTATGTACTATAAATTTTATATATTACATTCATGTGTTTTAACTTAATTATTTGCAGTTATTTTTCTTCATCTTTTCCTAATATTTTAATATTGCTTATAGGATCTTTTGTTATCAAATTTTAAACTATGTGGTCTATCGATTTAAATCTGTAGGTCTTAAATCTATCTTGGTTAGTCTTGTCTTTTCTGAATTTTGTGTGTTTCTTTACTGTGTCAAGACTTTAAAAGCTTCGGTCTATAATTTCTGCCACTGTTTTAATAATCCACCTGGATTTTTTTCTTAGGTGATATATTCATCTGTTTTCTTTTGCTTATAACAGAATATCAGAAACTGGGTAATTTAAAAAGAAAAATAATTTATTTCTTACAGTTCTGGAGGCTGGAAAGTCCAAGGTTAAGGGGGCACGTCTGTTGAGGGCCTTCTTGGTGGTGGAGAGTTCTTGGAGTCCTGAGATGGTGTGGGGCATCATATGGCGAGGGGCTGAGTGTGCTGAGCATTCTAGCTCTGGTCTCTTTTCCTCTTCTTACAAAGATAACTCATTAATTCATTAATTGCCCTTCATTGTTTTATAAACTATTTTCTTGGAAATTTGTGGGCATATTCTACATGAGTTTTAGCATTAGCTTGCCAGAATTAATAAGATATTCTTGAGTTTTGGATTGAAATTGCATTGACTTTATAGGTAAACTTGTGAAGAACTAAATCTTAACAGTGTTACAGCTTTTTATTTGGGATCATTGTAATTCTCTCCTATAGAAAAAAATTCTAGTTTTCTCCATATTTGTTTTATGAATTTTTTGATAAATTTATTTCTAGGTTTTGACAATTTGGGTTGCTGCTGCGAATGCAATCTTTTCCCATGACATGTTCTAATTACTTTTATGGTGAATTTGTTCCTCTTGGGTACGGCTACCCAACTGAAGTCTCCTTTCGTTCCAATGTTGATTCCATTGGATTTTCTAAGTTGATAAATATATTGTTTTAAAATTACATCTTGTTTCTCTTTCCCCAATATTTATATCAACTTTTCTTTTCCTATTCTTGTTGCATTGGCAAAGATCTCCAGTGCAATTTTGAATAGCAGGGCTGATAGTGGGCATCTTTGCCTTATTCCTGATTTAGTTAGATCTTCTCTAATGTTTTTCATTAAGTATGATGTTAGTTTCTTTTAGATAATTTTTATAAAGTTAAAAATCCTTCCTCTTATTCCACGTTTGTTAAAAGTTTCATTGGGAATATGCCAAATAATATTTTTTAAAATATTTCTTATTATTTATTGAGATCTTGTTTTTGTTTTACTTGTTAATGTGATGAATTACATCAGTTCAACATCAACTTAATGTTGAACCAACCATTTCTTTATTTCTGTAATAAGCCCCTTTTAGCCATATTAAAGGGTTATTGCAATATACTTTTGGATTTGATTTGCCAGAACTTAATTTAAAATGGTTTCATCTGTATCAGTTTTTGAGCTAGTCCTCCAGGGTGATGTATTAGTTTCCAAGTGCTGCTGTAACAAATGATCCTTTTTCCAAATAAGGTCACACTGACAGGCTTAGGGGATTAGAGCATGGACATGTCATTTTGGAGCCACCGTTTAACCCACTGCAGGTTTGTCATTAGCGTGGCACTCTGCCTTTGGAACATGTGGTGGGATTATATTTCTTGGATCCCTTGGGCTGGATGGAGCCATGTTAGTAGTTTTGGCCAATGAGTTAGATGTGGAAATAATGTCACTTTTCTGGGCCAAGCATTTTATTGCCACTACAAGATATCCAGGGCTGTCTTTTCCTCCCTTTGACTCAGTGACCAGCAACCTTCAAGGCCAGCCTGGGCCCTTGATTGACTATGATGAACAGACTCTTGCCAACCAGCAATGGACATGTAGCATGAGCAAGAAATAATCTATCATTGTTTAAATGAAGGGTTGGCAAAGTTTATCTGTAAGGGACCAGGTAATAAATATTTTAGACTTTTCAGGCCAAGCAGTGAAATCAAAGATATTACATAGGGACTTAGATCATAAGAGAGAAATAAAATTTCCAATTATTTTTGATGAAATCCAAAATACCATAATAGAGGATAATTTTTTTATAATACAGGTCTACTAATAAGAAGAATGAATATTATATTTTTGGCAGGGGGACAACAGTTCACTTAACTGGAGCTTAAAGTTAGTATTCCCTATGATCAAATCAATTGTAGTGTTTATTTGTTAATGGTAGCTTGTAATGAGATTTTATATATTTCAGTTTAAAAATGTCTTTTCACACAGATAAGCACTATCAAATGCTGATACCAATTATTAGCATATGCTTTTTTTTTTTGAGGCAGGGTCTCACTTTGTCACCCAGGCTGGAATGCAGTGGCGCAATAATGGCTCACTGTAGCCTCAGCCTCCTGAGTAGCTAGGACTACAGATATGCACTACCATGCCTGGCTAATTTTTAAACGTTTTGTAAAGAGGGAGTCTCACTATGTTGCCCAGGCTGGCCTTGAACTCCTGGCCTCAAGTAATCCTCCCACCTCAGCCTCCCAAAGTGCTGGGATTACAGGCATGAGCCATTGTACCTGGCCAGCATGTGCTTTCAGTGGAGCACATTCATTGCTTGGAAGGTGGATAAATTAGATAGTGCCCCTCTCCTAGGAGCACACAGTCTGGAAGGGAGATATCTATGTAGTATCTGTAAAGTAGTGATATAAAATACATTCCTCATCTTCCAAGACAGTGCATCTTTTCCTCTAAGAAGATTTTCTCATTCCCTTAGACCCCCACTCCTATGTGCATCCACAGCTCTTTGTTCAAATTTTTATTATTGTCTAGGGAGACTGATTTTTTAATGCTTATGTGGCATCACCCAGAACATAGTATTTAAGAGTGCACACTCTTTGGGTTCCAGTCCTGGCCCTCCCAAAAACTTTCTGTATGACTTTAGGCATGTTACTTTATCTCTCTGTGCTTTAGTTTCCAAATATGAACAGTTTCGTAGGGGTGTAATAATAAAGAAATGAGTTTTTGTATATGTTTCACCTATAACTGTTGTTTTGCCTTGTAATTTTAGGTTGAATTCATTAAGAAACATTATCACGTCTGGGGCAAAAGCTAATTTCCAACGGTTAAAAAGTTAGCTTATAGGCCCTACAAAAGCAGGTAAAAGGCCCAGTTTGGTCCATAGGCCAGATAGGTTTGCTGACTCCTGGTCACTGAGATGTTGGGATTGTGTGTTACTGCAGCATATCTCTCTCTCTCTGTGTGTGTGTGTGTGTGTGTGTGTGCGCGCACACTTTTTTGTTGGAACTTGGTATCAGAGCTAGCTTTGAAGAAATAAATGGGAAGTTTTGACATTTTCCTGTACTTTGAGAATTTATTATATAAACATTGTTTATGAAGATTCAGTAGAACTGATAAAAACATCTAAGGCTATATACATATTCACACACACACACATATAATAGAGTATATTTCTGCTCTTTCAAATTCTTTTTTTATTGATTGATGGATTGATTGATCATTCTTGGGTGTTTCTCGCAGAGGGGGATTTGGCAGGGTCATAGGACAATAGTGGAGGGAAGGTCAGCAGATAAACAAGTGAACAAAGGTCTCTGGTTTTCCTAGGCAGAGGACCCTGCGGCCTTCCGCAGTGTTTGTGTCCCTGGGTACTTGAGATTAGGGAGTGGTGATGACTCTTAACGAGCATGCTGCCTTCAAGCATCTGTTTAACAAAGCACATCTTGCACCGCCCTTAATCCATTTAACCCTGAGTGGACACAGCACATGTTTCAGAGAGCACAGGGTTGGGGGTAAGGTCACAGATCAGCAGGATCCCAAGGCAGAATAATTTTTCTTAGTACAGAACAAAATGAAAAGTCTCCCATGTCTACCTCTTTCTACACAGACACGGCAACCATCCGATTTCTCAATCTTTTCCCCACCTTTCCCCCCTTTCTATTCCACAAAACCGCCATTGTCATCATGGCCCGTTCTCAATGGGCTGTTGGGTACACCTCCCAGACGGGGTGGTGGCCGGGCAGAGGGGCTCCTCACTTCCCAGTAGGGGTGGCCGGGCAGAGGCGCCCCTCACCTCCCGGACGGGGCGGCTGGCCGGGCGGGTGGCTGACCCCCCCACCTCCCTCCCGGACGGGGCGGCTGGCCTGGCGGGGGCTGACCCCCACCTTCCTCCCGGACGGGGTGGCTGCCGGGTGGAGACGCTCCTCACTTCCCAGACAGGGTGGCTGCCGGACGGAGGTGCTCCTCACTTCTCAGACGGGGCGGCTGCCGGGTGGAGGGACTCCTGACTTCTCAGATGGGGCGGTTGCCAGGCAGAGGGTCTCCTCACTTCTCAGACGGGGCGGCCAGGCAGAGACGCTCCTCACCTCCCAGACTGGGTCGCGGCCGGGCAGAGGCGCTCCTCACATCCCAGATGGGGCGGCGGGGCAGAGGCGCTCCCCACATCCCAGACGATGGGCAGCCGGGCAGAGACGTCCTCACTTCCTAGATGTGATGGTGGCCGGGAAGAGGCGCTCCTCACTTCCTAGACGGGATGGCGGCCGGGCAGAGACGCTCCTCACTTTCCAGACTGGGCAGCCAGGCAGAGGGGCTCCTCACATCCCAGATGATGGGCGGCCAGGCAGAGACGCTCCTCACTTCCCAGACGGGGTGGCGGCCGGGCAGAGGCTGCAATCTCGGCACTTTGGGAGGCCAAGGCAGGCGGCTGGGAGGTGGAGGTTGTAGCGAGCCGAGATCACGCCACTGCACTCCAGCCTGGGCACCATTGAGCACTGAGTGAACCAGACTCCGTCTGCAATCCCGGCACCTCGGGAGGCCGAGGCTGGCGGATCACTCGTGGTTAGGCGCTGGAGACCAGCCCGGCCAACACAGCGAAACCCCGTCTCCACCAAAAAAATACGAAAACCAGTCAGGCGTGGCGGTGCGCGCCTGCAATCGCAGGCACTCGGCAGGCTGAGGCAGGAGAATCAGGCAGGGGGGTTGCAGTGAGCCGAGATGGCAGCAGTACAGTCCAGCTTTGGCTCGGCATCAGAGGGAGACCGTGGAAAGGGGAGGGGGAGGGGGAGGGGGAGAGGGAGAGGGAGAGGGAGAGCGAGAGCTGTCTTTCAAATTCTTACAAAGGTTTTGGAGTAAATTTTCTACCTTTTCTTAACTCAATCTTTGTATTGTTTCTTGAGTACCGTCTAGTCTATTATAGTTTTCATCAGCATTATGTGGTTATTGAAATTTAGTTAAAATCAAATAAAATTAAAAATTCAATTCCTCAGTATTATTAGCTGTATGTCAATTGCTCAGTGGTTGTATGTGGCTAGGGCCTAACATATTGAACAATGCAGATACAAAATATTTCCATTCTTACTGAAAGTTCTACTGGGCAGAATTGGAAAAGTATCATTTCAATTAGATTTTCCAGTTTTAAATTCAAGTTTTTAAAATATTGTGTAATTGTGGAAAATAATTATAAAATAAAATTAAGAACTTGAATTTCTTTATCTAGAGTTATAATCTTTTTTGCATTCCTAATGTTTGTGTACACCTTCTCTTTCTCTCTCTTCTTACCAGTTAGAAGTTACAAATCCCAAAAGGTTTTTTTTTTTTTTTTGAGATGGAGTTTCGCTCTTGTTGCCCAGGCTGGAGTACAATGGTGTGATCTCAGCTCACTGCAACCTCCGCCTCCCAGGTTCAAGCGATTCTCCTGCCTCAGCCTTCCCGAGTAGCTGGGATTACAGGCATGCACCACCATGCTCAGCTAATTTTGTATTTTTAGTAGAGACGGGGTTTCTCCATGTTGGTCAGGCTGGTCTTAAACTCCCGACCTCAGGTGATCTGCCCTCCTCCACCTCCCAAAGTGCTGGGATTACAGGCGTGAGCCACCACACCTGGCCCCAAAATTTCTTTCACTGGACTTCTCAAAGTACATGTTTTTTTATTAGGTCTGTTACTTAAAACATGTAATTAATATTTTATGTATTTTTTTATTTATTGAGACAGAGTCTTGCTCTGTCACCCAGGCTGGAGTGCAGTGGTGCTATCTCAGCTCACTGCAACCTCTGCCTCCTGAGTTCAAGCGATTCTCCTGCCTCAGCCTCCCAAGTAGCTGGGACTACAGGCATGTACCACCATGCCTGGCAATTTTTGTATTTTTAGTAGAGATGGGGTTTCGCTATGTTTCCCAGGCTGGTCTTGAACTCCTGACCTCAGATGATCCACCCACCTCGACCTCCCAGAGTGTTGGGATCACAGGTGTGAGCCACCGTGCCCGGCCGTAATTAATATTTTAATCTTTATTGCCAACTTTTTTTTACTTTTATTGAAGTTTATTTTGTGGTTCTTTTTATCTAGTGTCTTAGGTGCTCAGTTCATTTACATTCAATCTTTATTTCTGAAAAAGGCAAGACTTTTAAGCTAAAAACTTTCCTTCATGTATGTGGCTGCATCCCATAGGTTTTGAGATGGAGTGTTTCAATTTTATTCATTTATAAATACAGTAGTTTGTAATTTCAGTTTTGATTGCCTCTTTAAAAGGGTTTAAAAATACTAAGAAATATTTTCTTTCTGTTACTATTTGATCATTAATATTTAATTGTGTTGCTTTGTGGTCAGGCAAAGTAGATTGTATAAATTTCAGTTGGGGAAATGTACTGAGTTTTAAAAAATGGCTTAGTTATCTATTGTCATAAAACATTACCCCAAAACTTAGTAGTTTAAGACAACAAACATTATCTCACACAGTTTCTGAGGGTGAAGAATCTAGAAACAGTTTAGTTGGTGGTTCTGGTTCAAGATCTCTCATGATATCTCAACAAGCTGTCAGCAGGACTCAAGCATGGGAAGATTAGCCTGGGCTGGAGGGCAGCTTCCACGATAATTCACTCACATGGCTGTTAGTAGGGGCCTCAGTTCCTCACCACCTGGCCTCTACCATATGGTAGCTGGCTTCTCCTAGAAGGAGCCATCAGTGAGAGTGACGCCACACATCCTTTTGTGACCTAGTCTTTTGAGTCTTACACCATCAGGTCATTAGAAGGGAATCGTTAGGTCCAGCCCATACTCAGTGGGAGGGGACTACACAGGGTGTGATTCCCAGGAGGCAGGGGTCACTAGGGGTCATCTTGGAGGCTGCCTACCACAGCCAGGCACATGGTTGGTTTTTTGGTATTGGTTTGTCTGGTTTAACAAGAATGTTTTGAGCTTGTTATTGGGATATGTTCCATAGAGATCTGTTTGCTCTAACTTTGTAATTACGTTAAGTCCTCAGAATTCATCTCTCATTTTTGCTTGCTTTGTCAATTGATTTTGGCCTAGGATAAAGTCTATCTTGATGACTGTTCCGTGTCCACTTGAAGTGAGTGTCGATTAGGCAGCTATTGGGTAGATGGTCTATAAATGTCAGTGAGGTAGTATTGCTAGCCAGTGCTATTCGAGTCTTCTATATCCTTACTGATTTTCCGTCTACTTTTTCTATTAGTTTCTGAGAAAGGAATGGCAAAATCTCCATGGTTGTGGATTTGTCTGTTTTTCCCTTTAGTTCTGCCAATTTTTGCTGCATGCATTTTGAAGCTGTATTAGATGTGTCACATTTAGAATTATGTGTTGATGAGCTGACCACTTTATCATTATGGAATGATTCTCATTTCTCAGTAGTATTTCTCTTGCCTACTTTGGTTGATTCTTATGCTTAGTGTTTGCAGGGCATATCCATCTTATTTTCTACCTGTCTGCATTTTAAAAATTTAAATTCCATCTTTAACAGCATCAAATTGGTGCTCTTTTAAATCCAGTCTGATAATCTCTGCTTTTTTTTTTTTTTTTTTTTTTCTGAGACAGAGTCTTGTTGTGTCATCAGGCTGGAGTGCAGTGGCGCAATCTCGGCTCACTGCAACCTCCGACTCCCTGGTTCAAGCGATTCTCCTGCCTTAGCCTTCTGAGTGGCTAGGATTACAGGCATGTGCCACCATGCCCAGCTAATTTTTGTATTTTTAATAGAGATAGGGTTTCACCATGTTGGCCAGGATGGTCTCGATCGCCTGACCTTTTCATCTGCCCTCCTCAGCTTCCCAAAGTGCTGGGATTACAGGTGTGAGCCACCACACCCAGCCAATCTCTGTCTTTTAATTGTAATGTTTAATATCAGTTGATTTTAGAGACAGCTATACTAAAATCTCCCACATTGATTGTTGATGTGTCAATTTTACTTTATTTTTATTTTTTTCCTCTAACAGATTTTGCTTTACATATTTCAAAGCTAAGTAGTTATGTGCTTTATGAGTTAAAAACAGCATTTGGCTTTAGGTTACAGAGACCTAAAAAGCAGATACTTAAGTAGGGTAAAGGTTTATTTTTTCTTTACATAAAAGAAGTCTAAAGCTAGCTGCCAGGCCTGGTATGGTAGCTCCACGAAGCCACCAGGGACCTAGGTTCCTTCTAGCTTTCTACCCCACCAGCCTTAGGATGTGACTGTCATCCTCATGAACATGAGATGGTTGTCAGAGCTCCACCCACTGTATCACATCATCCTACAGGAAGAAGGGAAAGGGTGAGGGATAAAGTCACACATGCTAACCTCATCTAGTAACTTCCATTTAAATGTCACTGCCCCAAACATGACCACTTCAGCCACATGGAGCTCAGGAAATGGATTTTAATAGCTGGGCATAAGACTACCCTGAAAAAAACTGGGGTTTGATTTCTAAGGTAGATAAGGGGAATAGATATGGAGTAGGAAATTGTCAATGTTTTCCCCAGAGGCATAAAGATTCTTAATAGTGTCATTTGTAGGTGGGTTATACCTTTAGCCATAGAACATATCATGCTTTGACTTAATGCTTTTGCTCTGAATTATATTTTGCATGATATTAATATTACCATTCCTATTTTTTGTTAGTTTTCCAGATGAGTGTGTTTATAATTACTGTGTTTCAATCTCTCTGTCATTTAAGAACTTGTGTACTGTCTTATAAACAGTAGAAAGTTAGATTTTGTGGTGTCTTTTCGTATGGGACTTTAACCCACTGATATTGTGACTTCTGATATGTTTGGGCCTCCCGTTCTCTGCTGGCTTTTTTCTCATAGCATCCTTGTCTTATTTTATGAATGCAGTAGGCACTCAGATCTCTCTGAGGATGTAAATTCGAATTTCTTTTCAGGTGCTCTTCTGCCCGTGGCGGATCTTTGCTGTTCCCGTTTATCTTGGTTCCTTCTCTTTAGCCTGTTGTTTTGCCCTGAATGTCTGGAAGTGGTGGTTGGAGCTCTGGGCAGGGCTGATGTTGTGTTTATAGTTTTCTTGTTCTGTTTTCCCAACAGGCCTCTCCTTGAATGTGGGGGGGCTGATAGCAGGTTCTGTGTAACTTGATGGGGTTCACTAATTATTGTCTGGAGTGCTGCATTTTGGGGTGCCTGGCTGTGAAGTAGAACGGCAGTCCAAAGACCCATGATGACCAAAATAAGAAGGTATTTGTGCTGGGGGTAGTGGTTTTGTGATGGAGGTGGGGGTTATTTTCTGGGGGTGGGGGGCAGGGTTTTGGTGCTTTCCTCCCTTGGACAGAGACTGCCTCTACCTTGCTCCATCAATGTCTTCCGTGCGGAGTCCATGAGTACCTCCAAGTCAGCTCTGAGGCTTCAGCTCCTATAGCCTGGAAGCCCTTTGAAGGCAAATAATTCCATTTCTTCAGGGCTGTTTTCAGTTTCCACCCTGAGGCCTAACATTACTGCTATTGTAGGTCAGTCTCTTAAAGGTGACCCAAATGTATTTCTTAGATTCCCTGTGAGGGGCTCATGGGCATCTCTGGCCCCTTGGGCCTATGCCTATGAGGCTGGCCATGTCCTGTATCTGCTCCTGCCCCAGAAGCCAGCACACCTCTGGTCTCTCTGGGAAGTTTTTCCTTTCTCTACTCATGTTTCTTGGTCAGTTTGCTTTCATTTGCTTTCTATCTTCCAATAATTCTTCATACCTTCGGGTTTTCTGATGAATCCCTTCCTATGCTTTTCCCCCCGTATGCTTTTATAGACATATTCTTTTACAAATATGATTTTTAAAATTTTAAGCAGTTTTGGAAGTAAACTTTTAAATATTTTACTTCTGCCAGCTCAATTCCACCTAATCAGCCACTTTACAGATTTTTTGTGTGGTCTTTCAGTTTTTCTTGCTATAGAGAAAGGGGAGTTTATGCAATATATATTTAATATATTATATAGGAGAGCTACAAATTTTGTATAATTTGTGTCCAGTCATTTACAAATTCTAATATTATTACCACAGTTTTTCAAGTGGCTTCTTGGGTTTTCTAAAGACATAACCACAATTCCTACAAATAAGTTTTATTTTTCCTGTTCAATTGTCATACCTCTTATATGTGTTTTAATAGTTTAGATTGTTTTGTAAAGTGGCAGGGCATCAGTTATAAGTGTAAGGAATTAAGGGGTTATCTCATTTGGTGGTGTGTGGCTTCTATTCTTTTACTTTAAATTTGAGCAAATTCACACAGAATGTGAACTTTTTCCAGCTTTAGTTTTACTCAGGACGTATTAGCTAAAACCCACCCTTTCTGTCTGCTAATAAGAGTGACTGTTTGGTTTATCTTCTTTGTTAACAAAACAGAACGAGGCTCTATAAAAATGCTTTCTTATGGGTCTTGTTGGGACATCAGCTGTTTTAATGCTTGAACTCTTATTCTTAAGGAACAGAATGAATGCTGGGAACACACAAAGCTCCTTTCATGAAAGACTATCAAGTTTCAAGGGTTGTCCCCTCTCTAGCTGAGTTCTTAGTTTTGTACTTAGTGCTTTATAGCAGTCTGATTATGCTTGGCTATTAGGTTTGGAAGGAAATGGGATAGCTCGAGGTTTTTAATATGACTCTTTGTTAACACCAACACCAACACCACCTTCTGCCAAACAAATGGAATGGCTTTCTAAGTATTACCAGAGAAGTGAACCGGCTTGAGTAGGTTATGGACTAATGGTCTCTCAGCTCCAAATTCATCCTTTTTGCCTGCTCTGTGGAAATGGATCTGGGTCCTTTACATAATTTTCCACTGATGTTTTGCCAGTAGAGGGTGCTGGTGAGACACTGTAGGAGGAAAGAATTTGCCTCCTGGATCTGGGTGTGCTTGCTCAGCAGCCTCTTGTAGCAGGAATGGCTTTCTCCAGCACCACCCAGCTCCTGCCATGCCCACAGCCTCTGCACACTCAGCTCTGGAGTACACAGCAGCCATCAGCTTCCCCAGCATCCTCTTGGGTGGCTTTGCAGAAGAGTATCTCTGCTTCTGGCAGGGCTTGCAGCCAGTAGCATTCAGCAGCCGGAAACTTCCCCAGCACCCCTGCCTCAGGCAAGAGTGCCTCTGGTGAGACACCTCCCATAAACGGGTTTCCCCAGCAACTTAGAAGACACCCACCAATGTCTTCCCTGCCATCCAATGAGCCACAGCTGTGCCTTTTCTAACACAACCGAATCTTAGCTCTAGGAGTAGTGGCTTCTCCTAGAGAAGCTATTCCTTTATTTAAAATTCATTTTACTACATGCTAGCTAGTTCCTTGTAAATCAAATCTCCTTTTTTAGTTAATACTCTTTATATTAACCTTTTACTGTTCAAATTTCTGTGTGGTTTCTCTCTCCTGGTTATGCTCAGATTGGTTTGGAAATTCTCCCAGTTAGACAATTAATCTCTGATCATTGCAATATGGATCCTGGGGAATTTGAAAAGGAAAGAGAAAAATGACAACAGCATGGAATGGGAGGAAAACCTAATCAGTGTCTTTATTTCTCAAGGAAGTCACTATTTCTGCTTTCAGGTCATTTATCACAGAATACCAACAGTCACTTTTATTAAATTGAAATCTGCTACTGAAACCGAAACTGAGGGCCAAAGATGCGTTCCTGAATTCTGCCCTTAGCTCTCAGTTTATCCCCTCTCAGGCTGCCATTATTACTCCAAAATTTCTGTCTCAAACTCTGATTATTTTCTTAGGCCTCAGACCCATGTCACAAGCCTCTTCTTAGACACTTGAAAGTGGAATGCAGAACCGTGGTCTGGGTTCATGTCTTGATTCTGCCACTCACTCCCTATACGATGCAGGCCTCAGTTCTTCCATCTGTAAAAGGGGAATAATGTATCTGTCTCATGGAGCTTCCATGGCAATTTCATGAGTTAATATGCATATATACATGACTTAGAATGTTGTCTCAGTGGTGAGTTCTGAATAAATGTGACTATTTAATTGTTGAACATTTTTCTTGGATATTTTACCTTCCATTGAACACATCTAAAATCTGCAATCATCATACTTCCTCCACTTGAATTTGTATTATTTTGATTAATGACCCTAGTCATAGGGGCCTAAAAATATAGAGTCTGCTTTCTCTCTCTGTTCCCCCATCCAATTAGCCTCTAAGCCAGGACATTCTGTTTTCAGCATCTCTCACATATAACTCCTTTATTCCCTCCCTCGCCAACCTGGCTTGTGCCTGATCTATTTCAGTAGACTTACACTGGTTGCCCATCTTGTAATTCACCTACCTGCACTTTGCACAATGCAGGGGCATTAATCTTTCTAAGTCATGTCATTCCCCTTCTCAGCAAGCTCCACTGTCTTGCAATTGCCTAAAGGAAACCATTCAGATGCTTTAGCTTGGCATACAAGGTCCTTCATTTTCTGCTTCCAATCTCTAGTTTCCAAATAAGTCCTCTACTCCAGTTAAAAGTTCTGCTTTCCATTTTTCCACACAGGCATTGTGTTCCCATTTTCTTAAGTGATTTATTCTTTCTCTCCAATCTGGCTGGAAAGTCCTCCCATCACCTCTTCTTCTCAGCTCCCACCTTTTCCTGGTTTTGTCCACACTGCTATATTCAACTGCAGTCTACCGCTCTCTCCTGACTCCCAGAGGAGAAAGACTGTTCATCCAGTATGCTGCATTCCACCGATACATTTTCCCACAGCTGTCCTATTTTTCCAACAAGTTTCACCAGGGATTCAGCAATGATTTGCAGAAACAATTTTTAAACTTAAAAAAAAGTCTTCTATAGGCCTCACTCATTTTAGTTGTGCCATACAAATTAGATTGAATTAGAACTTTCTTTACACCATATTGAACTAACCATTTGATTGAAATAAATTCTATATTCCCTGGTAGTTGCTTATTAGTAATTCAATAATTTTATCTGCTATCCTTCAAGCAATAGCACTTGCTGAAATTTTTGGAATAAAATAGAAGAAAATGTGTAATTGGGAAAACTGCCTCTTTCTATTTTCCCTTATGTGACTTAAGAAAAGTTAGCCAACGTTGGAAACATTTTAGTCTGAGTCAGAATACCTGGGCTCTAAAAAGCAAAATGTGAGAGTCACTGGTATAGATACAGTTTTTTTTTTTTTTTAAATGAGGGGTTGATAATTCTGGAAAACATTTAAAGCTATGAGGTGAAACAAAACGGGGATTTTGGCTTATGTCATCAGGGACCTTAAATTCCTAAAACGACGTTAGAAAAATTACATCTAGAGGGCTTTACATTTGTATTTAATAACTTACTTACTTAAGGAAATTTTATGTCTAGAAGGTTTCCATTGGTAAATATGAAAATCCTGATTTATAAATAAATATGACAAGCAAATTCCAAGGCCTAGCATCTCCAGCAACATTACCGCAGACAGGAGGAGAGGCACCTGTGTTCCCACTGCCTGTGAATGCATCCCATTTAAAAGCCTGCTTGGTCATTATTTCAGAAGAGAGAAGTCCTGGGGTAAATCCCATCTCTATCACGTTCTTGAATCTACTGTTAGTCTGACTAACCATGTTGATTTTCACCTTCCTAAAGGGACAGGCAGGCACTTGTGTTCCCTTATTCCCTTTGGTCACGTAACCTAGCTGATCAAACTCTTAGGGGGAGCATGCACATGGGCAACAGCAGAGGCCGTGGGCAGCGCTTTTGGGTTCCAGCCCCACAGCAGCGTCTAGGGGTGGGTGTCTGTGACTCCTGAAGCCCAAGTGGGCGTGTGTTACAGTGTGCCCTTCTAGCTTTGCCATCTGCAGACAGCTTGTGTTAATCAGCTCACTAGACCCTCTGCCTGATTGCAAGGGCAGAGGGCCAGTGTGACAGCTTTCTGTATCCTTAGCTCTTGCCCACCGTACTGGAAAAATCGGATCAAACTGGGCTTGAAGGATGAGTGCAAAGTTTTACTGAGTGGTGGAGGTGGCTCTCAGCGCGATGGATGGGGAGCTGGAAGGTGGCAATGGAGTGGGAAGGTAGTCTTCCCTTGGAGTCAGGCCACCCAGCGGCTGGACTCTTCTCTGACAAACCCCAGCCAAACTCCCCGCAGTGTCTAGACATCCCTCTTCTTCTTTCTCTGACACATCGTTCCACCGTTACTGGTCTGCCGGTCTGCCGGTCTGTTCCTGTGCTCCTCTCAATGTTCAGTTGCTTGTATCTGTGCCTGCTGAGGTCTTGGGTTTATATGGGCACAGGATGGGGGGTGCATGGCAGGCCAGAGTGGTCTTGGAAAATGCAACATTTGGGCGTGAAAACAGGAGTGCCTGTTTCACTTATGTCCGTGGGCACAGGCCTGAGGGTGGAGCCCTCACCAGGGACCCCGCCCTTCTCTACCCAGCACTTCCCTGCCCCCCTCCCGTATCAGTAATTTTGAGTAATAAGATAACACCAGACAAATTCTAGATTAAATTGTATTAGATGCATGTAGAGTTTCATAGAGAAGTCTAGATTTGGGTGTTTATTTTGTAAATCCAAATCAGGTTCCTAATTTCTGTTATAAATGGCTTTGTGTTCAGTTCCAACTATGATGCTGACAGCTGACTTTACAAAGGTTCATAGATCATGTTGAAATTCAGTCAAAACCAGGGGGCTCCAGTCAAAATCTTGGCAGGTTGCATTTGTTTACTGGACCGAGCCAAGTCTCCTTGGCTCTCTGTGGCAGCTGGAGCATCTGCCTCAGTGATGAGCCCTTCAACGTCTCCAGAGGAAGAAACCAAAACCAGCAGAGGGAATAGAAAAATGCCAGGCTCTAGTTCAGATTCCTGCATATGCAGCTTTTCATCTATTGCCATTGAATTTTATATCTGTAGTTTGGAATTATGAACATATATGAAAGATGTTTAAGAAAGTCTTTCTAGGACAGGCCCGGTGGCTCACGCCCATAGTCCCAGCACTTTGGGAGGCCAAGGCAGGCAGATCACAAGGTCAGGAGTTTGAGACCAGCCTGGCCAATATGGTGAAACCCCATCTCTACAAAAAATACAAAAATTAGCCAGGTGTGGTGGCGGGCGCCTGTAGTCCCAGCTACTTGGGAGGCTGAGGCAGGAGAATCACTTGAACCCGGGAGGTGGAGGTTGTAGTGAGCTGAGATCACGCCACTGCACTCTAGTCTGGGTGACAGAGCAAGACTCCATCTCAAAAAAAAGAGGAAAGTCTTTCTAAAACTTCAATGGCCAAGGACAAGACATCTCTAGCAGATATTTGATTTTTCAAGTATGGATATATTAGTCATAATTATAAAATTCAAGCATACAAGTAGTCAAGTTGGGTTTTGAATTATGACTTAACCTTATGAAATAGATAAAACAAGTCAGATTGCATTGATGAAAACACATACATCACTCATAAAATGCAGTATGGATGCCAGGACTATTTGATCAATGGCTCCCCTGCAGCAGAGGTTTGGGCTCCAGAACTCTGGTTTTCAGACATTTACATCAGTCAGTTGTGTACAATGAGAAAGTCATTACCTCATAGCAACTCATTAATTTCTTCATTTGTCCATTTATTGATGAACTAAGCACTGGAGAGATATGAATAATATGAGGCTCTTGCCCTCAAGAAACTCTTGTCTAGTGAGGAAGATGGTCTTGGACACAAATCATTAGAGCACAGTGCAATACATGTTGCAATATAGATACACACAAGATCTATTGGAGCGTAGAGAATGGAGGTGAATCAGAGAAGACTTCCCAGGGGAGGTGATCCTTAAGGAGGTGACGTGAGGTCAGTGGTCAGCTGGAGACTGTGAAATTGATAACTGAGTAAAAAGCTATGCAGACTCATGGAATGATCTGGGGAGACTATAGAGGTTATTTCTTCATTTACAAATGGGGAAAGTGACCCAAAGATAGGCTGACTTATCCAAGGTCACACAGCCAATCAGTCTCCAACTTCTACTAAGGCCCTTCTTTCCATATTCTGTGCATAGGAATAAAAAAAAAATAGCACATCTTCCTCTCAGCTGTGCCACTTCATTATTGGCTTTTTTGTAGAAGGAAAGAATTGATTAGATTTAGTAAGTCAGCATCATGGAGAGAAAAAAAAGCAAGAAAACAAATGAAGTCTTGGGTTAAATATTACTTTCCTTATTGCTGCTGTAAAAAAAATCACAAATGGGGTTTAAAACAACAAAACCATTCTCTCATGGTTTAGGAGGCCAGAAGTCTAAAATCAGTGTCACTAGGCTTAAGTCAAGGTATTGGTTACCTCCTAAGACTCTAGAGGAGAATCCTTCCAGCTTCTGGTGGCTCCAGGTGTTCTTTGGCTTGTGGCCGCATCACTGCAATCTCTGCCTCTGTCTTCACCTCATTTCCCCTCTTCTTTGTGTCTAACCCCCTCTGCCTCTCCCTTATAAGGATACTTGTGATGGCATTTAGGACCCACCCAAATAATCCAGCATCATCTCTCCACCCCCTACATAATGAGTTCCTTAACTTAATCACGCCTGCAAAGCTGCAAAGACTCTTTTTCCAAATATGTTAACACAGGTTCTGGGAATCAGGACATGGATGCACCTTTGGGAGCCATTATCAGGCCACTGCAGTTTGCATAAATAGAGATTAGTACTGCAATGGAGGTGACAGTTCTACTCTATTCTCCTCTGGCTGGCACTTCAACTTGAATTATTTCTTCTTTCTGGGGCCCCACATCCTGAGAGGGATAGAGAGAATTTGGAGCTCATGCAGAGGGGCATAAACAGGATGGTGAAGGGCCGTTTTAGGAAAGGACAATGGACATGTGGGATGCTAGTGTGGAGAAGAAAGGCCTGAAGGCAGCAGGACAGGGTCTGTGGCTGGAAGTCCTGAAGGCTAATGGGAGACACCTGCAAATGGGACCAGAGGGTGGTCAGGGCTTGACTCCATGGCTGTCCTGTCATCCACAAAGTGACCTCATGAGGTAGATGCTAAAGGAGGGGAGATTGAAGGAGATGGCCCTAAGGTTCCTCCCAGGCCCTTGTGCCTGAGATTTGAAGAGATTTTCACCCATCAGGGAGCTTGGCCCCTCACGTTAAACTCAGTGAATGGAGACTGAACACTGGCAACTTGGGGATAGCAAAGGATTTGCACCCACTCCTGGGAGAATTATGGAGCCATCACAGTGTTTGGAGGAGAAAAATGACAGGATTCAACATATTTTTCAAGAAAGTCTGTGTGACCATTTAAATAAATGTAATCACTGAATAAATGACTGCTGTACAAAAGTATTAACTATATTAGGAAGCTGTATATAAAAACTGTACTTAAAATCACCTGTGGTCAAAAATAACTTTTCTAACTCATTGGAGAACTTTTAAAAGACTGCTTTCCTGAGGCCAGAAACAATTTCATATCAAGGGCATATATAGAAAATCAACATTTATTTAAAACTATATATAATCATACATGAAAAATATATAACTACATGTAAGCACATATATAAAAATTATAACTATATGTCTGTGTGTATATACACAGGTGACTCTTGAACAACACAGGGGTTGGGACATTGACTCCTCTTGCAGTAGAAAATCTACATAAAACTTTTGACACCCCAATAGCCTACTGTTGACTGCTGCCTGGAAACCTTACTGATAACATAAACAGTTGAATAATATATATTTAGTATGTTATATGTATTATATACTGTACTCCTACAATAACTTAATCTGGAGAAAATAAAATACTTTTAAGAAAATCAGCGGGAAGAGAAAATATATTTGCTATTCATTAAGTGGAAGTGGATCATCATAAAGGTCTTCATCCTCACTGTCTTCATGTCGGTAGGCTGAGGAGGAAGAAGAGGAGGGATTGGTCCTCTTATCTCAAAGGTGGCAGAGGCAGAAGAAAATCCATGTATAAGTGGACCCATGCAATTCAAGGGCCAAGTCTACTGTTGTTCCAGAAGATGCTGAATTTAGGGTTTCTGTACTGAAAGCCACATTGCTGTTTGTTTCCATTCATCTATCTTTTTTTTTTCTGAATAGAATGATACATTCTCCATATGCCTGGTGCTTGGTAGGTCACTGTGTCCCCTGATACAATGATTTGGAACAACCCCTGTGTTATATTTCAGGCCACACATCTGGGGGACAATGGAGAAATGAGAGGCTGTAGAACTTGGCTTAGAGAGAGTCTCTAAGTGCCCTGGTCTTGGCTGAGAGGCCAATGTCTTAGCCACAGCTGGCTGCATATTTATGCCATTGCATGGATTTCAGCTGTGGAGAGGTGAATAATGAGGACCAGCCATGGGTAGAGTCTACTAGGTTCACCCAGGTCTCTAGCATCATGCCATCCACCAGCACTACTAGATCTGTACAAGAGTCAGCCTAGTTTTGAGAAGGTATAATTCCTGAGTCTCAGGGCCCAACTCATTCACTTGGGGAATTTTTTAGTGAAGAGTCCTATACCTACGGGTAAGTGCACAAATTCTAAACATACTACTTGGGTTTTCTAGAAGAGACTCACCCTTTCTTGAGCAGCCAGCTCAAATAAGAGAACATTATCCTCTTCCCAGAGACCCTGGTTCCCTCTAGTCTCTAGTCTCCCATTGTAACCTGTCTCCTGACTTAACAGTGTAGCTTAGAACAGTTTCACCCATCTTTGTATACTGTGTAAATAGAACCATGCACTATGCCCTCTTTCCTGTCTGGCTTCTCTTGTCAATGTTATGTTTATGAGATTCTTTTGTATTGTCACTGTGGTTTGCTCATTTTCACAGCCGGATAGTAATCCGTTGGTGAGCATACCACCACGTATGCATTCTACTACTGATGGAGCGCCCATAGCAGTCCTTTTCTTCATTCTATTGGTGATGGCTAGGTACTATCCATTCTAGTCTTTAGGTAGCTTCCAGTTTGGGGATATTACAAAAAGTGCTACTGTGAACATTCTTGCGGTTGTCTTTTATGAACATCTGTACACGTTTCTGGTGGGTAAATACCTAGGAATAAATTTTCTGCCATACTGTATGACTATGGTCAACTTTAGTAGATGCTTGGGCATAAAGTTCCTGGGGAGCATTAATGAGATCCTCAGAAACACTAAATATAGAGGCAGTAAAGATTAAAAAATAAACCTGAAGAGCTAGCTGAATACTTTCCTTCTCTTCTCTTATTGAACAGAACTTTCCGTTCCTTCTGTTAATAATTTCTGCGCACTTACTGTGTGCCAGAGGCTTGACATGCCATTATCTTGTTCCTAGTCTTCACAATAACTCTGTGTTCCCAGTCTTCACAATAACTTGTTCCTCGTCCTCACAATAATGCTATGAGTTGAGTACTATTTAAAATCTTCATTTTGCAGATGAGAAACTGAGGTTGCTAATGGTGGAGCTGGATTGAAACTTGGCTCTTGAGTCTTATGTATGAGACATTGCCTCTCATTCCTTTTACATACTTAAGAAATCCCATGAGTCCAGTTCTCCAAAGAGTCCACGACATATTTGCCAGTAGGTTTCCCTTTTTATATTGCCATTCCAATGGTCTTATATATGTCCATGTGGAGATTAAGTAAACCTACTCAGGGTAGGTTTATTTTAATTTAGTGATTTATTCAACATATACCAATGAATTAAAATAATTAAAACTGTGATGTGAGCCCACCTGGACTTTTCTTTCCAGCCATTGGCCTATTTTTATTTACAACCAGCATCCATTTTTTTTGCACTTATACTTTAGAATACTGGGCATTTAATTATCATGCCAATTTCATTGCTTAGTAGCACATGGATGACAGGAGGCCTTCACCTGATCTCTGAACCTTTGTAAAATTTTGCATTAGGGTATTTTGAGCTGGGAAGTGAAAAGATAATTATCAATCTAATCGAGTTTATGAGAATAAGTGCAAATATTGCAATGGTGCCTGTTTCATAACCAGGCCATTGAGGAAATCTCAGGAGTCATGCAAAAGTCATACTTTTCTTGATGCAATTACAGTGGAATTATGCTTTTAGGCTTGTTTTCTATTAAAAGTTTACAAGATTTAACAGATTGCAGTATTCTGCAATATCTCATACTGCACAATCATGCCTAGATGTTACTTGCAAATGAAGCATGTAATCAGTGTTTGAAAAGGTAGCTGATTCATAGGAGAATCTTATGATAGTGTAGCCTGGTTCAGGGACTGTCTAGGTATATAGTATAGTTCACTATGGAAATGTCTCCTGCGGAATGCCTTGCTTGGCAGATTCAATCCAATTTCCTGGTCAACAAACAGTTGAGGGCCTGCTGTATGCAAGGCTCTGTCCTAGGAACCCTGTTTAGAAGATGAAGAAGAGACAACAACTTCCCTTCAGGAGCTTACATTCTATTTGGGGAGACAGGTGTGCAAACAACTAAAGGGAATGTGAGATAAAATAGAGTGCTGTCATAGTGGAGTCCTTGAGATGTCATTCTGCCCTGCAAGCACTCCAGCACTCCTTTCTTTTTTCTTTTCACTTGCTTGCTGGTGCTCTCTCTCTCTCTCTCTCTTTTCTTTTTTTTTTTTTGAGATGGACTCTTGTTCTGTTGCCCAGGCTGGAGTGCAATGGTGTGATCTTGGCTCACTGCAACCTCTGCCTCCTGGGTTCAAACAATTCTCCCACCTTAGCCTCCCGAGTAGTTGTGATTACAGGTGCATTCCACCAGACCCTGCTAATTTTTGTATTTTTAGTAGAGACAGGGTTTTGCCATGTCGGCCAGGTTTGTCTCAAACTCCTGGCCTCAAATGATTTGCCTGCCTTGGCTTCCCAAATTTGCAAGCACTCCTTTCTGAGGGAATATGCCCTACTGCCTCATTTAGGGTTCCCCAGAAGCATATCTTGAGACAAGGATGGGAGTGCAGGTAGCGTATTTTGTAATGTGATCCTGGGAACCCTATAAGGAGAGAGAGCACAAAAAGCAGTCAACAGAGTGTGTGTTATTGTTGTGGTTTGAATGTCCTCTCCAGAATTCAGGTGTTGCCAATGTGGAAGTATTAAGACATAGAACCTTTAGGAGGTGCCATGAGGGTTAGGTGCCCTTATAAAGAGGCTTGGCTGAGAGAGTTGGTTTTCTTTCTTGCCGTTCTGCCTTCTACTATGTGAGGATGCAGCTAGAAGGCCCTCACCAGATGCCGGTGCTTTGATCTTGGACTTTGGTGCTTTGATTTTGGACTTCCCAGCCTTTAGAACTGTGAAAAATAAATTTCTGGTCCTTATAAATTACCCAGCGTCACATGTTCGGTTACAGCAGCACAAATGGACTGAGACAGGGATCAAAAGGGTTAATGTTCTGGGCAGCTGAGACTTAATTCTGCTGGGCAATTCTGGGGCAGAGTGAAGAACACTACATTGCTATCTCAACAGAGATCTAGACAGGGTTATATATCAACTGCCGTCAGTCATTGGTCAAGGGCATTGGTTGTGAAAATGTTTAATTCCCCAGCACATCTGACATGCTCTGTGAAGCAGCCAGAGACAGCCTCAGAAGAGAGTTTCAGCACTCCTGAGCTGTGCGGAAGGACACCATTGCATTTGTGCATACAGGAAGCGTAATTGGGAGGGCATATGGACAGGGCACCCACAGCCCCTATTGAAAGCTAGACATAGGCAGCTGGGCTTATCTTAGGACCCTAATCAGTGACTGTTGACTGGACCAAGGGCACACCTGACCAAGGAAGAAGCAATGCGGGTGGCTTGAGAAAATGAGATTCTCTGGAAATGTGAATGAATAACTGGAGTCGTAGTGGGCGTGGTCCTGGACATTGGCCTGCTAAAGTGGGAGCTAGAATGGGTACTGCAGGAAGAGTAAAGCCTGTGGGTGGGTGGAATATGGCAGACAGGAAGAGCCTTGCTAGCAAGACAATCTGTGGGGAGAAGCAGATGAATGGAAGAGAGGGGGCAAAAGGGAGAGGGAGAGACAGACAGATGAGAATTCAGGCAACCGTATGGGAGCCAGAAGCCTTGTATCTCTACTGCTGGTTTGAGTTCCTGTGTAAAGGCTCAGCTGTCCTTTACTTCCCATCCTTGGATGCTGGTGAGTCTGCCTAATGTCTCCTCCATGCATATCCCCTTTATCTATGCTCCCTTGAGGTAGTTTTTGCTCCTTTCAACCAGTCAGTCCCTAAATAGAACCAAAGTACCAAGGGTCATGGCAGAAGAAGTGGACTCAAAGTGAAGTTTGACCTGGGTCTCAGTACATCAAGTGGTGGGGAGAGTGAGGTCACAACCAACATATCTCTATTACAGGAATCAAAAGACATTTCTTAGGAGGCATCAGTGTGGCATGGGGACAGATTGGATGAGAGGGAGGTGAGGGAGAGGTGGAAGGCAAAGTTGAAGTTTCAAGTATGGGCATCTGGTGGATGGATGTGCCGTTGACAACAGAACTGAGGATAGGCTTTGCAGAGAGCAGGTAGAGAGGGAGCTACTCTGTTTAATTTTAAATGTATTGATTTCTCATCATCAACTGATCACTTTTACTGGTTGCAAATAATATCAAAGAGGTTGATTTTAATCAAGGGAATAGGCAAAGGAACCAACGAAGAAGCATCTTATATCCATCTTGAAGGAGAAATCATAAACACGTGAAGAAATCAAGTGTTCAAATCTTTCTTATATTTACAATTTTAGAATAAGTGTTCATTGGCATGTGAGCACAGTCTTCTGGTTTTGATCTCTCTTGGGGACTTTCTTGCCTGCTGTCTTCAGGATTTCATACAAGATTTTTGAAAGAGATCAGTAGGGGTAAGATAGAGCCTCTGGTTGTGGTGGGGTGGGACTGGTTGAGGATGGGGAGGGTATGTCTATCTCCACAGTGAGGTGTTCCCTATGTGTAAATGGAACTTCGGGACAGGCTTTTGAAAACTGTGTTCTTAATGTAGTCTCATAAATAATTATCTGACACCTGAATAGTCTGGGAAAAAAAGAGTCTCTGCTCAAATCACTTGAACCCGGGAGGTGGAGGTTGCAGTGAGCCGAGATTGCACCACTGCACTCCAGTCTGGCGACAGGGCGACAGAGTGAGACTGTCTCATAATAATAATAATAGTAATAAAAGAGTCTCTGCTCTCTGATTACCAGGGAATAATTTGTTTATTTTATTTTATTTTATTATTTTTTTTTATTATTATACTTTAAGTTTTAGGGTACATGTGCACATTGTGCAGGTTAGTTACATATGTATACATGTGCCATGCTGGTGCACTGCACCCACTAACTCGTCATCTAGCATTAGGTATATCTCCCAATGCTATCCCTCCGCCCTCCCCCCACCCCACAACAGTGCCCAGAGTGTGATGTTCCCCTTCCTGTGTCCATGTGTTCTCATTGTTCAATTCCCACCTATGAGTGAGAATATGTGGTGTTTGGTTTTTTGTTCTTGCGATAGTTTACTGAGAATGATGATTTCCAGTTTCATCCATGTCCCTACAAAGGACATGAACTCATCATTTTTTATGGCTGCATAGTATTCCATGGTGTATATGTGCCACATTTTCTTAATCCAGTCTATGATTGTTGGACATTTGGGTTGGTTCCAAGTCTTTGCTATTGTGAATAATGCTGCAATAAACATACGTGTGCATGTGTCTTTATAGCAGCATGATTTATAGTCCTTTGGGTATATACCCAGTAATGGGATGGCTGGGTCAAATGGTATTTCCAGTTCTAGATCCCTGAGGAATCGCCACACTGACTTCCACAATGGTTGAAGTAGTTTACAGTCCCACCAACAGTGTAAAAGTGTTCCTATTTCTCCACATCCTCTCCAGCACCTGTTGTTTCCTGACTTTTTAATGATTGCCATTCTAACTGGTGTGAGATGGTATCTCATAGTGGTTTTGATTTGCATTTCTCTGATGGCCAGTGATGATGAGCATTTTTTCATGTGTTTTTTGGCTGCATAAATATCTTCTTTTGAGAAGTGTCTGTTCATGTCCTTCGCCCAATTTTGATGGGGTTGTTTGTTTTTTTCTTGTAAATTTGTTTGAGTTCATTGTAGATTCTGGATATTAGCCCTTTGTCAGATGAGTAGGTTGCGAAAATTTTCTCCCATTTTGTAGGTTGCCTGTTCACTCTGATGGTAGTTTCTTTTGCTGTGCAGAAGCTCTTTAGTTTAATTAGATCCCATTTGTCAATTTTGTCTTTTGTTGCCATTGCTTTTGGTGTTTTAGACATGAAGTCCTTGCCCATGCCTGTGTCCTGAATGGTAATGCCTAGGTTTTCTTCTAGGGTTTTTATGGTTTTAGGTCTAACGTTTAAGTCTTTAATCCATCTTGAATTGATTTTTGTATAAGGTGTAAGGAAGGGATCCAGTTTCAGCTTTCTACATATGGCTAGCCAGTTTTCCCAGCACCATTTATTAAATAGGGAATCCTTTCCCCATTGCTTGTTTTTCTCAGGTTTGTCAAAGATCAGATAGTTGTAGATATGCGGCGTTATTTCTGAGGGCTCTGTTCTGTTCCATTGATCTATATCTCTGTTTTGGTACCAGTACCATGCTGTTTTGGTTACTGTAGCCTTGTAGTATAGTTTGAAGTCAGGTAGTGTGATGCCTCCAGCTTTGTTCTTTTGGCTTAGGATTGACTTGGCGATGCGGGCTCTTTTTTGGTTCCATATGAACTTTAAAGTAGTTTTTTCCAATTCTGTGAAGAAAGGCATTGGTAGCTTGATGGGGATGGCATTGAATCTGTAAATTACCTTGGGCAGTATGGCCATTTTCACGATATTGATTCTTCCTACCCATGAGCATGGAATGTCCTTCCATTTGTTTGTATCCTCTTTTATGTCGTTGAGCAGTGGTTTGTAGTTCTCCTTGAAGAGGTCCTTCACATCCCTTGTAAGTTGGATTCCTAGGTATTTTATTCTCTTTGAAGCAATTGTGAATGGGAGTTCACTCATGATTTAGCTCTCTGTTTGTCTGTTGTTGGTGTATAAGAATGCTTGTGATTTTTGTACATTGATTTTGTATCCTGAGACTTTGCTGAAGTTGCTTATCAGCTTAAGGAGATTTTGGGCTGAGACAATGGGGTTTTCTAGATATACAATCATGTCATCTGCAAACAGGGACAATTTGACTTCCTCTTTTCCTAATTGAATACCCTTTATTTCCTTCTCCTGCCTAATTGCCCTGGCCAGAACTTGCAACACTATGTTGAATAGGAGTGGTGAGAGAGGGCATCCCTGTCTTGTGCCAGTTATCAAAGGGAATGCTTCCAGTTTTTGTCCATTCAGTATGATATTGGCTGTGGGTTTGTCATAGATAGCTCTTATTATTTTGAAATACATCCCATCAATACCTAATTTATTGAGAGTTTTTAGCATGAAGGGTTGTTGAATTTTGTCAAAGGCTTTTTCTGCATCTATTGAGATAATCATGTGGTTTTTGTCTTTGGCTCTGTTTATATGCTGGATTACATTTATTGATTTGCGTATATTGAACCAGCCTTGCATCCCAGGGATGAAGCCCACTTGATCATGGTGGATAAGCTTTTTGATGTGCTGCTGGATTCATTTTGCCAGTATTTTATTGAGGATTTTTGCATCAATGTTCATCAAGGACATTGGTCTAAAATTCTCTTTTTTTGTTGTGTCTCTGCCTGGCTTTGGTATCAGAATGATGCTGGCCTCATAAAATGAGTTAGGGAGGATTCCCTCTTTTTCTATTGATTGGAATAGTTTCAGAAGGAATGGTACCAGTTCCTCCTTGTACCTCTGGTAGAATTCGGCTGTGAATCCATCTGATCCTGGACTCTTTTTGGTTGGTAAGCTGTTGATTATTGCCACAATTTCAGATCCTGTTATTGGTCTATTCAGAGATTCAACTTCTTCCTGGTTTAGTCTTGGGAGAGTGTATGTGTCCAGGAATTTATCCATTTCTTCTAGATTTTCTAGTTTATTTGTGTAGAGGTGTTTGTAGTATTCTCTGATGGTAGTTTGTATTTCTGTGGGATTGGTGGTGATATCCCCTTTATCATTTTTTATTGCGTCTATTTGATTCTTCGCTCTTTTTTTCTTTATTAGTCTTGCTAGCGGTCTATCAATTTTGTTGATCCTTTCAAAAAACGGGCTCCTGGATTCATTAATTTTTTGAAGGGTTTTTTGTGTCTCTATTTCCTTCAGTTCTGCTCTGATTTTAGTTATTTCTTGCCTTCTGCTAGCTTTTGAATGTGTTTGCTCTTGCTTTTCTAGTTCTTTTAATTGTGATGTTAGGGTGTCAATTTTGGATCTTTCCTGCTTTCTCTTGTGGGCATTTAGTGCTATAAATTTCCCTCTACACACTGCTTTGAATGCGTCCCAGAGATTCTGGTATGTTGTGTCTTTGTTCTCATTGGTTTCAAAGAACATCTTTATTTCTGCCTTCATTTCGTTAGGTACCCAGTAGTCATTCAGGAGCAGGTTGTTCAGTTTCCATGTAGTTGAGCAGTTTTGAGTGAGATTCTTAATCCTGAGTTCTAGTTTGATTGCACTGTGGTCTGAGAGATAGTTTGTTATAATTTCTGTTCTTTTACATTTGCTGAGGAGTGCCTTACTTCCAAGTATGTTGTCAATTTTGGAATAGGTGTGGTGTGGTGCTGAAAAAAATGTATATTCTGTTGATTTGGGGTGGAGAGTTCTGTAGATGTCTATTAGGTCCGCTTGGTGCAGAGCTGAGTTCAATTCCTGGGTATCCTTGTTGACTTTCTGTCTTGTTGATCTGTCTAATGTTGACAGTGGGGTGTTAAAGTCTCCCATTATTAATGTGTGGGAGCCTAAGTCTCTTTGTAGGTCACTCAGGACTTGCTTTATGAATCTTGGTGCTCCTGTATTGGGTGCATATATATTTAGGATAGTTAACTCTTCTTGTTGAATTGATCCCTTTACCATTATGTAATGTCCTTCTTTGTCTCTTTTGATCTTTGTTGGTTTAAAGTCTGTTTTATCAGAGACTAGGATTGCAACCCCTGCCTTTTTTTTGTTTTCCATTTGCTTGGTAGATCTTCCTCCATCCTTTTATTTTGAGCCTATGTGTGTCTCTGCACGTGAGATGAGTTTCCTGAATACAGCTCACTGATGGGTCTTGACTCTTTATCCAATTTGCCAGTCTGTGTCTTTTAATTGGAGCATTTAGTCCATTTACATTTAAAGTTAATATTGTTATGTGTGAATTTGATCCTGTCATTATGATGTTAGCTGGTTATTTTGCTCATTAGTTGATGCAGTTTCTTCCTAGTCTCGATGGTCTTTACATTTTGGCATGATTTTGTAGCGGCTGGTACCGCTTGTTCCTTTCCATGTTTAGCACTTCTTTCAGGAGTTCTTTTAGGGCAGGCCTGGTGGTGACAAAATCTCTCAGCATTTGCTTGTCTGTAAAGTATTTTATTTCTCCTTCACTTATGAAGCTTAGTTTGGCTGGATATGAAATTCTGGGTTGAAAATTCTTTTCTTTAAGAATGTTGAATATTGGCCCCCACTCTCTTCTGGCTTGCAGAGTTTCTGCTGAGAGATCAGCTATTAGTCTGATGGGCTTCCCTTTGAGGGTAACCCGACCTTTCTCTCTGGCTGCCCTTAACATTTTTTCCTTCATTTCAGCTTTGGTGAATCTGACAATTATGTGTCTTGGAATTGCTCTTCTCGAGGAGTATCTTTGTGGCGTTCTCTGTATTTCCTGAATCTGAATGTTGGCCTGCCTTGCTACATTGGGGAAGTTCTCCTGGATAATATCCTGCAGAGTGTTTTCCAACTTGGTTCCATTCTCCCCATCACTTTCAGGTACACCAATCAGACGTAGATTTGGTCTTTTCACATAGTCCCATATTTCTTGGAGGCTTTGCTCATTTCTTTTTATTCTTTTTTCCCTAAACTTCCCTTCTCGCTTCATTTCATTCATTTCATCTTCCATCGCTGATACCCTTTCTTCCAGTTGATCGCATCGGCTCCTGAGGCTTCTGCATTCTTCACGTAGTTCTCGAGCCTTGGTTTTCAGCTCCATCAGCTCCTTTAAGCAGTTCTCTGTATTGGTTATTCTAGTTATACATTCTTCTAAATTTTTTTCAAAGTTTTCAACTTCTTTGCCTTTGGTTTGAATGTCCTCCCGTAGCTCAGAGTAATTTGATCGTCTGAAGCCTTCTTCTCTCAGCTCGTGAAAGTCATTCTCCATCCAGCTTTGTTCCATTGCTGGTGAGGAACTGCGTTCCTTTGGAGGAGGAGAGGTGCTCTGCGTTTTAGAGTTTCCAGTTTTTCTGTTCTGTTTTTTCCCCATCTTTGTGGTTTTATCTACTTTTGGTCTTTGATGATGGTGATGTACAGATGGGTTTTTGGTGTGGATGTTCTTTCTGTTTGTTAGTTTTCCTTCTAACAGACAGGACCCTCAGCTGTAGGTCTGTTGGGATATCCTGCCTTGTGAGGTGTCAGTGTGTCCCTGCTGGGGGGTGCCTCCCAGTTAGGCTGCTCGGGGGTCAGGGGTCAGGGACCCACTTGAGGTGGCAGTCTGCCAGTTCTCAGATCTCCAGCTGCGTGCTGGGAGAACCACTGCTCTCTTCAAAGCTGTCAGACAGGGATATTTAAGTCTGCAGAGGTTACTGCTGTCTTTTTGTTTGTCTGTGCCCTGCCCCCAGAGGTGGAGCCTACAGAGGCAGGCAGGCCTCCTTGAGCTGTGGTGGGCTCCACCCAGTTCGAGCTTCAGGCTGCTTTGTTTACCTAATCAAGCCTGAGCAATAGTGGGCGCCCCTCCCCCAGCCTTGCTGCCGGCCTTGCAGTTTGATCTCAGAGTGCTGTGCTAGCAATCAGGGAGACTCCGTGGGTGTAGGACCCTCCGAGCCAGGTGCGGGATATAATCTCGTGGTGCGCCGTTTTTTAAGCCCGTTGGAAAAGCGCAGTATTCGGGTGGGAGTGACCCTATTTTCCAGGTGCCCTCTGTCACCCCTTTCTTTGACTCGGAAAGGGAACTCCCTGACCCCTTGCACTTCGCAAGTGAGGCAATGCCTCGCCCTGCTTCGGCTCGCGCACGGTGCTTGCACCCACTGACCTGCGCCCACTGTCTGGCACTCCCTAGTGAGATGAACCCGGTACCTCAGATGGAAATGCAGAAATCACCCATCTTCTGCGTCACTCACGCTGGAAGCTGTAGTCCGGAGCTGTTCCTATTCGGCCATCTTGGCTCCGAATAATTTGTTTTCAATAGGTTGAAGTCCAAGGGCATCAGACTTGCATTGTTTGGGGCAAAGAGGCTTGAACTAGGAATCGTCGGGTTTGACATTTTTGCCCTGGTTTTACCACTGACCAGCTGTAGTGATTTGGGCAAGGCACAGAAGCTCTCTGTGCCTCATTTTTTCACATGCAAACAGAAGTGGACTACATTTCTAGTGTGCTTTCTAGCTCTCAGGTATGATGATTTTATAATTCTTATGCTTTACTTAGCCATGAAAACCTCACCTAGGAGAAGCTGAGTGCTGAGTAAATGCAAGATATGGGCTGTTTTATACACATACCATAGAAAGAGAACAAAAGGTCAATATGGAAATACATAGCCCATATGCTCCTTGGTGAGTTAATGGTGCAGCAAAATTTCAATGTTTGTATCTATCTCTCTGGAAATAAATATGCTTACTGGCCAAGGAGATAATGGATCTGAAGCAATTTTTCACAATTGTGCACATGAGAAGCACATTATTTATTCCTGAAGACATGGAAAGGTGCTCATTACTGAACAGTGATAGAGGAATTATTACTAGTATGAAATTCATGAGGAGACCACATTCTCAGACAATATGCTTACAAGGCTCTCATTACATTGCTCAGATTTCAGATGATGCCTAGAAAACAGTCTTCTTGGGATGTTGTCTCATCCCGGGTTTTTTTTTTTTTTTTTGGTCATAATATGGTCCCTGAATGTTAACCTTCCTGAGGAAAGTCTAAGATATGGTCATCACACTTATTTGGATCTTATGAAGGTGGCATGAAATAGTTAAGGGTAAAAGCATAGGTCATGGGTATGATTGATCAAAGAACACTAAAGGCATTGTTAAGTCTATGACTTTTGTCTTGCTGGGAAATGTATAATTTGGAAGTTCACTTCTTGCCAAAGACCAAGGGTCTAGAAAGTAGAACTCTTCTCAGTTAGACAAAAGCCAGTTATGGTGAGAAGCATGCATTTTGCAAAGCTCCCATGATCAGTATCAGTAGTTGCAGAGATTCTTGTGGTTGCTAATTGAAATGAGGATGCAAAACTAGAGAAAATTCAGTTCATCATGACTTAATATAAAATCTAAACTATGAGCAACTGAAGTCAGGGAGTTAGAGTATTCCAAACAGCTGTCATGAAAAACCAGCTATGAAAAAGGGAACATTGGAGCATAGACTAGAATGATGATGTGGATCACTTTCATTCACTCATTAATTCATTCAACCAACTTGATGGATTCAATTTCAGACATATTGGGTTTGAAGTTCCTTCTGCATTTCCAAAGAAAGATGACCAGTATCTATAAAATAGCTACTACCCTTTGATAAGGGCATGACCAAGGGAGCAGTGGAGGTCAGAGCTTCTTGAGAGTTTACTCTGGGCCAGACCATATAATCACTATTTCTCAGAAGAGGAGGCTGAGCATTATAGAGGTTAAATAGCTTACCCTAAATCATACAACTAGGGATATGGCAAACTCAGGAAAAAAAGCTTTCTATAACACTTTTTATAGAAAAGTTCAAACATACACAAAAGTAGAGAAAATAATGTAAGGAGCCCAATATGTGGTTTCAATAATTATTGGGTTATCTTGTTTTATCTATACCTGCCACTGGAATAGTTTGGAAGCAAATACCATTTTATCTGTAACTATTTCAGTGCCATCTCTGAAAGATAAGGGCTTTAAAGAGCAAAACCCAATGCCAATATCATATCTCCCCAAATTAACAGTAATTCCTTATCAGCAAATGTCCAGTGTGAGGATGCCCCATTATCTCATACTTCTTAAAAAACTTTGCTTAAATCAGGGTCTAATAAGGCCCACATGTTGCAGTAAGTTGATATTTTGCTTACCAATTTTGATCCCTAATTTCTCCCTTTTGCAAATTATTTGTTGAAGAAATACATTAAAATTTCCTCTTCCACGCTCACTTCTCTTTCTCTCCCCATAGGGAACCATTTTCAAGTGTTTACTATTTAGGCTCTGAGACCGTCTTATATCTCAGAGACGTATGCACACATATAAAATGTACCTATTTATGTTGATATATATGATACATTTTACATGTGCATATGTATGCATGCCTTGGCTATTGCTATATGCTGGTTGATCCACCTAATCCTAGTGGCTATACGGTAATTCCATGAGAGGTATTCCTGTACCCCAGTGTATCCCACTGACATAAATCTAGATCCTATTTTTTCTCCGGACTCTGACTATGAAACACAGTTTAGAAATCAAGGCTCAAATTCTTTCTGTTTTGTTGTCATGGACACAATAGAAATAGCCACTAGCACTTGTAGAGTGCTTTATTCTTTACAAAACATTTTCATGCCTCTTTTCTTACTTAATCATTGTGTAGAATGTTGTGGCTTGGGAGTTAAAAATATTTCTCTTGCTGGTTGACAAGGAGGCTTGGTATAGGGATAAAAATTCTATTTCAGAATTATTATTATTCCTATCTATTTTTAAACATTTAGCTACCCAACTCGTAGTGGCAATGTTACCAACATTGATGGGACCCTCCTGTGAGAAAGATGTACAGCCACCCAAGGGCTTGGGAGGCCATGGATCAGGCAGTGAGAGGTATGGGTCAACATCAAGGGGGGCAAAGACTGGACCTGTTTGCCAAGAGCCAAGGAAAGAGGCATTTGCTCTTGGGAGTACAAAGACACATGAGGTCTAATCAGCCCAGAGGGCAAAACTGGGTAACTGAGGCTGACCCTGCCTCTCTTATATTCTTACTCTAGAATGGCACTCCCGACCCCTGTGCTCAGGGTCTCAAATGCTGTTGCCAGGATCCAGCTTGTTCCACCTGGATCACTGGAAGAGTGAAAGAGAAGTCAGTCTGGATTACTGAACATTCTGAATGGTGCCATACTAATATAATAATGTGTTAGATAAAATAATATGAAATTGCCAATATTTGTTATTTTTGACCTACAAAAATGTCACATTTAATATTGAGTACATTTCTAAGAACATTCATACCTAGAAATAATAGTATTTCTAAGTACAAGATACTTGCCTAGGACAGCCATTTTTCTTCCTAGGAATAGATTAGCATTTTACCTAGTGTAATGGAAAAAACCAAACTACTTTCTCCTCTGTATTTACACTCAGCACTTAATACTCTGGCCACCAAAATGTGTAGGAGTGTCCTCACACTGACAATTTATTCAACACCAGCAAACTTTTCTATAATTTAATTGAATTCTACCACTATCTACCTACAGATAGCATCAGATAACCCCTTAAGGGCTCAATCCCAAAAGGCTGCCCTCCACTTCAGATGCCAGTAGCAAGTACCAGGTTCCAGGTTGTCACCCGTGCTTCTGACTGACAGAGGGAATCAGACCTGCCTCCTCCTGATCTCCTCATTGGGTTTGATTATTTGTTAGAATGGAATTCAGGGAGACCCTTTATTTACACTTATTAATTGTTCACTTATTACAAAACGATGTAATTCAGAACAGCCATATGGAAGAGATGCACAAGGTGAGGTATGGTGAGGCTGTAGAGCTTCCATGCCCTCTCTGGGGGTGCCAGCCTCCCAGCACCTCCATGTGTTCAGCTACCCAGAAACTCTCTGAACCTTTCAGTTCGGGGATTTTATGGAGGCTTTGTTGAGTAGGCATGATCCATTATTAGCTCAGTCTGTAGCCCATATCCCCTTCCTGGAGATGGGCAATAGGGATGAAAGTTCTAAGTTTCTAATCATGGCCTGGTTTTTCTGGGGATCAGCTCCTATCCGGAGTCACCTCATTAGAACAAAAGATGTTCCTATTACTCAGGAAATTCCAAAGGATTTATGAGCTCTGTGTGAGGGAGAAGTATCAAAGACCAAATATTATTAGAACAAAAGATTCTCCTAGCACCTTGTTGCTCAGGAAATTACAAGAGTTTTAGGGATCTCTGTGCCAGGAACTGCGGATAAAGAAAAAAATATATTTCTTATTACAAATCACAATATTTCATCTAGTACATAGGAGACTAAATTTAACAACTAGAAAGTACTGAGTTGCCACATTTATTTTCTGGAGTTAAATAATAATTTTGAAATACTAGCAATGCATACAAATAATTGGTATTTGAGTAGTTTATTCTTTCTGTAATGATAACCTCTCTAGAGGGGAACCAGCTCAGTCATCATCTGTAAAATGGGAAAGATGGCACCTACTTTATAGTATAGAATATATATTTGGATTCTGACAACAGAGGTGAGTTGATACGGTTTGAATGTTTGTCCCCCGCAAATCTTATGTTGAAATGTAATTAATCCCTTATATTGAAGGTGGGGCCTCCTGGGAGGTGTTTGAGTCATAGGGGTGGATCCCTCATGAATTAGCTTGGTGCCCTCCTCATGGTAATGAGTGAGTTCTTACCTGAGTTCACATGAGATCTGGTTGTTCAAAAGAGCCTGATACCTCCCTCTTCTCTCTTGCTTGCTCTTTCCATGTGACATGCTGGCTCCCCTTCATCTTCCACCATGATCGGAAGCTTCCTGAGTCCTCACCAGAAGCTGAGCAGATGCCTGTGCTGTGCTTTTGGTACAGCCTGCAGAACCATGAGCCAATTAAACCTCTTTTCTTTATAAATTACCCAGCCTCAGATATTATTTTATAGCAATGCAAAACAAACAAATAAAAAAACAAAAAGCAAACAAACAAAAAAACAGAATAACACAGAAAATTGGTACCAAGGAGTGGGGCATTGCTACAAAGATACCTGAGGATGTGGAAATGGCTTTGGGACTGGGTAATGGGCAGAGGTTGGAAGAGTTTGGAGTGCTCAGAAGAAGACAGGAAGGGAAAGTTTGGAACTTCTTAGAGACTGGTTAAATGGTTGTGACCATTTAATGCTGACAGAAGTATGGACAATGAAGGCCAGGCTGAGGAGGGTTCATATGGAAATGAGGAATTTATTGGGAAGTAGAGTAAGGGTCACCCTTATTATGCCCTAGCAAACAGCTTCAATGTATCCATGTCCTAGGACTCTGTAGAAGGTTGAACTTGGGAGTGATGACCTAGGGCATCTGGTAGAAGAAATTTCTAAGCAGCAAAGCAGTCAAGATGTGGCATGGCTGCTTCTAACAACCTATGATCAGATATGGGAGCAAAGGAATGACTTAAATTTGGAACTTATATTTAAAAGGGAACCATAGAGTAAAAGTTTGGAAAATTTGAAGCCTGGCCATGTGGTAAAGGAAAGAGCATTTTCAGCTGAGGAACACAAGTGGGCTGTGTTCTACTTGCTAGAGAGATTTGCATGACTAAAAGGGAGCTAAGTGCTAACATACATGACATGCAAAAAAGTCTTTGAAGGTGTTTCCGAAGTCTCTGAGGCAGCCCCTCCCACCACAGGCCAAGGTCTAGGCAGAAAGAATGGTTTTGGGGGCCAGGCCCAGGGCTCCACTGACCTGCGCATCTTTGGGACCCTGCTTCCCACATTCCAGCAGCTCTGATTCCAGCCTCAGGTCAAAGGGACCCAGATACAGCTTGGGCTGCTCTGGATGGTGCAAGCCATAAACCCTGGTGGCTTCCATGTGGTGTTAAGCCTGCAAGTGCACAGAGTGCAAAAGTGAAGGAGATTTGGCAGCTTCTACCTAGATTTCAAAGGATAGAAGAAGTCTGGGAGTCTGGGTGCACAGAAAAAAGCTTGCTGCAGGGGTGAAACTCCCACAGAGGAACTCTATGATGGCAATGTCAAGGGGAACCCCCTCACAGATTCCTCACCTCTTTTTTTGTTTAAAAGAAATTACCCAGCCTCAGGTATTCCTTTATAACAATGCAAAAACACACTAATGCAGGAGTTAATGCTGAATAGTTATTCCTGTTTTAAGAAAATTTATACTAGTGATAAATACCCAGATAGAATACTTGAGGCCCACAATAATACTAAAATATTTGATGATGGGTTTTTGAAAAATAAACTTGACCAACTGAGCAAGCAACTTTGAGGAAAAGACCTTGTGCCTCCAAAAGGTGTCATGGAACAGAATGGAGACACCATGAGATGATGAAGAGTACAGCTTCTGGGCTACCATGGTTTTCCAGCTGGGTGCTCTTGGACAGAAAACAGACTTGTTCTCATCTCAGAGGGTCATTGTCAGCATTAAAGTAAATGAAAGCAGCAGAAGAAAAGTGATTAGGACAGAGTAGCTTCTCAGCCTCTGCTAGCCTTGTTTTCCCACCTCCAAAAACCAAGCAGAAGTTTAATCATTTTCCCGTGGCTCTGAGGCTTAACATACTCTCCATTCCAGCACATTATTAATATATTACTAATGGAAAAATACAGTTTAACTGTGAATTGCCAATTAATGAAACTCTGCTGTAGAGGAACTAATTTAAATCAAACCCCTCAACAGATGATGGTAATGCAAGAGCATTAAAAAAACCCTTTGAATAGAAGAGATTTTTGAAAGATGATGGAAGCATGCTGAGCATATTATTCATAGACTTTTCTTGAGACATGATTAAAAATGTTTCAGATGGTATTAATGTTGAGGCTTGAAGTTGCACAAGAAGTGGTGGTGTAGAAACAGAACATGTTTGTATGTCAGAATACATTTGTGGGTTTATTAAGACTTTAGTAAGTCCTGCAGATAGGATGAGAAAATCTGTCAGCCTGTTTTTCTTTTTTCTTTTCAGGCTCTGGATTTTCAAGATCTGATTTTCTTCTTCTATAGACCAATTCAGTTTCTGGCTTATATCTGTGGAGTAGAATAATTTCTCTACCTCCATGTCTTCCCTGTCAAACTTATTGTCAACACTAAAGTCAAGATGACTTTATATAACACAATTCTGATCACATCACTCCCTGATAACCTGAGTCACCAACTCCCACAAAGTAAGCCATATAGCTTTAATATCTGAGTCAAGGACTGTCATCCTCTCATGGTATAGAGATGTGGATAAAGAGCCTGGTCAATGGAGCCAGACTGCCTGAGTTCACACAAGTGAAGAGCTTAGAACGGTGCCTGGCATGCAGGGAAAGAACAAGAAAATTCAGCTGTGATGGTAGGCTCTGGGCTATCTTTGTCTCATTTCCATCCTGATCCCTCCCACAGAATCCATCATCATCTTTATTAATACTCCTTAGGAACTCTGTATTTATTACTTCATGTAATCCTTATGACAATCCATGCAACTGGGTTCTTTAATTAACCCCCTTTACAATAATCCCTTGGGATTATGCCACATTGGAATCACTTGGGTTGTTTTTAAAACACTGATGCCTGGACCCCACACTTAGAGATTCTGAAATAATTGGAGTGGGACTCAAACATTGACTTTTATTTCTTAATTTCCTGCGCTGAGGCTAACATGCAGGTAGAGTTGTGGACCACTGAGTCTGGTGATTTGCCCAATGTCCTCCCAGGCCATAAGCTAGAATTGGTGGTAGGATGGACTTCAGAGCCCACATTCCTCTTCCTGCAGGGCTACTGGTCATCCTGTCCAGGCACTACCTATTCCAGGCCCTGGTGTCCTTGCAGGCACTGCTCCTTTCACCCCATGGACACTCCATTCCTTTACTTCTTCACGTAATGAACTTTTTTCCTTTTCCAAATTCCAGTTCATAAATCACCTTCTTCTCAGGTGGCAATAGTCATTCCTAATTCTGAGCTGCTGCTGTCAGCTCTTGGGCACATATGACATTATATTGTAATCTGTTTACTAGTCTGGCTCCCCCTCCCAGACTATGGTTCTTTGAAGGCAGGTCTGTCTCATGCCTTTGGGGCCCAGGATATTGACACTGCTAGTGTAGATGTCAAGAAACGTTTAGTGAATGAATGGGTGAATGACTGCATGCATGGTTTTAAATCAGATTCTTCCCATGGGGGAAGAGTATACTTGTTCAGAGTCCCTAATTTTTTCCTCCAGTGATTAAATTTCTCCCCTATGTAAACCCTCCCTTTCCCTGTATGTAACTGATCTGGTTTCCTCCTGCCTCCCTCACCCCCACCATTGGACTATTAGGAAGAGGTGTTCTAAATGCCTGATTTGGATAACATCAGATGCATTCCCTTCCACTTGAGTGTTTCCAAGGTCAAATCCTTAAATGTGCTTTTAGGAAGTGAGTCTAAAGCTCCATTTTTTCCTTTGAGTCTTTGGAGAGAGGGTAGGCAATAGAAATGCAGCTTCTTATAATGCCATTCAAGAAAAAGTTTAAATGTCCTATTTTCCTGAGGATTCCAGAACCCAAGAGAGAAGGATAATTGAACCTAGAGAAGAGCAGGGATTTGGAGGAGGGAAGACTGGATTTCTAAGCATAAGACTGAAGACTGTTGGCGCTGTAGCATGTGCTTTCTGGAGTTACTTAGGTTCCTGACATCTGTCTGTAGGGGAGCCAGCAGCACCCTGTGGCGCTCCGGCTCTGAAGAGTTGCTGACCTCAGGGCCTTTGATTAGAGAGGTCCTTGCAAAGGGAAGATGTCCACTCTGCTTGGACTACCTAGCTAAAATACTTCATATATCCAAAATCAAATCCCCCAAATCAGTGAAATATTTATTTATTGAGACAGGGTCTTGTTCTGTCACCTAGGCTGGAGTGTTGTGGTTTAATCACGGTTCACTGCAGCCTCGATCTGATGGACTTAAGCGAGCCTCCCACCTCAGCCTCCAGAGTTGCTGGGACTATAGAGTGCACCACCATGTCTGGAGAATTACATTTTTTGTTGTTGTTGTTGTAGAGACAGGGTTTTGCTCTGTTGTTCAGGCTGGTCTTGAACTCCTGAGCACAAGCAATCCTCCCACCTCAGCTGCCCAAAGTGGTAGGATATTACAGGTGTGAGCTACCATGGCTAGCCAAATATTTTTTAACTGAAAGATTTATTATTATTATTTTGGTTTTTCTAAAGGGGGAGAAGTTAAACAGTGACATGGAATAATAACTGTTATTTACTGTGTCTGAAAGAGAAACTATATTGTGTTTAAATTTTCATCAGGGGAAGCTGACTGTCCGTGACACCACTGGGGATTATAGTTTTGACATGGTAAAGAATATTTTCTTATTGTATTGAATATTCACTTTAAGAAATTACCATAAAATATGAATAAACATGAACAGGGACTTTAGAATGGTTATCCTCTCAAATCCTCAGGGTATGTTTGTGGAAAGCTGATTTTCCTGTCTTAATAAATTCTAACTCTTCTAATAAAATAAGAGTGTTGAGAAAGAGTGGCTTGAAACAAGTTTTACATGAGTGAATTCTTTTTTTGTGAAGGTTTCAAAGAATAATTTTGTGGCATTCAAATTTTAAAAATCTGTTATGGCTCTCCAATTCTACTCTGGGCATTGATTTATTTTTCTGCAAAAAGACACTTTGGTGGATTTCATAAGACATATTGGAGACATCTGTAAAGCAGGGAGACACACAACTTGTATCAATAGGTCTCTACAGGTAAAGTCATCAAAAATCTCTACTAGATGTAGAAAAGGCTGAATTTTGGGTGCCTGGCCATCCCCAAACTTTTCATGGACCCATTTCCAGTATGTGATTTAGGCCTAGGTGGACACATTTGGTCTAAAAGATTCTCCATGACCTATTTTATATTGATTTTCCTTTTATCTCTTTTGGGAGAGTTGACAGTCATCTCTAGGTGGATAGCAATAGCTACCAAACATTATACCTCCTGAGCTCCAGTGAGTTAGTGTCTTACCACCTGCAGCCTGAGGTAATTTGATTTCACTTATGGCTAAGCAGAATGGTTTCTTAAATTCCTGAAAGACATAAGAAACAGAAACTCAAGGAAGAACAATTTCTGCTGGAAAATGTGCTCTCCACACACCATAAATAGTGACCCCAAAAGTATATTTCAACCCAGAACAACTTTTCCATTTGTCCAGTGATAAATGTGCTTGTCAGGAAGATAGTCTCAGAATGAATATCTGAGATATGTATCAATCACACAGTTTATTTATAGTTCTCTTGGTAAGCTTTCTCACCCTAATCTTTTTTCTCTTCTTTTTTTCTTTTAGGCCAAACTCCTAGTCTAGGCCTTTATTTGCATGTAAGTTATCTTTTTTGTTTGTTTTTCTGAGACAGAGTCTTGCTTTGTAACCCAGGCTGGAGTGCAGTGACGTGATCTTGGCTCACTGCAGCCTCCGCCTGCCTGGTTCAAGCGATTCTCCTGCCTCAGCCTCCTGAGTAGCTGGGACTACAGGTGCACCCCACCAAGCCTGGCTAATTTTTTTGTGTTTTTGGTAGAAATGGGGTTTCACCACGTTGGCCAGGCTGGTCTTGAACTCCTGACCTTAAGTGATTCACCTGCCTTGGCCTCCCAAAGTGCTGGGATCACAGGCATAAACCACCACGCCTGGCCAAATTATCTTTAAGATGATAGTTGGAATAGCATCTAAAATTTCCTTCTAGAATTTTCTAATATGTAATCAATATTGTAGTAATAAATAATATTTAATGACTTTTTAATAGTAAAAATTCTGATTCCTGACTAGCTTTTTGAGAGCAGATACAATGCCCTCTTTTTCTTTACACTTTCTGAAACGGTTCTGGCACGTAACATGTATTTGTTGAATAAATAAAAATAATTTTATTACAGCACATCGCTGATGTCACAGGAAAACAGTAACTTTCTGAAAGATTACAGTAGAAATAGAATGGAAATATTATGAATATAGGGATTTTATTTTATCTGCAGCACGATAGAATCCGTGGAAGAAATGTGAGAGGCACATGATATGAAGCTCCTGGTCTCTTTTTTTCTAACCCTTCTTCAAAGACACATCCCTTAATTCTTTGGTAAAGAAGAGAGCTGTAATAGGACATTAGTCAGAGGTTGATTGTTCATCCCCACACTTGGGTAGCAACATTCTGGAGTCATGCAAGTGTGTCCGGAATTGGTGGGTTCTTGGTCTCACTGACTTTAAGAATGAAGCCGCGCACCCTCGCGGTGTTACAGTTCTTAAAGATGGTGTGTCCGGAGTTTGTTCCTTCTGATGTTCAGACGTGTTCAGAGTTTCTTCCTTCTGGTGGGTTCATGGTCTTGCTGGCTTCAGGAGTGAAGCTGCAGACCTTCACGGGGACTGTTATAGCTCATAAAGGCAGTGTGGACCTAAAGAGCAAGCAGCAGCAAGATTTATTGCAAAGAGTGAAAGAACAAAACTTCCACGGTGGGGAAAGGGACCCAAGCGAATTGCCGCTGCTGGCTCAGGCAGCCTGCTTTTATTTCCTTATCTGACCCCACCCACATCCTGCTGATTGGTCCATTTTACAGAGAGCTGATTGGTCTGTTTTGACAGGGTGCTGATTGGTGCATTTACAATCCCTGAGCTAGACACAGTGCTGATTGGTGTATTTACAATCCTCTAGCTAGAGGTAAAAGTTCTCCAAGTCCCCACTAGATTAACTAGACGGAGAGCACAAGGTGTGTTTACAAACCTTGAGCTAGACAGAGGGTGCTGATTTGTGCATTTACAAACCTTGAGCTAGACACAGAGTGCTGATTGGTGTGTTTACAAACCTTGAGCTAGACAGAGTGCTGATTGGTGTATATACAATCCTCCAGCTAGACATAAAAGTTCTCTAAGTTCTCACCCACTCAGGAGCCCAGCTGGCTTTGCCTAGTAAATCCTGCCTGCCAGTCCCGCAGCACCTGCAGTCCTCAGCCCTTGGGTGGTCAATGGGACTGGGCCCGCGGAACAGGGGACAGGGGAAGGCACCCGTCAGGTAGGCTCGGGCCGTGTGGGAGCCCACGGGGGCACGGGGAGGGGGTGCGGTGCCGGAAGTGGGGAAGGGGGTGGGAAGGGGGGTTGACTGGGGCATGGCGGGCTGCACAAGGATATAACTAACTGTCACTGTTTCAGATTCAGTATCTGTCACATCACATTCTGTATGCAGGAAGAGCCTATGAATGTGGCAACGGCCACAAGGCTGTTGAGTCTGTGCCAGCTACTTGCCATGGTAATTGGGAATTGTGGGAACGACAGGGAGGAGTAGGTTCAGCCTTCCAATAGCAGATTTTTAGATCTCTCTCTCTTTTTTTAAGGAATGGGAAAAATTTCTTATCAAGACTATCTTAGCTGTTTTGTCTAACTCTGGGACTTTGTCATTTAACCTGTGTGGACTGAAATTTCTTCTTCAATTTCTATGAGAGACATAAATTTAAAAATTTAATTTATCTTTTATACATGATGTTCATACATATTTATGGAGTACATGTGAAATTTTGTTATATGTATAGAAGGTGTAATGAACAAGTCAGCATATTTAAGGTATCCATTACCTGAAGGTTTATCCTTTCTAAGTATTAGGTACATTTCAAGTCCTCTCTTCTAGCTGTTTTGAAATATGTAATACATTGTTGTTAACTGTAGTCACCCTACTTTGCTGTCAAACATTAGAATTTATTCCTTCTATCCAACTGTATGGTTGTACCCATTAGCCCACCTTTCTTCATTTCCTCCACACCCTTCCCGGGAGAGACATAAGTTTTTATGGCTACATTAGATATGATGAAATTGAATCCCTTTTACTTTAGTAGTTTAAACATTTTTGTTTTTGTAAAATTTATATGAACTCATTGTATTTTGAAAATCAGACAAGACAGAAAAACACAAAGATGAGAGGTAAGAAATAAGTAAAAAATCTTACCACCCCAAATAAACAACTTTTATTAATATTTGATTAATATTATTCAAGTTCTTTCCTTATGTACAGAAAGAATAATAGACAAAAATAGTTTGGAAAAAAATGGGATTACAGTATATTTTTATTAGCAAAACCATGAAGTTTCATTTTTCTTGAATTTAACTGAAAAAAAGTGAAATGAAATGAAAAGAATTGTTGGATTTCCGAAAATGTTTCTGTGCTGTTGACTGGTCTCTGAAAACTCTAATGCCCTGCAATACCTTGTTGAAAGCAGAGAACTGACAAATATTTGTTGAATGAGTATATGAATATGTTTCAGTGTTTGTTTTTAAGAGCTGATTTTTCTTAAGATTATAATTCAGTCTTGTGTGGCCTCAAACTCAAGGTTGATTTTGTGTTTGTTCATGGGTTATAAATTCTTTTGCAAATATTTATTGAGCCCTATTTCCCAGGCACCACGATAAGGGCTGGATACATGTCAACACGCCACAGGGGGTGGATTGTGTTAAAACCTCCTCCTAGACCTACCTTTGCCTAAAATCTCCTGCTAGACCTACCTTTGCTGTTCTTTAGCCTCATCTGTGGCACTCTGCTCCTTGCCCTAGGACTCTGGCAACACTGGCCCCTGTTCTTCCCCTTAAATGCTCCTTCCTATCTTGAGAACTTTGGGTTGGTTACTGCTTCCATTAAATGCTCTTGTTTATCCTTTTGCCTAATTTCTCTCAACTCTTCCTTCAGCTCATATATTTCTTCCTGAGGGAAGCCCTCTAGAACCTTCTGAATAAACCAGATCCCTTTGTTGTACATCCTGCTCTATTTGTTTGTAGGCTTTTCACAGTATGTATTTATATATTTACTTATTTGGTCATTCACTTGTCTTTTTCTGCCACTAGACTCTCAGTGCCATCGGGCAAGAGGCCTGGGTCCTCACCATCATACCCTCAGTGCCCAGCACGTCTTGGCCATGTTGTCTCAGACTACATTTAACTTTTCATATAACACATGGAAGTTAAATAAAACATGGTCCTTATCCTCAAGGAGTTTATGCTCTACTGTAAGTGAATCAATTATTGTAGTAGAGTATGAACATTGCTATGAGAGACGTATATTTGTACATCTTTGTAGGGAGTTTTGAAGGATGGGTAGGGAGGTTCTGGATTATGATGTGTCCATGTGTATGTGGAGGTAGTCGTGGTGATAGGGATGGGATGAGAGTGTGGGAAAGAAAGCACTCTAGCCAGAGTCACTGAGTAGAAAGGCTCAAAAGCCTTAAATAGAGAGACATGTTCAGGGAAATACAGGTTATTCTGATACAGCTGAGGCCAAAGTTGGGTAGTGGAAAGGGAGAAAATTGAGGAAGATTATGTGCAGAATATGATTGGCTTTAAATGCTGCTCAAAACATTATGTTGCATAATGTAATAACACTTTTCTTTCAAAATGAAATTGAACCATTAGGTTAGAAGTGCTCATAGCATGAGAAAATGTATTTACTAGTTAGAAAAGGTTGTTTGGTTTGTCTTACTACACATCAAATAAATCTATTTTTTTAGTCTCAAATTTTATTCTGATATTTACATGAAGCCACAGAGGTAAAACTTATTGTATAAAATAAAACAATAATTAAAGCTGTGGATAAAGTCTGAATATCTAAATAAAAGTAGAGGTTAAAGCTATTTAATTTTGCCATGAAGGATTTAAAAAAACCTCTTTTTTATGTCACATGGCCTTTTTTGGTGATAATTTTGAGGATTTTAGAATTATTCTGTGAAAAGTGGGCAAAATGGGTCAGTTAAATGACAGATTTGTAAGTTAAGTGGAAATGCCTTTGTATGAAAGAACATTATTTAGGAAAGGAACAGCATGTAGTCTGTGCTTATTACTTCTGACGGGAGGACATTGAACAATATTTTGCTCTCCCTCTGTGGAGTGACAGAATATGTTTCATGAATGTGCTAAGTTAAACTGCCCCCCAGTATCTTCTACCACTGACATTCTTTCAGGAAATGTGGATTCTCATCCTGGCTCTGCCAATACTAGGGTGGCTGGACCCAGAGGGCTTGATAAATGTGCATTCCTGGACCCCATGCTCAGATTTCTGCTTCCGAAGGTCTAGAGTGGGGCCCAGGAACGAATTTTTAAAAAGTCCCTGACCAGATTCTAATGCATACTGAAGGACAGGAGGCAAAGTCTTCAGTCCATGAAAAATAGCAGTCTTCATACTGCAGGGAGCCATGAAAAGGATATGAGAAATTCTATTCACCTGTCTAGGGCGCAGTAAGAAAGCTGGGCCTCTATTCAGGATGGTAGATGGGAAAAAAGAAGAGTCTGAGAAATTTGACACTTCCCAGACATTAATTAGTATTCCCATGAAAAATAGAATCACTAAATGACCCATTTAAAAAATGAAAAGCTCACATGAGAATAGAAAAACACCATGAGGATTATCACACTGGTGGATTTACGTCACAAGAATTAGAGATAATAGGCCAGGCGTGGTGGCTCATGCCTGTAATCTCAGTACTTTGGGAGGTTGAGGTGGGCAGATTACCTGAGGTCAGGAGTTCGAGATCAGCCTGGCCAACATAGTGAAAACCCATCTCTACTAAAAATACAAAAATTAGCTGAGTATGCTGGTGTGTGCCTGTAATCGCAGCTACTCAGGAGGCTGAGACAGGAGAATCCCTTGAACCTGGGAGGCAGAGGTTGCAGTGAGCCAAGATTGTGCCACTGCACTCCAGTCTGGGTGACTGAGCGAGATTCTGTCTCAAAAAAAAAAAAAAAAAAAAAGAGAATTAGAAATAATAGCAATAAAATTTCCAAAAAGAGAAAAGTTGGGCTAGAAACCACAAGACAAAAACAGGATAATATGATACATAAATAAGAAGATTTGAAAAGAAACTACATAGAAATCATAGAAAATAAAATATGGCCATTATGAGAGAATATCCCTCAAATAATGAGTCTAAATGTAGATTAGACACAGCTGAAAAGAGAATTATTTAAGTAGGGGAAAGATCTCAGGAAATTATTCAGGATGTAGCATAGAGAGATAAGGAGAAAGAAAATATGAAAAAAAAGCCACGAGACGTGAAGCAGAGACTGAAAGGCATACTGAGGCTCCAATAGAAAAAATGAAAAATGTGTATACCCAGACAGCAACATAGTGCAATGGCAGCACATGAATTTCAAAGCAGAAATCAAAAAAGCTGCCAAGGATAAAATATTGATTATGTATGGGGAATGACAATCAACTAATAACAAGGCTCTTATCAGAAATAATAGATGCCAGAAGATAATGGAATAATGAATGTATAACGCTGAGGGAAAATAAGAGTTCACCTAGAATTTTACACCCAAATTACCAATCAGGAGAGAGGACGATGAAATAAAGACATCTAACAGTATATGAAGACTGGGAGGGTTTGTTACTCACAGACCCTGCTAAAAGGAATGTCTGAAAGATATTTACCTCATGGAGGCTGGGCGCAGTGGCTCACGCCTGTAATCCCAGCACTTTGGGAGGTAGAGGCGGGTGGATCACGAGGTCAGGAGTTCAAGACCAGCCTGGCCAAGATGGTGAAACCCCTTCTCTACTAAAAATACAAAAATTAGCCGGGCGTGGTGGTGGGTGCCTGTAATCCCAGCTACTTGGGAGGCTGAGGCAGAGAATTGCTTGAACCCTGGAGGCGGAGGTTGCAGTGAGCTGAGATTGTGCCACTGTCTTCCAGCCTGGGCTACAGAACGACACTCGGTCTAAAAAAAAAAAAAAAAGATATTTACCTCATGGTAAAGCACAATACAGAAGGAAATAGTAGTATGCAAGAAGCATTTGGTGGGGAAAATTGATGTTTGTGTATTAGGTTTCTGTAGAGAAACCGACTGGCTCTGTATATGAGAGGAGATTTAAAAAAATTTTTTTATTTTACTTTAAGTTCTGGGATACACACGCTAAACGTGCAGGTTTGTCATGGTGGTTTGCTGCCCCTGTGCACTCATCATCTAGGTTTTAAGCCCTGCATGCATTAGGTATTTGTCCTAATGCTCTCCCTCCCCTTTTCCCCGACCCCCAACAGGCCCTGGTGGGTGATGTTCCCTTCCCTGTGTCCACGTGTTCTCATTGTTCCATAAAAAAATAACTCATTATTTTTTTATGGCTGCATAATATTCCATGGTGTATATGTGCCACATTTTCTTTATCCAGTCTATCATTGATGGGCATTTGGGTTGGTTCCAAGTCTTTGCTATTGTAAATAGTGCTGCAATAAACATATGTGTGCATGTGTCTTTATAGTAGAATGATTTTTAATCCTTTGGGTATATACCCAGTAATGGGATGCTTGGTCAAATGGTATTTCTGGTTCTAGATCCTTGAGGAATTGCCACAGTCTTCCACAATGGTTGAACTAATTTATACTCCCATCAACAATGTAATTTACTTTCCTACCAACAGTCTGGAGCCTTGCCAGCATCTGTTTTTTTCTTTTTAATAGCCATTCTGACTGGTGGGAGATGGTATCTCATTGTGGTTTTGATTTACATTTATCTGATCATTAGAGATGCTGAGAATTTATCATATGTTTGTTGGCTGTTTGTATGTCTTCTTTTGAGAAGTGTCTGTTCATGTCTTTTGCCAATTTTTAATGGGTTATTTGTTTTTTGCTTGTTGAATTAAGTTCCTTATAGATTCTGGATATTAGGCCTTTATTGGATATATAGTTTATAAATATTTTCTCCTAATCTGTAGGTTGCCTATTTATTCTGTTGATAGTTTGTTTTGCTATGCAGAAGTTCCTTAGTTTAATTAGGTCTCACTTGTCACTTTTTTTTCAATTGCTTTTGAAGACTTATTCATAAATTCTTTTCCAAAGCCAGTGTCCAGAATGGTGTTTCCTAGGTTTTCTTCTAGGATCCTTATGTTTCTAGGTCTTATATTTAAATCTCTAACCCATCTTGAGTTGATTTTTATATATAGTGAAACATAAGTTTCCAGTTTCAATCTTCTGCATATGGCTAGCCAGTTATCGCAGCAACATTTATTGAATAGGGAGTTCTTTTCCCATTGCTTATTTTTGTCAACTTTGTCAAAGATCACATGGCTGTAGATGTGCAGCTTTATTTCCGGGCTCTCCATTCTGTTTCATTGGTCTGTGTTCTGTTTTTGTGCCAGTACCATGCTCTTTAGGTTACTGTTACCTTGTAGCACAGTTTGAAGTCAGATAATGTGATGCGCTGGCTTTGTTGTTTTTGCTTGGAATTACCTAGGTTATTTGGGCTCTTTTGTGAGCCCATATGAATTTTAGAATAGTGTTTTCTAGTTCTGTGGAAAATGATATTCAGAGCTTGACAGGCATAGTGTCGAATCTGCAGATAGCTTTAGGCAGTATGGCCATTTTAACAATATTGATACTTCTAACCCATGAGCTATTTTTACCACATTTACAATTACTTCATTTAAGTCTTGAACTCCTCCAAATTACCCAGGAGGGCTGAAATCAACTTCTTCCAAATTCATGTTAATGTTGACATTTTGGCTTCCTCTCAGCAATCATGAATGTTCTTAATGACATCTAGAATGGTGAATCATTTCCAGAAAGTTATGAATGTATTTTGCTCAGAACCATAAGAGGAATCATTATCTATGTCAGTTATAGCCTTATGAAATATATTTTTTTAAATAATAACACTTGAAAATCGAAATTTCTCCTTGATCCATGGGATGCAGGATAGATACTGTGCTAGCAGGCATCAAAACAACATTCATCTCCTTGTCCATGTCCATCGGAGTTCTTGGGTCTGTAGATACATTGTCAATGAGCAGTGATATTTTGAAAGGAATCTTGTTTTCTGACCAGTAGGTCTCAACAGTGGGTCTGATATCTTCAGTTAACCTTGTTGTAACCAGATGTGCTATCACCCAGGCTTTACTATCCTATTTATAGAGCACAGGCAGAATAGATTTAGCATCATTAGGAACCCTAGGATTTTTGAAATGGCAAATGAACAGTGGCCTCAAATTCATGTCACTAGCTGCATTATCCCCTAACAGGAGAGTCAGCCTATTATTCAAAGCTTCGAATTCAGACATTAACATCTTCTCTGTACCTATGAAAGTCCTAGGTGGCAGCTTCTTCCAATAGAAGGCTATTACTCCATTGAAAATCCATTGTTTGGTATAGCCACTTTCATCAGGTTTCTTAGCTAGATCTTCTGGATAATTTTTGCTCCTTTGACATCAGCACTTGCTGGTTTACTTTACACTTTTCTATTATGAAGACAACTTCTTTCCTTAAGCCTCTTAAATCAACCTCTGCTAGCATCCAACTTTTTTTCTGCAGATATATATATATATTTTTTTTCACCTCTCTCAGGCTTCATAGAGGTAACAGGAATTAGGGCCTTCCGCTGGGTTAGGCTTTGGCTTAAGAGAATGCTGTGGCTGGTTTGATTTTCTATCCAAACAAATCACTAAAACTTTCTTCACATAAGCAATAAGGTTGTTTTGCTTTCTTATCATTCATGTGTTTACCGGAGCAGCACTTTTAATTTCCTCAAGGACTTTTTCTTCACCTCTACAACTGGGCTGTTTGGTGCAAGAGGCCTGGTTTTTGGCCTGTCTTAGCTTTCAGTACGTCTTCCTCACTAAATCATTTCTAGTCTTTGATTTAAAGTGAGAGAGTTGTGACTATTCTTTTCACTTGAACACTTAAAAGGCCATTATAGGGTTATTAATTGGCCTCATTTCAATATTCTTGTGTCTCAGGGAATAGGGAGGCTCAAGGAGAGGGAGAGAGACAGGGGAATGGCCGGTCAGTGGAACGGTAAGAACACAGACATTTGTTGATTATGTTTGTTGTCCTTTATAGGTGTGGATCGTGGTGCCCCAAAACATTTACAATAGTAACATCAGAGGTCACTGATTACAGATCATCATCACAGATATAAGAGTAATGAAAAAGTTTGAGATAGTGCAAGAATGATCAAAATGTGACACAGAGACACACAGTGAATACATGCTGTTGGAAAAATGACGTGAACAGATTTTCTTAATGAAGGATTGCCACAAGCCTTCAATTTATAAAACATACAATACCTACAAAGCACAATAAAGTGAAGTTCAATAAGATGAGGTATGTTTGTATTTTAAAGTAAACAAAACAATACACAATCTTGCATATACATACTAAAAAATATACAAATATAAAAATGGAACATATCTTTAAGATAATGGTTGTCCTTGCAGAAAAATAAGGAATGAGACAGAAGAGAGATACCAAGAATCCTTGAAAAGTATCTGTAATAGGTTTTTATGCAGAAAAATCCAGAGAAAACGCAGAAAAATGACAAAATTCATAAATGATCTGTGCTGGGCACTTGGCTGTTTTAATGCATGACATTTCTGTGTGTTTGAAGTATTTTATAGTGATATTTCAAAGCTCTAGAGTTATTCTTTTGTGCTATTAGGTTTGGGAATGGACAGAATAGATGACTCTCTGTCACCTTCCAGTTCGACTTTTGGCCAAGTCGATACATTACTTGAAAAGCGCCTTGATGAAGCTTATGTATACCCAAGCCTCTTTGTGTTTCTGGAGAAGTTAATAAGAATTGGGCCACAAAACTGCTGAAGACTTGAAGGGAGCAGTTTAATCTTGGGCTGTCATATTGAGTAAGTGGCTTCTGTTCCAGCCATCTGTTCTAGTCATAGTGCACCACATCCCATCCTGTATGCTTGGCAGGGTCTCATTCCCATCATTATCCCTCAAAGAGCTCTAGACTGGAATTTTAAAAATTTCACATTGACACGTGGGGGAAATTGTTGACAGGAGAAAGGCTCTAGATGACATGTTTTCACCCCTGGTGTTTTTCATGGGAGAGGGAAGGGGTGTGTAAAAGTATAATTAGACGATTCTTCAGAGTTTTGTCCAATGGAGCTCTGTGGGTAGCTCCCCCCGCAACCCCAGCAGAACTATCACCCATTTCTTGCCAATGTGTTCTTTTCAATTACTCTTAATATCCCATCCAGAATTAGAGATGGAAGAAATAACTGGGTCAGCTCATCTTTGCTTTGCCAATGCAGGTGTTTTCTAACATGTTTTCTGTGGTGGTGCCCAGTTGTTAATAACATGCCTGTGCACAGTGCAATTATTTTGATGGTAGAGAGAAGATGATAAACGGAGCCTGTTCTGTGCTACAAGGACCGTTTCACCACAGCCCTTCTATGCAGCATCACTGGGGAAACTCGTTGATTTCCACATCTGCATTGAAAACCCTTGACTGAAACTCCCTTGCAAATCAGGAGTGAGAAGAAACGGAATGTTTTGGGTAACAAGTGAAGCTTCATGTCACCTTGTTTTTAATGTCTTAGTTCTAGCCAGATATGGTCTAGCCACAGGACGCGTATAATCATATAGTCTTAGATATTTCAGGACAGCTTTTGTTAGGCAGGATCTGTCCTGTGGTCCTTATAGCACTCAGCAGATGATGGTCACTGTAACTATAATTCCTTCAGCAACTGAACCAGCCTCTTTCGGCTATGAGTTGTGTGGCTCTTAGCACCTGTACTTATTTTTATTGTGGCATATATTATTTTGTGTTGTAATGACTGTTTGTCTCTCCCGCTATATAGAGCCCTGTGAGTATAAAGATTGTATACTTGTCCTTCTTTCCTCAGGATCCCAGCATAGTATGTGGTACATAATTTGTATTTTGTGAATATTTTTGAATGGATCAATTAATCTTGATCTTAGGTCCTCATGAAAGAGAGGTGGTTATGATGCCTGAATTGTAGGGGTTCCATGGTTAGGTGGCATAGTTAGTACCGGCAAGTTACTTAAGACAATATACAAATTTCATTAGTCACCTTTTCATTCAGTAAGACTTTGAGTGTTTTTGAGCCAGGAAGGCAAGATGTTAGAGGTCATGCAGAGTCCAAGAGAGAAGATATATTCCCTGCCCCACAGGAGCAGAGGAAATAAGAGAGAACTCAAATAATTAGAGTAATGAGATAGGATGCTAATTAGGAATGTTGACAAAAACATTTAAATGGGCTAGAAGTTGACAGTACTTTTGGCTAGTTTAAAATAAATTGGTACTGTCTGGTTAGGAGAAACCTCTTCTGTTGGAGTTTTAGGGAGACAATAAGTAGTATCCCTTTTCCCCTGTTCCCAGTTTGAAAAAAATTTTTAATATGTGTCTCCTGAGAACAAGAACACTTTGCTATATGGCTACAACACAATTATTGAACCCGAGAAATTTAAAATGGATTCTAGGCTGTTTCAGTAGACAGAGCTGGGAAAAAAAGGTGTATTTCCCTCTAATTAAAAATCTCATCTAGTTCTTCCTCACTCTCTCATGTTCTATATTCACATCTCCCTTCTCCTTTTTGATAACTTTTTAAATCAATACATTTGTGAATTTTTTCTATCTTTAAATACATGCAAGTGGTTTCAGGATTATAACACTAATATCACTACCAATAACAAACCTACTGAACAAAGTTCAAGATTTTTTGGCAGTTCTTTTGGCTCTTAAAATATGTCCCATGAAGTGTATGTAATCAGATGGTTGTGCTAAAACATTATGTGAATTATTTTTTGTTTTCTGTGTGGCACTGATATCAAGTTGATATACAATTATATTAATTTGTTTCTTTTTACATTACATTTTAGGATTTTCTATCTCGTTTAATTTTGAAAATGAAAAACAGCTGCACGTTTCAAGTCAAAACTACACAAAAGATGTATTCAGAGAAGTCTCTCTGCCATCTTTTTTCTTTCTACCTCCATTTCTACCCTTCCCATAGATAACTTTTTATTAGGTTCTAGGTAATCTTTATGTTTATGATAAATGAAGTAAATATGGGTCTATTCTTCCCCTTCATTCTCATGCAAGAAGTAGCATGCTAAATAATTCTTTGGAACTTTGATTTTGAAAATTAACAATACATCCTGGAAGTTATTGCATATCACTCTATAGAAAGTGTTCTCATTCTTTCTGTTAATGGCTACACATTACTCTGGTGTGTGGACATACCACAAGTACATGACTCATCTACAGTTGGCCATTTGGACTGTTTCTAACAAACAACTCAGCAATGAATAACTTCTGCATATGCTGTTTCTTATTTGTAGAGGTGGTTTCTCAAGGTAAATTCTAGAAGGGGGATTTCTGGGTAATAAATTAGCCACTTGCATTCTGAGTCAGTTTGAAACAGAGAAGTCAGGCAGATGGAGAGGAAAATGTCGGCTTTCTTACCCCTAGATCATTTGGAAAAGGTGGCTCAGATGCTTCCTATACTAAATCCCTGGAGCAGTCTTAACCACCCAGTGCAGGCCATTCTAGAAAACTGTGGGCAGACTCTCAATGGGCAGAGCCACTACTGCTAAGCTTATGGCCTTGCCCATGGGAGACCAAAGTGCTTCCACTCTGCAGGAAGGCAGATGCCAAGGGATAGCAAAGAGATGGAGCCATGATGTATAAGTATCCCAACTCCACCAGTCAGAGAAATCTCTCCTCCTCCCATGGGGAGAAAAAAGTAAGGGGCAGAGAGAGGCCAGGAGTGTTACTCTAACTTATGTCCCTCTATGTGGAAACATGAAGATGAAGGAAAATGTTCCCCCTTTCCTCAAAGCCCTGTAGCTACTAGCATCAGGCTCTTTAGTGGACTCTGGTGGAGTGGGTGAGGGCTAGGAACATCTGAAGAGTGAATAAAAATGAAAGAGTAAAACCTAGAAACCTTGGAGACTGTGAATCACATATTCAGTTGAATGGCCTAAAAAACTGTACCAGATTCCCTCTGCTTGGTATAATTTAAAATTAAAATTAAGTTTAAAAAATAATTTAAAATGTAAATTAAAAATTCTGGGACCTCTTTGCCATGATAGAACATGTAGGGAGGGGATGGGATGCGCCGTGTGGACACGGCTGTGCTGGAGGTTGTGTTCGCTGCTCTCACACCATGTGGTTAGTGGGATGTCAGGGAGTATCATTGTGTTATACATTTGGTTCTGCTGAAAATGACCTATTTTTATTTTTACTATAGTCATACCACTATAGGTGGGGTGACCATAAGAGACGGAGAGGCGCATATCATTCTTCTCATCTATAAAGTGTCGTGGAGGCATTTGGATTAGGAGGGGTGCATTTTTTATTTAAATTTTCCAGAGTCTGTTTGACCAATAGCTATGCTTTTAAATGCTTTGTGTAAAAGGAGAGCAGTGCGTTGAGTTGTCAATCTGGTAAATTTAAGAACATCAGACTCAAAAAAAATTAAAGAAAATATTTCCATGTTTCTCTTAGAATATTAAAAATTAAACATGTTCAATCACGTTTCACTGCAAGCATAAAGAATTTATACTCAGAACCTGATGGGAAGATTTTGGATTTCTGTGAAGTTTCATTTATTTTGAAATGTATAATTTTTTTTCTACTTACATTGTGATAGTTGAAACCCTAGAGAAATGTTTAATAGAGAAGGTGTGAATTCTTCACAGTCTTAGACCTCAGAGATAATCTTTTATATATTTTGGTATAGAGCTTTCCAGTATTTTCCCCTTTCTATCTCTGTGATAGCATGTTTTGCACTTTGTGCAGGGAAAATTCAATTATATTGTATTGCAACTCATTTTTTTTTCAGTCACCATATCCTGGATACTTTTGTAGCAGATATACACAGTCTATGAGCCTAGACCACCTCCCTTCTCCCTGAAGCTCCCTTGCATGCTCCCTGTCCTAACTTACATCGGTGCTAGGCGACTCCTTATGTTTTTATATAACCTCCCCCGCAGAAAGAGTTGACTGGTTCAAGCTGTGTGAGTCAACATCTTTCCCTGGCATATTAGAAACCGAAATGAGAGGAATATGTTTCCCTTTGAAGATGATATGAGGATATTTGGCTTAGGTACTCTCAATAGGGAGGAAGCCAACATAAAGCCAATGGCAGAAACACAAAGTGGGTGCTGGCAAGGTGAGTCCCAGTAGCGTCTTAGCCGCTGGATTGAGCTGTTCTTTTCTCAGTTTGGTTGATCAGTCACATTCTACTTCCTTAATTTGGAGGAGCCAGTAGCTTTTCTTTTTTTCCTCCTAACCTAGTTTGAATTATATTTCTTGCTGGTTATATTCAAAAGAGTATTAATACATCTTGCTATGCTAATGTATCAATATTGTCCATTTTTATTGGGTGGCTTATAGTTTATTAATATGTGAACTCGTATTTTAAAACTCTTCTATTTATAATCATTTGCATTATTTTGAAGCTTTGACTTTAGACAACGCGGCAATGAGCATTCTTTTATATTTGCACAGCTGTTGAATATCTCTAGGGAAAAATCATAGCAGAAAAACAGAAAAGGCTTAGATGTTTTAAATTTTAGTAGATTATATCCAACTACTGTCTCCCAAATTGTACCAATATTTCCCAAGATAGTGGCAGATAGTGTGGATATCCTTACAGCTAGATGTTGCCAATAGTTTAAATCTTTGCAAATGCAATAGGAGAACAATAATTTCTAGTTTTAACTTGCATTTTAAAATTATTCCTGTGCAGGAGCACCTTTAATATATTTATTACATGCTGTAGGACAAAGATGAGTATTACACTGGAGTTCTTGTTGGAAATAATACAAATCAGATGAGAGTGGAACACTATGTGAAAAATGCTAAAAGAAAAACTATCAACTGAGAATTCTACACCTACTGAAACCATTCTTCAAAAATGGAGGTGAAATAAAGGCTTTTGTTGACATAAGAAAGTTGAAAGAATTCATTATCCTCAGAGCTCTACTATCAGAAATGCTGCAGAAAGTCCTATGGGAAGAAGGAAAATGACAGCAGAGGGAAATCTGGATCTACACAAAGGAATGAAGAGCCCCCCCTAAAAGTAACTGCATAGATAGGTATAAAATACTTTGAAAAATTAATTATTCATATCTCTTTAGAAGATACTTGTGGGCTTTCCTGATATCTATTATTGTTTCTAAACAATAAATTGTTTAAAGCAAAAAATAATAATTACATTGTGGGATTCTAACATGTAGAATTAAAATATATGACAATAATCATACAAATGTCATAAATATGATAATAGTACAAATGTCATAAAAGAGGAAATAGAAATATACTATTATAAGATTCTTATGCTATATGCAAAGCAGTATAATATCATTTGAACACAGACTGTGATGAGTAAAACATGCATACCATATGCCCTGGAGCAATCTCTAAAATGATGTCAAAAGGATTAGAGCTAAAAAGCCAACAAAGCGGAAAAATTGGAGCCGTAAAAATACTCCATTAGTTCAAAAGAAGACAGGAAAAAAGGAGCAAAGAACAGATGTGACAGAAAATAAATGGCAAGATAATAGATTTAAACTAAGCGATATCAATAGTCACATTACATGTTCTTAGTCTAAACACTAATCAAAAAGCAGAGAATGTCATATTGGATAAAAATGGAAGATCAAGCTATATGGAAACTCACTTTAAATACAAATATATGTTAGTAAAAGAATGAGAATATATATAATGTTAATATTAATCAAAAGAAAGTTAAAGTGGTAATATTATATCACATAAATTAGATTTTATAGCAAAGAATATTACCAGGGATGAAAAGGACAATTTCATAATGATAAAATTGAGAGAACATAACAATCCTAAATAATTATGCAATTAATAACAGATTTTCGAATTATCTGAAGCAACAACTGAAATAATTACAAGGAGAAAGAGATATTTACACGATTGCAATCACAGATTTAAAAACCATTCTATTAATAACCAGTAGAATAAGTAGACAGAAAATTAAGTGGAATATGAATTACTTGAACAACACTATCAGCCAACTGGACTTAATCAACATCTATAGAATACTTAATCAGACAAAAGTAGAATACACATTCTTGTCAAGGGTATACAGAACATTTACCAAAATAGACTAAATTCTAGACCATAACATAAGTCTGAATAAATTTTAAAGGACTCATAAAATATGGTTTCTGAATGTAATGGAATTATGTTAGAAACAATAATAGAAAGATATCAGGAAAGTCCACAAGTATCTGGAAACTAAATAAACCCCATCTGAAAAACTCATGTATCAAAAAAGAAATTTATACTTTAAATTGAATAAAAATATAAATGCAACATATCATTATCAGTGGGATGCAGCTAAAACAGTATTTGGAGGAACGTCTATAGCACTAAATAGCCTATAGTAAAAAGAAGAAAGATTTCAACTAAGTGCTATAAATTTCCAACTTAAGAAACTAGAAAAATAGCAGCAAATTAAACCCAGAGTAAGTTTATGACGTGAAATAATAAGGATCAGAACAGAACTCAATTAAATAGGAAAAATTAAGAAAAACAATATAACACAAATTTCATTCTTTAAGAAGATTAATAAAATTGATAAACCTCTAGTCAGACTGGTCAGGAATAAAACATAGGAGGTAAAAATGATCAATATTCAGAAAATTAGAGAGGTGACATTACTTCTAATTCTACAGATACTAAAAGGATAACATGGAAATATTTGAATGACTTTAAGCCAATAAATTTGATGATTTAAGTGAAATGGGAAAATTTCTTGAATGGCCAAAACTCTCAAATCTCACTCAGAAAGAAACTGAATTTGAATAGCTCTATATCTATCTAACGATTTGAATTTATAGTTAAAAGCCTTCCCACAAAGCAAACCCAGGCCAAATGTCTTCGCTGGTGAATTCTCCCAAACATTTAAGGAAGAAATAATGTCACAGCTATGCAAACACTTCCAGAAAATTAAACAGGATAAAATACTTTCCAACTCTGTAATTTCCAAAATACTTACAGACTAATGTGTCTTATGAAAAATAGATGCAAAAATTCTCAACAAAATGTTAGCAATTTGAATTCAACAATATATAATTAGGATAGTACAGCATGACCAAGTAAGGTTTGGTTTGGAGATGCAAGGTTGATTTTACATTTGAGAACAAATTGATGTAATTTACCATATTAACAGACTAAAAAAGAAAAAGCCCTAAGAGCTCAATAGATGCAGAAAAAACATTTGAAAAAAATTCAACATTCATTACTGTTAGAAACTTTCAGCAAATTAGGAACAGAAGAGACCTTCTTCAAGTTGATAAAAGTCATTTACCAAAAACCCATAGCCAACATCATATTTAATCATGAAATATCAAATGCAGTATTCCTCAGATAAGAAACAAAACAAGAATGCCTGTTTTTTTACCACTTCTATTCAACTGGCCAGTTGATAAGGCACACTTTCTCTCTCTTACCCCTGCCAAAAAAAAGGGCATCCAGACTGGAATGAAAGAGGTAAAATTATCTTTATTCGCTCATGACATATTTATGTAGAAAAATTGATGGCATCTGCAAACATATTTTTAGCACTAATAAGTGAGGCTGGCAAGGTTGCAGGATACAAGATCAACATACAGAAAAAAATTGTAGTACTATAAACTAGCAACAAACAGAAATTTAAAGGAAAACAGTGCCATTTTCAATAGTATACAAATATGAAATACTTCGGGATAAATCTGACAAAAATGTATAAGATCTGTACAATAAAAACCATGCTGAGAGAAATTATAAAAGACATAAATAAATGGAAATTTTACTGTGTTCACATAATAATTTTGAGAAGAACCAATATTATTCAGATGTCAGTTATTCCCCAAGTGACCTAGAGTTAATGCAATTGCAATTAAAACTCCATTAGGCATTTGTGTTTTTTTGGTAGACCTTGATAACTTGATTCAACACAATCCCAATTAAAATGTCAGTAGGCTTTTTTTCCCTAGAACTAATGTGTGGGCCTCAAATTCATTCAGAGATGCAAGATATCTACTATAATTAAAACAGCATTATTATATTAAAGAAAATAGTTGGAGGACTTATACTACCTGAGTTCAAGACTTATATTAAAGCTATAGTAATTAAGACAGTATGATATTGGCATCAAAATGGACAAGTAGTCAATGCAACAGAGTCCAGTAATGACCCAGGTACATGTAGTTAATTTATTTTTGACAAAGGTATAAAGGCAATTAAGTCTAGGAAAGACATTCTTTTTCAACAAATGCTATTGAAATAATTGTAACTTCTATTTTAAAAATTAATTTTTATTCCTATCTTATACCTGTATAAAATTAACTCAATATGTATCATAGGTCTAAATGTAAAAGTTTAAATTTTAAATTATAAAACTTCTAGAAGAATATATAGGAGAAAATATTTGTGACCTTGGATAGGGCAAGAATTTCTTAGAAATGATACCAAAAGCACAGTTCATTAAAAAAGATAAATTAGACTTTGTCAAAATTAAGACCATCTGCTCTTTGGTAGATACTCAAGAGAGTGAAAATACAAGCTACTGATTGAGAAAATATTTGCAAATAAATACATCTGATAAAAGATATATGTCCAGGATATGTTATTAAAACTAATAAAACTCAATAACAACAACAAAAATGTCTGATAAAAAATGGGCAAAAGATTTGAATAGATATTTCACTGAAGAAAATATATGAATGGCAAATAGGCATATGAATAGACTCTTAACATTATTATCACTCAGTTAAATGCAAATTAAAGCTACAATGAGATGCTAATATCCAAAGATTTTTTTTAAAACCGATCTTATCAAATGTTGGCAAGGATGTAGAGCAACTGGAACTCTGATACACTGTTGTCAAGAATGTGAAATGGTACAACTACTTTGGAAAATAGTTTAGTAATTCCTTAAAAGTTAATCATATACTTGTGATCCAGGAATTTCCCCAAGGGAAATGAAAACATCTGTTCATACAAAGGCTTGTACGCAAATATTTATAGCAACTTTATTTGTCACAGCCGAAAGCCAGAAACAATCAATGACAATTAACAGATAAGTGAATAATTATGATATATTCATATAATGGAATAAGAGTCACCAACACAAGTAATGAACTATTGATGTATGAAACAACATGAATGAATCTCAAAATAATTAGGCTGAGTGATAGAAGCTCGACAAAAAAATTAGCATGATACTTTGTCTTTGTTTCTGCTGCCTTAACAAAAATACCATAAACTGGGTAGTTTATAAATAGCAGAAATTTCTTACAGTTCTGAAGGCTAGAAGTCTCAGATCAGGGTGCCAGTGTCATAGGGCTCTTGTGAGGGCCCCATTCCAGATTGCAGACTGCTGGCTTCTCACTGTAACCTCACAGAATGGAAGGGATGAGTTAGCTCTCTGGGGTCTCTTGTATAATGGGTGCTGATCCCATTAATTAGGTCTCTGCTTCATGACCTTGTCGGCTCTCAAAGGCTCTACCTCCTAATACCATCAACTTGGAGGTTAGGATTTCAACATACGAATTTGGGAGTGGGGGCGCACAAACATTCAATCCATAGCAGTATGAGTCTCTTCATATAAATTTCTAGAAAATGAAAACTAATCTGTAGTAACAGAAAGCAGATCAGTGGCTTGAGGGAGTGTGGGTGAGTAGGGGATGGCAGATGGAGCAGAATAGAGGGAGGGATTATAAACGGATACAAGGAACCTTTTGCCATGTGGGATAGATAAATTATCTCGATTGCGTTGTTGGTTTCATGGGGTATACAAAGCTTATGAAAATGAACTTTTTAAGTATGTGTGGTTTATTGTATGTCTTATACCTCAGTAGAAAGGTTCACAGAAATGATGCCAAAGAAACCATCATTCACCACTGGTGCAGTGCTCTAGAACATGGGCATTGGAGGTGGACATGCCTGGGTTCAAACCCAATCCTGCACCTTGGACACTACTTTTTTCTGTAAGTCTCTTTCTTCATTATAGAGGCTCAGACTGTTGAATTAATATTATATTCTGCATACAAAATGGGGATAATAATGCCTCTCCAACAGGGTTGTGGTGAGGATCAGATGCACTAACATGTATAAATTGTGTGCATCATAGTAACTACTCAATCATCAGTCCTTTTTATTATTATTAGCACATATTTGGAAAATGAAGGGATAGTTCTTATGAAATGTGCTTTTGGCTCAATGGGAGACTAGTTCAGTGTGTCAGATGCAAATGAAAAGACCCATGAGGTTGGTTTCTCACTTTAAGTGATCTTGCCACATTCTGAAATTGAGCCTCCTCACTTCTGCTCAGCAACAAGAATGCAAATGTGCCCTGAAGCCTTGTTTGCAGAAAATATGACATTATTCTTACACCAGGCAGGAACCATTCCCTTTGGAATCTCTGCATTGCTGCATCTGTCTCTAAGATTTCAGGAACAAGCATCTCTCTGTGGTTAATTCCAGTCAGTTGAAAATAAGGCCAGCTTCTAGAGACTAGGCTGGGGACCACGATTCCCCCATTGCACTAATCCTGCCTTGTTCCAAAAGCAACTTCCTGTAAGAATGGGTTTGTCGATTTGTGAAAGCATTTAATACAGAGAGATGCCTATTAGTTTAAGCCTGACTTACTGAGTCCTCGCGAAGCCTGCCTGTACTTTTACAAAAGTTTTAGAAATTACAGTGCTCGGGATGGTGCTTTGACGTTGTGCTGGATTTGTAGGAATGATGGTAACATCATTGAATAATATTTATCTTGGGTATGTTGTAATCAGATTTTGATCCTAATGCCAAACTGCTATAGAGGAGGGGGTAAACCCTTATTGTTTTTATGACTGATGGGGCTATCTTTGCATTGTTGTTTACAAATTGTTCTATAATATAATGCCTTCAATCAGAGTATTTTTAAGAGAAATCAGCAGAATTTTGTAATACCCCCATCAATTGGCACTTTTGTGTTATTTTTCACAGATAATTGAGCCAGTGGCACATATGAGAGACTTCTTAGTCCACATCAAGGTGGCAATGATTTGACTGTGTCAGTTACAAGGAGACTTTGTGCTCTCTGGGATGACTAGGCTGAGGGCCCTGTGAGAATAAGAACTAAGCTTGACTGTTTATGATCATATCCATAGCAACAAGCCCAGAGCTTGCCTCTTTCTCAGCACTAAATCAATATCTGTTCAGTGGCTGATTGATTGCTGAAGAGTGCTACTCTCTCTCAACTATTAGAAAAAACCCCTATCTCTGTATCATCTGTCTGTCCACCCATCTATTATACTCCTTCCTCTCTTAAAAATACTTTTCCTGTATTCATAAATTTAATTCTAATAACTCTATGAGAGAGACTATTATTATCCACTTTTTACAGACAAGGAAACTGAGACACAGAGAGGTTAAGCAATTGCCTGAGGTCCCACAGCTGGCGAGTTATGGAGCTTGTGTAACCTTATTTTCTATGCCTTAATCACATGATTTTTACAAGGACAGCCTGTTCTGTAAGTCCAGGTCTTTTCAATGTGGGAAAAATTGGAAAAGGATAGATTTTATCTTTTGTACTTTTCCTAACCTTATGATTCTAATCCAAGTTGAAGACAGAAATGGTGAAGGCCCAAATAAATTCAACTGTGTGTGTATGCGTGTGTGTATATATGCATGTGTGCTTGTGTGTGTATGCATGTGAATATATATGCATGTGTGTGTATACGTGTGTGTATATATGCATGTGTGCTTGTGTGTGTATGCATGTGTATATATGCATGTGTGCTTGTGTGTATACATGTGTGTATATATGCATGTGTGTATGCATGTGTGTGTATGCATGTGTGCTTGTGTGTGTATATGTGTGTGTATATATGCATGTGTGCTTGTGTGTGTATGCACAAGGGCACATGTGTGTGCCTTGCCTGGGCATAATGGAGAGAGGGCAGAGAGAACCAGCAACAGCAACCTCAGAATCCCAGTGAGAATTCGTAATGACTCTGTCTGGAAGCACAAGAATAAGACCTTTCTGACATTTAAAAAATTCTGTGCACGTATTTTAGGTGATGGCATTCCCCTGAAGAAGATTAAAATATGACATAGCTGAAAATTCTCTTAAAGCTGAGAAAAAGTAGTTAACATTTAATAACAAATTTTGACCCTTGAGCGTTAAAAGTATCTATCAGTGACTATACATACTCAATCCGATTTTGCTTTTCTGTAGCATTAATCATGGTGATATTTGGATTTTAAGGAAAAATAATTAGGAGAAAAGCAGAATTGGGGGCCCTCATCCATGTTCTACTTTCTAAAACTCCTGTGGGTAAATTTTCCTTAAGAAAGGTGGTTTGGTCTTGCTGATGGCATAATTTCAATAATGAATAATTCAGAGAAGCAGGCAGTGAGTGTTAGCTGAAGACAGGAAACGTATCTTTGAATTCCTCTTCATTTTATGGGCCTTTGGAAGCAGCCACCTATCTATACAAGGCTCTCTAAGGGAAAAATGGGCACCATTCTTAGGCTAATGGGAAATAATGGTGTGATCAGTGAAGCTCTTTTCTTGGAAGCCTGCAATAGAGCTTAGCCATCTGAACCTCTCTGCTTCACTGCTCTGGTATCTGGACTATTATCAAAGAAGGGGTATCGAAACGGTAGAATTTTACAGGGGAAATCAGCAATCCACCTGAAGCAGTGCTGGTCTCTGGTGTGTGGATCTAGAAGGAACACAAAACTGAAAACTGATAAGGTGTCATTTCATCCAGCAGACCGTGTAAGTGAAAATTTTGGCTTGCTCTGCTGTTTTCCAGTTTCTCCATGTCCAGGATGAAAATACTTTTGCCTTCTGGATTCTGAAACTGTTATGCATCTGTGCTCGCTGGAGGAGAGCTGATGGGGGATTGTGTGTCATCAGTCAAGAGGCTTAACCATCCTCTCTATTAATTAGGGGACAGAACACTGCTTCTATTTAACTGCCCCCTACCCCAGTTGGTGCAACACCCTTTTCAAGTGTTTTCCTTGCACTTTGTTGAACACACACATAGGAGCGGATCTACCTATGCACAGGTGGATGTGTAGAAGTGAGTCAGGTGAACCAGCATCTTTCTTTCCGCATGCCCACTGCCTCCACCTTTGCTAGCAAGTCCCTGATGACTTGGCAGGGGCTTTTGACCATGTCGTGGGTAATAGTGGGGGGACATCCTAGCTCAAACACAAACTCTCCAGCCTCCCAGAACTACAGTTGGGCAGTACCAATCATCCTGAAATACCCCTATTGCTCCATCCTTCTGACAAACCAGTGTGAGGTCTTCGGTATTTTTCAAGTCTCAATGATATATCTTTGACTTGAGGCACCATGGTAATGGAAAGCAATTTCCATTCTTCCCAGGAACAACCCCCATGCCATCTCTTCATCCACTAGTCTGGCCCAGCAGGCCAGTTTCCTTATTGACTTTATTTCTATCCCTGCTAAGCCACATCTTCCTCATATACTGAATTTCATATATCACCTAAATTGTTGGTGATTTTAATTTTCTTCTTTATGCTTTGTGTAATGTAAGAGTGTTTTCCAATAAGACATTTATAATCAGAACTTCCTCCAAATTCTCCAAATACTAACCACCAAGTACATCCTACCTGTCTTCTATGATTTAACCCAACTTCCGTTTCCACTATGAATCATTCCCTTTCTTGGTGACCAACTGGGTTTTGTATTCCATACCTACTGTAACACCCATTTATTCATTCATTCCTCCATTTGCAGCAATTATTTACCAAGTGCCTGCTATGAGCTGGGCCCTGTTCCAGAACACTCTTTGGCATACATTGTTTACATTTCTGCCTCTTCCCTTGTAGGTCTTGAGTTCCATGTGAAGTATACATTTTTGCAGACTGTGATGGTTAATTTTGTGTTAACTTGACTGGTTTAAGAATGTCTAGATAGCTGGCAAACTATTATTTCTGGGTGTGTCTGTGAGGGCGTTTCTGGAAGAGATCAGCATTGGAATCAATAGACTGGGTGAAGGAGATCTGCCTTCAGCAACATGGGTAGGCATCATCCAGTTGGTTGGGGGCCCAGAGAGAACAAAAAGGCAGAGAAAGGGTGAACTCTCTCTCTTCCTGAGCTGCAATACCTATCTTCTGTCCTCAGAAGCTGGCACTCCTAGTTCTTGGCCTTCAGACTTTACCCCCAGATTCCTCCACAACCCCCGTGTGTTTTTCAGGCCTTTGTTCTCAGTCTGGGAGATACACCATCAGATCCGTTGGTTCTCAGGCCTTTGTGCTTAGATGGAATTATACCACCAGGTTTCTTAGTTCCAGCTTACAGACTGTAGGGCTTCTCAGCATTTATAACCATGAGAGCCAATTCCCGTAATTAATAAATGTCCTCTTCTATATTGATGTATATCCTATTGGTTCTGTTTACCTAGAGAATATTGACATACATAGACTGAATCTCTCTCTCTCTCTTTTTTTTTTTTTGAGATGAAGTTTCACACTTGTCACCCAGGCTGGAGTGCAGTGGTGCAACATTGGCTCACTTCAATCTCCACCTCCTTGGTTCAACTGATTCTCCCACCTCAGCCTCCCAAATAGCTGGGATTACAGGTACCTGCCACCACACCCAGCTAATTTTTGTATTTTAGTAGAGACAGGGTTTCACCATGTTGGCCAGCCTGGTCTTGAACTCCTGACCTCAGGTGATCTGCCTGCCTTGGCCTCCCAAAGTGCTGGGATTACAGGCGTGAGCCATCACGCCCGACACACAGACTGAATCTCTTACAGCTATGCTGATGCATAGATACGAGTTGACTACTCAGCAGGAGAAAACATTTTCTAGGAGAAGAAAATATTTATAGCTGGTCATGAAGGTGGCATGCTGATCTGCTGTACAACAACATGACAATCTAATTGCTTTGTGGTTGGTATAAAGTATTATGCTCGAGACATCCATCTGAATTTTGGTTTCTCTGCCTAGATGTTTTCATATCACGTCGAGGTCGGAATAGCCAGAATAGCCATCGAGTCCCTGGTCAAAGGGCCAGCTGATGGGACTTTGATGTGGCTGTGGGTGAAAGTCAAGCTTTTAAGTACAGTTAGGGATCTCACCCAGACCCAGATTCAGCTCTGACCTCTGGTAGATGAGGACAGGGAATGGAGGTTATTTATGGGAAGAATGAGAAATTCAGTTGGCCATACCATGGTGCCTCAGGTCAACAGAGAGCTAGTGCATTGCTGGATGGATGGCGCAAAGGGCGTAGGAGGCCTCCTGACCAGCCTGCACCATTTGGGGCTTAGGAAGGCTGAGCACTGTCATTAGAACCCAACCGAAGAGGACTGGCCAAGGTCTCAAGACCCTCCTTTTGACTGTGATAGCTCTGGCTTTACCTCTTTCTCATCCTGCATGCTTCATCCTCCCCAGACCTACTGATTTGGTTCTTGAGCTCTGTGGTCTCATCAGCTAACATGCTACTTGTCCTCTATTCTCTTCCCTCTGCCCCACTCCATCCTCATCTTACCTTCCTTCCTGTCCCTTCAGATATTTACTGGGAATCTGCTCAGGCTATGAGAAGCCCACTATGGATTGCTTTATCTATTTACTATACAGGCATTGAGGACTAACATCTATTCACCATGGGTCAGACATTGGGACTAACACATCCAGAGGATGTGAGATGGGAGAGAACAGCAAATTCGAAGGCCTGAAAGGGGTCCAGACTGGCTAAGCACAGAGTAGGAAGAGAGCAGTGGCAAGAAATGATGCAGGAGGTATGGGCTGCAGCCAGGCCATTAAGAGTCTTGTGAGACATTTTGCACTTTGGTTTAAGAGCCAGGAAAGCCATTGCAGCATTTAAGCTGAGGAGTGACATGGTCAGATTTGCATTTTATAAAGCTTGCTCTGCCTACAGCATGGACCATGGATTAGAGAGTGGCAAGAGTAGAGGCAGGGATCATTGAAGTGGCTGTTGCAGTGAGCAGCTGAGCCCAAAGGGAGGAAATGCAACAATTAAGAATATTTAGAGGAAGATAGTGTGGCGAGTCCCCAGAGACCTAGAACCAGAAATACCATTTGACCCAACAATCCCATTACTGGGTATATACCCAAAGGAATATAAACCATTCTGTTATAAAGATACATGCACGCACATGTTCACTGCAGCACTATTCACAATAGCAAAGACATGGAATCAACCCAAATGCCCACCAATGACAGACTGGATAAGGAAAATGTGGTACATATACACCATGCAGCCATAAAGAAAAAGATCATGTCCTTTGAAGGACATGGATGGAGCTGGAAGCCACTATCCTCAGCAAATTAACATAGGAACAGAAAACCAAACACCACATGTTCTCACTTATAAGTGGGAGTTGAACAATGAGAACACATGGACACAGGGAGGGGAACAACACACACTGGGGCCTGTCAGGGAGGTGGGGGGAGGAAGAGCATCAGGATAAATAGCTAAGGCTTGCAGGGCTTAATACCCAGGTGATGAATTTATAGGTGCAGCAAACCACCGTGGCACACGTTTACCTATGTAACAAACCTGCAGGTTCTGCACACATACCCCAGAACTTAAAATAAAATAAAGAATATTTAGAAGAGGAGCCCACTGCTTTTAGAGAATAATTATATGGGTGGCCCACATATGTGGGTAAAGCTTTTAAGTACCATCAGGCATCTCACCCAGACCCAGTTCCAAGGAGCAGGGGACAGTGGGAAAGGCCCCTACCTCCAAGGAGCTCATAGTCTAATATAAGTGATTCTTAGTTTCTGGGGTAGAATAAGAAACAGATGCCAAGACAGCCAATATGAATCTCTGGGGCAGAGGTAAGTGGTTAAAAACACGTTTTAAAAAATGCCAATTTTTAACACAATCTGTAGAAGGTGAAGTTCTGCAAAGTCTCGGTTAGTGATATTCGTAGAAAAGCATGCAGGAACAATGGGTTATAAGATGTGTCAGCCGGGTGCGGTGGCTCATGCCTGTAATCCCAGCACTTTGGGAGGCCAAGGTGGGTGGATCACCTGAGGTCAGGAGTTTGAGACCAGCCTGGCCAACACGGTGAAACCCCGTCTCTACTAAAATACAAAAATTAGCCTGGCATGGTGGCGGGCGCCTGTAATCCCAGCTACTTGGGAGGCTGAAGCACGAGAATCGCTTGAACCTGGGAGGTGGAGGTTGCAGTGAGCCGAGATCGTGCCACTGCACTCTAGCCTGGGCAACAAAGAGAAACTTTGTCTCAAAAAAAAAAAAAAGTGTCAATCCTGGCATGGAAGGGAAACAGAACATGATAACTGATTAGATGATGGGATCCATTTGCAGTTGGGACAAGGGGAAAATGCTATTTTGGAAACCTTAGCAGTTTATGACAAAAACAAAGCAATCTTTGGGAGAGATGTTCCCCTTGCTTTGGGGGTCCCTTTAGTGAGCCCGTTTGGTCATGCAGATGGAAGTTAAGGACCTGCCTCTTGCTATTGGGAGCACCTTTCTTATGTATATGAACTTGGGATTTTTGTAACCTTTAAAGAAAAGATAGTCAAGGCTTTCACATTCCTTGTGTGGCCAGAGATGGAAGCTTGAGTTGTCTTTAGGGCTCAAAGCTCCTCACCTTGGGGGAAATTATTATTTGATGCATTTGGCTGTACAAAAGACAAAACTATGGTCTGAGTTTGGAATGGGTAATGAGGCATCCCCTGCCTAAGGATGGTGACTCCATTGAGAGTACAGTGACTCTGCAGAGATTTTATCTCAAACAGATTTGGCCTCAGGGAGTAAGGAAATGATCACGGAGGTTTTTTCTTTTATTTATTTATTTATTTATTTATTTTTAATGGGGCCTATGAATTGACTCCAGAGACCTGACTGCTGCATTGGAGATAAGGGAAAGAGGGTCATTGAGGATCCCCGGTGAAATTATTTGGTCCACGGGGTTGTGATACCTGATTTCTTTCCAACTTATGCATTGACTTCTATTACGTGCTCCTTAAACTTTGGCAACAGGTCTGCATTTGCAGTTGGAGTAAAGTTTTTGCAACTAGAGACTGGGTAGATTGTAGAGAACTGGAGTAAAGTGGCAGAGCAGGTAAGAGGTGACCAGGTATGACAGGTGGGAAGCTGGGGGAGCAGGGCAAGGTGGAGCCATGGGATATGGATGCATTTCCCAAGTGTCCTTGGGAACACTTGTTGTAGCTTTGTGGGAGGGGGCTCAGGTCAGGATTACTTTGTTATTATAGAAAATTGAATGGTAAAAAGGAAGAGAGGGATAGGGAGAGATTTGTTAAGGATACAAAATTACAGCTAGATAAGGGGGATACGTTTTAGTGTTCTCTACCTCTGTAGGATGAATATATGTAGGTAACATATTATGTAGTTTCAAATAGCTAGAACAAGAATATCGAATGTTTGCAACACAAAGAAAGAAATGATGTTTGAGATGATGGATATGTTTTACTTATACTGATTGGCGATCAGATTAGTATATGTATCAAAACATCACTGTGTACCCCATAAATATGCCATTATTATGTCAGTTAAAAAATTAAGAAGTTAGATGCAAAAAAAAAAAGAGGAAAGACTGGTCTCTAGAGGGCTGTAAAACTTAGTTTGCAGCTGTTGTCACAGGGCTGCAAGGTGCCAAGAGGAAGAAGTACTGGCACTATATTAGTCTCCTCTGCCACAACAAAATACCATAGGCTGGGCAGCTAAACAGGAATTTCAGGCAAGAGAAAGAAATAAAAGGCATCCAAATTGGAAGAGAGGAAGTCAAACTATCTCTGTCTGCAGATGATATGATTCCATACCTAGAAAACCCCATAATCTCTACTAAAAAGTCCTAGATCTGATACACGACTTCAAAGTTTCAGGATACAAAAATTGGTAGCATTTCTATACACCACCAATGTCCAAGCTGAGAGTTAAGTCAAGAACACACTCCTATTCACAATAGCCACAAAAAAAATAAAATACCCAGGAATACAGCTAACCAGGGAGGTGAAAGATCTTTACATGGAGAGCGACAAAACACTGCTGAAAGAGTTTAGAGGCAACACAAGCAAATGGAAAAACATTCCACATTCATTGATAGGAAGAATCAATGTTATTAAAATGGCCATATCGCCCAAAGCAATGTACAGATTCAATGCTAGTCTTATCAAACTACCAATGACATTCTTCATAGAATTAGAAAAAGCTAATTCTAAAATTCATATGAAACCAAAGAAGAGCCAGAATAGCCAAAGCCATCCTAAGCAAAAAGAACCAAATCTGGCAGTATCACATTACCTGACTTCGATCTATACTTCAAGGCCACAGTAACCAAAATAGCATGGTACTGGTACAAAAACAGATGAATGGAACAGAACAGAGAGTCCAGAAAAAAATGCCGCACATCTACAACCATCTGATCTTCAACACAGTTGACAAAAAACCAAGCAATGAGGAAAAGACTCCACCACTTTTATTTATGGTGCTGGGATAACTGGCTATCCATATGCAGAAGATTAAAACTGGACCCGTTCCTTACATCACCTGCAAAAATCAACTTAAGATGGATTAAAGACTTACATGTAAAACCTAAACTATAAACACCCTGGAAGATAATCTAGTAAATACCATTCTGGACATAGGTCTTGGCAAAAATTTCATGACGAAGATGCCAAAGGGAATTGCAGCTAAACTGAAGATTGACAAATGGGATCTAATTAAACTAAGGAGCTTCTGCACAGCAAAAGAAACTATCAATGGATTAAACAGGCAACCTTACCTACAGAATGGGAGAAAATATTTGCAAACTATGCAACCAATGAAGGACTAATATCCAGAATCTATACAGAACTTAAATTACATGCAAAAAACAACCTCAATAAAAAGTGGGCAAAGGACATAAACACTTTTCAAAAGAAGACATACATATGGTCAATAAGCCTATGAAAATATGCTCAACAACACTAATCATTAGAGGAAGAGAAATCAAAACCACAATGAGATACCATCTCACAACAGTCAAAATGGCTATTATTAAAAAGTCGGGCTGGGTGTGTTCGCCCACGCCTGTAATCCCAAGCACTTTGAGAGGTCAAGGTGGGCGGATCACCTGAGGTCAGGGGTTTGAGGCCAACCTGGCCAACATAGCAAAACCCTGTCTCTACTAAAAATACAAAAATTAGCCAGGCATGGTGGCATGCGCCTGTAATCCCAGCTACTATGGAGGCTGAGGGAGGAGAATTGCTTGAACCCAGGAGGTGAAGCTGAGATCATGCCACTGCACTCCAGCCTGGGTGACAGAGCAAGACTCCGTCTCAAAAAAAAAAAAAAAAAAAAAGATGCTGACAAGGTTGTGGAGAAAAGTGAACACTTATACACTGTTGATGGGAGTGTAAATTTGTAAATTAATTCAACCATTGTGGAAAGCAGTGTGGTGATTTTTTCAAAGAACTTAAAACAGAATTACCATTCAACCCAGCAATCTCATTACTGGGTATATACCCAAAGGAATAGAAATCATTCTATCATAAAGTCACATGCATGACTGTGTTCATCACAGCACTATTCACGAAAACAAAGATAAGGAATCAAGCTAAATGTGCATCAGTGGTAGACTGGATAAAGGAAATGCACATATACACCATGGAATACTATGCAGCCATAAAAAAGAATGATATCACATCCTTTGCAGCAACATGGATAGAATTGGAGGCCATTATTCTAAGCAAACTAATGCAGGAACAGAAAACCAAATATTGCATGTTCTCATTTATAAGTGGAGAACACATGGAGAACACAAGGACACAAAGAAAACAAGAGACAACAGGGCCTACTTGAGAGTGGAGGATGTGGGGAGGGAGAGAATTGAAAAACAGCCTGTGGGTACTATGCTTATTACCTGGGTGACAAGATAATGTGTAAACCAAACCCATGAAACACAATTTACCTATAAAACAAACCTGCATATGTACCCCTGAACCTAAAAGTTAAAAAGTAAAAGTATTTAATTAAAAAAAAAGAAAAAGAAAACCAAGCAAACAGAAATTTGTATTATCGCCATCCTGGAAGCTGGAAGTGCAAGATGAAAGTGCCAGCATGGCCGCGTTCTGGTGTGGGCCTTCTTCCTGGCTTATGTCATCCCACTGTGTCCTCACATGGCCTTTGTTTGGTGCCCCTGCATGAGAGGTGGGCTCACAATCTCTGTTATCTCTACTTATAAGGGCACTAATCCCATTATGAGGGTTCTACCCTCATGACCTCCTCTGAGCCTGCTACCTCCTAAAGGCCCACCTCCAAATGCCATCCCATTGGGGGTTAGCGTTTTAACATCTAAGCTTGGGGGCACACAAACATTTAGTCCATATCACAGTCCAAAGGAGGCATTGTGGAATAGCTGACATCTCAGCTCCCAGAATTAGAGAGTTTTTTGGCTGGGCACAGCCATTTGTCTTTCAGAGGAATATGAATGCTCAGTACTGACCAGGTCAATTTAAGTGGGCCTTTGAAGACTTGCAGAGCAGGAGTCAGATCTGGCCCAGCAGCAATAAAAATGATAAATATCAGGACCTTATATGTATTGAGTGCTTCATGTGCTGTGCACTGTACATGTGTTATCATTAAATCTTCACCACTGTCCCATGAGAGGGGCATTGGCATCTTCATACAACAGATGGAAGATGGGTGCTCAGGGAGACACTGCAGGGTGCCTGGCTCCTGAGCAGTGGCTGTCTCGCTTGGAGGCTGAGATCGGTTTCAGGTGAGTTTACCTAGATGCTCAGGATCTGGAAAAGTGAACCAAGAGTAGGAGGGCCCCACCCCCACACCTGGAGCCAATTCATCCGTCCCTGAGGGACTAAACTCTAGGTTCAGGACCCCCCATTGGGACCGACGCCATCCCTACCTCCTGTCCCCACTACCAACCAGCTGTCATGGTGTCTGTCCAGGTGAACTCCTGGCTGAGGTAAAGGTGTTCATTTGGGTGGGCTTAGCCCATGCTGCCCACAAAGTGAAGCTCATCTCGGCGCATTCTGTTTCCCAGACTCCACAGCTGTAGGGGACCCGTGCTCAGCATAGCCCAGGTCAATGTTGCTCCTGCATAGAGAGTGATCCACAATGCACCTTAAAGCTCCTGAATGAAAACAACAACAAATCACAGTCCTTGCTTAAGGATGTTGTTATAAATGGGGTCCCTATGGTGCCTCTGTGGAAAAGGCCAGTTGGCAACTCATGTGATACAGGAGCAGATCTGCACTTAGGATGCTTCCTGCAAAATTAATGGACCTGGTTAACAGAGATCTCCATAAAATATAGATGGCCACAGTCCCCAGGGTGGAAATGGAAAGAGATCGCCCCTGCTACGGTATGTGATTTATTGAGGGCTATAAGTTCACAAGATGCTTTGCAGAATGTATAAAAAGATGAGGTTCCTGGCCCCAAGGATTGCAAGCCTAAGACGGAAATCATTGAGTATTGAAGTTCAAACTCACTGCAACCTGTGATCGTTATCAAGAATAGACTTTAGGCAGACAGGCTAAGGACAGCTGTTCATTTTGAGGAAGTGTTTAAAGGAGATTAAGAGTGATGATCTCTGAAGAAAGGCAGAATGTTAACTTAGAGCGAAACAAAAATGTATGTACATCTCGAAGGCCTCAGAGACAAGAAGCTGTATTAAATGTCAAATTAAAAGACAAGTCTTCAATGATAATAAATGCCTGCCTCTGTTAACATGCAGCAGAAGCCTGCCATGGGCTTGGTGAGACGTGGATTATTTCTGTTCTGATTAAATTACCTTGGTTATATCTTCTCTGGGGGCAAAAGCCTCCACATTTGAAAGAATTGTGGTTAAGCCTTAAGGTGAACTCTCTAGCCTGAGACAAGAATTTTAGGCATAGGAAGGAGCAGCTTTTAAACACACATACCTAAGCTGTTGTACTTAGTCTGATGAATTATAAAATGTCCCTACTGTCCCCTCCTCACTTCCACACCATCTCGCTTCTAGAAGCTTTGAAGAATTAAACTTGCACTTAAACATGCATCATCTGATAGATGTGACACATGTGTAAGTTATATTGTACAACCTCAAAGTATGTTAGTTATACTATTATCTGTTTAGATCCAGGTTTCCTTTTTGAAAGCTGTAGTTTTTTCAACTGATTCATATTCAAAATCACAGGCTGGGCTGACAAGCTATTACCTCACCCCAGACAAAATATCTAGTTGTATGTACAAAAAAGGAAAAAGAAAAGCTTCTTGTTTCTCAGTGCTCAGAAGAACACATTTTCTTTAAAGAAAATGCATGAGTTCTATGCGTTGCCCATCCTGCTGTGCTGAACTTTGTGTCTGCAAGAGTCAGTGGAATCGGAATCATTAATGTGTTTCAAAAGCTCCACGGAAATGGCTCTAAAGGAGAAGGTGCTAGCAAGCAGTACCCACGCATGCCTCCCTACATGTGCACATCTTGGTGGGGCCTCCTTTGAATGGTTCTGCAGGTGGTTTGGACACTGCTCAAGAGTCCCCTTGGCTGGCAGGCAACGGACCACTAGTCAGAAATAATTGCTTCTCCTCCTTTTCTTCTCTTTTCTCCCCACCTCTTTCCCTCTTCTTTAGATATTACATTTGAGGGGTGAGTTGGCTGTGGCCTCAGGACCCAGTGGAGTGCAGCCATAGCCCCCTGAAGACCCTCTTCACTTGCTCTTCAGAGGGTGCTGGAGCACAGTCGCTGAGCACTTCCTGCTACTGGGCCTTTGGATCTGAGAGCCGGGGCAGGCCTCCCTGGTAAAATGGGTTTGAGGACATAGAGGACCTTTGTTTCCTAAATCTAAGTGGCTCAACACTCCCAGCAGTCCACGGGGACTTGTCACCAGAGAGCACGAAATAGCAAGAGAAAGCCCTGTTTGGTCCCCACACCCAGGGCTGACATGGCCTGGCCGCTGTGTGGACAGAGTAAACCAAAGCCATTCATCTTAGAGGGGTGAGAGAAGAGACCTCTCACTCGCAGCTCTCACCAGTGAGCGTGGCACTGGCCTTGCCCTGGAGGCCAAATACTCCACCTAACAAAGGGTCCTTTCCACCGGGCAGGCAGCGTGGAGGGAGACAGAGAAGCCTTGAGATTCTTCCAGTAGAGCCCACTAAAAATCATCCTTGTATGTTATATCTTCTAGTACAACATCTGCTCTTTTTTGAGTGTCTCTTACTTCCACCACGCAGGAAGGCACCCGAGTGTGAATTCACACAATTCTAAAAATCAAAGCAAACAAAAAACCCCAAGACCACGCAAAATTAGGATACTGTATGTTTTAGATACTGTTATGGCATATAATTATTGAAGTCAAGATGTTCCTAATATGCCAGCGGAATTTATAGAATACTAGACGCTAGGTTCTATTTTCCCTTTATGGATGTGCTAAAAACAATGTCACTAGCTCTGTAGTGTGTTTTTGTGACATTATTTGAGGTTGTTTTGTCAAGATTGTTTCCGGTGGTAAACAGCTTCATTTTCTAAAAGCTTCAACTCAAATTAAGATCAAAGTGAAGACCTCTTTTTTTTCTTGAGTTTCCATCAGTTAAGTGTTTGTGAAATTTCAGGGATGAATTAATGGTTCAAAATGAAGCATCTTTTATTCTTCTTGCTTTCTTTCCACTTTTCCCATCCAGCTAGGCGGTGGCTGTGCCTGTCCCATGCTGGGACACCGGCCAGAGCGGGTCTTGCCAAGCCCACCAAAGCCTCCTCTGACTGCATGAGTTTCCTGTCACTGCTGTAACAAGTGGCAACAGACAGAGTGGCTAAAAACGAAACACATTTAGTATCTTATGGCTCTTTAGACCAGAAGTCCCATACAGGTTGTGCTGGCTAAAATAATTTGTTAGCAGGGCTGGTTTCTTTCCGGAAGCTCTAGGGGAGAACATATTTCCTTGCCTTTTCCAGCTTCTAGAAGCCACCACTCTCTCTCTCTCTCTCTCGAGGCCTACCTCCTTCCTGCTTCAAAGCCAGCAAGAGTGGGTAGGGTGCCTTTCACATTGATCTGTCTTCTGCCTCTTCTTCCATTTTTAAGGACTTGTGATTAGATTGAGCCCATCTGGGTAATTCTGGATGCTCATGCCTTCTCAAGGTCAGCTGATCCACAACCTTGGTTGCACCTGCAACCTTATTCCCTTTTGCCAGGTAAAATGACATATTGCAGGTTCTGAGATTAGGATGTGAACATCTTTTTTTTTTTTTTTGGTAGGGAGGTTGTTATTTGCCTACCACAGTGACCTAGGCCTCTCTTGTGGCTCTGTGTCCTGTGTCCTCTCTGCTCAGTCTAACTGTGCTGGGTGCCCACATTTTTCACTTTTTGAATGTACGTCAGCTTCTTTACCTGGCAGAATTCTCTCGGAGTTGTAGCAGGAGTGGCTGAAGCCTGGGGAAGCAGGGAAGCATGGTTAACCTGTAGAGGGCCCTGAGGTTGGAGGGGTGAGGTAGGACTGCAGAGAAACTGGGAATGGGAGTTCTGGGCCTTTATGGGAAAGATGGGAGAGCAGGACCTGCTAAAGGTGTGAGCCTCGTTAGGTACCTCTTATAGGTGTGGCCCTCCCTCACTAGCTACTTGCTGCAGGTGTGGCCCTCTCTCATGAAATACCTGCTGCAGGTGTGACCTTCTCTCACTGGGTACCTGCTGCAGGTGTGACTATCTCTCACTGGGTATGTGCTGCAGGTGTGGCCCTCTCTCACTGGGTACCTGCTGAAGGTGTGACCGTCTCTCACTTGGTATGTGCTGCAGGTGTGGCCCTCTCTCACTGGGTACCTGCTGAAGGTATGAGCCTCTCTTGTCTAGGAGGTAGCTCCAGGTGGTGGTAATAGGGTGTGGCAGTGTGGGATGCAGACCTGGGCCTGTGCGAAGCACTTGGGTAATCTGCAATGCCAAGAGCTCACTGCTGAACAGTGAGGACTTCCCTGTGCTGGCCCCGAGTCAGCAGTGCAGCCTAGCTGTCTATTCCCAGAGATCCACACCACCATTTACGCAGACTGTGGAAAAGGCACAGCAAATATTCAGTTTATGAAGTGGAGGCTGACAGCAATTTAGCCCAAGAGAATAATTGACTTAACTCTGCATGACCAGGGCCTAGGCATCCCCTTTCCCACATACAGGAAAATCTATTCTTGGCCGAAATTGCTGTTTGATTTTTCCTTCCATACTCTTATATTCCTGAAGGTGACAAATAGTTTTCTGACAAATACAAAATTTCTCTGATATCCTGCTGCCTGCAGCCTGATTGTCTTCTTCTTGTATATTAACGTGACTGCCCACAGCCTGGATTGATCTAGCTTGTTTACAGTGGGGTGAAGCCATTGATTTTAACCAAGTCCTCATTCTAGAAATCAGCAGAATGCATCCATTTTGGCCCCCCATCCCATTCTCAGAACATTAATCAACTCGCTAAGTAATTCAATTTATGGGCCCCAATTAGCCTCTCTCCAGAGACCCAGAGAATTGAGATGTACCGTTCATTGCCAAAAACTTTGAGTCATTAATTTTGAATCCTCATGTCCAAAGTTCAGGGAACTTATTCAATAAGACTTTAGATCATTTTCTAGTTGTTTCCTTTTGCATCACGTACTTCAGTACTTACAGTTAGTGGGCAAAGTGCTTTGGGCTAGAATCTCTTTGTTGAAAGGGGTCCTGGAGATCACCTGGCACCTCTTGTCTCCACCATTGCTGGAATTCCCTTTCTGATGTTTTTTCTAAGTCAGCAGTCCTCAAACTTCAATGTGTATAAGAATCACATGGAGAGCTTGCTTAAACAGTGTTCTGGGCCCCTGATTCTGACTCAGTGGATCAAGGTGGGGCTTGAGAATTTGCATTTCCCGCAAGCTCCCAGCTGATGTTGCTGCTGGTCCAGGGAGCCCATGTCAGGTGACGCTGCTCTAGGCAGAATTTTTGGGGGCAGCTGTGCAAGGAGAAGCTTCAGTGGGCTATTGGGAAGGAGGGCCAGGTGAGGTAGTCTCACCAAGCATTTTAGTACCACAAATGTTTTGCCAAGATGACTACTTACGGGAGATTCTAGGTAGAGACACAAGGCATTGGTCCCCCAAGAGGGTGGGAAAGGAGAAATGGAGGCAAACTAAAAACAAAAAACAAAAAAAGAAATAGATAAGCTGCATGTGATTCTTAACTGTGCTAGTCCAGTTCTGTGATATGCAGAAAGAATTTCTGGGCAATATATCTGGTTACTTTTTAATGTTTCTTACTTGAGGCCGGGTGCTCATGCCTGTAATCCCAGCACTTTGGGAGGCTGAGGTGGGTGGATCACCTGAGGTCAGGAGTTCGAGACCAGCCTGGCCAACATGGTGAAACCTCGTCTCTACTGAAAATACAAAAGTTAGCCAGGCATGGTGGTTGGTGCCTGTAGTCCCAGCTACTCGGGAGGCTGAGGCAGGAGAATTGCTTGAACCCGGGGGGCAGGGGTTGCAGTGATCCAAGATCATGCCACTGCATTCCAGCCTGGGCAACAGAGTGAGTCTCTGTCTCAAAAAAAAAAAAAAAAAAGCTTCTTATTTGAGTAATAATGACCACATAGACTATTTTTTTTTCCACCACCGCCACAGCTTTCCTGTTAATCCAACTCATTTAAGTTCATGTGTGTTCCTTTTTTCTCTAGACTTTTTTTTAGCAAGCATACCTTAGGAAACTGAACTTCGCTTGAAACTGAAACTACCCTCCCAAAATCATCTCCAAGGTAGGTAAAATTTTAATTAGTTTAATTTTCAGAAGTGCCTTAAAAATTATTCTGTTACGAATTGACATCAGTGAGCAAGGAAAGCCCTCCAAGTTCGTGATCTCCTGCCTGCACTTCCCATTTCTTACCACGTTTTGAAAGCTGACATTGTTTTGCCATGTCTCTAAGGGAACAATGACTTTGATGCAATGAAACTCTTTCTGAGGCTTAATATTAATGATAATCATCAACAAATATGTATGATATGCCCACGCAAAATGTCAAATGCTTTAAGCATTTAGAGGGGGTGGTATCCTGATTTTTTAATACACTTAAAGTATGGTTTATAAGTGGATTTGTGAGGATGCGATTTTTTTTTTTTTTTGAGGTGGAGTCTCACTCTGTCGTCCAGGCTGGAGTGCAGTGGCACTATCTCGGCTCACTGCAGGCTCCACCTCCTGGGTTCAGGTCACTCTCCGGCCTCAGCCTCCCGAGTAGCTGGGACTACAGGCACCCGCCACCGTGCCCGGCTAATTTTTTTTGTATTTTTAGTAGAGACGGGGTTTCACCGTGTTAGCCAGGATGGTCTCGATCTGCTGACCTTGTGATCCACCTGCCTCAGCCTCCCAAAGTGCTGGGATTACAGACGTGAGCCACCGCGCCCGGCCAGATGCAAATATTTATAGAACATTTTATTTGCTTTATAAGGTAGTTCACTAAAGGTTTTCCCTAAGTAGAAAATCCCCTCCTATTAAGATCTGATTTATTTTTTAAAAATTGGACACTATTTTTGGGAACAAAATGATTACGAAAATGAGGAATAGGCACAATGATGATCTGAGAGGTGAAGTAAACAGAAAGTCATAATTATGAGTTTGCTGAGTGTCAGGTTTTCAAGCTTTTTAGTTGTGTTGGCCATGACTAAACACTATTCTTTCTTGCATAAGAGTTTGAAGGAAGAGGTAAAACCCAAAAAGAGTCCCAAAGGGGATTCAATGGATAGACTAGGAAGGTGCTTGGAAAATTTGCAAATGATTTGGGGATGTGGTTAGGAAGGAGTATAGAAAACAAGGAGAAAGGAGAAGAGGGTGGAGAATTACATAGAAGACTACAACTTGATAAACTGCCACAAAAAGATAATGGTCTATGCCATAAATGATGCATTTGAAGCCAATTTTAATTTTCTTTCCATAGCTTCTTTTAAAAGTTGTAGTTCGTTACCTTTAAGCATAATTCCAGATTTTTAAAACTATCTCTATAAGGCTTTATTTAAATTCCACGAGAGCCAGTCCAGGAAGAAGAATCAAGCAGGATTCTTTAGTTCTAGTAATGACTTCCTCAATTCCCCACTGATTCACTTAGAGCTTTCTTTATTATTCCATTTTATTTTATTTTATTTTATTCTTTTGAGCAGCCATATCTGGAACAGAAAGCTTTTTCTAGGCCCCAAATATTTAGTGGCTGTGATATAATTCCTATTAAATGTTAAATGCTCACTGAACCCTTTCTTCTCAGCTTTCAGAGTAAATTATGACCACCCACATGTTCTGGGACCAAGTGTTTTTTGACTCGCAGCAGGATGATAGAGAAGTTGTCCATGCTTGATTTATTTCACAGCCCAGCAAGGCCACAGGTGCCTCACCTTAGTATTGCTAATTCCAATCACGCTGCAAAGCCGTGGACTGGGTGTCAGTCTTGCTTATTAAAGAGAGCCAGAGCATTCCTAATACAAGCCGAGGGGAGCAGCTTTAGAGAATTGTAGGACACAGGGAAAGTCAGCTCTGGTGCTCTCATACCTACCTTTATTTCCTGAGGTTTTGTCTTAAATACATTTCCCCTCTTGCCTTACTTCTCCCTCCACTAGGGAGTGCTTACTGTGCTTTGAGGTTCATTTCAAAGAGTGCTTTCTCTGAGATGTCAGCAATCCACCCCAGCGTAATTACACAGTCCCCTGGGTCATTCTACAGTTTTCACACATCTTTCTGGTGTGTGGTAGCAGTGGCCTCATTGTTTTTTGTTGTTTGCGTTTCTGTATTTCCAATTCCTAGCACAGTGCCTCTCAGGTGGTGTCTATTCAATGAAATGTTGAGTGTGCCTCTTCATCCATGTTTCGCATACACAACAGAGATCTCCACATGCCCTTTGACCTGACCTAGGTCAATGTGTACATGGCATAAGCATGCAAGTTTCAACTTTTCATCCAGATGCATTGGTGCTCTATAGGCAGAGCCCAAATCACTTATACAAGGACAGAATGGTCTAGAGTTAGACCTGGATTCAAGTCCCACCTCTTTCTTTTGCCATTTAACCTTGGACAAGCACTCTCCTATCTAAGGCTGTTTCCTCTTCTGGGACAGAAACAGCACCTGTCATGAGCTTGATGAAATAATGCATGTAATATGCATGATCTCATGACCAGGACTTAACATGAGAGTCATGGAACCTGGACCTGAATTCTTTCCCCTCTTAAAATGTGCCCCCAGAACACACACAAATGACTATTTTTGTAATGTGTATTTCAAGCTATTTGCTCTTCTACCCAGATTATCCAGCTAATCTGCTTTTAGCTCAGTTCTAAAAATGGTTGTCAAATATCATGTTTCCTCTCATTTTTATTCAGTCCGTGAAGTTTGCACTAGTCTTAAGAACAGTTGACCAGCAATGCCTCTCTCTGTACAATGAATCTGTCTCCCTAATGTATGAAGGGTCCTATCATTCATGGCTTGGGGGCTACTGGCTTCCATTGAATATAATGCTCTTTTCCCAGGGCCAGTGTCAGGGGCTTACTCTAAGTGTGGCCCATCTTCTCTTGGTCTGTTGTGATTTGAGCCATCTGGTGACCTTAAAGAAAAATGGCAGAGTAACGATGGATCTAGGTGAACCCATCACTGACACTGAACAAAAACACCACGGAATAAAAGCCAGAACACAGCAGTAGCAGCATCGTCAGCATCAAGAGTGTGTCTTCCTGAGCGAAGGATTAGGATGGTTCCTCTTTACAGGAAAAAGTTTAGAGTCATAAAATGCCAGATTGTTGAAACCAGAAAAGAAATCTGTTGATCTCAGGAGTCCTTCCCCCAACTTTGCAGATAATAAAATTGAGAACCAGAGAGGAATGGAAGTAGCTTTCCTAAGACCACCCAGCGAATTAGTGGGAGAAACAGGAAAATGGAATCTAGAGCTCATGACTCCCCCGGTCATTGTTTTTCCCCAGAATTTATGGCTCTTTGGCCTAAATCAAAATTATTTTGAGATCCCCTGTTGTATTAGTCTTTTCTTGTACTGCTATAAAGAAATACTTGAGACTGGGCAATTTATAAAGAAAAGAGGTTTGCTCACAGTTTTGTAGGCTGTACAGGAAGCATGATTCCGCTATCTGCTAAGCTTCTAGGGAGGCCTCAGGAAACTTACAATCATGGTAGAAAGCAAAGGGGGCATGAACACCTCACATGGCTGGTGCAGGAGGAAGGGGGGAGAGATGCTACATGCTTTTAAACAAACAAATCTCATGATAACACACTAACTATCATGAGAACGGCACCGAGAGGATGGTGCTAAACCATTCGTGAGAACTCTGCCCCCATGATCCAATCACCTCCCACCAGGCCCCACCTCCAACACTGGGAATTACAATTAAACATGAGATTTGGTGGGGACACAGATCAAACCATATAACCCATAGACCTGGATGTCTATGAACACCAGAAGTGAAGGGAAATCAAATTTAGACATTTCTCTTCCTTCTCTAAACTCTGGTTCACTACTTGATCTTTCTTTCTCTTAGACACTTGGTCTGCCTATGCTCTGGTTTCTAGTTAGGGGAAATGCCATGACTCCTTTCAAGATGTTTTGTCTCCCCTAAGAACCTCAATGTCCTTGGTGTCTGCCCCACAGACATTTACCATCAATGTTCCTAAATGTTAGCTCAAGGAGCAAGTAAAAAAATGTGTGAATGAACATTGCTCTGACCTTGTTTCGAAATCAGCCCATCTGATTTACGTTAGTATTGCTCTCATATCCTATCTGACCTGAATAGAAATTATTTTATGCCTAATGCCTTTTTAAAACTAGTATTGAAATCTCGTACTTTTCTGGGAATTTGAAACAAGTAATGGTGGCCCTAAATTAAGTATAAGTGATGTGTAAATTTAGATTTTTTATGATTACAAACAATTCTTAACATATCCCTTTTTCTTTGAAACCAAATTTATAAAGAGAGTCTATGCTTCTTATTTTTGAATGATTAAGACCTTTATCAACATTTGGATCTTGTTCGAAGTTAGGAATATTATAGCTTAGCAGTTAAGAGAAAGGACTCTGAAATAAAGCTTACTCTGTTTAGATGCCTATGCAGCCTCTTACTTCCTGTGCATTCTTGGGAATCTATTTAAACTCTTCCCAAGCTTTAATATCCTCATCTGTGAAATGAAATAATAGGAGGTATTTCATAGGGTGATTGTGATAATTGATGCAAAGGATGGATGCAAAGTAGCTGGCTAATATCTGTCACATAGTAAATATGCAATAAATATTAGCTATGATGATGATCATAATGATAAAACATATTAATATGTGTGTAGGAAAAAAAGTGCCATTGAATAGGAAACTTGTTCCTGAAAAGTTGTTCCCAGAGATTTCCGGCAATCTAATAAATGATTTCCATCCTCGTATTGACTTTATGTCCCATCAGCTGAGGTGGAAATGTTTCTTAGAATTCCTTGCCATATCTGGTTCTGGGTTAGAGTGGGTCACGAGAGGAATTTGCATATGATTTAGAAGCCGAGATAAAGTGGTGGCCATTGTGTACTGCAGGTCAGTGTAGAGGGCATCCGATGGCCTCTCACCTTGTTACTGGCTCAGTTTATTGGCACAGGGCAGCAGATGAGCCCACACCTCCTGTAGTTCCCACCAGAGCTCCTCCACCAACTTCTCCAGGTCCTGGGGCAGGTACGTGTGCAACTCCATGGCAAGGGATGCCATCTCCTTCTGCTAGTGACTGTATCATCAGGTTACTGTGGTGAGTGGCAGACACACATTCCAGTTCGTGTTGTGGGTTCCAGTCTGTCCCTGTGTGATCTAGAGAGTGTCTGCAGTTTATGTCTTGTCCTTGATCTCTCCCTGTCTTCATGTCCAGCTTTTCTTCCTGACTTCATTCCTGCCACCCCATAGTGACGTCAAACTTATCACCAGATGCAAAGTCAACAGCCTTTTTAGACTTTTTCACCTGCTCCTAGTTTTGTAGGTGACTATGTAGTTTCTGCCATAGAATAGTTTAGTGAAAGTCAGGAACTTAATGGTTAGGTTGGTTAGCTGTAAGTGAATTGGGGTGGAAGTGTCTGCAGGTTCTTCCGGACAACATAAAATGCTTAATGACAGGCCACCAAAGGACCATGTGACCTGAGCAACCTATTACAAATTGGGTATTGTCTGACCCACTAAGCCATAAGTGGTAAAGGAAGATAGTTGTACCAGCTTGACTATGTGGCCAGCTGCAGAGACTATAATAGTTAAGAGTGTTTCTTCCTTATTTTGATAGACCTATGTTTGTGTGCATATTAACTGTTTTCTTCTCTCCTTCCTCATTCCCTTACCATCTTACCTAAGATGTATTAATAGTGGTTAACTTTTTTTTTTTTTTTGATACAGGCTTTCACCCTGTCACCCAGGCTGGCAGGCTGGAGTTCAGTGGCACAATCATGACTCACTGCAGCCTTGACCTCCAAGCTCAGGTGATCCTCCTACTTCTGCCTCCTGGGTGGCTGGGGCTACAGATTTGTGGCGTCAAGACCAGCTAATTTTTGGGTGTTTTTGTTTGTTTGTTTGTTTGTTTTTTTGTAGAGATGGGGTTTTGCCATGTTGCCCAGGCTGGTCTTGAACTCCTGGGCTCAAGCAATCCACCCACCTCAGCCTCGCAAAGTGCCGGGATTACAGACATGAACTACTGCACCTGGGCTAATAGTAGTTAATCTTGTATCTCAGTATTTAAGTTTTAGATATTCACAAGGGGAGTTTGACTCAGCCAAATGAGGAATGAATGTGACCCAAAGATGGATAAAGGGTCTCTGTGTCTTTTGGGAAGTGTGTTTTCAGGTATACATGTGAGGAGGAAGAATGATTTTGCTGCCTTTTTTATTTGGAAGTTAAGTACGGCTAACAGAGGTGTGTTTAGATGCCAAGTTGACAAGGGCTGGACTGTGGTAGCTTTATTATCTGTCAGTTTTTCTAAACTAAACCTTTCAAGAAACAAGATAAAATTATTCAGCATTAAGCTGCTGCAGGTGACTTTGCAATTTAAATGAACAAATAAAATGAAACTTTGAAAAGAACGTCACTAGTATTTTGCTGAGTCTACCATCTATTCCATCTGTTAGGAAAAGGAAAACTCTTAATTCTGATTAATAGGTACCCAGAAGATGAAATGAAACCTGGTCAGTTAAATTTTGACAAAGGAAATTGGTTTCTGCACGTTGTGGATTGAATGGAGAATTGTTTCAGAAATCTTGGAAAACCAGTGAAGCCAACCTGATTCCTTCTGGTTAGAAGGCTGAACTGAAAACAGTTTAATATCCAGCTATTGGAAGCAAAGTCAGGGCTGTAGCTGAAACTCAAGTCTAGCAATGACCATGGCACAGAATGGAAAATGTGCAAAGGAAACTCCTCTCCTCCTTGGCGGGTTGGGCTTTCCTGGGTCCTCTAGGGAGGGGGCTCTAGGAGCCCTCCTGATCCTTCCCCTTGAGGATGGAAAGTCAAAAGAAGTTGAAAGTATTCACTAGACATTTTTCCTCTCTACAGCATCTTCTATAGAGACAGCTTTATGAAGTCTTCCTTCTGGTAAGCCTCAGGGAAACTTGATCATAAATGCAACAATTCATGTGCAAAACAACTTGCTCTGGGGCATTTTGCCTGCCTTCTCCAGCTGTTGCTCATCTTGAAGGGTCTGTTTAGCAGGTACCATCTGCTGGCTCCCAATGCCTTTTTGTCATCTGTGCCCTAAGACTTTCACAATCTCAAAGCCAACCAGAAGTAGGTGTCACTTATTTGTACTGAGCCCAGGAGACAGCTGGACTCCAGTAGTTCCCAATGATCAAAGCATTTCAATATATTTTGATTCGTACGAGGTCTCATGATGTTACTTTTCATCAAGCTGCATAGACCCGGATGATAAACATAGCAAAGGTGTAATTGTTTTCTATAATCTAAATTTGAAAAATGATCAAATGGTGAGCCCAGAAATACAATGGGGCAAGCTTAGTCTAACTGACATTCTTACCAACAAGTAATGTCTGGAAACCAATCAACTGAATATACAAACTGACCAGAAACTCCCCCACTGCCTTCTGTTTCATTCATTTAACAAACTTAAATAGTACTTCTCATGTGGAGCTACCATTCTGCTTAACAAATACTCTTCCCTTTAATCCTCACAACAGCTCTAAGGATTAAATAGTAACATGGTTGCATTTTACAGATGAGAAAACTGAAATCCAGAGAGGTTAATAAACTTGCCCACGGTCATACAGCTAGTAAGTGGTAAATCTGAATTTAAACCCAGGCTGTCTGATTCCAGAATTCATGTTTTATGGATGAGGAAAATCTTAACAAAAGAACATATCAAGAAAACAGAAAAATACTTCAAAAATAAGCTATTGTTTGGGAGGAGTTCACTTCCATCCATTTCCTTTACCAGCTATGGTACCATCATCTATGGTATTGATAATTAAATACTATTATTATGTTAGCCAGTATTGATTGAACCTCTACTATATTTCAAGAATTACGATGTTTTTCCATGCACTTGCTCACGTGACAACAGCTGAGGTGTTTATCATCTTTATCCCTCTTTCACAGATTGTAAAACTAAGCCTCAGGGAAAGATGATAATTTGCCCAAAGTTACACAGACTTCCCAAGAAGTATGAAGGGTCATGGTTGTAGCCCTTGCCATACACATAAACTCTGCATGAAATTGAAGAAAAAGTGTAGTCCTAAACTTTCGTACATATCTGAGACAAATGTTAGAAAGAGAAGGGCTGTTGGTCCCTGCAAGAAGCACCAACTAGAATGGTGGCCTCATGAGAGGAGCAAGCTCCATTCCACTGAGAAGCAGGCTCTGGACATTTACAGGGTCCGGGGTCTCCAATGGAGCATGGGTCTAAGGGGTGGGGAGCCATCACGTCTGCACATCACCACCTGCATTCTTGGCTGAAGTGGTTGGAAGTGGTGTCATCATTTATTTATTCATTAGTCCATTCATCGATTCATTTGAGATTTATGGAGCACCTGTCATAGAGCACCAGGCAAGGTATCAGGCATTGTCGGTACCTGCCTGTACATCTCTTTTGAGGATTGAATTAGATAATGCAGGTGTATTAGTCCATTACTGCATTGCTATAAAGAAATACCTGAGACTGGGTAATTTGTAAAGAAAAGAGGTTTAATTGACTCACAGTTCCGCAGGTTGTACAGAACTCATAGCAGCATCTGCTCAGCTTCTGGGAGGCCTCAGGAAACTTACAATCATGGGGAAGGTGAAGCAAGAACAGGCATGTCTCATGACAAAAGCAGAAGGAAGAGAGAGTGAGGGGGAAGGCACTACACACTTTTAAATGACCAGATCTCTCGACAACTCACTCACTATCTCGAGGACACTACCAAAGGGGAAGGTGCTAGACCATTCTTGAGAACTCCGTCCCCGTGGTCCAATCACCTCCCAACATGCCCCACCTCCCACACTGGGCATTACATTTCAATATGAGATTTGGGCAGGGACACACATCCAAGCTATATCAGCAGTTAAAAGGCTTTATGTAGCACTTGGCCCATTGTAAGTGCTCAGAATATTTACCCATTAGAAGTGCCTAGAGGGAGTTTCCAAATTACACATGTTCTAGGTCCAAACAGTATTAAACACCAACTGGAACTTAAAGACCCAGTCACAACAATTCCTCCAGAGGCAGGTACTATGATCATCTCCCTTTCACAGGTAATTAAACAGAGGCAAAAAGAGGTCAAGTAACTTTCCCAGTGTTACACAGCTTAAGGAAGGACACACTCCCATAGCTGATTGATGCAGGGCAGAGATACCCTTCTCAGCCTCGCCAATCCTGCAACTCCTGGGAAATGTGAAATTACATGGAGATTCACAAATAGATGAGGGTGATGAAGCTGAGTTACCCTGAAACTCTTAGAACTTAGTAGAAGGTTCCTGAACCTTGGCTGCTGCCTTTCCTGGAGTTGCCTCTGGTTCTGTCCTTCCCAAGCCCTGACTGCTCAGTCCCATCTTTGCATCCATAAGCTCCCTACTGTCCTTCTAGAAACTCTCCCCCTTTTGTTTCTCAAGTTAGCCAGAATCAGATCCTTTCTTTGCAACCACAGTAATCTTGATAAGTATACCTCTGTTGAATTAGAAATTTGGAGGGATGTTTTATGTTTGGAAAAGGTGGCCGGAATGGCTCTGCACCATAGTTAAAAAACACTGCCCAAAATGATTGAGAAACTCTACCTTATGAATATTTAAAGACTTTTAACTGAAATACAACATCTCTGTATAAATGGAGTCCAACTAATTATTTGTAATGAAAATATGTTGGCCTCACTTACAAATGTTCTGCATCTGTACTTTGGTTGCAAGCAATGGACATAATTTCATTTATGTGACTCTGTCCTTCTTAGAAGGGATGCTCTTTGAGTCAACAGAATTTAGCCTGGCTGTGGCCTGACCATCACAGATCATAGTCCAATCACCACAAAGCAAAGCAGGCCTTAATGACACTTATTTAGAAATAAGATTTATTGGCTTCAGGAGGAGCTGCTATGGCAAAATAATGCTTTGAGGTTAAAAATAAAACCTGGGGTTCCAGGAGATAACTTAGTAATGCACTACATAGAATATATGCAGATAATTAAATGTGTAGCCTAGTAATGCATTGTGTGGGTAGATTTCTGTACCTTAAAAAATATAGCAGTGCTGGATTATATGGATGGTGTGTCAGAATCATTTATTCTTCAACATCCATTGCATTGCCCTTACTCCATCACATGCTTCCCAGCCTCCTGGCAGTTAGGTCCTAAATGGAAGTGATTGGTGTTTCTTCAGGGCTGGAGCACTTAAAAGCTGGTAGGCAGTCCTCCATCTCTCCTATACCCTGCCTTAGCCACCTGGAAGCCATGTGCTAAGATGTCAATGTCATATGATAGAATAGTCTGGATTGCTGAGCCACTACAGAAATAAGAATCAGCAGTCCATGAAAGACTTTGCAGAAGCAAATTGCAAACGTTTAGGTGTCAAGCCATTGAGAATTTGGAGAACATTGAAAAATGTTTATTATTTGGACCACTGCCTGTTATCCTGAATAATATGGTAGACAATCCTATTTTCTAGGTGTCAAAACCTTGGTACTATTGATATTTTAGGACAAATAATTCTTTGTTGAGGGGAGATATCTGTCCTGTGCATTGTAGGATATAGCAACATCTCTGGCTTCTAACCACTAGATGCCAATAACGTACTCCCTCCCCAACCAGTTGTCATAACCAAAAATGTTTCCAGACGTTGGCACATGTCTCTCGAGGAAAAATTACCCCTAATTAAGAATCACTGCTCTGGATAAATGAGTGAGTTTTGTATTTATTGTATTGTTTCTACTATCTCCTTCACTGTACTGGGTAAGAGATTAATATTACTGAGGCAGGAGGATAGGGTCTGGAGGCAGGGAACATAAGGCTGATTCATGCTGACTTCCTAGAACTAAATCAAATGGAACCACTTCAGCCATGACAGGAAATATCCTCTCCATTTACATAGGGCATACACCAAGTAAATAATTTTGTAACTTTACTTCACCCCCTTCATTTACATAAGGCATACACCAAGTAACCAACGGAAACCTCTAGAGGGTATTTGAACCCCAGAAAATTCTGTAACAGGACTCTTGAGCCTCCATGCTCGGGCCCACTCCCACTCTTTGGAGTGTACTTCATTTTCAATAAATCTCTGCTTTTGTAGCTTCACTCTTTTCTTGCTTTGTTTGTGCATTTTGTCCAATTCTTTGTTCAAGATGCCAAGAACCTGGACACCCTTCACCAGTAACATTATATCCTACTCCATGGGCATACCACAGAGAACACTAGATTCGGTCAAGAGACCTGGATGTAAAATTAAGAGCTTGGGCAAATCACAAGCCTGTTGCTGGGTCCTTTGGTTACATGTGTAAACCAAAAACCAAAATTCTAAGTCCTGCAACTGACTGAAGGGACCCTCTTCTCAGTCAAGGGGATCCAATGAAACCTGAAAAACTAGTTCAAACCATGGCAGGGATGGGAGGGGGTCAGATATGCCTCATTATACCTTCCCCTTGGAGTTCTGGCCAAAGATAGCAGGGCCCTGAAAGAAATCAAAGTATTTTACCCCAAAATATATTCCTTTGATATATTTTGAAATGGCCCTGCAAAGCTGTCTCTTGTGGGGGAAATTCTCTTTCTATAGAGAATCTTATGCCCTTTCCAGGTCTTTTTCTGATCCTGAAGAGTTTGGCTGAGAATCTGGCACCTTTTAAGGGTCTGAATAGGAAACATTTGTCATCTACTGCCTCTCGGTGTGGCCACCTAGGAGACTTCATCTACATAATAAGAACCTTGGTTTTCATAACCCCTTAACTTAACCCAGACACTCCTTGTATTGATTCCAAGTATTTAGATAATAACTTTTTCAACCAGTTGCCAATCAGAAAATCTTTGAATCTACCTATGACCTGTAGGCCCCCTGCTTCAAGTTGTCTGGCCTTTCCAGGCCAAACCAATGTATGCCTCACATGTATTGACTGATGTCTTACATCTCCCTAAAACCTATAAAACCAAGCTATAACCTAACCACCTTGGGCACATATTCTCAGGATATCCTGAGGCTGTGTCATAGGTCATGGTCCATAACTTTGGCAAAATAAACTTCAAAATGGATTAAAACCTGTCTCAGATACTTTTTGGTTTACACAAGCAACAGAAACTAATGGATTAACTAAAGCAAGAAAATGATTTTTTAGGACGGTAGGAATATTATAGAAAAACGGGGGATTTGAGCAACCAGGTAGGCTACTCCAGGGCTCTCAGCAGTAGATACTGTGGGCTGTTTCTTGGTTCCAACTGCTTTCTGCCTCAGCATTCTCTGCTTGGTTCAAATTTCTGGGCGACAGAGTCTGATTGGTTTTTCTTAGTCACGATCCTCTCTTTTAGCTTAGGGACGTGGTGGTGGCAAGGGTGACGGTACAGGAAGCAGCAGCAGCAGCAGCTGAGTCTTATGATTAACAGCCTTATTAAAATCAAATGGATGTGGGAGGAGAACTTTCCTAAGGGAAAAGGAGACATCAGTATTAGGAGAGGGGAAGGGAGGCTGGGCAAGCAGAAAGACCAGATGTCTATTACGGGGCTTTAGTTCCCATAACTTTAAGGTGGGGATCATAATATCTGCCCTGCTTTATTCACTGTATTCTGAGAATCAAATGAGTTGAATGTAAAAGCCATAAATATAAAAAAGGAACCTTGAGATGTCAAATGAGTTTGACTCTGGGACTTGTGACATACAAGGCTGCTGCCATGCAATAAGGCAGGCTTCTGGGACATGTGAGAACTCTCATTCCAGTAGGTGGTTAGCCAGGAGCTGATGATTTTGGATGGAGTTTTATGGGACTTTTGGCTCTTTGAGACATCTCTAGAAGTAGTAAAGAGCATGATAAACTTGTATCTGTCCTTTCCCTTCTCATGACCCCAACATCAGATCAGAGGTTGTAGATTGTAGGGAGGTCAGGCCATGCAAAGCAATTCTGTTGCCTCTTCTGTTTAGAAAATCACTATTTCAACCTATTCTGCCTCCTTCCCTCCTATGGAGTAGAGTATATAAATGTTATTATAGCAAAATAAGAGATTCTTAGGAAACAAGTAATCCAGTCCTTTTTCCTTTTTTAAATAGGAAAAAAATAAAGTGCCAGTAGAGGGAAGCTAATTTAAACCCAACCCCAAATCCTGAAAGCTATTGGAACTAGATGAATTCACAAGAACCTGAATTCAGGGATCGGGTTGTGGGATTGGAAGGTCATAGCCTCTGCAGAGTCTGATTTTTGGGTCAACGCAGAGCAGAGATTGTTTACCTGAAATCTATTTAACTCAAGACTTATAGTGAGTTCTATTATTTCTTGACAATGACATAATTAAATAAATCAAAGTTTCCGTCGTTGTCTTCAACGTAAGGGAGGGATAAATCAAGCTAGCATCAGCTTTTCCCAAATCCTAAATGTATTTACCTTCATTTGGAATGACCACTTTGATCCAGTTGTGCTCTGTCACTGATCAGTAATTCCATCAGTACAATTTCATGTACATAAATCTTGAGCTCTGGGGAGGATGTGCTTTGTAAATCCACTTAGCTGTAAAGACAGAACATCACAGTGAAAGTGCGTTGAAGGAACAGTGGCAAACACCACACTATGGGTTTTTGATTAATTTAATGTGAAGGCAAAGAACAAATGTTAAAAGAAATTGTGTTCTAAATGCATTAGGGTCTGGGCTTCTCTGAGAACCAGGAATGGAAGATACACCCTCAAGCCTTCAATTCCTCAGACCCAGGCAGGAAGCTTATTGAGAGAGAGAGAGAGAAAAATGTGTCAAGGGAAAGATGAGAGAGCTAATAGTGTTATTTCATAGTTTATATCATTCATTTTACACCTGGGTGACTGGACTCATTCAGTTGATCATTGAATGAATGCCTATGGAGGGCCAACTGTGAGCTAGGTGGTGGGAAGCAAAAATAGGATATCTGCCCTGAGGACTTTACAGTTTAGTGGTACAGAGCAATGCTCACCGAAAAACCACACAGTGAATGCAATACTGTCATTGCAAGAAGAGTTGTGAAAAGACAGAACATAATGCTGTTGGAAATTATAATGGGGGAATTGACTCATTGAGGAGGTCAAGGGTGATTTCCGTAAGGAAGACAGGATTGAACTGAAATTCAAAGGAAGAGTAGGAAGTAACTAGGAGAAGGGATTTGGAGGTGGGGGTGGAGAGGGAGGCTGTGTTTCTGGGTTTCAGAGGGCTGGTGAGTGTGCTATGAGATGGAGCCCAGAGGCTGGCAGGGTGAGACCATGCAGAGCCCTGTAGGTCAAGCCTTTAATACCCTCCTATTAGAGGGTATTAAGCAGGAAGTGATGTGATGAGATTTTCACTTTTGAAAAGGTCACTTCAACATAAGAGCCACAGCAATGACTTTGACATGGTAAGAGCCACACAAGAGGGGGTAGGAGGAGTCAGACTGAGCAGAGCATCAAGTGTCCTGGTAGACAAGAGGGAATCCAGGAACAAGGCCATCCCAACCTGGGTTGAGCAGCCAAACACTAGAAAGAGCAAGACGGGAAGTGAACCTACTTCTGAGGCAGTGGCTAGTCCAGCCATGGACTTCCTATGTGCAGCTGCCCAGGAAGTAACCACAGATTAGACTAGGGGAATAGCTTCACCTGGTGGGAAAGAGGATTAAGAAAGTAGTGCTGGTTTTTAATTCTCCCTGTTTTAATTCTTGTCTCAGAGAAGCCATAGCCTGCCCCTCCTATAGTTCTCTTCTGATGAACTCTGTTTCTATTGTGGATCTAACTCTCTTATTTTATCATAGAAAATGCCAAAAAATGTTAGCCATTATTACAGAGTATTTCAGGAGTTCAGAAGAGGAATTGTCTCATCCCTACGGGGAGCAGATAACTCTTGTTGAATGAAATTAAGGTGCCTTTTGAGCTGAGTATTGAGAGATGCTCCAATGGAGAAGTCAAGAAGTGCCCAGGAGACCACCAGGAGAAGGCAGGATATCCACAATTTAAAGAGGAAGCAGTCTGAGCAAACATTTAAAGGGAAATGACATTGTCTTTGAAACGGATGGTGGTCAGACATGGGATTTAGAGGCAGGAGGGTTTTACCTAAGAACATAGACTGTGTGCCCAGACTGCCTCAGTGAAAATCTCAGCCCTGGCATTCCCTAGCTTTGTGACCTCAGGCAAATTCCTTTAGTGTTCTGTGGCTCAGTTTCTTTACCTTTAAAATAGAAATAAGATCAGATTATCTACTTTATAAGGTCATGATGAACACTAGATTTAGCATGTGGTAAGTACCATGAAAATTTGCAGTATTATTATAGCAGTTGGAGGCCATGTTATAAACACAAGTGGAGGCTGTATTGTGAAGAGGTCAAAAGCCAGGCTGCAGAGTTGGCAAATATTGGGGATTTTCCAGATAGCATTCTGTTTTTGATAACTAATTTCATTCAAGTCCGGTTAGAGATATGCTCTTAATGACTTGAATCCTTTTAAATTTACTGAGACTTATTTTGTGACTGAGGATATTAGAAAATGCTCCGTGTGTATTTGAGAAGAATGTGTATTCTGTCATTGTTGGGTTGAGTGTTCTATAAATGTCAATAAGGTTAAGTTGGCTGATAATGTTGTTCAGATCTTCTATACCCTTATTGATTTTTTGTCTACTTGTTTAATCAGTTGTTGAGAGGGGTGTATTAAAATCTCTGACTATAATTGTGGACATGTGTAATTTCACCTTGCAGTTCTATTGGTTTTTATTTCCTGTATTTTGGATCTCTGTTATTAGGGCATACATATTTAAGGTTGTTTTATCTTCTTGTTGAATTGATACCTTTATCGTTACAAAATGACTTTCTTTACCTCTGATAATATTTTTCAGCTTTAACATCTATTTTGTTTTTGTTCTACCTGTTACTTAGTAGTAATGCCACTCCAGCTTTTGTCTAGTGTCAGCATGATATATATTTTTCCATCTTTTTACTTTTAACCTTTTGGTATCTGAATATTTAAAGCATGTTTCTTATACACAGCATATAGTTGGGTCTTACTTTTTAAAAGTCCAGTGTAATAACCTGTACCTTTTGACTTGAGCATTTAGGTTATTTACATTTAATGTAATTATTCATATGATTGCATTTAAATTTGTCATTTTGCAGTCCTTTTTCTATTTGCTCCAATTCTTCACTGTTACTTTTATTCTTCTTTTCTTGCCTTCTTTTGGATTAATTGAATACCTTTTACTATTTTATTTTCTCTGTTCCTTATGATCTGTAATTCTTTATTTTGTTTTCTTGGTGTTTGCTTTAAGGTTTATGGTATACATTTTAACTTATCATAATGTATATTCAAGTGATATTATGTCACTTTACATATAGTGTAAAAGCTTGGCAGTAGTTCATGTCCACTTCTCCTTTTCTAATCTTTGTGTTACTGTCATGTATTTTAGTTGTACATATGTTATAAACCCCATGGTACATTATTATTTTTGTTTTAACCATCAATAATATCTTAAGAAATTTAAACAATAAGAAAAAAACTCTCTATACCCAGGATGTTACATTTTTGGTACTCTTCATGCTTTTGTATAGATTTATATTTCCAACTAGTACAATTTTCTTTCTTCCTGAAGGACTTTCTATAAAATTGCTTGTAGTGTGGCTTTGCTGATTACAATTTTTTTTCTACTTTTGTGTATCTTTAAAAAAGTATTTCACCTTTGCTTTTGAAAGATTTTTTTTGACAGTTGACTTTTTTTTTAGTACCTTAAAGATGTTCCTCTACTGTCTATTTGGGTGAATTTTTTTAACAAGAAATCTGTAATTTTTAGTTTTGATCATCTATATTTAAAACACCTTTTTTTTCCTTTGGCTGCTTTTAAAATTTTATCCTTCTCACTGGTTTTGAGCAATTGGATTATGATATACGTTGGTGTAGTTTTCTTCATTTTCTTTGTGCTTGAAATTTGTTTAGATTTTTGGACTTGTGGGTTACAGTTTCCATCAAATTTGAAAAACGTTAGCCATTACTTCTTCAAATATTTTTATGTTTCCCCTTCTCTCTCCTCTCTTTTGTGATCTCCAATTACACATTTGTTAGGCCATCTAAACTCTTCCCACAGTTCGCTGATGCTCTGTTAATTTTCAAGATTCTGTTCTCTTTGTGTTTCATTTTGGATATTTTCTACTATGATATTTTTGAGTTCATTAATATTTTTTGTTATGTTTAATGTGCTATTAATCCCTTCCATAAACTTTTTAATCTCTGATAATGTGATTTTCTTTAGAGATGGAGTCTTGCTATGTTGCCCAGGCTGGCCTCAAACTTATGGGCTCAAGCAATCTTCCCACCTCAGCCTCCTGAGTACCTGAGATTATAGGCACTTTGCCACCATGCCTGGCTTCTATAAATTTTGTTGAGCTTTGTACCGTGACAGAGTTACATAACTTGGAAACAGTTTGATTCTTTTGGGTCTTACTCTCGAAATATTTTTAGATGAGAGCAGAACCATGCTCAGTCTAGGGCTAATTATTTCGTGCTACCTTAGTAAGTCTTTTTGTGTGCTTTACCAGTGTTCCATGATTCTTGGGGTTTTGTGGTCTGACTGGGAGGGACAGATATATCCTCAGTTCTGTATAAACATTACTCACTGTTACCTCTAATCTTCTCAGGTGATACTTCCCCTAGCCTCAGGAAGTTTCTGCAAACACATTTGCTGACCAGTGTTCAGCTGCGTATATGAAGGGACCACTCTGAAAATCTCTAGAGTTCTCTCTCTGTGGAGCTCTTTCCTCTCAGTACTCTTTCCGGTGAACTCTGGCTGCCTTGGTTTCTCTGGACTCCCAGCTCTGTCTCCTCAATTCAGGGAGTCTGCCAGGCTCTGTCTAGTATCTCCAACTGGTATTGTAGCCTGGAAACTCACTTAAGGCAGTAAACTGGACCAATTGCAGGACTCATCCTGTTTGTTTCTTGTCTCTCAGAGATCACTGTTCTTCATTGCCCGTTCTTTGAAAACCTTTATTTCCTACATTATATTCGTATTTGGTTGACTTAGGTGGGAGGATAAACCCTCTTATTCCATATTGGCCGGAAGTATAAGTTTCAGACTGCAAAGTTTAAATCTCATTGTTTAGGCAATGCAGAAACATTAAACCAGGGGAATGGTGATCAGTTCTGGCTATCCAGAAGACAACTCTAGTAGTGTTCAGCGGAGGAGAAAAGAGATTGGAGAGAGGGAGGCTCATGCAAAGCCATAACATGAGGCAATGAGGACCTGGAAAAGGCATGAATTTGAGAGACTCTGAAATCTGGGTATAGAAAGTGTCCTGAAATAAAATGCAAAGGTCCAAGTTTGTGCAATAGAAACATGATGTAAAGTGCCATTGGCCTTCCATATCCATGGGTTCTGAATCCATGGATTCAGTCAACCAAAGATTGACAGATATGAAGACAGAAAAAGATGCTTGTATCGATACTGAACATATACAGACCTTTTTCTTGTCATTATTCCCTAAACAATAAAGTATAACAACTATATACATAGCATTTAGAATGTATTAGGTATTATAAGTAACCTAGAGATGATCTGAAGTATACAAAAGGATGTGTGTACATTATATGCAAATATTACACCATTTTTTATATAAGGGACTTGAGCATCTGAGGACTTTGTTATTTGCAGTGGGTTGGGGGCGGGAGGTTTGGGCTGGAACCAATCCCCATGAATACCAAAGGATGACTATAATGTGTTATAAATCTGTAGCATTTTGTGTGTCCCTGCCAATACAAATTGAAGGCTGGGTTAAGGCAAAAATTGTTGTTTCCCATAATGCCTTCCAAACACTAGGTGCCAAACACCCTGAGAACTGGGGAGTGTGGGACTCATCAGAGACGCCCCGAAAGGTCCTGCAGAGTCTGAGGTTTGAAATTTGTGGACTTAGATAACCTTAAGGACTTCCAAATGACTGTTCTTGTTTGGACAACATTTGAGCATAGTTCCTATGTGAAATCACGATGTTTTATTCATGTGCACTTGGAAACTTTGTGAATAGCAGAGAATATTTTAGAATTCTAGAAAGCAAATCTCCACATGTGTTTATCACAGAGCTTTTGAGTTTTCAAGTCATTTTGGAATGAGAAATTTTTTCTTCTAAACCACAAAATCTAAATGCAACTGGGATCTTTACATTTGAACGTTGTATTTCCCCCAAGTTACTGGTATGCCTAATGCTAAAATAATATATTTAGGATAATAAAGTAAAGTAGGGAATAAAAAAGCACAAGGCATAGTCAAATAAAATCAGTCTTGAGAAAATGTACCATTACCACTTTGAAGGAGTTAAGCTTAAATGGAATCTCTTTAAACTTAGTATGGGAAAGCTTGTTCAAGGAACAAAGATCAGAGAATATTAATAAGTTTGTGTCAGAGAAAGGCTATTAGAAACCTCTGAGCCCTGGGAGAGCAGTTCTAGTTCTAAAAATACTCTTTCTATGATGGAAATGACAGTGGCAATGGTGGGAGTTAGCACCTATGGCTGTGTGCTGGAGTCCTCTCAGGATGGAAGGCTGGGGCCAAAATTATGCCTGCACCTCGAATTCCTTTAGGCTTCAGAATGACTGGCAGACCATCTCCCAAGATTCTTACTGATAATCCCAAGGGAGATCTCAAGGGAAATATAAACCCATTTACATGCAAACCCTTTCCAAAGCGAATGTTGATCAACAACAAAAAGTGACCTTTCTCACTGCTTAAATTCAGGAAAAATGACCTGTTATTTCTCAAGCACTTGAGTACAATACAGCTACTAGGTAACTAATTTTATTATGGAGAAGTGGTTGAATAAGGTGGCAGGAAAAAGGAGGAAGAATAGAGAACCTGGGTAAAACAGTGAGATGAAACTCTTATCACCTATGTGATATCTTTTGATGCTAGTATGGCAAATTGGCTCCCCCATTTTCTATATTGGAATATTAACTCCCCTTCCCATCTCTGTTGATGCTTTTGGAAACACATGTTTGAAGGCTGCATGACAGCTCATGATGGTTACAGCTCTGTCTGTTTGAAAGGTCTTTCTTGTTTATTGGGGACCCTGTCCCATCCCTTATAGCCCTGTTAGGGTGAGTCAGAATCCCTTATCCCCACCCCTGCCAGAGGGAATGGTATGTGACCCAGGCTGGCAATTAGGAATTTCTTTCCTCATGCAAAGAATGAGAGGTGAAGGATGGGCACAGGGCCCAGATAGGACCACTGGGCTTTTCCCTGGGATGGATGTGTAGACATTGGGCAGAGAGTTCCACTTTGCACTAACGGTAACTAAGTCAAGTTGCTGGCTACACAGAGTTGAGGGGAAAGAGGATGCCACAAGGGAAATGTGGGCAGCAGAATCAGAGTCTGTCTTTGTAATTATGTTAAATACCCAAATGAGGCCTATTTCATGACAGATGGAAGATTTTAGAGATTGATGAATTTTTCCAACAGCTTCATAAATGCAGTCACTTACGTTTGATAAGAGTATGCTTTCTATCACATGGATCTTAGCTATCATTCAATTCCTTTCCAGGCCTCCTGTCAAAATAACAAATGACCTGTATCAGAAAAGTGCCAGCTGGCAGAGACCATCAACCCAGAATTTCATGACCACCAGAAACGGTAGTTGCAGGGGGGACCTGCTGCTGTTTCTTTCTTCCTCAGGATTTGGGTTTTCCTGCAGGAAAGTATCCCCTAACTATGTACACAGATAGTTCTAATAAGAAGCAATCTTCTTAAGCACTTGGCAAAGTTGAATGAGAATTGGCTACCCTTCCTGTGGTAGACTGTTCTTTATAAATTGTGTTAGCTAGGAAGAAAATAGAAATCTCCAATTTCTCAGTGGCTGGAGTTGAAATCATCCTATAAATGCAAGATTGGCCAAATCTATTACAGAACAGAGCAATGAGTGAGATTGTTTACAGTTTGATGTCAATTCTGAGTTTGTGTAGGGATGTGGTGACCATGGGCCAAAGTTTTTGATACTTCGGTAAAAGAGAACCTGTTAGGGATCACCAGAAGGACTGTGTGCTACTGGAGGAGAGACATGGATTCATTCTCTCCCCATTCTCATCAGAGACTAGAAAGTTTGCTCTGTTCTCCAGGAATCTCCCTTTTCTTGGTTAATTAAGCACTCCTGTGGGAAGCGTCTGAGGCTACGACCCAAGTCCATTGTCTACAAATAGTTATTATGAATGAGAAAGGCAGATTCTTCTATGTGTGCACACACATACTTATACACACATTGGAGTAATTTTCTCAGTGCATATCAGCATGGGGATGAATCAGAGAACTTAGAAGATGTCATAGAAAGCATTTAATACAGAGCTTAGCCAGTGTTTTGTGGAAATAGCTAGATAGTAATTACTTTAGGGCTTTCAGGCCGTACTGACTATTGCAACTATTCAACTTTGTGTTGTAGTGTAAAAGCAGTTATACACAATACATAAATAAGTGGATGTGGCTGTGTTCCAATAAAACTTTATTCACAAAAACAGGTGGCAACTGGGTTTAGCCCTTGGGCCCCAGTTTTCTGACCGCTGGTCTAGTCCTATGCCCTTGGTAAGGAAATTGAAAGTCAAAATGATCTACCAGGCCATGTGGGTAATAACTGGCAGAGTTTAATCCAGATCTCAGACCCCTGAGTCCCAATCAATTTCATTTCCACTGCCTCATGCTCCACTGTTTTTTGCTCTTGAAGCCAACTAGGAGAGTTATCTAGTCCTCCTCTCTCTGAAGGGCTACACATAGGCACCAGTAGTAAATTCTGTATAACAGGGCTCCTCTACTTAGGTTTGGTACCACCATCCTGGGTGCACAAGGCTATGTTTCCATGTGTGTGCCACGTGTTGGAAGCAGGGCTGTGTCAGGTGCCGCATAGGCTTTAAGGTAGACCCAATCCCAGAAGGTCAGCTCTAACATTAGCATTTGTCAGCAAATGAGAACAAGTGATCTAAAACACATCTTGTATCTGCTTATCTGAGTCAACCTCAGAAACCCCACAGTCAATTTTGAATATACTTCTGCAAATTCTTAGAGAAAGATAATTCTACCTTCTAATGGAATGAGGTATGTTCAGGGCATTTTTCTGTGCCTTACTGCCCTCTTCCTATCTAATATACCTCATTGCCATCCCTAAAACCTCATTATTCAGTTATTTACCCTTTTTAGATAGTCAGACTCACTTATCTCCACACCTTTAATCTTTATTTACTTGCTTGTGGCATTAATTATTTTAATCTTATCTCATGAATCACAACTCTCCTGATTTTGAGTTACTAGCTTAACTTTGCACTGAATATTCTGATTCACCTTTATTCCAGAGGTGAAATTTAAGCTGTAAATAGCTACAGGAAAATGTGTAAGAGCTAAAATCCTTTTTGTTCATATGTTGAAACTTTGCCTTATGAAATACTAAAAATATTTTATTAATTTAAGTATTGAAGATAAAATTGTATCCCAAAACTCATTTGGCCCATTTGATGTCTCTCTCAGCATAAGCTAAACAGGATTGAAATGTCATTAAACCCAATTCAGCTGCTAATTTGTTAGTGATTGTTTGGTCATAAAGAACAGTAATACAGCCAAACTAACTTAAGCAAAACACAAAATGAAATTTACTGGAAGAAAACTGGACACAGGCCACAGAAGGCTATGTGGGTATCTATAGGAACTCAAACTAGGAACTGGCATGTCAGGGCCAAATTACCTTCCACGTCTCTGTGGGGCTCGGCCTCTTACCTCCTCTCATCTTTGCAGTTTCCAAAGAAACCGCACACAGCCTCGTCTAGCGTTCAGGACTCACAACTCCAAGTCTCCTCCTCTGAACCTTTTACCAGTACTTGTTAAACTAGACCTGTGAGACCTCTGGGCTCTGCAGGGGTGCCACAGGGCATCCCCAAATACTCAAGAATTTATCTAAACCAGCAAACATGTAGACCATCTGGAGAATCCCTTCCTGTCTTATCTTGGCTTTGTCAGTTGAGGTTCCGTGTAAGAGAGGCATTTGAAAAAGAGGTTCTGCTGTCTATTTTGTGCTTCCATGGAACTGGTATTGAGAAGGATTGATTAAAACAACAAAAGAGTAAAAACTCTAAGTTGTGGGATGATAGTTTGGATAATTGTACTTTATTTGGTGGCAAATGAGTGAGTTGTCTTCTTTACCTTTAGAATGGGTTTCCTTTTAGTTCTTGGGACAAAAGAGTCCATTGGCTTTCTGGCTCTCGAAATCTGGGACAAGATGTGACTAAAGCAGGGATTGACAAAGTATGGTCCTCAGTCTAAATCCTGTTTTAATTGCCTGTTTTTTCAATAAAGTTTTATTGGAAAACAGCCATGCCCATTGATTTACATATTGTCTATGGCTACTTTTACATGACAATAGGAAAGATGAGTAGTTGTCACAAGGACCACGGGGCTCACAAGCTTAACATACTTACTATCTGGCCCTTTTCAGAAACTTTGTTGATCCCTGGACTAAAGAGCTAAGACAAGAACTCTCTGACCTCAGTGGGTCACAGAGTGATGCCTCAGATGGCTCTGGAGTCAAAAGACAAGTGGTGGAAGAGTCTACAATGAGGAAATCATTTAGAGACCCAACATCTCAATCTCATAGTGGAATCTGGCCATGGACTTGTTTCAAAGAATATTAATAAACTAGGCTCCACCCAATTTATTTGCTGTATCAAATGTTTTCAGTCTGTGCTGCAGTTCAAATAGTTTGACAAAAAATAAACAAGCTACTGGGGAGTGTGAATGATGACCAGGATCTGGGTGTAGCTTATTGTGACATTGTAAACTGTGGACTAAACAATTTCTTCTATTAAACATTGCTCGAACTGTTGAGCAGTTCTAAGTTAAAATCTGACAAAAACTAAAAAGAAAATATGTGCTTGACAAATAATGAAAATACAACCTATAGGCAGAAAACTGCATGATTTAGAAAAGCATTTTGATATTTTTATATTCATTCCAGGATAAAGGAACAAGCCCAACTTGAGGCCGGCAGGAAGAGCCTAACTTGGTTTCCATGACAAAGTATAGCCACTGCTGTTTTATATTACCCCTTCGTAGATGCTGCCAAAGAAAGTGGAGTATCCAAGGGAAGATGTTATATTGGTCACCTCTTCCTTCTGGCACCTGGTTAGCACTCCCATTCCCTTTTTCCTCTTATCCAATTTTCATCTCTATGCCTTCATTTTAATTTGATCGGCCTCACATCTTATTAACCGTTTTTCCAAATGTCCCTGCAGTGGTTTACCTTTTAAATTGTCGTCTTTAAAGAAAAACAAGCAACTTTGACACTCAAAGTAAAATATTAGCTTTTATGACTGATATGGTGACCCGGTGGGAGGTCATTGAATCATAAGGGCAGGTCTTTCCCATGCTATTCTCATAACAGTGAATAAGTCTCACAAGATCTGATGGTTTTATAAAGGGGAGTTCTGCTGCATACACTCTGTCTTGCCTGCTGCCATGCAAGATGTGACTTAGCTCCTCCTTTGCCTTCCACCATGATTGTGAGGCCTCCCCAGCCATGTGGAACTGTGAGTTGAATAAACCTCTTTCCTTTATAAATTACCTAGTCTCAGGTATGTCTTTATTAGCAGCATGAGAACAGACTAATACGATACCCATAGTAATGTCAATGATAATGATATTAGTTATAACCTGGTAGCCATCATCTACTGAACGTCTCTGATAAGTAAAACATTTGAAATACTTTATCTCACTTGATCATCATATCAGCCCTGGGAAGTAAATACAATTATAATTACTATTTTACTAATGAGGAAATTCAGGCTTAGGGAGATTATATAACTTACAATAATTTATGTATTCCACAAATATATATTGGCTGACTGCATGTTCCTAGTATAGTGCTGGGTCTACCACCGTGAACACTTAGCCATGAAGTATGGAGTCTGTACCCCCGCAATGTAGACAGATAATACACAAACAACAATAAAAACACGTGATTCCAAAGGGGGATAAGTGTTCAGGAGGAAAAGGACAGGGTGCTGTGAAGAACAGTAAGAGGCTACAATTAATACATGGTGGTCTGGCCCCAAGTTTGTCTAAACTGAAGCCTGTCTCTGAGGACTATGTTCTTAATTGACCTTTCTGTCCTTCCTCTATGGTACAGCACAGCCTAGAGCTGGATGGATGGGACTTTGACATCCCTGGGCCTGTCCAATGTATCTTGCCAGCTGGATTTCTCAATTGTCTACTTTCATCTTGGTCTTCTTTGGGTATGGAGACCCTATAGTCTTTCCCAGAAGGCTTTTCTACTATTTTTTTCTTTCTCCTTTTTTTTTTAACATATGGGCAAGTCCCTTCCTTCCTGTGTTCTTCCCTCATCCCCTCCTGCCTTTCTTCCCTCCTTTCCTTCCATCATCTGTTTATATTACTTTATTTCTACCAAAAATATAATGTATTCAACAAATGTTTATCTTTAATAAATTTATTCAATATTGAATAAATTTAATATTTATTTAAATATTATTTATTATTAAATGAATAAACCGAAAACCAAACCAAGACAACCACCATGAATCACCTTCCAGTGGCTTCTGGGTGATCTCAGAGTAGCACCAAGTCCTTAATGTGGCCTCTCCTGGTGTCCGTTGCAGCCTATTATTAAATATTAAATAAAATTAATATTTAATATTAAAATTAATATTAAGTATTAAATATTTAATAAACTTATTAAATATTAAATATAAAGAAATTTATCTTTAATAAACATTTGTTGAATGCATTATATTTTTGGTAGAAATATGACAAATTTTTATTGGTAACAGGGCTTAGCAGAGTCTTCTCTATAAGTACTTATTGACTAAGTGAATGTACTGGACTTAAAAGAAAACAAATTTAAAACAAACAGGATCCCTGTTCTCAAGGAGTTTACATTGGCTGAGCAGAAAGACACCTAGAAAGCAGGTACTAATGAGTAGGGTGCACTTTGGATGGCTCTCCAAAAATTCTACTGTGCAAAATTCTAACAGATTGGATTTGTCTCACAATTCTTTGAAGAGCTCACTTCAATGGTTCCCAAAGCTCTGATTTGTAGTTTGCTCATCAACTGTGTCTATGGATCTCTTGATGCAAAAGAAGGAAATTTTTTCAAAGCTCAAATAAGGCTCTGCAGGTCATTGTCCAGGATGGATTTACTAGCACTATTCCCAGTGGCATAAATTTATTAGGATGGTAGTGAGCAGAGTGATGATGAAGGGGGAAAGGGGTGGGTGTGTCACGTGAGACTTCCTCATCCATGTGCAATGAACTTGGCTACACAGTCAGTGCTCCCAAAGTTAATAATTTCCATTTGCATCATCAGCACTCCAAAGAATTTGATGGATATCCACAGATGAGCATGTGACTTACAGCCTCCTCCATAGAAAACTCATTCCATCAATAAAATATGTGTCCCTTTCACTCTAGGTCTACACAGCCCCCTGCCATTCTTTTTACATGCTATCCTCTCTTACAGCCTTGGATTCTTTCCTAGTGCTGCTGGAACAAATTACCACAAACTGGGTGGCTTAAAACAATAGAAATGAATTCTCACAAAGTTCTAGAAACTAGAGGCCTGAAGTCAAGGTGTCAGCAAGGCCATGCTCCTCTGAGGGCTGTAGGGGAGGACTCCTCCTTTCCTCTTCCAGCTCGTGGGGGCTGCCTGCAATCCATGGCATTCCTTGTTTTGCAGATGCATCACTCTGATCTTTTTCCCTGTGTGTGTCCGCGTCTTCACATCTCTCTCTGCTTGCAAGGACACCAGTCATTGGCTTTAGGTATCACCCCAATGCAGTATGAACTCATCTTTACTTGATTACACCTGCAAGGACCCCATTTCTAAGTAAGATCTTATCCACAGGTACTATGGATTAGTGCTTGGATGTGTATTTCTAGGGTATATGACACAACCCACCACAAATCTCATGCCTCCAAAATGTATCTGGAATCCTCACACTTCTCACTAGCTCCAGTGTGATCACCCTATCCTGACCACCATCTTCTCCCTCTTGGTGACTCCAGGCCTCCAGATGGGCCTCACTGCATCCTCTCCTGCCCCCTATGGTCACTCCCTACCCCGCAGCCAGTGTCATCTATTGGAAATGCAAATCATAGTGTTTCTTTCTAGGGAAAACCAAACTGGAACCACCACCACAAATCCCCTTCCAGTGGCCTCTGGGTGATCTCAGAATAACACCAAGTCCTTATGTGGCCTCTCCTGGTGTCCATTGCAGCCAGCCACAGTGGTCTCCTTCCCCTCCCTCAAATGCCTGGAGTTTCCTCCTGTCTCCAGTTACAGGATTTGCCATGGCCTCTGCCCATGAAGTGCTGCATGACCTTGCAGGACGGGCTTCTTCTTTTGTTCAGGTCCCATCCCAAATGTCATCCTGACAGATGCCATCCCTGGTCTCCTGATCTATAACATTTTTCCTGTCCCCCAGTTCCCCACGCTGTTCCTCTTGTCCCACACACAGATGCCTTTCTGCACGACATTATAATTGCCTGAATTATGTTGTTCATTTATTTTAATGAGGTGTGTCTATCTCTGCAGCCCACCAAAATGTCAGTCCCATTAGAGCAGGACTGGTCTCTCCTGGTCCCATGGTGTCCTCGGTGCCTGCACAGTGTCTAGCACTTACTGGGTGCTCAAAAGTCTCTGTTGAGTGACTGGATGGAGGGATGAAGTGACTATCCATAAGGTGATGATATTTGGCTATCTGATCTAGACTGTGAGATATTGAAATAAGGCAATTAGAAGAAGAAGAGGTGCTGTTGACAGTGAGCAGATTGGCCATTGAGGGAGGAATCCAAGACTGGTGACACATGGCAACATCAGAGCTCAAATGTGTAGAGTGACCTGGGGACATTTAGTGTAGGGGCAAAGAAAGTGAGCCCTTCAATAGCTCATGCAAACCTGGCTTTTGTGAAGGGACTATCCCAGGTCTCCTCCACCTGTAAGCGCAAATGAAGCTACATGAAGAGCAGGGACTCCAATCCCTTGCTCTTGTCCTCATCTGGCTCATGGTCTCCATCCATCCCCACCTGGCCCTAAGCCTTTTTGGTTTCCATGGGAGCCTCTCTCATGAAGTGTGTGGTGCTCTCAGTGAGATCTCAGGCCCTGTGCCAGGGTGCTCCCTCTCGAAGCTGCCCAAATCACCTGTCCTTGAGGGTCTGCACCCTGCTGGGTCCCCAAAGGCCTTTCCTCTAGCTCCAGTAACCACAGCAAACATTTCATGGCCCTTGCTTATGTGCCAGGCACAATTCTGAGTCCTTTATGTAAATAAATGCACCTCATTTCATCAATCCAGACACTCTCCCCTACCTCCTACATTTTAACATCTCTAAAATTGGGATGCATCCTACAATGATATCATAGACCCAGTTGAATAGGAATGTCAACCCTGCCAACAACCTTCTGAGGAGGGTGCTATTATTATCCTGCCCTCAAGAGAAGGCACAGGGAATTTAGGGAATCTCTGTTATGTACGCTGCTGAGCTGTAATTCAGCCACAGCTCAGAGCCCAAGCTCTTCAAGGAAGCACTTTATGCTACCCTGGTCACCTGCACACCAAACCACATCATTATCTGTCTCTCCCTTCTGTCCATTTCCTTTGTGACCATGGAACTTAGAGCATGCACCCTCAAATAAGCTCTTTTCTCCTTTGTAGCCCATTTAAAGGCCTTCTTGAATATCAACTTATGTAGTTACACCCTCAGAAGGGTCACCAGGCCAACTATTCCACAGACTCTGAACCCAGTTTGGGTTTTCCCAGAGACTTTGTTTATAAGCTAAGTACTTTTAGCTGCAAGAAAAAGAATCTCTTGACTATAATGACTTCACAGGAAGACACTCATTTTTTCACTTACCCAGAAATTCAGGAAAGGCCAGGTGGGAAAGGGGGTTCTATCTGGGAATAATTCAGCAGCTTAGAGATGCTTTCAAGGACTCAGGTGTCTGCTTTCCTTGGGGTATTATCATAGCTCCTGATCAGGTAGACACAGCTATGTCCAGAAGAGAAATTATCTCTTTCTCATCTCTTTTTATTTAGACTCAAAACAAAACAAACTCCCTTCACCCTCAACTTTTCCACAAGTTCCCCAGAATGTTCCATTGGTCAAGTTTGAGTCATGCATTCAGGCTCTAGCTGCAAGGCAGGCTGAGGAAGCTGGTGCCTGGCCATATCAGTCTGGACAATGGCAGATGGGCTTCACCAGCAAAGGAGTGGGTGAGTTGGTGGGAAGGGTTACAACAGTGCCTGTGAGTCCTGCTATTAACTGGCAAATTTTGTGCAATCAGAGATGTTCAATGATGCCGAACCTGAATATCCAAAAAAGGTTAATTGAGCTCATTATTATCAGTATAAGCATCCAGGGAAGCAGGTACTATATTTTAGAATATTTTCTATCCTCTATGTTTAAAAACAAAAGCTTTTGTGTATCAATTTTCTAGAAAATTCACTTTCATAGAACCTTCATCCTCTGATAATTCCACATCGATTAAACATGATTGTAAGTGAATAACTTGCTCTTCTAATTGGCCAATCATACCAAAGAAATCTTGGTAAGTAATTATTTGAGCTCCGACCAATTTATAGTCAGGCTGATTCTCAAACAGGCTTACTGAATTGTCTTTAGGGCCTTTCCCTATGTCTTCCTTTTCTCTTGCTTTTTCTAGCAGAGTAGAAAAAAATGGGCAAAACCTGAAATTTAATTAATATCCAGACAGTTATACTCCGGGCAGAGCATTGGTGGGATGAAACACTTGAAACTCATGATTTCAGAGAGCTTTGGGGGCTTATTCTTGAGTACTTGAGTAAACTATCCCTGTTTTTCCTGTGATTCTTAGATCCTTGCTATTAAATTCACAGAGCCACTGTGTTTTGGAACCAAAAGGCACATTAGAATTTCAGAAATATTTCATTTTTAAATGACTGATTAATGGTACCTTAATAATGCTTATTATTGATAGAAGATTTAACTTATTTTTCCTAGTATGGGGGAAACTGAGAATCACATGATTTGTTTAAAGTCACAAACAGTTACTAGCAGAAGACTCTAAACTGCAGCACACTCCCATGCCCGACTGGAACAATTGGAACAAACATAGTTGTGATGACTTCTTTGTTCTTTCTCTCATTTTCTTGTTGTGGTCTATGAGGAAATTCATCTGAGGATCAGAAACAGTACGACTCAAATAATATTTAATTATAAATGAGAAGAGTCAGAGTGGCCTCCTGCCAATAAAACTCCTTTGCTTTTAACCTTTGCAAATGCAATGACCAGAATAAATGATGCTCTGAATGGGCTCACGTAATCACATTTAGTTGCCTTTCTGACCTTATCTTGGAAAACATTATAAAGGCATGTTTTCTAAGTATTGTGTACAGGGCATGTGTAGGATATAAGATTTCTGTTAAAAACCACTCAAATCGTCTTTAAACAATTGATGTTCAAATATGAACTGTCTGCTTGGAATCATAAATATTTACAAGGCTGACATTTGATTATTTTTTATGAAAGTAGAGAAAACACTTCAGCTGCCATTTAGGTGTTTGGAGAGGTGTTTGCTTTTGTTTTTCGGAGATGTTTGGGCACTCCTTGTTATTGACTGCCTCGCTGGTCGGTTTTAGGAAGCTTCCATCTTGTGGCAGACACAAATGCCTTAACATCTTGGGAAATTCCCATTGCAGATTATGATCAGAGGCACAGGGTAGTTAAATAACTGGGCCAAAAGTCACAGAGCCAGTAAGTGGAGTAGCTGAATTGAAACCAGGTGGTCTGGCTTCTGAGTCCATTGTTATTATCCACAGTGCTACATTGCCTCCCATTGTATCTGCTGTAGTCACTATCCACTCATTGACTAGCTGCTCTTGTCAATATTCAGCCAAGCATTTGCAAATCCTACTGTGTCCTCTTGTCACCTTTGTGTGGTGGTCAGATGCTCAGGTGCTGAGGAGGACAGGAGGAGATTGGACAGGAGAGGTCCGTAGGCAACGGGCCCCATAAAGTCCACCAGAGAAGCCTGGCTCTACAGACCTGGTCCTCCGTGGACTGGGACACGACAATTGCAAAGGATCATCATCATGAAGAATGAAAAGCCAGGAGCTCTTTGGTAGCCAGGATCATACACTGGAGAACAGAAGAGAGCTGGGGTTTGGTGGTTACCTCAGCAGCTGTGTGTCCAGGATGGACTAGGAATTTCCGGGTGTTCCGTTGAAGGCACTTTCTCAAACTCTCACTGTATCCACAAAACCAGAGTCCAGCTCATATCGAGGAAACTGCAGGAAAAGAAAAATCAGTTTCAAGGACAGCTGCCAAGACAGAGCAGGTAGAATCTTGATGTTTTTTGTTGTTGTTATTGGTGGTTTTTTTGTTTTTGATTTGCTCCAAAAGGCAAATAGTCAGGAAACTTTTATACGAGGCTTGAGCAGGAAGGGAGTTACTTTGTGACAAAAAATTTTTTGATGTCTTTTTGGGGGAAAGGAAGAGAGATCAGACTGTTACTGTGTCTATGTAGAAAAAGGAAGACAAAAGAAACTCCGTTTAGATCTGTACAAAGAAAAATTGTTCTGCTTTGAGATGCTGTTAATCTGTAAGTTTAGCATACACTTAATCTGTAAGTTTAGTGCTGGAGCTGGCTTCTGCTGGCTGGCTTCCCAAGTCTGGGTTTAGTGACTTTGCATTAGTAGTTTGAAATTGGCCACAGTAGGAGTGTTCATACCATAGAAAGTGGTAAATTCTACAGATGAAGTTTCCTCCAACCCTGGTCCCTCCCGCTAGCCAGTAGTTAAACATTTACAAACACACTCATGGAAAGGAGTGAAAGTCACAAAAATCAGTTTAGATTTAATTCCTTCCCAATTAGCGGGATGTCCTTGCTCTTGAGCCAGGCTTCCAAATCCTGCTGAAGTCACCACCTGGGACCACTTAGGCTTATTTTCCCCTTCTCCTTAACCAACTCTGCTCTCCTCTGTCTTCTGAAATTCCATTCTGAATGTGCCTCAATCCTTTCCCATCTCCATCCAGATGCTTTGGCCTAATTCTGGGCTACTCTTTTGACTCTGGTAGCAGCTTCTTAACTTGTGCCATTGGACAGAGTCTTGCCCTGCTTAGCAGCTGTCAACCCCCCCTTTAATCCCTGGGATGATCTTTCTAAAACACAACACAAGGTACATCTATTGCCAGGCACTTGTTTTAAAAGAAACACCTTAGCTTGTTATGGAAGACTTGGCCGCAATCTCTTTCTCACTCTTTCTGTCCAGCTTCATCTCAGGCTCCTTCCTTTGCCTCACCTTGCATTTTAGCCTCACTGAGCTCTGCTGCTGGAAGGAAACCCTGAGTCCCCACAGCATTTTGTGCAAGCCATGATGATCACTCACACCCCATTATGTTGAAATCCATGTATTCCTCTATCTTCCTCTGATCTGTGGTCCTCAATCACCAGGAAGATGTCTACTCCATGTAGTCACTATCATAGATCTCTATTGGTTTGTTTACTCATTACCACTCCTTCATCTTTTTCTTTGGGAAACTGTTTATCTCACCCCTACCCTGTTTCCATGGCTCCAGGTGGCCCCCTTTTGAACCTCCATCCAAGACGATGTAGGACCTTGGCTCAAGATGGGCCAAGTAATGTCTTCTTTGGTATATTGGAACTGGAAGAGAGTGGAGGGAAAGCAAGCTTCTTTTCTTGGTGCCTGGAATGTAAGATGTAAAATTCAAAGAATGTCTGGTGGTCATATTCTTCTGATGTGTGGACTGAGAGTGAAAGAAGCCAGTCTTCAGTAGAAGTTATCGCCTGCTGATGTGTAGCCAAGTAGACATGAGAGACTCATTTGTGAAATTGAATAGCAAGTATGTTAACAAGAAGGTAAAAACAACTTCTTGTATTTTCTGGCAAGTTTTAATTAAGGAAAACTCTAAAATATTAATTAAAACTAGCCACCTCCCACCAATTTTAGTTAAAATTATAAGACAGCACAGCATGTATGACTCAAATCTGCTTACTGCTTTTTGAGAACTTAAGTGTTTGATTTTTATTCTTCTCAGACTTTTCATCTTTTAATACCAGAGGTATTGGTTTCAGTCATATGATGGGAAAGAGGGATTTCTGGATTGACTCTGTTCCAGAGACTGGGCTGCCTTTAAGGTGTTGTGTTATTATGACATCTTTCCAATAAAAAGCCTTGTTTGCTTCAGCTAGTTTGGATTGGGATTTTCTAGTAACTTCTGTAAAATATTAAAAATAATGCCTCCACCCAAGATATCCATGTCCTAATCCCTGAAACCTATAAACATATCACATGACATAACAAATGGAAATTAAAGTAGCAGATGGAATCAAGATTGCTAATTAGTGGATTTTAAAATAGGGAAATCATCCTGGATTATCTGGGTGTACCCAATATAATCACAAGCATCTTTAGAAGTGGCAGAGGGAGACAGCAGAGAAGTTCAGAGTGATGGGATGTGAGGAGGATTTGACCCACTGTTGCTGACTATGAGGATGGAAGAAGGGGCCATGAGGAAGGTGGAGGGGCTCCAGGAGCTGGAAAAGGCAAAGAAACAGATTCTCCCCAAGAGGCTCCAGAAGGAACACAGCCTTGCATTCCTTGATTTTAGCCCTGTAGGACCTGTGTTGGGCTTCTGATCTGCAGACCTGTAAGATGATAAATTTGTGTTGCTTAAGCCACTACGTTTGTCACAGCAGTAAAAGACAATTCATATACTCTAGCAAACTTATAATCATTAAGACCATCTCTGCTTTTAATATCTCAAATGTTCCAATTCTCTTCTGTGAACACATTTCTCCATTTCTGCTCTTTGGTCTTAGTAAGATTCTTAATTCCTTATGTTCTTCAGTCTCTGCTTCCACACACACATATTTCATTTTCCTCCAAATGATGCAAATCTTCTAGCAGAGTTGCTGGCACATGAAAGGCATCCATTAGAGTAGTGATAGTAGTAGTGGTTTTGATTATTGTTATCATACTAAAGGGATTTCTTACTTCTACAGAGCCTAGAACAATGCCTCCCTTAGAAGTAGTTGTGATGAAACATTTGTGAAATTGAATAGCAAGTATGTTAACAAGAATGTAAAAACAACTCTTTGTATTTTCTGGCAAGTTTTAATTAAGGAAAACTCTAAAATATTAATTAAAACTAGCCAGCTCCCACGATTTTAGTTAAAATTATAAGACAGCACAGCATGTATGACTCACATCTCCTGCTTACTTCTTTTTGAGAACTTAAGTGTTTGATTTTTATCCTTACTCTCAGGCTTTTCATCTTTTAATACCAAAGGTATTGGTTTCAGTCATATGATGACAAACTGAAAGCCATTAATGTTTTTCAAAAGATGAGATGAACCCATCAGCTCATACACATTATTCAATTAGGAACTTGTAATTTATGTTCAGCTGACCAAGTTGTATGTCTTCAGACATTCCTATTGATTTTAATTTTATTTTATTCAATATTTTGAATGAACAAGTTGTCCAATAACTTGAGATTTAGTAGCTTTGCCTTCTCTAGAATTTTTAACTGCCTCCTGAAGTCTATCTATACGACCTTTGTCATTAATGTGGGACCTGTCATATGAAGAGTTTGTGAGAACTCAGAATGTAGTTGTTGTAAATAGCAACCAAAGTTTTAAAGTAAAATCAGCATTTTGCTGAAATGTAATTCAGAAGCCTGCTTGAGCATAGTATAAATGTGATTAGGGTAATACGCCTGGGTTTTAATGAACAGGCTGCAGAAATGAGGGGACACTTGGTGCAGTTTGTAGCCAGGCTTGGGAGCCGGAGCTCAAATCTCAGTTTGATATTAACTTGTGGCCTTAAGTCAATTACTTGACTCTTCATTTTTATGTTTTTTAAAAAAACTGTGGAATGCTTCAAATATGCAAAATAACATAACGAACTTACCTTCTAGCTTTAATAAGTGTTAACTTTTTTTCATATTTGCTATGGCTCTTTTTTGGGAGGTAAGAGAGAAAACACTGCAGATCTGTGTAAACCCCCCTCTTGCATGCCTCCCCTTTCCCCAGCCCCTTCCTCTCCTTCTTTCTGTGGAGTAGCTTCCACCATAAAGTTGGTGTGTTGTACTCTTATGTCTTAAAGAATGAGTTCTACATGTTTTTAAACTTTGCATAAATGGTATCCTACTGTGCATATTTTGCAGCTTCCTTCTTTTACATACCATTTTTGAGGATTAACCATGTCAGCATTGCTCTTAGTCATTTGAAATGCTTTGCCATTTTCTATTAGACAAACATGTGACAGCTTATTTTTCTATAATTCTATCCATAGATTTTAAAATTACGCTCAGTGAGAAACAATGATGTAGCAAGCATTTTTGTGCATAGGCTTGAGGGAGAGTTTTTCTAGATTAGAAAAGTAGAAAAGGAAGTGTTGGGATTTAGTGCACGTGCATCTTGAACTTCCCCAAATCTTGTCACATTGCCCTCCGAAATGACTGGCATACCAGCTGTGTGTGACAGTCTTGTTTCTCTGCATTCTTACTGTTTTGGTGGTCCCCAAGATTACTCCTCAGTTCAGCAATTTCCTAGAAGGACTCACAAGACTCTGTAAGAGTTATTACCCATGGCTAGGATTTATTCCAACAAAAAGATACAAAGCAAAATCGATAAAGGAAAAAGGCAAGACAGGCCAAGACTTGGGAGACCAGTTTCCAGAATCCCTTCACAATGGAGTGGTACAGAACATGCTTATTCCTCCAGCAACTCACTGCAACAAGAGCTATGAGTTTTCTTTTCTTTTCTTTTCTTTTCTTTTCTTTTCTTTTCTTTTCTTTCTTTCTTTCTTTCTTTCTTTCTTTCTTTCTTTCTTTCTTTTTTTTTTTGAGACAGAGTTTTGCTCTTGTAGCTCATGGAGTGCAGTGGCGTGATCTCGGCTCACTGCAACCTCCACCTCCTGGGTTCAAGTGATTCTCCTGCCTCAGCCTCTCGAGTAGCTGAGATTACAGGCACCCAACACTGTGCCTGGGTAATTTTTGTATTTTTAGTAGAGACGAGGTTTCACCACGTTGGCCAGGATGGTGTCGATCTCTTGATCTTGTGATTCGCCTGCCTCGGCCTCCCAAAGTGCTGGGATTACAGGAGTGAGCCGCTGTGCCCAGCCGTGCTGTGAGTTTTCTGCCCAGAGAAGCTTGTTTAAGCCTAAAGGTCTAGAGTTTTAAATGGAGTCTGGTCCTACAGCCTTTGTGACTAGCTATAGTTATTGAAACTCCAGACCTGCAGAAGGAAAGCAAATGTCCGCCACAAACCACAGAATTTGCACAAATTGTCTAGACAAGCTGGTACTACATGGTTAAAGGCTCCAAGTGTTTAAAATGCCCTGTTAGTAGCATAGGAAATAGCTCAGTTACCAGGAGCCAGCCAAGGGCTGTCACACAGCAGGCCCCGCTGAGGATGCACAAGATTTGAGCAATCAGGCCTGCTGAGTTCATTTTTCTGCACGTTTGACAACTTGATATTTTCATCATAAACTTTTAGTCAACTTGATGAGTGTGAACTAGAACCTCATTTGTATTTTAATTTGCATTTCCTTGATTATGAGTGTGACCAAGTGGGTTTCCTCTTCTCTGACTTGCCTGTTCATTTATAATGCACATTTTTCCTTGAAAGTTTTTCCTACTTTTTTTCTTGATTTGCAATTCTTTCCACATTTTAAATATTAAATCCCTTGTTGGATGTATGTATTGCAGATATCTTCTCCTCGTCTCTAAATTGCATTTCTTTTCCATTCCTGGGTTACTGAGTTATTTTCTATGAATGAAGGCTGAATTTTCTTGAATGGTTTTTCTTTATTCATTGGTGGATTAGTCTCTTGCGGCCACTGGAACAAATTGCCACAAACTGGATAACTTAAAATAACAGAAATTTATTCTCTCACATTCCTGGAGACCAAGGTCTAAAATCCAGGTGTCAGCAGGACTGGTTCCTTGTGGAGGCTCTGAGCAAGAACCCATTCCATGCTTCTCTTCTAGGTTCTGGGGGCTGCAGGCAATGCTTTGTGCTCCCTGGCCTGTAGCTGTGTCCCTCGAGTCACGGAATCTGTCTTCACAACACCTTCTCCTCTGTCTTCCATGTGTGCCTCTTATAAGGACACCTGTCACTGAAATTCAGGCCTATCTAGATAATCCAGGATGATTTCCTCATCTCAAGATCCTTAATTATATACACAACGATACTTTCTCCAAATACGTTAACATTCACAGTTTCAGGGATTAAGATGAGGATGTATATTTTTTGGGGGGCCAACATGCAGCCCAGTATAATTGAGATGAGACTATCATTTTCTCCTTTCATCTGTTATTGTAGTAGATTATATTTAAAGATATTCTAATGTTGACCCATTTTTGCACTCCTAGGATAAATTCTAGTTGGCCCTAATGTTTTTTTTAACCCATCTCAGTGCAACCTGAAGGCCCTAATATTTTAATTAAGTGTGTGTGTGTGTGTGTGTGTGTATGAGATAGAGCCAAATTCAGTTTCTTTCTTTCTTCCTTTCCTTCCTTTCTTTCTCTCTCTCTCTCTTCCTTCCTTCTTTTCTTTTCTTTTCTTTCTTTCCCTCAATTTTTTTTTTTGACAGAGTCTAGCTTTGTTGCCCAGGCTGGAGTGTAGTGGTGTGATCTCTGCTTACTGCAACCTCTGCCTCCCAGATTCAAGCGACTATCCTGCCTCAGCCTCCCAAGTAGCTGGGATTACAGGTGCACACTACTGTGCCCAGCTAACTTTTTTTTGTATTTTTAGTAGAGATGGGGTTTCACCATGTTGGCCAGGCTGGTCTTGAACTCCTGACCTCAAGTGATCCACCCTCCTCAGCTTCCCAAACTGCTGAGATTACAGGCGTGAGCCAAATTCAATTTCTTTATATTAATATTTAACATTTTTACATCTGTGTTCATAAATGAGATTAAATTACGGTTTATTTTATTGCCTGGTTTTGATTCAAAAGTCTCATAAAATGAGGCCTTCCTTCTTTTCTACTCTCTGGAATAGTTTGTAGAAGATTAAAAAAAAACTTACATGTCTAAATATGCTTTACCTTCCTCGGGCTCAGTTTCATCACAGATCAAGTGAGGATATTGCTGCCATCAACTTTGTGAATTGTTGAAATTTTGTGAGATGAGCCATGGTAAAGGACTTGGCACACAGTGAGTGCTCAGTAAGGTTGGCCATTGTTACTAACTTTGACACCCGTTTTGAAGAGCCCTTAGCTTTGCAGTTGTTGGCACTTCCTGAAACTGTCCTCTTTTGAGATTTCTCTGAACTACCTCAAAGCCTCACAGTGAGAAGCATCTGGTGTAGAGGAGTGAACATTCTGAACGAGAATCTCAGACAATCTGGCATGGTCATTTATTGCCTGGGTAATATTGATCAGAATACTTATCCCCTCCTTTTTTGTTTTAGAAAAGAAAGAAATTCTCTTCTGTTTCTTGTGCAGGGACAGCATGAGTTTGTGTTTGTTTGTTTGTTTGTTTGTTTGTTTGTTTGTTTGTTGTTTGTCTGTTTCTTAAGTTCCGGAGAGATTCTCATCTGCAAAAAGAAAAAATAAAACCCTCAAAATCCCCAAAACACATGCTATGAGGAGTTGCTGCTCTCTGTGTCTCAGCTAATCCTCTCCCTACCTGAAGAAAGAGATGAGTCGCTTTGTCCCCATCTACTCAGTTCCATCCACTCAAGCAAAGAACTTACCTTATCTCAAGGGGACAAAAAGAATGTGTTTATTAATGGGCCAAGCAGATTTCATTTGTCTTTAAGTGTGTCCAAGTTGATTAGGAACAATATTCAACATAATAAGGGGCACCATTTATGGAGATCTTATTTCATTCAAGACACCTTGCTGAAGTCACTACATGCATCCCACCAGCATGTTGTGAGTCTGCCAGTATTTAGTTATCTTCATTTTATAGATGAGGACACCAACACTTGGAGAGGTGAAATAATATGCCCAACATCACAGATGTATGGATATTTATTTAATCCTTAAACTTATTCCCTTAATCTGACCAAGCCACAGATTTGCCAGAGATTAGCTGATGGAAATCCCAGAAGGTCTCATTCAGATAAGAAGAGACTGGGATCCCCAGTATCTCTGAGCAGCCAATGTGAGCTGGAGTCGGCCCAGGTGGTGGCTGGAACATCATGGGACCTTCTGCATGAAGGGACCACTTCTTGGTCACTGTTTGATCACAATTTGCTATGCACCATTTGCCATGCAGAGCATTCTCATGTATGTTAACTCACTTGATCTTCACATCCATGCTAAAGAAGTATAAACACCTGAGCTTATCTAGAAGGATCCAAAGCACAGTTCAGGCTATTTGTCCCAAGCAGCCATTGCCTGACTTAAAAAATGGGAAGGGGCAATAAAACCATTAGCATACTGTTAGTAAACGTGACTGCACTTAACTAACTGCACTTAACTTTGTTAGAGGTTTGACACATAAAATATGACCACGACTGTGCTGTCTGCTCCAAAGGTCAACAGACCCTCCCCTGGGATTCTCCAAAGCTACAAGGAATGATTAATGAGCCTCATTAGCCAGGGTAATTGGGTGTTAGGAGAGCTACAGCTTTTGCCCTGATGGGAGTAACAGACGCCAACCCAGACATGCTGCTCAGCCCTGTTATTAATGAGGCTCACATAAGTTTTAAGGTACTTTCAAAAACTCCAACCTGACTCTTCTTTGGGTTGGTTAAAGAAGAAATGAAAACAAATCGGATTGCCAGTTTGGGTAGCTTTTAACCACTGGTGTAAAGGACTCAGAAGTCATTATCTCAGTCATAGAAGCCTTTTCCATTCAGTTTCTTAACAATGGTAATGAGGAAAATAAATGTGAAAAGAATGTCTCAGTAATGATGTATGCCATCTCAAAGCCATTTTATCACAGAATGCCAGGATGTTCGAGAAGATGACAGTAGTGCTTCTGGGAGGCCATTCTTCAAAGAACTGGTGACATTCGTTGCTATTAATTGGTGACATTAATTGCTATTTGTTTAAAATAGCAGCTTGCATTTAATCTAATTTCTGGAGCCATCTCTTTGGCCTTTTGGAGTGGCCCACACATAATTTCTTTGTGATCAATGCTATAATCACACCATTGTTTCATCAAAGATGGCTTCATAAGTGTTTGTTGAGTGAATCTAAGCTTCCGGCGGTAGTAGACCACACTGACTTGGTTCTGTGTTAAGTTTCTGGAATAGAAAATGAGCCTAGATTGCTGTTTATGTCCAAGATGGGAGCCGGTACTACCTTTGATACAAAAATGCAGAAGATGTGTTTCTTGCCCTTCAAAAAGCTGACCATCCAGCATATATCAGGATGAAAGGCAGGCTTCTTATCATACGCCACTGGTGTTTGGTTGGCTGGTTGGTCATGGCTGCCTGGAGTGCTGTGTGGAGAAAATTCTGAGACTTCATCTAGGTCAGTGGAAAAAAAACACTGTGATCAAAGAAAACATCTATCATGGACGAGTTGGGCAGGAAGAGGGCGCAATGCTACATATTTTCCATCCCTATTTCAAAGAGCATAAATAGACATTATATCACAAGTGCCAAGGAGCACAGGAAAGATAGAAATAATACTTGGTTGTTGTTCACATGAGGGTGAAAATACCTTCCCCTCCAGGGCCAGTGGTTGTTCTGTCCACTGTAGACAGACCCTGTGGGTGCCTTATGGGGGAGGAGGCTTGCGTCACACACAGCTTGGCACCTGTGATGGCAGCTGGTCTATGGAGATGCTGCTGAGAGTCCGGCAAAACTGCTTTTGTAACTGACCACAAATCCAGTTAGGGGTTGATAAACCCCAAACACTCCCTGGTCTTTGGAAACATTATAGAGTTTATTACATAGAAGAGCTTGACTTTTAGATCAGATGAATGGGTTTTGTTTCTTATGTCCATAATGCAGCTTTAAGAAGCCTCCAGGTTTGTGGATGGGGCTGGGTTAGAGACCTCTCACAGCAACAAGCTTACCACACCACCCAGCACGTGGAATTCAGCATGAGACTGACTTAAACCATTACAGCGATTTGTTTTCGCAGTGACACAAAACTTACATACATGCTGAAATTAAGTGGCCTCTCACTGGGTTTTTGAGTTTCTTCTTTCTCTCCCTTCTTTGTCGGTGCCCTGGGTATGTATTTACTTTGCTATTGGGTAACCCAGTCCTGTGCTTTATGGTCATCTAGAGCCTGTGCCCATATTCACTCCAGGCTTTACCGGCTCTAGGTCTGGTCTCTGAAAAATAGGCTTTAAAGAAACTCGTATTGATGCCATTCCCAGTGGCTTATTTGCTTTGCCCTCATAGGCAGTAAAGAGATCATGAGCAGAACTGACAGAGCAGGCAGGATCAGAGGAAATGCTCAGTATCTGGAAGGAGCTATAATTCTTCTGACACCTCTGCTTTCAGGAGCATGGAACCTGCTAGAAAGGGGCATCTCCTGACAGTCCAGTGGGCTTCTTAGTGCTGCCCCCACCCAGGATTAAAGCCATCTCAAGTTCTCATAAGGCCCTAAGCAGCCAGCCTGCTAGATTGAAACTAGGCATTGGGAAATCCCTTGGCTCTAAAGAATCCTGGTTATAACACTCTGAAAAAGACAAATCTGTCCCCCTGTATATCAACAGATCTAAGGAGCCCCATCTGTCCCCACATCCTTCAATAAAGAGGTTATTAGTAGCCAGTACTTCTGACATCCATTGCATGAAGGAACACAGTGTTTGCCATGTCGAGTGAACACCCATCTGGGTGAGGAGAGGCTAGCAGGGCTGGGCTACAGGTAGTCCCTACCTGTGACTTGCTTTCCCAAGCAGTTTCTAAAGGCACGTCTCAGCTTTGCTATTCATTGGTTAGTCTTATGGCAGAGATGCTCATTTGGACCATCAGACCCAACACATTTCTTGCCTGTGTGTTCTGCCCCGGCCTAGACATTAAACATTTGAACACAGCATCTGCCTTCACTGGGACTCAGTCCAATAAGGGAGAAAGACACACAGACATTTATGACCCAGTGCCATAAGGGCTGTCTTAGTGGAGTCACCCTTTACTCCTCTCTTTCTCTCATATTTCATAATCCGTCCTGTTGGCTTCTAACCAAGGTGGTGAATCTGACCACCTCTGCTCAAAATCCACTGTTGTCTCTCAATTCACTTTAGAATGTCCAACCAGGCTCCACATGCCTGCTCCCTGAAGTCTCTTCCAAATGCCATGTCCTGCTCACCCACTCTGCTCCAGCCAAACCTGTCTCCTGTCTTAAGCCTATCTGAAATGCTTGGGACCAGAGGTGTTTGGGATTTGGGATTTTTTGGGGGGAATATTTGCATTATACTTACCAGTTGAGCATCCCAAACCCCAAATCCAAAATAGCCTAATGAGAATTTCCTTTGAGCATCATGTTGTTACTCAAAAAGCTTTGGATCTGGGGGCACCTCAGATTTGGGGTTTTCAGATTTGGGAGGCTCAACCTGTATCTGTTCCTCAGCCAGGAATATTTGTCCTCTACAAATGGGTAACTCCCTCTTTCAACTTTGTGTACAGATGTCACCTACTCTGTGAGGTCTACCTGACCACCTATTTTACTTTTTAAACTTATTTTTTATTGAAGTAGGATATATATATATATATATATATATATATATATATATATATATATATGTAATTTACCATCTGTACCATTTTTAAGTGTACAGTTCAGTGGCAGTAAATACATTTATATTCTCCCTTTTCCCCCTCATTCTCCCTTTCCTCCTTTCTTCCCAGCCTTTGGTAACTGACCCCCTATTTTAAATGGGAAGCTGCCTTCCCACCCTTGTACTCGTGTACATCTTTTTTCTGCTTTGTTTTTTCCCATGGAGTTTCTCATTGTCCAGTAGACTGACATACATTATTTTACTGTACTTTGCTTTTTGAGCTTCACAGATATTGGAATTTTTACAAATGGAATGTTTGTGGCAACCCTGCCTTAAGCAAGTCTATCGGTGGCATTTTTTCCAATAATATGTTTGCTTTGTGTCTCTGTGTCACATTTTGGTAATTCTGACCATATTTCAAACTTCATTATTATTATTTCTTTCAATTATTAGATTTGTTACAGTGATCTGCCATTGGTGATGTTTGTTACTATTGCAGTTGAAAACAAACCGTGTTCATAGATGACAAACTTAATTGATACATGATGTGTGAGTTCTAACTGTTCCATAGACCAGCTGTTCCTCCACCTCTCTTCTTCTCCCTATTCCCTGAAACACAACAGTGTTGAAATGAGGCCGATTAATAACCCTACAATGTCCTCTGAGTGTTCAAGTGAAAGGAAGAGTCCCACCTCTCTCACTTTAAATCAAAAGCTAGAAATTATTAAGCTTAGCGAGGAAGGCATGTTGAAAGCTGATGTAGGTCACAAACTAGGCCTCTTGTACCAGTTAGCCATGTTGTAAATGCAAAGGAAAAATTCTTGAAGGAAATGTAAAAAGTGCTCCTCCAGCGAACACATAAATGATGAGAAAGCAAAACAGCCTTATTGCTGATATGGAGAAAGTTTGAGTGGTTTGGAGAGAAGATCAAACCAGCCACAACATTCTTTTAAGCCAAAGTCTAATCTAGAGCAAGGCCCTAACTCTCTTCAATTCTATGAAAGCTAACAGAGGTAAAGAAGCTGCAGAAGAAAACTTGGAAGCTAGCAGAGGCTGGTTCATGAAGTTTTGGGAAAGAAGCTTTCTCTATAACACAAGAGAGCAAGTTGAGGAAGCAAGTGCTGATGTAGAAGCTGCAGCAAGTTATCCAGAAGATTTAGCTAAGATTACTGATGGAGGTGGCTACATCCAACAGATTTTTGAGGTAGACAAAATACCCTTCTGTTGAAAGGAGATGCCATCTAGAACTGTCATAGCTAGAGAGCAGAAGTCAATGCCTGGCTTCAAAGCGAAAAAGGACAGGCTAGCTCTCTTATTAGAGGCTAATACATCGGGTGAGTTTAAGTTGAAGCCAATGCTCGTTTTCCATTTTGAAAATCCTAGGGCCTTTATGAATGATGCTAAATCTACTCTGTCCATGTTCTATAAATGGAAAAAGAAAGCCTGGATGACAGCATACCTGTTTACAGCAGGATTTACTGAAAATCTTAAGCCTACTGTTGAGACCTTTTGCTCAGAAAAAAGATTCCTTTAAAAAATTACTGCTCATTGACAATGTACCCAGTCACGCAAGAGCTCTGATGGACATAGACAAGGAGATAAATGTTGTTTTCATGCCTGCAATTACAGCATCCACTATGCAGCCCATGGATCAAAGATTCATTTTGACTTTCAAGTCTTATTATTTGCAAAATACATTTTTAAGGCTATAGATGCCATAGATAGTGATTCCCCTGATGGATCTGGAAGGTCAGTTGAAAACCTTTTGGAAGGGATCACTATTCTAGATACCATGAACAACATTTGTGATTCATGGGAGGAGGTCAAAATATCAACATTACCAAGAGTTTGGAAGAAGTTGATTCCAACCCTCATGGATGACTTGGAGGGGTCCAAGGCCTCAGTGGATGAAGTCATTGTAGATGTAGTGGAAATAGCAAGAGAACTAGAATTAGATGTGGAGCCTAAATATGCGACTGAATTGCCGCAATCTCATAATAAAACTTGAATGAATGAGGAGTTGCTTTTTATGGTCGAGGAAGGAAAAGTAGTTTCTTGAGATGGAATCTACTCCTGGTGAAGATACTGTGAACATTTTTGAAATTACAACAAAGGGATTTAGAATAATCCACCAACTTAATTGCCAAAGCAGCAGGTTTTGAAAGGATTGACTTCTAATTTTGAAAAAAGTTATACTGTGGGTCAAATGTGATCAAACAGTATCACATGTTACAGAAATATCTTTCATAAAAGGAAGATTTAACCAATGTGGTAGACTTCATTGTTGTCTTATTTTAAGAAATTGCCACAGCCACCCCAAACTTAAGCAACCACTATCCTGATCAGTCAGCAGCCATCAACATTTAGGCAAGACCCTCCACCAGCAAAAAGATTATAACTTGCTGAAGGATCAGATCATTGTTAGCACCTTTTGGTAATAAAGTATTTTAATTAAGGTGTGTGCATTTTTTTAGACATAATTCTATTGCGTACTTAATAGACTACAGTATGATATAAACATAATTTCTTTCTTTCTTTTTTTTTATTTTGAGATGGAGTCTCACTCTGTCGCCCAGGCTGGAGTGCAGTGGCATGATCTCAGCTCACTGCAAGTTCCACTTCCCAGGTTCACACCATTCACCTGCCTCAGCCTCCCAAGTAGCTGGGGCTACAGGTGCCCACCACCACACCTGGCTAATTTTTTGTATTTTTAGTAGAGATGGGGTTTCACCGTGTTAGCCAGGATGGTCTCGATCTCCTGACCTCGTGATTCGCCCGCCTCGGCCTCCCAGAGTGCTGGGATTACAGGCATGAGCCACCGCATCCGGCTGGTATAAACATAATTTGTATATGCATTGGGAAACCAAAAAAATTATGACTTACTTTATAGCAACATTTGCTTTATTGCAGTAGTCTGAACTGAACCCAAAATATCTCTGAGGTATACCTGTAGTATATTTCACTTATGTGTTGTTTGTTGGCTGTTCTCTCCAGTTGAAATGTAACCTCCACATGGCAGGGATTTTTACCTGTCAGTTTATGAATATATCTAGGACCTAGAGTGTTACCTGGTATAGGGAAGGCCCTCAGTGAATATTTGCTTGGTGAATGAATGCCTGCGTGAATAAATGCCTGAATGAATGAATGTATCAGTGCACAGAGCAGAAAGCAGAAAGTGACTATCCTAAGGGGGTAGTGTAAATGTCTGAAAGGTTTCAACCATGAGGAGACTACTTCTGGGCTGGGAGTTTTCCAGATGGAGGGTGAGGAAGGAGAAGAATTGGGCGGCTTTTCAGGTAGAGGGAACGGCAATTATAAAGTCACTGGGGCCTGGAAGAGTTAATTTAACACTTATTATAACACACTTATTATAATAATTTTATGCCATCGAGGTATGCCTGTTCCCAGACTGTTTATTCTTGTAAATAATATATCATGTTCTTATAAAATAGTCTGAAGTTTTGTAGGCATGGCAAAATCTGACTCACAATTATTTTGGTTTGCAGTAGTGCTCTGAAAACCAAATTCCTCTCAGAAGATTGAAATTTGAAATCTGAAACTGTGGGGGTATTCTCACCCATTCCTAACAGATTCCTAAGATGTTCAAAAGTGTAAATCTATAAAGCTGTGTAGCTAGAAATTCAGAGACTCAGATTTATTGATATTGATTCTATCTCACAAGGAAAGGTAATGAAAATGTCATTGGAGGTAGCTGGTTGGTGGAGATCTCTCCACCCTTAACCATGATGTCTTTCAGAGAATGAAAGCTGGCCAAGTTTGACAGCTTCCATTCTGCATCTCAGAGAACTGTAATAAGATGACCCATGAAATACTGGCTTGATCTTTCACTTGTGGGAATTCAAATATTTGAAGTAATACTCTCCTAGTTTCAATGAGCTTATAAAGAAGGTTGAATAAAGAATCAAAAATTCTGTATCTGAAATTTAAAAAACAACAATAGCAAAATGCTACAGCAAAGACATGGTGTAGCATAGTAGAAAAAGCACTAGATGGCCGGGCATGGTGGCTCATGCCTGTAGTCCCAGCACTTCGGGAGGCCAAGGCAGGTGAATCACGAGGTCAGGAGTTCGAGACCAGCCTGGCCAACACAGTGAAATCCTGTCTCTACTAAAAATACAAAAAATAGCTGGATGTGGTGGTGTGCACCTGTAATCCCAGCTACTCGGGAGGCTGAGGCAGAAGAATTGCTTGAACCCATGAGGCGGAGGTTGCAGTGAGCAGAGATCATACTACTGCACTCAAGCCTAGTGACAGAGTGAGACTCTGTCTCGGAAGAAAAAAAAAAGAAAAGAAAAGAAAAGAAAAGAAAAAGCACTGAATTTTAAGTTCGAAGCCCAGGGTTAAAATACTGGCTCCATCCATGTGACCTTGACCAAATTGCTTTATGTTTCTGAGCCCAGATAGCCTCAGTTATAAATGATAGGTTTGTTATGTGAGTAAGGCCCAACATAGGCCTCAACAATTGTTAGTAATGTAGGAATCTGGAAGTTATAATTGAGGCAGACATGCATGGACATCGTATAAGTGAAAAGGAAGTGAAATCTAGAAAATGTGAGTCAAAATGATGAAAATGTAAAGATTATGGGAAGAGATGACAGTGACTAGAGAATACCATTTTTTATTTTCTAATGTTATTGATGAAGTTGGTATTCATTACAACACCACTGATTCACTTGGGATTGAAAAGTGATGCCATCTGCCTTGCCGGGGAATCAAGTCATAACTCATTACTGTTAGAATGAGATCATTAAGATGACACATTGCCAACATAAGGAACACTGTCACAAAGCTCTGGGAAAATAAGCAGTTTAGGAAGGGAGTCTCCGTTGATAGGAATGGTTGAGTGATTATAATATTGTGGCTCAAGCTTTATCCCAAACCCCGCACCAGACATTGGCTGAGGAAAATAAGAAGGGGAAAAGTTGTATCTAAGGGAAAAGACAGAAGCACTTTACCTTAAGTGACCTGCTATTTACAACCTATGTGCTAGACAACTTATCATCATCTTTGGCTAAACTCTTTTCTATGTTTGAGGAATTCCCTACTTTCTGAGGTTTGGGAGGAGGCAGAATCTCCTGGGAGGGGATGACAGAGCCAGGTCCTCCCTCTTGAGGACCCTAACAGCAGAGAATAATCTCTGGCCTCATCCAGTTCTTTGTTGCCCAGGCAGGACTTGAACTCCTCAGCTCAAGCAATCCTCCTGCCTCAGCCTCTGCAGTAGCTGGCACTACAAGTGCATACTACCACCCCTGGCTATTTTGTTTCATTTTTTTGTTAACATTTCAAATTGACGCATAAGTGTGCATATTTATGGGGTACATAGTGATGTTTTCATATACACAATGTATAGTGATCAAGGGTAATGAGCATTGGGTTTTGATTGAATGTAACTTGCAAGAGAGTGAGTGGCAGGATTTGAGCACAAAATGAAGTAGAGCATGCAAATGTAAGTGCTTTGCAAATTGTAGAGTGCTAGAAAAAAATGTTGATTCTTTTTAATTTTCTCCCTTCCAGGGTTATTTACAGACTAAATGAGACAGTGTATATCTAACATTGCTTTGTGGATGCTATCAAGTGCTGGCAAATGTGTGGGAGAATGAATGGAAAACTTCATCAATTTCTAGGATAGTAAATTGGTGCTGCTATTTTGGAGAGCAATTTGTCAGCCTTCAGGGGAAACTGAATATGCACATCCTCTAAGACCCAGCAGTTTCACTTCAAAGAAAATTTCTTATATGCACAGAGACTTGTACAAGGATATTTATCACAGCACTGTTTGTAATAACAAAGGGCTGGAAATAAACCAAATGGCCAATGATAAGAATTGATAAATGTGGTAAATGCCTAAAATAGAATGTCACACAGCAGTTAAAAAATCATTTATTCACTAATTAAGCAAAGGACAAAAAGCCTCAACAGAAAAAAAAAGACAAAAGCCTTGAATAGTCACTTTGCCAAATGTTCAATACACGTACAAAAACATGGGCAAGTTCATTGGTTGTCAAGGAAGTTCGAATTAAAGCCACATTTTGCAGGTACAACACTGGCACAAGTTTAAGTCTGATGATACCAAGTCTTGGAGAAGGTTGAAGCTACTGGAAAACCTGCCCTCTGCTGGTGGGAGTGCAAATTGCTCCAAGCTCTTTGGACAATAATTTGGCATCCTCTAGTGAAGTTGAAGATGTGTGTGCTTGAGACTCAGCAATTCCCCTTTGTGACATCAGGATGCTCCCGCACATATGCTTAAGAACATTCATGCCAGCTTTGTTTATATAACAAAAACGTGGAAATAACCCAAATGTCTGAGGATGGGGAATGGACAAATAATGGTTCATAGTTATGAAAATGAATACACAACAGCTACAAGCATCTACTGGAATGAATCTCACATGCATTGTGTTGTAGAAGAATATGTATAATTCCATTTATGTAAAGTTTAAAAGCATGCACAACTAAATGATATGTTATTTATGAGTATATGACATATATGATAAAGGCAAAGAATAAATAAAGTAAGGAAAGGTAAGACAATAAGAGTTTGTGATACTGGTTACCTATTATGGGGAAGGATGTTGGGGACAGGTGGGACACCTTGGGGATTATCTGATACTGGCAATCTGACAGGTGGTAGGTCACCAGGTGTTCTTATTAACTTCAATACTCTATATATCCTAACACTGGTAAATCTCAAGTATGTAATACTGAATGAAAAAAAATCAAAAGTCAAATAGTACAGTCCTATTTGTGAAGAAAAACTAACCCACGTGAATAAAGTATTGTTAGGGATGCCTCTCTATGTAAATAAAGCCGTACAGGGCAGCTACATGTTAAATTCGTTGGCGTGTGCACATACAGTGGAATGATAATGGGATTAGGGACTGAGTGAAGGGGAGGGCAGTACATAACATTTCAAAATGGTAAACATGAAAATGGGGCTGTTTGTGAACTCCTGATGCTTGTGTGCCATGAACTGACTTGAGGTGGTTAAATTAAGCAATTCGCTCTCTTTCCATGCATGTGATATCCCAAAGGGAAAGAAAGGTTGCTTTGCAAATTAGAATAATCAAAATCAAGTATGAACCATTAAACATGTTTTGCTTGCTGGTAGATTAAGGATCACACTGGATATACAGTAGAAAATAAAGCTATTTGCTAATGTGCCTTGAATCTTTAGTCAAAAATCTGTCATGAACTGAGACACATGCTGAATTTCCTTCTTTTCTCCTCTTTTAAAATAAATAATAAGTTATAAGGGATCTTTGGGTTGATTTAAAATGACCACCAGCCATTATTACAGCACATCTAAGCTACTGACGTGGCCTCTTTGCTGTTTACACCGACTTATAGCTGTTCTAGACCCAACTCTATCCTTTTTAGGCTGGTCAAAAATTCAACACCAATATCTTCATTCTAGAGAACTTTAACTACATAATGGCAAAAATGATAAGGCAGAAAACTGAAAACAAAGCAATACAAAATCCTATAATAATTGAAAAGAAAAAAATAAAAATGTCCTTATTTTCAGAAGATATGTATCTAGAAAATCCCAGTGAATTAATTGGAATGGAACTAATAAGACAATTCATTCAATGAGATGGCCAGGCAGAAAATGAAGATAGAAATATCAAAGACTTCCCTATGTGTATGTGCATACCTTAGTTAGAAAGCATGATGGGGGAAAAGCACCATTCATAAAAGTCACCCTTTCTGGGGTGCTGGGTTCAAGGTCTCTCATGGAAACAATCCCATTTACTTTTGGCCTCTCGCCCCATCACCCTGGGCTGCACCCTGTCCAAAGGGCTCTGTGGGGACAAATGCCATGGCACCTCCTCTGCTGGCCTTGACACATGTTTCTTTTTACAACACTTAAGATCTGCAGCCCTGCCTGTGACACAGAAAGCTTTAACATTCTCCCATTCAAGGCAGTGCCAGCTCCTCAGAATCATCTCCAATCACATCACCAATTCAGAAGGCTCTGTGTTTGTATCGCTAAAGAGCCCATTTGGCTGGTTTTCCCAGAAAAATGGAACAGTCTCCTCAAATGGACTACTGAAATCGTTTCCTCCTGTCAAACTGAAATGGCTTACTTAGAGTTCTCAAATAACTGACTTCTTTTTACATTGTTAGCTTTGATGTTTCAAAAAGCAACAGTTCTGAGCAAACTTCTCTATAATGGTAAAAACTCTGAAGTCATGGCTTCTGGGGCTGGGAGTTGAAAAAGGCAAGAGATAATTTTCTGGGGTGATGGAAATGTTCTATATCTTGTCTTGGGTGGTGATTCCACAGGTCGGTTTTTGATTTATCGTCAAAATCGTTTTTGATGATTATATCGTCAAAATCGTTTTTGATGATTATATCGTCAAAAATTATTGAATAGAAGACTGAAGATCTGTACACTTTATTGCATGTAAATCAGACTTCAATTAAAAAGTACCTGTAATTCTTAAAAGTTAGGATACATCAGAATTGCCCAGAGTCTTCATAACTTTGCAGAGGTTTAACCTTGAAGATTGTCAGTAGAGCATTGATGGGTGGAGGAAGCTGTATTTTTATCAAGCATCTCCAGGTGGTTCTCTCATTATCCTTTGGGAGACACTGACTTAGGTTCCAAGTTTCAGCTTGGGCACTCCAGACATGGTTCTCGGAGTTTACAGGTTTCTGTGCAGTGTGTAAGCATCAGATGGGCTGGCTTCCTCTCCCTATTGCTGAGGATGACCTTGCTGAGCACACATCCACCTAGAAGTTTCTAGGGGCACTTTCTAGTGACATAGGCCCAGAGTCTTTGGCCACCTCTACTCCAGGCAGAACACAGAAGCACAGCTAAGTCAGAGAAATGGAGTTGCCTGCAGGAAAGACGATGTATTTGCTTTAAATTTCCAGAAAATGCTGATGTCGCCACAGGTATCCCCACCTTTCTTCTGAGATGGGATTTGAAATTTACTAACAATCTCACTGTAGAATCAAAAGTCTTCCTAACTTTTACCTCACCCTGATTCATGGCAGAAAGTTCACTACTGGAGTCACTGCTGTAGGATGAGGTGGAATTTCTTCCCGTAAATCCCTGTTAGAATGCAGAATAACAGAGTAGCAAAGAGCTTCAGAAATTAGATACAGGAACAAATGTCAGGGTGACTAAAAGAAAAATAATCAGCCTGGAAAACATGGTGAGACCTCGTCTCTACTAAAAATATAAAAATTAGCAGAGTTTGGTGGCAGACACCTGCAGTCCCAGCTACTCAGGAGGGTGAGGCATGAGAATCGCTTGAATCCAGAAGGCGGAGGTTGCAGGGAGCCGAGATGGTGCCACTGAACTCCAGCCTGAGCAACAGAGCGAGACTCTGTCTCAAAAACAAACAAACAAACAACAAAAAAAGACAAATAATCAAGGTAAGAAAGGAAGTGGTTTGCTACCCAATGGACCAGTAACAGGGCCTAAGAGTAAAAAGAAAGGTGGATTAAGTTACCCTGAATATACCCCAATTGAGGAATCATTTCTGTTTTGGGAAGAAGAGAAGGCTGTAAAGTAAGACTGAAATTTGTGTATCCCTGGGAGCCAAGCAGACAATTCTACTAGGGATGTCCATTAGATATCTATTACTGCATTACAAACCATCCCAAAACTTGTTGCCTTAAAAAATCGAACATTAGTTCCTAGTTTCTGTAGGTCAGGAATTCTTGAGCAGCTTAGGTGGGTGGTTCTGGCTCAGGGTCTCTCATGAGTCCTAGGCTGTAACCAGCTGAAGGCTTGACTGGGGCCGAACAATCTGCTTCCAAGGTGGTGCACTCACATGGCTGTGGGCAGGAGGCCTCAGTTCCTCAGGAAACAGACCTCGCCCTAGGGTTGCTTGAGTAATCACAACATGGCAGAGGGCTTCCTCCAGAACAAGTGATCCTAGAGAGAGAAGCAAGGAGGAAGTCACTATATCTTTTATGATGGAGTCTCAAAAGCCATACCCCATTATTTCTTCCTCCTCCTATTTGTTAGAAGTGAGTCCTTAAGTACAGCTCACATTAAAAGAGAGGAGAATCAGGCTGTACATTCTGAAAAGAAGAGGATCAAAGAATATGTGGACATATATGAAAACCAATATAGGGTCTCACCCCTTCACTACCTGTGAAGACACTACACACACATACGCAAATATACAAGAAGAGGAAATTTACCTATGCTTTAGAGTGAGAGGTAAACATATGCAGAAACCCTTAAACATCTTACTCCCATACATGTTATTGAGTCAATAGATCCCTTTTATTGTTAAAGACATTTTGAATTAGATTTCTGTCCCCACAGATGACAAAATTTTAACTGCTGCAGAAGGCAATGTGTTAGGGCTATCATGCAAGTAGGCAAGTAGAATGGAGCATAGAGAGACAAGAGCCTTGTGCCCAGAGATAGGGATGCCATCCCAACCCAATGGAAAAAATCATGATTAGTCTAAAGCCAGTTGTGGCAATTCCATTACCCTTGTCATGTAGTTGGCTTAGGTCAGTGGTTCTCAAACTTGAGCATCAGAATCAGCCCCATGTTCTGACTCAGTGGGTCCAGGGTGGGCCAAGAATTTGCATTTCTTTTCTTTTTTTTTTTCTTTTTGAGATGGAGTCTCACCCTGTCCCCCAGGCTGGAGTGCAATGGTGCAATCTCGGTTCACTACAACCTCCGCCTCCTGGGTTCAAGCGATTCTCCTGCCTCAGCCTCCTGAGTAGCTGGGATTACAGGCGTCCGCCACCACGCCCAGCTAATTTTTGTATTTTTAGTAGAGACGGGTTTTCACCATTTTGGCCAGGCTGGAAGAATTTGTATTTCTAACAAGTTCTCAGGTGATGTTGCTGCTGCTGGTCCAAGCACCGCATACTGAGAACCGCTGGTTCAGGCCAATGAAATGGTAGAGGGAGCAGGTTTCAAGGAGGCTCCTGGAGAAGATTTCCTAGGTCTTAAAGAGATCCAAGGAAGAGGCAGGGTTGTGTTTGCTTGTTTTCTGCTTTCCGATGTTTGTGTGTGAAAATGTGCTTCCAGAGCAGTGGTCTTGTGACCAAGGGGAGTGAGCCAAAAAGCTAAGGCTGGCAGAGCAGAGAGAAGCCTTTGATAATGCTGAGTTTTCAAATTCATGAGCCCTGAAGCTTTCTACAGCCATGCTTGTATTGTCAGATGATAAGTTTTCCTATTGACCAAGTCATTAGGAATCAGGTTTTCTGTTTTCTCAGCTGGAAAACAAATACCAAGCGCATTCATATACAAAATGTTAAGGTTTATAATGCACGCTCTGTTCCAGAAAGCAGCATCAATTTACACCTCCTCCAGCAAAACATCTGAGCATTTTCTCCACACTGTTGTCAACACTGGGTAATGGCATTTAAAAAAATCTCTACTAGTGGGTGAAAAATGATATCTCTGGGTGTTCATTTGCATTTCCATGATTACAAGTGAGCTCGAAGATTTTCTAATACACATTCTTCTGGAGGCAGATGCAGTGTAGACAATGAGGCAGCACTATAAACACGTCTCCATGATAATCACCATTCATTGCTTTTGCTCACTCAGGTGGGACTGAAAATACGTGGCTTAGGCTGTAAGCTTGGGTACACTGTTGCACTTGGCAGAAGCTGTTTTGCGGCAGAGGCTTCAAATCTATCCTGATAAGTGGCAAAGAGAAGAACCTTATCCCCAAGATTTGTCTTATGCCTTTGGATCTCTTTTGCTTGAGAAACGTCCTTGTGTGGTTGTCATTTCTCTCTTTACCAAAGCGGTCAGAAGTGTAAACTGTGCTGACACAGGCTTCCTTTCTAAAGCTGAATTAACAATGCATTCTAAATGCAAGGGAAAATCCTCAGGTATTTCACTGCTTCATAAAGCAAGATGCAGCAGCTGCCTGAGGACTGGGTGCTTGTCTGTTTGAAGATAATTATAGCAGGTGATTTGTATCTGCCTTTACCTCTAGCATCATGTATTAGAGTGATCAAGCTTTAGAAGTAATATTTCTGACCAGGATAGGTGGGGTCAGTTGGATCATTTTCTACCAGTTCCCTAAAGCTAAGAATTACCAGGATTCTTGCTCAAAGTCTTCTCATGTGGTATTCTTTCCCCATTTATATTTGCAATTGGAGGCAGCTTGGAGAATAAAAAATTGTCTAAGAAATGTGGTTCTCCATCAGAGAGGCCAAAAGGTCAGGTTGAATAAGCCACAGTGTAGGCATAAACTGTTTTCTTTATTAATCTGACACACACACACACACACACACACACACACACACACACACAGCCTAGCACTCACTCATACACTCTGTGCTCAAAACTGTATGTTCAGAAATGAAAATACACAGACTTGTATTTGGACATTCTCTTATTGATCTGTAGTTTGATGACATCTTTATTGGCACATTGGAGTGATGCTTTCTGGCTACTCAAATAATTAAGTTATAGAGATTTTCAATGACAGTGGAAAACTGGGACCTCTAGCCTGGCTAAAAATTGATGGCAGTTTATTGCTTGAGGATGAAGGCTAACTACTTGGCTGTTTTAAGAAGGCTTACAGAAAGACACTCCTTGCTTTCATCACGGTTGAGAACCCAGATGTCTGCCGTGTGAACCCAAAATCCCGAATATGTTGAGACTTCTTCAGTGGCACTGTCTGGCAAGGGTGACTCACACTGCCCAAGCACCCACAGGCTGGTTTATAAAAGCAGCAGCCTTTATTAATTTAGATTCAAGAGTATTCATGTAAAGAGGAGTCAAGCAATTGAATCCTATGGCCCAGAAGATTCTCTCCCCAGGTGATGGTTCAGTGGGAAGCCAAGTTATCATTAGAAACGTTTGTCAAGTAAGAAGCTAAGGGACCGGTCAGGCAAGAAGAAAAGTGTTGGTAAACACAGAGGTGAGAAAGCATCTGTTATTCAAGAAGCTGCAGGTGTTGCAGTATTCTTGGGGGCTAAAGGCCCAAGGTGGGTGTAGCAGGAAATGAAGCTGAGGAAAGGTAGGCAGTGTGTAGCTCATTCATGATGTGTATCATGTGCAAAAAGATCGAGTTTCTTTCCTGCTCCACCTCCCTCTCCACAGAAAGAAATCCCATTATTTATTTCTATTATAAAAGCAATACCTGTTTATTACAGAACATATCAACAAGTAAAAAGAACCAAAATATTAACAATCATCCCTCCTACCCGAAGATAATCAACCTCATGCCTTGTCGAGCACCCGATTCTGTCCCTGTTTGGGGCACCGCTATGTAACCTGCATGGACCTGGGGGGACTGAACAAAGGGGGCAAACGCGGGAATAAAAGACAAGAGACAAAAGAGTATATTTGGAAGTAGGGGTCAGGGGGCACCTTGCCTCTAGTGGACAAGGGCCCTGAGCTTTACACAGCCCTCCATATTTATTAGGCAAAAGAGATAGTGAGAAGGGGGGTGGAAGAAGGTGTCAGCTACTCGGTCAAGTGTAGGATTGCCAGACTGCATTCTCTAGATGTCCCAGTAGATAACCTCAAGGAGCTTGGCACCAGGAAGTGATTGCTCTCAGCAAACCTTCTGGGGCAGGCACAGTCGTGAGTTTGCCCACATTCTGTATTCATGATGAACAGTTTGCTGTTTGGTCATATAGCCTCAGTGGAAGGCTGAGTTGGTCATGTCCCATGGGCCTTTGGCTCCCTGCAATGCCTCAATCCTTATTCTTCTGTGTGTGAGCAATAAAATACTATTTTCTAAATTGCCTTTTCACTTAACAATATATCCCAAACATATTTTTATGTCAATAATGTATTAATATTTCTGCCACATCTTATAAAATGATGCAAAGTATTCTGCTATATTTATGAGCCAAAATGAACAGTGGTCATTCAAATACCACTTTTTCCTTTCACAAATAATGCTATGGTGAACCGCTTTTTGCATATATCTTTGGCATATGACTGTTCTTTCCATAGGACAAATTTTCATAAACGAGTTGAGTATGTCAAAGGGCATAAAGAAAGAGAATCTTTTGTCATATCCACACCTTCTTCAGTGTTTTGTCTGAAATACCTTTACAACACAGAATAATAAATACATTCAGAGAGTTGAGTCCAAAGTGGCCATTCAGACATGACAATATTATAAAGTCTTGGGTTTCAACTTTAAGTTTTATATAACATTTGTGAATGACTCTATGTTATATAGACATTGATAAAAATGTTTTTCCACTCAAATCTTTGAGTAAAACCTGCTGTTTATTCTGCAGCTTCCTATAGCTCTTGGCATGACTCTTAGTACCTAATGGAGAAGTGTATCTCCAAGCTGGAGGATTAATATGGATGCTGAAGAGCCACCTGGAGGATTTCTGTTGGGGAATAATGTGTTCAGATGATCAGATTGGCTAGCATGAGAGAGAAATTGGAAGGCGCTGAGACAGGAAGCAGGAGGCCTGGTTAGTGGGTTGCCAAAAGTGAAAGTGGGCTGTGCTTACACCAAGCTGGAAGTGTGGGGTTGGGGTTGGCAAACAGGGTTGGAAAGCGGGATGTGAAATTGTCAGACTTTGCTTAATTGATTTGTTATTAAGAATAAGGAAGAGTGAGGAATCTGGGATTGTAAATGTGTTTCCTTTTTTAATCTGACAAATAATCAAATGAGAATTATGTTCCCATCATGTTCCCAGTTTTGCTTTGACCAACAGAAAGCTCACAGCTCAGTTAGTGATCAATAACTGTGCAGTCTTGAGCCGCAACAACAACATTTTATTCAACAATGAACCGCATATTCTACAGTGGTCCCCTAAGATTATAATTCTGTATTTTTACTGTACATTTTCTATGTTTAGATACATAAATACTTAGCATTGTGTTACAACTGCCTACAGTATTCAGTATAGTCACATGCCATCCAGGCTTGTAGCCTAGGAGCAATAGGCCCTGCCATATAGCCTAGTTGCAGGAGGCTATGCCATCTAGGTTTGTGTAAATACACTCTATGATGTTCATAAACCAATGAAATCACCTAATGATGAATTTCTGCAATTGTACCCTATGAGGTAAGTAGGTAAGTGATGCATGACTGTATTTGTATTACTTGTGATGGTGGTTGACTTGCCTGATTCTGATTTTCTGATTCTGGAAGATGGCTCTGATATGTAATTGTAACTAGGCAGTGCATAGTATGTAGGTCAATAATAAATACAAACTGGCTCTTAAGCAAGGCAAGTCCTTTCCACTGGTGACATAAATTCATGAATCCAAGGACAGAGGAACAATAAAGGATATGGATTAAAGGTAAGCATGGCAAGGTGGGCATTATTCAGATTGTGAACAGAGTGGATGAATCCATACTAATCTAGGTAAAATGGGGTTGATTATTTATAGAATTTAAATTTTTAAAATTTAATTCAACCAAGCAACTCTTTGCTCTTCCTTCACTATTTGTCATTACCAAACAGCCGCTTTTACTACTTTTTTTCATTCCTTTAAAATATATCATTAAGTGTATTAGAAATCAGTGTTTAGTCCCAATATTAGCTTATTTTAAATAGAAACTTTGAATTCGTATCCTGAAACCTTCAGATTTCCTTTTATTTGATCCAATTCTTGTGGAGCAGCTCTCTTAGTTACTTGTATCTTTTAATCTTCATCTTTTTATTTGTGCTTCTCTCCTCTTAACTTATGGAGACAGAAATCAAGGCTCCAGCTTGACGTTGGGGTGCTTGAAACTTGAGACTTGGAGAAGCTGCTGTTTGTCCTGAGGCAGGCATGGGCTCTTCGCTGTTTATTTCTTTTTATTAAAAAATGTTTTCCCCTTTCTTAACGTTTTTCTTGATTTTATTTTCAAAATTGCAGAAAGCAAATTGGATTTTCTCCAGTGAGCATGCAAAAGATGATTCTGGACCTTTCTCTTCTCCGCTTCCTCCCTTTCTTCCTTCCTTTCTTAGGATGTTTGCTATACTTTTCCTTTAATTTTTTTCATTCTTTTGAAGAGGAGATGGACTGACTTTAAAAAACCCTATACATACCCCCAGAGGAAGGACAGTCCCAGTTACTCAACATTATATGAGCTCCTTCCTTATCCCTCATCTTAGCCTTTTTTTTTTTTTCTGGGTTCCTTTAGGGAAAATCGTTGGGAACCCTGGTATTTGCATTGAGCCATACCTATTAATTCAACAGTTGAGAATCAGTAGTTTATTATTGGAAATAGTGCTTAACAACAGAATCTGTGCTTTGTCTCTATGTATTAAAGAGGAGATTATTCTAGAAAATGTGGGTCAGTTGCACAGGTGATCTATATTCTGAAGAACTTTTATGCCTTTAGAAGGTTTCCAGGAGGGTGGGCAGCTCATTAACTACTAAAGTGAAATAAAAGGCAGGTTTTAAAGGTAATCTCTGACTAACCTGAGAAAATGTCAACAGTTAGTAAATATATATATATATATATATATATATATATATATATATATATATATATATATTTGGAAGCTACATTATCTTTTGAGTGTCTGATAAAACTTTAGTTATCTGAGAAGGAGGGGCGGAGCAAGGTGGCTGTGTGGAAGTTTCCACAGATTGTCTTCTTGCAAAGACATCAATTTAACAACTATCTGTGCAAAACAAAACAAAACAAAAAAAATGCCTTCACAAGAACCAAAAATCAGATGGGCACTCACAGTACCTGGTTTTAACTTTGTATCACTGAAACAGGCACTGAAGAGTGGGAAAGACAGTTGTAAATCACTGATGCCACCCCGCCTCCATCCCCTGGCAGTGGCTGCATGGTGCAGAGAGAGAATCTGCCTGCTTGGGAAAGGGAGACTGCAGCAATTGTGAAACATTACATTAAACTCAGTGCTGCCCTGATACAGCAGCAAGCAAAACTGGGCTGAACTTAGCTGACACCGACCCCTGGAGGGAGTATTTAAACCAGCCCTAACCACAGGAGACTTGCCCTTTCCAGGAGTCAAAACTTGAGTTCCAGCAAGCCTCACCGCCATGGGCTAAAGTTCTTTGGTGCCCTAAATAAACCTGAAAGGCAGCCTAGGCCACAAGGACAGCAATTCCTAGGTGAGTCCTAGTGCTAAACTGGGCTCAGAGTTAGTGGACTTGAGGAGCAGAAGACCTACTGAGAGACCAGCTGGGGCAGCTAAGAGAGTGCTTGGGCCATTCCTCCCCCAACCCTCTGCTGCATAGCTTCCCCACACCCCAAGAAAAGACTCTTTCCTTCTGCTTGAGGAGAGAGGAAGAGTAAAGAGGACTTTTGTCTTGCATCTTGAATACTAGCTCAGCCACAGTAGGATAGGGCACTGGTCAGAGTCGTGAGGCCCCCATTCCAGGCTCTAGCTCCTGGATGACATTTCTAGACACACCCTGGGCCAGAAGGGAACTGCTTCCATTGAAGAGAAGGACCCAGTCCTGGCAGGACCCATCACCTGCTGACTAAAGAGCCCTTGGGAGCCCTCCCACTGCTCTGAAGGCTGAGTCTCAGGCCGGGCAGCATTCACTTCAAGCTGACTGAAAAGCCCTTGTGCCTTAACAGCATAGCAGTGGTAACGCACCAGTACTCCTCATGGGCCTGTGGTGGTGGTGGCCATGAGGTGAAGCTCCTCTGCCTGTGGAATAGGGAGAGAAGAGCGGGAAGGACAACACTTCATGTTTGAGTGCCAACTCAGATGCAGTAAAATAGAACACCAGGTAGACTTCTAAGGTTTTTGACTCCAGTCCCAGCTCCCAGTTGACATCTCTAGATCTGTCTGGGGCCTGGGAGAACTTGCCATTCTGAAGGGAAGGACATAAACCTGGCCGGCTTTACCACCTGCTGACTGTAGAGCCCCAGGGCCTTGAGCAAACCTCAGCAGTAGCCAGGGAGTGATTGCAGCAGGCCTTGGGTGAGACTCGGTGCTGTGCTGGCTTCAGGTCTGACCAAGTGCAGTCCCAGGGTTGTGGTCACAGGGGTGCTTGTGTCACTCTACACCTAACTCCAGGCAGCTGAGAACAGAGAGAGAGAGAGAGAGAGAGTGACTCCATTTATTTGGGAGAAAGTAAGGGAATAGAATAAGAACCTCTGCCTGCCAGATGTTATCTAAGACCATCAAGGTGGTACCTCTACGAGTCTGCAAATCCCACATCATTACTAGGCTTAGGGTGTCCTCAAATGCAGATAGGCTTGGATCACTATAGCTAAGTCCTTTTGAATACCTAGAAAGTCTTCTCAAGAAGGATGGGTACAAACAATCCCAGATTACAAAGACTATAATAAATACCCAACTCTTCAATGCTCAGACACAGATGAACATCCACAAGCATTAAGATCATCCAAGAAAACATGACGTCACCGAACAAACTAAATAAGGCACCAGGGACCAATCCTGGAGAAACCGAGATATGTGACCTTTCAGACAGAGAATTCAAAATAGCTGTTTTGAGGAAACTTAAAGAAATTTAAGCTAGATACAGAGAAGGAATTCAGTATTCTATCAGATAAATTTGACAAAGAGATTGAAATAATTAAAAGGAAATTCTGGGGTTGAAAAATGCAGTTGACATACTGAAGAATGCACCAGTCTTTCAATAGCAGAATTGATCAAGCAGAAGAAAGAATTAGTGAGCTTGAAGATATGGTATTTGAAAACACATGGAGGAGACAGAAGAAAAAATAGCCTGGAATGGGGTAATCTAAGAGTTATTGGCCTTAAAAAGGAGGTAGAGAAAGAGATAGGGGTAGAAAGTTTATTCAAAGAGATAATAAGAGAGAAAGACTCAAACCTAGAGAAAGATGCCAATATTGAAGTAAAGAAGGTTATAGAACACCCAGCAGATTTAACCCAAAGAAGACTACCTCAAGGCATTTAAGAATTAAACTCCCAAAGGTCAAGGATAAAAATGATTCCAAAAGCAGCAAGAGAAACAAATAACATATAATGACACTCCAATATGTCTGGAAGTAGACTTTCCAATGGAAACCTTACAGGCCAGGAGAGAGTGGCATGACATATTTAAAATGCTGAAGGAAAAAAACTTTTTCCCTAGAATTGTATATCTGGCAAAAATATCCACAAAGAAATAAAGATTTTCCCAGACAAACAAAATTTGAGGGATTTCATAAACACCAGACCTGTCCTAAAATAAATGCCAAAGGGAGTACTTCAGTCAGAAAGGAAAAGGATGTTAATGAGCAAGAAGAAATCAACTGAAGGTATAAAACCCAATGGTAATAGTAATTGTACACAGAAAAACACAGAATATTATAACAATGTACCTGTGATATGTAAAACTCCTATTTTAAGTAGAAAGACTAAATGGTGAACCAATAAAAAATAATAACTACAAATTTGCAGGACATAGACAATACAATAAGATATAAATAGAAACAACAAAAAATTGAAAAGTAGGGGGATGAAGTTAAAGTGTAGAGTTTTTATTAGTTTTTTTGCTTATTTGTTTATGTAAACAGTATTAAGTTGTTATCAGCTTAAAATAATGGGTTATAAGATAGTATTTGCAAGTCTCATGGTAACCTCAAATCTAGAAACATATAATGGATACACACACGAAAAGCATGAAATTAAATAATACCACCAGAGGAAATTATATTCACTAAAAGGAAGACAGGAAGGAAGGAAAAATGAAAGAGAAAAACCATAAAACAACCAGAAACCAAATAACAATGGCAGGAGTAAGTCCTTATTTAACAATAATAACATTGAATGTCAATGGACTAAACTCTCCAATCAAAAGACATAGAGTGGCTGAATGGATTAAAAAAAAAAAAAAAAAAAAACAAGACCCAATAATCTGTTGCCAACAAGAAACACATTTCTCCTATGAAGACACACATAGACCGAAAAAGGGGGATGGAAAAAGATATTCCATGCCAATGGAAACTAAAAAAGAGCAGGAGGAGCTAGCTATACCTATATCAGACAAAATAAATTTAAAGACAAAAATTATAAGAAGAAACAACGAAGATCACTATATGATGATGATGGGGCCAATTCAGCAAGAGGAAATAACAATTATATATGCATCCAACACTGGAGCACTCAAATATGTAAAGCAAATATTATTAGAGCTAAAGAGAGAGATAGGCCCTCATACAGTAATAGCTGGAGTCTTCCACATTCCACTTTCAGCATTGGACAGATCTTTCATACAGAAATCAACAAAGAAACCATCAGACTTAATCTGCACTATAGACCAAATGGACCTAACAGATATTTACAGAACATTACATCCAATGGCTGAAGAATACACATTATTTTCCTCTGCACATGGATCATTCTCAAGGATAGACCATATGTTGGGTCAAAAAGCAAGTCTTGAAACATTAAAAACTGTTGGAGTAATATCAAGTATCTTCTCTGACCATAATAGAATAAAAGTAGAAATTGATAGCAAGAAGAATTTTGGAAACTATACAAACACGTGGAAATGAAACAATATGAACCTGAATGACCAGTGGGTCAATGAAGAAATTAAGAAGGAAACGGAAAAGTTTCTTGAAACAAATGATAATGGAAACATAACATACCAAAACCTATGGGATACAGCAAAGGGAGTACTTACTAAAAGGGAAGTTTGCAACTATAAGTGCCTACATCAAAAAAGAAGAAAAACTTCAACTAAACAACCTAAGGATGCATCTTAAACAACTAAAAAAGCAAAAGCAAACCAAATCCAAAATTAGTGGAAGAAAATAAATAATAAAGGTTACAGCAGAAATAAATGAATTTGAAATGAAGAAAACAAAAAATCAACAGAACAAAATGTTGCTTTTTTCTGAAAAGATAAACAAAATTGATAAACCATTAGCTAGACTAATTAAGAAAAAGAGAGACATTAGACTCAACAAAATCAGAGATGAAAAAGGAGACATTACAACTGATACCACAGAAATTCAAAGGATTGTTAGTGGCAACTATGAGCAACTATATGCCAATAAATTTGGAAATCTAGAAGAAATGTATAAATTCCTAGACACATACAACTTACCAAGACTGAACCATGAAAAAATTCAAAACCTGAAAAGACCAATGACAGGTAATGAGATCAAGGTCATAATAAAATGTCTTTCAGCAAAGAAAAGCCCAGAACCTGATAGCTTCACTGCTGAATTCTACCACACTTTTTTTTTTTTTTTTTGAGATGGAGTCTCACTGTGTTGCCCAGGAGGGAGTGCAGTGGCGCCATCTTGGCTCACTGCAACTTCCATCTCCCAGGTTCAAATAATTCTCCTGCCTCAGCCTCCTAAGTAGCTGGGATTACACAGGTGCACACCACCATGCCCAGCACACACCTGTAAACCCAGCTACTCGGGAGGCTGAGGCAGGAGTAGTAATTTTTTTGTTTTTTTGTATTTTTAGTAGAGATGGGTTTTCACCATGTTGGGCAGGCTGGTCTTGAACTCCTGAACTCTGGTGATCTGCCCTCCTTGGCTTCCCAAAGTGCTGGGATTACAGGCATGAGCCACTGCCCTTGGCCCATACCAAACTTTTAAAGAAGAACTAGTACCAATCCTACTCAAACTATTCCAAAAAATGCAGGAGGGGGGAATACTTTCAAACTCATGTCATGAGGCCAGTATCATCCTGATACCAAAACCAGACACAGGCACAGCAGAAAAAGAAAACTACAGGTCAATATGCCTGATGAATACTGATGCAAAAATCCTCAACAAAATGCTTAGCAAATTGAATTCAGCAACATATTAAAAAGATTGTTCTTCATGACCAAATGGGATTTATCCTAGGGATGCAAGGATGGTTCAACATATGCAAATCAATTAATGTGATACTTCATATCAACAGAATGAAGGACAAAAACTATATGATCATTTCAGTTGATGCTGAAAAAACATTTGGTAAGGCTCAACATCCCTTCATGATAAAAACTCTAAAAAAAAAAAACTGGGTATAGAATGAACATACCTCAGTGTAACAAAAGCCATATACAATAGACCCATAGCTACTATCATACTGAATGAGGAAAAACTGGAAGTCTTTCTTCTAAGATTGGGAACATGACAAGGATGCCCACATTTACCACTGTTATTCAACATAGTACTGGAAGCCTTAGATAGAGCAAGGCATACAAGAGAAATAATGAAGAGCATCTATCTGGATTGGAAATGAAGAAGTCAAATTATTCTTATTTGCAGATAATATGATCTTGTATTTGGAAAAACCTAAAGGCTCCACCAAAAGACTATTAGAACTGATAAACAAATTCAGTAAAGTTGCAGGATACAAAATCAACGTACAAAAATCAGTAACATTTCTATATGCCAACAGTGAACAATCTGAAACAGAAATCAAGAAAGCAACCCCATTCACAATAGCTACAAATAAAATAAAATACCTAGGAATTAACTTAAGCAAAGAAGTAAAAGATCTCTACAATGAAAACTATAAAACATTGCAAGAAATTGAAGATACTAAAAAATGGAAAAAGATTCCATGTTCATGGATTGGAAGAATCAATATTGTTAAAATGTCCATACTACCCAAAACAATCTACAGATTTAATGTAATTCCTGTCAAAACATCAATAACATTCTTCTTCATGGAAATAGGGAAAAGAATTCTAAAATTTATGTGGAACCACAAAAGACCCAGAATAGCCAAAGTTATCCAAATGCAAAAAGTACAAAACTGGAGGAATTACATTACCTGACTTTAAATTACACCACAGAGCTATAGTAACCAAAATGGCATGGTATGGGCAATAAAACAAACACATAGACCAATGGAATAGAATAGAGAACCCAGTAATAAATCCATACATCTACAGTGAACTCATTTTTGACAAAGGTGCCAAGAACCTACACTGGGAAAAAGACAGTCTCTTCAATAAATGATGCTGGGAAAACTGAATATCCATCTACAAAAGAATGAACTAGAACTCTATCTCTTTCCGTAGACAAAAATCAAATCAAAATAAAGACTAAAGACTAAGACCTCCAACTATGAAGCTACCAAGAGAAAATATTGGGGAAACTCTCCAGGACATTGGAATGGGCAAAGATTTCTTGAGTAATAACCCACAAGCCTAGGCAACCAAAGCAAAAATGGACAAATGGGATCTCATCAAGTTAAAAAGCTTCTGCACAGCAAAGGAAGCAGTCAACGAAGTGAAAAGGCAACCTAAAGAATGAGAGAAAATATTTTCAAACTACCCATCTGACAAGGGATTAATAACCAGAATACATAAGGAGCTCAAACTCTATATGAAAAATCTAATAATCCAATTAAAATATGGGCAAAAGATCTGTATAAGCACTTCTCAAAAGAAGACATACAAATGACAAACAGGTATATGAAAACGTGCTCAATATCATAGATCATCAGAGAAATGCAAATCAAAACTACAACGAGGTATCATCTTACCCCAGTTAAAATGGCTTTTTGTTTTCCCCAAAATTCAGGCAAGAAGAAATGCTGGAGAGGATTGCAAGCATCTGTGGAGTCATTCTATTTTTAAATTCACCTTCCAATTGTTTTCTTAAAACCATTGACAAATATATAAACTGGTTAATCTTTCTAAATATTGTCTCATTACAAAAGCTTTCATTATTTTCCAGATTAAGTAGAAATCATTGAATAAAAATAACTCCAAATTATTAAACAAACAAACAAACAAAAATGATCCAATGATCTGGAACATTTTCTTCCCAAGCGAAAAGAGTTGAAAGTTCATTCTTTTTTTTTTTTTTTTTTTGTAGCCCAGAGGTCCTTTATTTTTTTTTTTAACACCTATTATGCCATGAATTCATAGGGAATAGGTTCCAGCAGCTCAGGCTCCTTCCCATTGGTTCTCACAAAGTGTGCTTCTCTGGGTGGAGCAGGCTGGCGCTTTAGTTGAACCCAGGTACCTTTCTCTTTGGCTTCTTTCTTTTTCTGATCATTTTCCTTCACACGTTTCAGGAAGCTATCTCGGCTCTTAGAGTGCTTAATGTGCTCAATACGCACATTAATTCTCTTGGCAAGAATCTTGCCCTTAACTTGTTTGTTTACAACAATGCCAACAGCATGCTGGGTAACATTGTAGACTCTTCCAGTTTTGCCATGGTAACACTTGTGGGGCATTCCTTTTTGAACAGTACCCATTCCCTTGATGTCTACAATATCACCTTTCTTATAGATTCGCATATATGTGGCCAAAGGAACAACTCCATGTTTTCTAAAAGGCCTAGAGAACATATATCGGGTGCCTCTCCTCTTTCCCTTTGTGTTCGTCATTTTGGCGAATTACTGGAAGATGGCGGTTCCGGCCGAAAGGGAAAGTTCATTCTTGAGCTGAGGCAGACAAACCATTTGGCTTTCTTCAAGGCAAATCACAGGTAAACATGGATTTAGATTATGTCTGTTCTAGCAAACTTTTTATTCACATGAAAAGGGCCTACATAAATATCAGTTCAAAGCAGAGAAATATGCTTTGGATAAACCAGGGAAGTTTGTTTCTGCAACAATATCAGTAGGTTGAGTATTAGATAGACCAAAGAAGGTGTCATTCGTCACCTGGAAAGTTGAGAGAGAAAAATCCATTGAAAACTGAAGATGGAAGAGACTGATACTGCTGTTTTGAATTTATGAGAGTCCAGAGGTGAGAGTTATAACCAGGCATTCCCTACTGTAGACATTTGCCAATTTATGCCCTCATGTTGCAATGAATCTTCAGAAGGACTAAGCATGGATGCTATTATTAAAGCTAATTAAATCGCTCTGAATTACAGCTCATCCAGGGTATTAGCTAACAGAATGGTCATCATACTGTCTGGAAGAAATAAATAAAAGGGGATTGGTTGAGTAAGGAATTCCACTGATGGGGTTTTTTGTTATTTTTCATTCAAAAATAAGCTCTCTGGAAATACTAGAAATTAAGACCCACTGTGCTTCATCTCTTAGAAGTGTTGTGTAATAGTGGTCCGACCCATGTTCATTGTTGAGAAGCAGGAACTGATTTTCTTGTCTAGTTTTTTAAAAAATCACATTTGCCAAAGTAATTAAATGAAAGGCTAATTGACAACAAACTTCCTATTGCCCTATAGTCACAACTTACATATGAAATAGCATATTTTGTTTCTCTTTTTGCATTTCAATATGGCAAAACCATTGATGTCTGAGGGACAGGCAGAGAGCAGATTAGTTTCCAGGCTCTAAACAATAACCAGAAAATGGCTTGTAATGAAAATCCAAGTTGAATATCACCATTGTGACAAGAAAAGGGAGATGTAATGAACCCAACAGCATCATCTATAGGAAAAGTAATTTAAAATGTTCACATAAAGTACAGCTAGTTTGGAGTGCAAATGAGCAGGAAAAGGGTTTTTGGAATCCATTTGGATGCATGTGGAGTGCATTTGAAAGTGATGTTGTATCATACTAGATATATATGTGTGTTTGTATATGTGTGTGCACGAATGGATGCCTGAGTCATATATATATGTGTATATATATGCATAGATGTATATATGTATATCTACATATGTAAAGTTACAAGTATATTTGACAAAATGAATGCAGTGGAGGAATGTGATTAATCAAATTATTTTTTATAATCCCTGTAGTTTGAAAAATAATTCACTTGGCTGGATTATGGCATGGAGGAAATCCTTAAAAAGAATCCCAGGGACCTGCTACGTCTCTGTGAGGGTCAGTTTATGTGTCAACTTGCCTAGGACATAGTACCCAATTATTTAACCAAAACAGTAGTTTAGGTGTTGTCATGAAGGTATTTTGTAGATGTAGTTAGCATCTATAAGCAATTGGCTTCAAATAAGGGGATTTCCTTAAGAGCAAAAACTGAGATTTCCCAGAGGGAAAATTCTGTCTCAATACTGCAGCATCAGTTCCTGCCTGAGCTTCTATCCTACTGACCACGTCAATTTCAGACTTGTGAGGCCCCGCAATCAAATGAGCCAATTCCTTAAAATAAATAAATCTCTTTAATTATTATATGCATTTGTATGTGTATACATGTGTATGTCTATTTATATCTATCCTACTGGCTCTATTTCTCTGGAGAGCCTTGACTGATAGTCTCAGATAACCTTCATATACTAGACAGTTCCAGCCTTCCCTGTACATTGCCTGATTTGAGTCTCAACTTTCAATGACCTCACTTGATTTATATTTAAATTATTTCATATTCATTTAAACACAGATATTAAAACGTGGTTGGAATTCTGATGAAAGTTTTCACTGAGGGAAAGTAGCTGAGATAATGGAATGATATTCCGTACCATACTTATTCTTCAGAGATCTGAAGCTGGGATTTCTTTCCTTGAGGTTTATGTTCTTTTTTGTTTGTTTGTTTGAGACAGGGTCTCGTTCTGTCGCCCAGGCTGGAGTGCAGTGGCGCGATCTCGGCTCACTGCAAGCTCCGCCTCCCAGGTTCACGCTATTCTCCTGCCTCAGCCTCCTGAGTAGCTGGGACAACAGGCGCCCGCCAGCACACCTGGCTAATTTTTTGTATTTTTAGTAGAGATGGGGTTTCACCGTGTTAGCCAGGACGGTCTCGAGCTCCTGACCTCGTGATCTGCCCGCCTCGGTCTCCGAAAGTGCTGAGATTACAGGTGTGAGCCACCGCGCCCGGCCCGAGGTTTATGTTCTTATATAGAGACACAGAGCAGACTCAACATAGTAATGCAATTTATTAATAGGTAGCTCTTAGACTTTGGATGCACAATGTTTAAGAGGAATATGATGCTATCAGTTTTCTTTGTTTCTTTCTTTCTTTTAATATTTATTTATTTATTTATTTATTTATTTATTTATTTATTTATTTTGAGACAGAGTCTCACTCTATCGCCCTGGCTGGAGTGCAGTGGCACGATCTCAGCTTACTGCAACTTCTGCCTCCCAGGTTCAAGCGAGTCTCCTGCCTCAGCCTCACGAGTAGCTGAGACTACAGGCATGAGCCACGACACCTGGCTAATTTTTTGTATTTTTAGCAAAGACAGGGTTTCACCATGTTGGCCAGGCTGGTCTCAAACTCCTGAGCTCAAGTGATCCATCTGCCTCTGCCTCCCAAAGTTCTGGGATTATAGTTGTGAGCCAACGTGCCCAGCATTTTTTTTTCTTCCAGGTTCAAGTGATTCTCCCACCTCAGTCTCCACAGTAGCTGGGACTACAGGTGTATGCCACCACACCAGGCTAAATTTTGTATTATCAGGTTTCTTTAAGTGAAAATGGATAGTAGGACAAGGATTTTGAAATTTGCGAGCAGTTTTGAATTCTTTGGTCTGAAGTACAGTTTTAAATTTTCTACCATTACTAATAGAAAAGAAAAAAATCTTACCAGAAGTAATCTAAAACCTGGATGATTTGTTAGATGAGTGAGCTAACTGCCGTTATTGAGGATCTACAGATTACCTGGCCACTGACTTTCGGGCAAGCAACTTCAGTATTCTGGAACAAAAGTAAGGGTGCAGTTTGTCTCCATCACCCCCAAACCCCCACTTTTCCCCAGAGGATGGGGAGGGGTCCTCTGGCTGGTGAGTTGAGGGGATGACCAGACATTTCCTGGGATCAGCCTTCCTGCAGGATGGGTGTGTTCTGCCTGCCTTGCCCTCTCCAGGGGGCTAAGAGGCCTCACACTGTGCAGAGAGCCAGCGATTGCTCAGTTCAGCTTGTGCCTGGGCAGCCGAGTTCATTTCTAAAGTGCTAGATGCCTTGTTGTGGCTGCGCGTGAAAGCCATGTCCAGAATTTATAGTAAGAAAGTGGAGTGGAGCTGCCACTTTGATCTCTGTTGGTCATGTGGGTCTTATTCCTCAATTAAGAGCCAGCGATTGCTCAGTTCAGCTTGTGCCTGGGCAGCCGAGTTCATTTCTAAAGTGCTAGATGCCTTGTTGTGGCTGCGCGTGAAAGCCATGTCCAGAATTTATAGTAAGAAAGTGGAGTGGAGCTGCCACTTTGATCTCTGTTGGTCATGTGGGTCTTATTCCTCAATTAATTTCTAACTCTAAAAAATGAAACAACGGAATGTCATTTAACTACCTAAAGTCCCAACGATATCAGCCCGACACTTCTTGAGCACCATACCAGACAGGGTTCTTGATTGAGCACAATCATGGATTGAAATAATCACTAGTTTTAAAATGTTCATATCACCCAGTGCAATCTACAGATTTAACGTAATCCCTATCGAAATAGGACTGACATTCTTCATGGAAACAGAGAAAAGAATTCTAAAATTTATATGGGACCACAAAAGACCCAGAATACCAACTTGAGTTAATTTAAGCAAAAGAGGAGTTTGTGGCAAAAGATTAGCAAGCCCAAGGGGAAGGCTGGAAAACTACACTCGGGTAATGGTCCAGTGCAAGGGAAGCCAGGCAGCCAGAACCGAGGGTCACCCATGGTTCCAGCCTGGTTAGAACCCCCGCGCCCTAGGGTACAGGTGGTGCCCCTGGACCTGGGATGCAGCCCCTCTACACTGTCCCTCCTTTTCTGCTTCTGTCACTCCCAGGTCACAGGTGCAGGCTGGGGCATCCTAGTTGCTGAGCTTAAGTCACCAGTAAACCACGTTAGGGACAGCAGGACCAAGTGAAAAGCATCTGGGCCTTGACGTCTATAGTTGGATGTCCCTGCATCCCACCAACCTTCAAACAGAGGAAGAGCACTGGAAAAGATCCCTCCCAAAAGAAAAACCAACAAACATTCCCTGCCAGGGCTGTATCTCCACATTTATTCTTCGTAGCTACTATTATTGTCCCCATTTTACAGATTAAGACGTTGAGCTTTAGAAAGGTGACGTGCCCTCCGTATGGCCACACAGCTAAAAAGCCATCTGACTCCATAGCCCAAGCAGTGAACTGCTCCAACAACTACCGCTGAGCTCTTCAATTTTAATACAGCAAATTGAGGGACACACTTCATTGTATCATCTTAGCTCAGGCTGCCATCACAGAATACCATAGGCTGGGTGGCTTAAACAACCAAAATTTATTTTCTTATAGTTCTAGGGGCTGGAAGTTTGAGACGGAGGTGCCAGCATGGTTGGTTCTGGTGAAGGCCCTCTTCCTGGATTGCGGACAGGGCCTTCTTGCTATGTCCTGACAGCGGGAGAGAGAGAAGAAGCTCCCTCTCTTTTGTTTATTCTTATGAGGACACTCATCATATCATATCAGGGCCCTAACTTTATGACTTCATTTAACCTGAATTGCTTTTGTAAAGGATCAATTTCCACAAAGTCACATTGGGAGGTTAGGGCTTCAACATATGAATTTTGAGGTTTATATTTGAGTCCAGAGCATATATGATTAAGACCAACCCAAATGCCCATCAATGATAGACTGGATACAGAAAATGTGGCACATATATACCATGGAATACTATGCAGTCATAAAAAAGAATGAGTTCATGTCCTTTGCAGGGACATGGATGAAGCTGGAAACCATCATTCTCAGCAAACTAACACAGGAACAGAAAACCAAACACAGGACATTTTCACTCATAAAAGTGGGAGCTGAACAATGACAACACATGGACACAGGGAGGGGAACATCACACATTGGGGCCTGTTGGGGGGCGGAAGTGTAGGGGAGGGAGAGCATTAGGAGAAATACCTAATGCATGTGGGGCTTAAAACGTAGATGATGGGTTGATAGGTGCGCAAACCACAATGGCACATGTATACCTATGTAACAAATCTGCATGTTCTGCACATGTATCCCAGAACTTAAAGTAAAATTTAAAAAGACTTTCCCGCCTCAAAAAAATTAAAAAAAAAGACTTTCCTGGTTTTGGCGGTTTTGCAAAACAATCTCAAACCGTGCAGCTGATTTCCTAAAGGCTTTCCAACTTAGTATATTTTTCAACTTGGCAACAGCATCTTCTCACCAGATGTTTTCAAAAATCTCTTAACTTTAACCTGAGGATGTGGATGTATTTTTGTTTAGGGATTAAAAGTGTTTTCTCCTCTCAGTTACTGAATCTTCTCTTCACTGTTCTTCTGATGCTAAGGGCTTGCCATTTGCTGTAGTGAGCTGGGGAGATTAGAAATTGTAAATCAAAGTCTAATCACATTTACCCCCAGAAAATCTGATGATAACAGAAAGCCTCCTCCCAAGCCCTAAAACTACCTCCTCCTTGTATTCTCCTACTGTGTTTATGTTGCATGTCTGATCATTCTAACAGTAACTTACTCTTTTGAGCACGGCGGAAAACTTAAATCGGATGGAAACAGTTACATTTTAATTAACTCCCCTGAGAGTAGGAAATCGTGTTAATTAAAAAAAAAATCCCATTCTTCATTTTTCTCCCATGTGATTTTTGCCTTCTATTTGCTCATCCTTTTGTTTTTGGAATTGAGTCTGACACAGGTGAAGCCTGTGTAGGAGGCATCCTGGGTGCAGATGCAGTTGCCCGGTTTACTGTCTAAGGAGACCATCGTGGTTTCCTTAGCTGGAGCCCTACTTAGAAACCTGAGACATCAACCCTCCTGAAAGGCCAGTGGGCCCCTGTGTAAGTGCTCTGACCACAGTATCCAAAGGAGATCAACCAGTGCACCCAACGCTGTGCCCACAGTTGTCAGGGGAATGAGTAGGGAGATGAGCAGGAGTGGCAGGAATGGGCATCAGAGCCAGTCACAAGCTTCTGATATGGCTCAGTCCACTTCCAGCTGTGATCCAGGGACAGAGCCAACCTTGCAAACTAAAGGTAGGGGGATATAAGATACTAAGTTTAGCTCTATATAGTGTAGACTCAAAAAATGGTATCTTTTTATTTTATTTTATTTATTTATTTTTATTTAAGTTCTAGGGTACATGTGCACAACATGCAGGTTTAAAAAATGGTATCTTAAGAAAAACAGGCGTTTACTTTTCTCATCTAAGGAGAAGTCTATAGGTGGGAAACAAAATATAAAATTGGGACTCCATAAAGTAATCCCAGGCTCATCTACCTTTCTGTTCTGTCATTCTTAGTATATAGCTTTGAATCTATAGGTCGCTTCTTGGCCACAGACCTGCTGCTGGAGTGACAGCTATCACACCTAAGTTCCAGGCAGGGAGAAGGGATACGAAGGACAAAAGGCATATGCCAATGGAATTATCCTCTTCCAATCCCTCTCCTCCTTCTAGGAAAATTTCCCAGAATCTACAACTCTTGTCACCCATCCAACAACTTTTCTCTGCTCATGCGTCATAGACCAGAACTTGGTTGTTCATAGACCAAAATGTGGCTACTCCTATCTTTAGGTGATGCTGGGAGATGCAGGTTTGTTTGTCTGTTTTTAACCTGGACACATTACCTCTTGAGAAAATGTTGGGCATTAGAAACAATCAGTGTGCCTGGAGGGTTGGCTTGAGAAATTTCACCATATTGTGCAATTATCATATTTATGAAGTTACCATATTTATGAAATTATCAAGAAAAACTCGGCTCACAAGGTTTGCCATGAGCTGGCCTCTGCCTACTTGTCCTAATTTTTTTTTTTCTTTTTGAGACAGAGTCTGGTTCTGTCACTCAGCCTGGAATGCAGTGGCACGATCTCAGCTCACTGCAACCTCTGCCTCCTGGGTTCAAGCGATTCTCCTGTCTCAGCCTCCAAAGTAGCTGGGATTACAGGCACCTGCCACCACGCCTGACTAATGTTTGTATTTTTAGTAGAGATGGGGTTTTACCATATTGGTCAGGCTGGTCTCGAGCTCCTGACCTCAGGTGATCCACCTGCCTCAGCCTCCCAAAGTGCTGGGATTACAGGTGTGAGCCACCTCTCCTGGCTAAATTTTATACTTTCTCTGTCTGAATTTTTGTGTGGCTGGCTCCTTAAATGTCACTTTTTCAGAGAAGATGTTCCTCAAGTTTAATGCATCCTCCCCACCCCCCAGTCACTCTCTGATCACCCAGCCTATTTTATTTTCCTTCTGCAGCTTTCAACATGAGACACTGCTATGATCTGAATGTTTATTTTCCTCTGAAATTCAAATGTTGAAATCTAATCACCAAGGTCATAGTGTTAGGAAGCGGGGCCTTTGGGAGGTGATTAGGTCCTGAGGTTGGAACCCTCGTGAATGGGATTAGTGCCTGGATGAAAGGGAGCTCAGAGAGCTGCCTTGTTCCTTCTACCAGATAAGGATACAGCAAGAAGGCATCGTCTATGAGGAATGGGTCTTTGTCAGACACCCATCTGCCAGTACCTTGATTTTGGACTTCCTAGTCTTCAGAACTGTAAGATACAAATTTCTGTTAAGACTTACTATTTGATACCAAAACAGAGTGACTATAGTCAATAATAACTTAACTGTACATTTCTAAATAACTAAAAGAGTGTAATTGGATTGTTTGTAACACAAAGGGTAACTGAGAGAATGGATTTAAAAAATAACATATAAAAAAAGAAAAGGAAATAGAAAAAAAGAAAATGGGGTTTTCTTTACTTATAATGGAATACTACTCAGTCATAAAAAAGAATGAAATCATGTTTTTTTCCAGCAACATGGATAGAACGGGAGATCATTATTTTAAGTGAATAACTCAGAAAGTTAAGTAATACATGTTCTCACTTATAAGTGGGAGCTAAATCATGGGCACATAAGGACCTAGAGAGTGGAATAATAGATATTGAAGACTTGGAAGGGTGGGAGTTGGGGATGGGGTGAGGGATGATAAATTACTTAATGGATACAATGTATACTATTTGGGTGATGGCTACACTAAAAGCCCAGACTTTACTACTTCGCAATAGTAACAAAATAACACTTGTGTCCCTGAATCTATAAAACATTAAAAATCGAAGGTGTTACTTATAAAAAAAAAGAAAGAAAAAAGAAAAGAAAAGAAAACGGAATATGATTCTGTTGTTTAAAAGCCTCCCAGGCTAAGGCATTGCATTATAGCAGCCTGAACACATGGACAGGCAGGCTTCTGTTCATTTGTCTACAGCCTGTGTCCCCCCACCAGAATACAATCCCTTGGAGAGAGCAGGCACCTGTGTGTCTTGTTCCCTGCTGATGACATCTCAAAATTTCTGGAGGAACATAAATGATGAGCTTACCTAAATTTGAAAAGAAATCACTTTAAAACAAATCACAATGGCAATTAACCTTTTATATGACAATGGATAAAGAACAACACCTCACTGCTCCACATTTTTCTCCAGCTCCTGGTTCACATTTGGACCTCAATCGAATCACAAATTAGTACCTGACCTGGACCTCCAGGGTTATTCTAAAATAGAAGGAACCTTGATTGCAAAATCTCAACAAGGCACAGCTCTACCGTGCACCTGTGATCCATGATAGTGAGATTGACGTCTGTGGAGCCACAAGGAGAGATGGGCACATCCCTATTGCAAACAATGGCAGTCCCTGGAGGGCTGGGGACTTAGAAAGTCATTCCAGGCCTGAGCCTTGGAGAGGCTGAAGGGAGGGCCAGGTTGGCAGCTGGTCCAGTAGGCTGAGAAGCAACTGAGACTCATAGTCTTAAGTCACCCAAGAATATTCCTTGGAGGCAAATGTGGAGCTTCCTCTCCCCAACTTCTTCTTCCTTTTGAAGTGGAGAATGCCTCTGCCCAATCCTGGACCTCTCTTAGGCTAGCCATTCTAGGGATATATTTACATTTTTATTTTCTGCTTCCTGAAGCCTGGAGACTTCATCATTAAACATTTGGCTTGGGAAAGGATAAAATGCCTTTATCAGTCAAGGCTCTCCAGGGAACAGAAGTAGTAGGGGATGTATGTATGTGTATGTACGCACACACACACACACACACACACACACACACACACACACACACACACACATAATACCTCCCCAACAACACCTAGGCTAGAATTTGACTGAATAACTGGACACGACCACCCATCCATGTTGACACATAGAACTAACCATCACGGTGTCCCTGGGAGTAGTCAGGATTTGGCTGATGCTCCACCCTCTCCACCTCCACCTCCAAAGGGTAGGAGGACAGCCTCACGTTTACATTTCTGCCTGATCAGATGTTCATATACTTTGAACAAGAAGATGAGTGACTTCCCACCTACTTCTCCTGTGTACTTCAGACCACTAAGTGCAGCAATGACTGTGCCACAGAGCTGCACCCTTGACAATGAGGACCCGAGAGAGAAACAGGGTCACCCTGCAGCTATGCATCAGAACCACTGGGTGCTTGCTAAAATGCAGGTTACTTGGCCCATCCACACTCCTGAATCAGAATATCTGCATTTGAGCAAGCTCTTCAGGTGAATCAGTTGCCCAGTCGAATTTGAGAATTGTTTCCATTCATGAATCAGTAAAGCCCTTGTGGTTTTACCATCCAGAAAATCTCTCTCAGGCTGGGCTGAAAGGCATTATTTTAGGGTAATTTTCCTAAGATATTTACAATTAATAATTCCATTTAAGGTTTCTTCTTTCTTTTAAAAATGTTTATTTATTTTTTAGAGATGGGGTCTTGCTTTGTCGCCCAGGCAAGAGGAGTACACTGGCACAATCATGGCCCAACTGCTGCCTCAAATTCCTGGGCTCAAGCAATCCTTCAGCCTCAGCCTCCTGAGTAGCTTAGACTATAGGCATGTGCCATCATACCTGGCTAATGAAAAAAAATTTTTTTGTAGAGATGGGGGTCTCACCATTTTGCCCATGCTGATCTCGAACTCCTGCGCTCAAGCAATCCTCCTGCCTTGGCCTCCCAAACTGCTGGGATTACAGATGTAAGCCACCATCCCCAGCCATTTTCCCTCTTTATGTCCAATTTCACAGAGCCAAATTGAATGATTTTAATTCATGTAACTATCTAGAAGTCAGCCTCCTATTCTCACCTGGGAGATGAATGTGGGCAAGAAAAACAGTAGCCCCTCTTATCTGCGGGGAATAAGTTCCAAGACCCCTACAGGATGCCTGAAGCTTCAGATAGTACCAAATTTTTGTTTTATCCAATACATACATGCCTATGATAAAGCTTAATTTATGAATTAGGCACAGTAAAGGATTTACAATTATAATAAAATAGAACAATTGTAACAATATATTGTAATAAAAGTTATGTGAATGTGGTCTCTCTCTTTCAACATATCTTATTGTACTGTACTCACCTTTCTTCTTGTTGTGATCCATTAACCTGATAACTGAGAAAACTGCTAAGGGAGTAACGGGTGAGTAGACAGTGTGGAGACGCTGGACAAAGGGATGATTCACATCCTGGGTGGGAAGGAGCAAGATGTCATCACACTACGCAGAGTGGCATGTACTTTAAAACTTATGAATTATTTCTGGAATTTTCCATATAATATTTTGAACTGTAGTTGACTGCAGATAACTGAAACTGTGGAAAGTGAGGTTGTGGATGGAGCGGACCACTGCAGGAAGCGGAAAACTCACTCATCTGCATCTCTACATGGCTCTCCTTGCAGCTGCGAGAGTTGTGCTGGAAACCCAGTGCCTTTGTCGGGGAGAGCATGTGCTTATTTTATTCCCCTTGTGTCCTATGAGGTCTCTTCTTTGTGGAAACTCCTTTCACCACTTGTTGAGAGCTGTCTAGTTTAAGACTGCTCAGCACCCAAAAGCCCAAATTCCGCAACTTGTGTGTAATTCCCATATTTATTTAACATGCCATTTAATGTATTTCAATGTAATATGCATTTGTTATGTATCTACTGTGTAAGCATTATGCTAGACTCTGAGAGAAGAGGCTGAAATAGATACAAAGGTAACTAAAATGAGGCTCTTGCTGTGTAAGAGCTGTCAACCTATTGGGAGAGACATAATTAAACAACTAATTATGTGAGTGCAAGGAAATATAAAGTAAATGCTGAAATGGAGGTACAGCAACATTTGAGGAGTGATTCAAATAGCGGGGGGAGAAGGCTGCTCCGAGGCATTGTCATTGCTGCAGGATAAGGAGAGGAAACAAGTTGTCTGGAAAGCAAATGAGTTCGCATAAGGGAAAGCAGGGGGAACATCGGTGTGGAAAGCATTCCGTGCATGAAAGATGGGTCTGCATTTCTGTTGCAGGTTTTAGTTCATAAATCTGAGGACAATGGAGACTCTGTCCCTGCTAATGTGCTTTACAAATCTCAGCCTTAGTACCTGGAGCCCTGGGTGGTCAGATGAGCCCCATTCACTGTGCAACCAGCCAACATCACCAAAACCCTGGTTCACATTTGGGCCTGGGTCAGCCATCTCAGCTCATCCCTTCTGCCCTCAGAAGCAGCCAGTGTGCTGTCTGTAAACTGTAAGTGCTGATAAATGAGGCAAGAAATGCAAAGCTCCCAAAGCCAGTTTGGTCACACTCCAGCTTCACTCATTTGCCATAAACCAAACTATTATCTAAGAATCACCCTCAAGTACTCTGTGAGCCCTGCTGGGGGCTGCAAAAGCTGCATACAGGTGCTCTGCCTCCAGAACTTGGGGACATAGAGAGTGTTCTGTGGTCATACCACACACACATCCTGTCACTCACAGTGATGCCTTTAGTGGCTAGATGCTGAAAGGTCTTCCCTTGGTCAGATTCCCTCTCTCTTTCAGGGACCTACGTGCTCAGTCTTTTGTAGTCAAGTTCCCTGGTCCATTTCCTACCTCCTTTGAAAGTATCACATACAGACATGTAAATCACATGACCTTGTAGGTGGGCTGTGTTTGGAAAGCAACTGAAGCACAGCAAACTACATTGAGATCCAATTCTACAGCCCCAGCAGTCACACCAGCACGTGCTCTTTGGGGCCGGCTTGGTAACTTTGTGATTTGTGTGAACTGTGCAATGTAGACTCCAGGTTCTCACTTCTGCCAGAACCAAGAATGTTCAAACATTACAATGATGTGATTGTTTTAGTCAGGAAAACTCAAACCAGCAAGCAAGTTTTAGTTAGACTCAACTAAATGAACTAATTGGCTTATGTAATAAAGAAATAATTGGCTTATGTAATAAAGAACTATTGGCTTATGTAATAAAGAAATTCAGAGATCAATCTGGGCTCCAAGCTCTGCTTCCTCCTCTATTCTTAGGCTGGTTCTTCTATTAAGTGGCAGCTCCCAGCTTACATGGTCCTCATTGCTCCCAATCCCAAGCATCCACTATAACAAGTCACAGGAGGACTCTGGTTCTGCTCCAGCCACATGGCTGTCCTTGGACCAATCCCTGTGGACAGGGAAGGGACTTCTGGGTTATCTCATCACTAAGGAGCAGGCAAGGCAGTGTGACCACCTGGCAGGAGAGGAAGGACATTGCCCAAAAGCAAGTGTCTTAGATAGACAACCAGCGACCTCCGTATTGCCTGGGTTTTGTCTTCCAAAGTAACAGGTGCTTCTAATATTTGAGGCAGGGCATGAATGCTTTGCCTGAGGCTTGGGAATGGCGTGCTTCTGATTCCATACCCTCCTTTTACAAGTGACTTTGGCCTTCCAGGGCTCTCTGGGTTCATGGCACACCTGACTCATAGAGGGAAGGGTTTTTGACCCTGGGTCCCTGCACTGGCTCTAAAGTCAAGCATGGCTCTGAATATGGCAGGACAAGAGCTCTCCTGATTCTCTAATTGATTTTTCTGCTTCAATCCTGTTAACCTAATGCTACCCCTCAGAAAGCTGAAGAATGCGCACCAGCGTGTAACATCTACCTGCTTAATTTCCATTTGAGAGATTTATGTGAGAGATCGAGCACATTATTACCCTTGTGTGGGCACTCAGCAGTGTTTTCGAATTAAGATTGATTACATGGACAGCCACCTACACGAATTGCTTAAAAGTCATTAATTCGTGGTTAGCATTAACTTGTTTGATGGATACCATCAAACGCAAATCAGAAAGAGCCATCAGCTCATTTCAGGGAGGATGGGACATGTTGCTTCTAGCATTTCCGCATGATGAATTACCTAGTGATGGGTTTTTCTAAGTGTGGTCCCCTGTACCACCTGCTCCCCAGGTATCTGAGGAATCAGTTTAAAGTGCAGATTCCTAGACTCACATAAACTGAATCACAATCTCTGGGGATGGGACCCAGGAATCTACATTTTCAAACACGCCCCCCAGTTGTTCCTTGTATGCACTCAAGTTTGAGAACCTTGTCCTGGAGTTTCCATAGTGCTATTCTGTGGCTATTTCAGAGTGTGAAAAAAAGCAAGAGGCGACTTTGTGGGCACTGAGAGATGTCTGGCTCACCAAAAAGTTGCTTTGCTGCATGCACAACCAGGCAATTGCAAAATCAAGAATAAGGAAGGTCAGAGAAGAAAGAATTTGTACAAACAAATGTGGCAACACAGTAGGACTGAGTAAACACAGTGTGGTGTCGACTTTGTAGCTGTAGGGAGATTAAAGGTTTGGACTCTACAGTATTGCGGGATCTTCCAATCAGATCAATGGGGAAGATCCAGAAAGCCTGGTGTTAATTAGAGCACAGCACCTCAGACTTGAGGGTGGATCAGAATCCCCGGCGGGCTTGTTAAATCACCAAATCACACTTCTGAGCTTTACCCCCAAAGATCCGGATTCAGTACGTTTGGGGAGGGGCCCAAGGTTTTATATTTTTAAAAAGCTCCTAAGTGGTACCCATGCTACCTTAAGTGGGTCATCTTTGGAGTATTGAGGTAGAAGAAGCTTAGTCAACCTCCAGGACTGGCCATGCCTCCTTCCCCATAACTCCAGCTCAGGAGATGCACACATCTTTCTGGAGTTCTACTGGGGACCAACAAGAGGATTTGCCACATTCTTACTTTGTGCTTGTCACTATGTGTAGCATTTTACTGTATCTTTTTAAAGCCCAGGTTGTCTGAAATGTAGGACATTTTCAACCCTGCGATCAGCTGGCTTAACAAGAAACATCTGGGCCCAGGTGTGAGCTAGGAGCACAGCTGTTGATGAAGGGAACAGAGCTCTTGATCTGAACAGGATGGCTTGTCTTTTGGTGGGTTAGAGGAGGAAAAAATGTTTTCCCTCTACCCTCCAAGGTTCTCTGGCTCAGGCTCTGGAAATGAAACTGACAAAGATGAATTAACAAGAGAAAAACAAACAGAGCTTATTAACATGTGCATTGTGCATATCCATGGGAGAAACTCAGTCATGAGTAAAATCAAAGGAGTGGCTAAAACGTGGGGCTTAGATCACATCTTAGCAAAGAACAATAAACTTATAGAGACATGACAAGACAAAGGAAAATGAGTTTAGGCTTCCAAGGGCAGCAAACCATGGACAAGTAAATATATGGGGGAAAACTAATGGAAGATGAAGTTTATTTTAATAAGATTTGTTATGTAGATTCCTGGTGCTATCTCTGGGTCAATAAGAGTCTAGAGTCATCCCTGGTGATTCAGAGTCTAAGCCTGCTTTTAGGCAAATGTGGAAGTGTCGGGGAGGGCAGAGAGCTTTGATGGCATCTGCTGTTTCTTGAGTGTCTTCAGCTCAAAATAATACTTGTGCTAAAGTGGCAGATTTTGAGATGATCTATTCAGATCCCTTACAAGAACCTTGCTTCCTCTCCTTGCCTTCTTCTCCTTCTTCCTTGTCCTCTCTTTCTCACTCTCAGCCAAGTCTCTGGGTTTTCTGTCTCAGAACTCCCTGTGACTAGAGACAACACAGTGTTTCTTCTGAAGATGAGCATCTTCCCTCCCACCCCAATCTCTTTGCTCCATAAAGGATTGTACCTAAACTGGGTTTCTGGAGCAGATGAGATAAAGGCATTAAAGTACATGGCACAGCTCATATTCTGCATGAATTTTAGATCTTGAGTTCTCAGCGATTATTTCCAGGCAGTACTTCTGCACATTCTACCTTTTTTGTTGATTTCAGACTTTGCTAATTGATCTCTGTACTTTTTTCACCAGCCTT